>NC_000023.11:97462542-98087542 GCF_000001405.40 Homo sapiens | reverse complement strand
GGTGAGCAGTGGGTGAGCAAGCATTACCACCTGAGCTCTGCATCCTGTGAGATCAGCGGTGGCATTAGATTCTCACAGGAGCATGAACACTATTGTGAACTGCATATGTGAGGGATCTAGGTTGTGCACTCCTTATGAGACCCTAATGCCTGATGATCTGAGGTGAAACAGTTTCATCCCGGAACCATCTGGTCCCCACCCCACCACCACCCCCAACCATTTGTGGAAAAATTGTCTTGCATGAAACCAGTCCCTGGTGCCAAAAAGGTTGGGGACCACTGCCTTATCAGATATATGATTTGCAAAAATTTTCACCCATTCCATAGATTTTATTTTTACTTTCTTGGTTGTATGAATTGTATCAAAAAAGATTTTCATTTTGATAATATTCAATTTAAGTGAATTTATCTTATGTGAATTATATCTCAATAAAGCTGCTCTTAAAGATCTAGGTAAAGACAATCTCTTTATGAGTTAATATAGTGAGAAATAAATTGATCAAATGCCTACAGTGTTTTTGAGGAAACAGTATCACCAAAGTAACTACAAGGCTGGCTGGCAAAAGCCTGTAATGTTTGATGCCTGAGCAACCCTGAGGTCCCAAACATGCACCAACAAAAATGAGCTACAGGTTTTATTCATCAGTCTGGACTGAGCTTCTTTTGTTTCTTGCACATTCCCATACTTTTTAGCTTGCCTTTGTATGAAACACTTCAGTGTTTTGTATCATTTGGAGAGGTAGTATAGTGTAATGGTTCCAACAATGGTCTTCAGACCCAAACCACTTTCGTTCAAATCCCAGATCCACCTATCAATAATTGTCTGATTTGGGGCAAGTTAGTTAATCTTTCTATAGCTCAGGTTTTCCCATCTGTAAAACACAAATGCTAATAGTACCTTTCTCACAGGGTTGGTGTGAGCTTTAAACTGTTAACATAGGTACAGCTCTGATAACAGTGCCTGACATAGAGTAAGTGCTAAGCATAAATTATTAAAACTATTTCTATGTGATTGATATGGTTTGGCTGTGTCCCCACCCAAATCTCATCTTGAATTGGTCATCTATGAATGATCATAATCCCCAAGTGTCATGCTGGAATGAGTTAAGACTTTGGGAGACTGTTGGAAAGGCATGATTGTATTTTGAAATGTGAGGGCATGAGATTTTGGAGGGGTAAGGGGTGGAATTATATTGTTTGGCTGTGTTCCCACCCAAATTTCATCTTGAATTGTAGTTCCCATAATCCCCACGAGTCAAGGCGGGGAGCTGGTGGGAGGTAATTGAACCATGGAGGTGGTTACCCCATGCTGTTCTTTTGATAGTGAGTGAGTTCTCACAAGATCAAGTTTTAGAAGGGGCTTTTCCCCCTTTGCTTGGCATTTCTCTTTCCTGCTGCCATGTGTAGAAGAAGGTGTTTGCTTCCCATTCCACCATGATTGTAAGTTTCCTGAGGCTTCCCCAACCATACAGAACTGTGAGTCAACTAAACCCATTTACTTTATAAATTAACACAGTCTCAGGTATTTCCTCATAGCAGTGTGAGAACGGACTAATACAGTAGTTGTTGGTAGGGACAGTAGGAGACCTTTTAAATAACTCAGTATGTCTACCACTCAGCTCTACAGTTGGCAAAAGAAAACCTTTAATTTGCTCTCCTTCCCTCCACCTTTTCCCCAAACTTCCTCATTTCTCTGGATGGCACCATGATCTCTGCTTTCAGATAAAAAACTTGGAGTCTTCAGAGTCCCTCCAAGTCTTCTTTTTCTCTCACTTCACACATTAAATCCATCAGCAAGTCTTCTTAGCTCTACTTCTCAAATATATTCCAAATCTATCCATATTTCACTACATCTACCAACACTATCCTGGTAAAAGCCATCATAATTTTTCTTGTTGTCTGCCACAGGAGACTCCTAACTGCTCTTTCAAATTGTACTCTTGCAACACTAGGGTCCATTCTCCACAGATGCCAGAGTGTTACTTTTAAAGGCTAAATAAAATAATATTGCTCCCTTGATTAAAACTTCCTATGGCTTTTCACCGTACTTGGATTATAATCCAAACCATTACTATGGCCTACAAGAGACTTTATGATAGCTGGTTTCCAAAGATTGCAACAATCAATCAAGAGCTAGAGTCTATTTCCCTCTGCTTGAAATTGAGTTCGCCCTGTAAATTGTTTTGACTGATAAGATGCAACAGAAGTAACGTTCTGGGACTTTCAAACTTAGATCACAAGAGGTCTAGCAGATTCTGCTTCTTCCTGAGAGGAAGCCAACTTCCATGTAAGTCTGACTACCCTGAGACCACCATGCTCTGAGGAAGCTGAAAGTAGTCATGGGAATAGATAGAGGCCATGAAGAGAAGCACCTATACACCAGGGATTCTAGAGCCTTCTTTGACAATCCAGCCCAGTCCAGCCACCAGATGAACACTATCAAATGTCTTCAGCTAACACCATACAGAGCAGAAAAATTATTGAACCAGGGTCTGCCCAAATTCCTGGCTCATGAACACCTGAAGAATAATAAATTGTTATATTAAGCTATTATGTTTGTAGTAGCTACATGTGCAGCCATACATAATGGAAACATCCCTCATGATGCCTTTCCCCTATACTCCAGACTCATTTAAGTTCTCTGTGTTCTACTAAGTTCTCTGTGTTCTACTAAGTTGTCTGTATTCTAACCAGGCTTACTCTCTTTTTCTTCTTCTAATATGAAAACCTTGTTCCTGCTTCATGGCCCTTAAAGTCACTGTTCCCTTTGTCTAGAATTCTCTTTCCTCAGTTATGAGCATACTTCATGTCTTCTCATCATGATATCATAGTTCAATTATCACCTCCTCCAATAGGCCTTTCTTACCCACATTACCTGGAGAAGCTCCATACCCCCACTGTGATAATTCTATCATGCTTCTTCATTTTATTTTTTAGTATTAACATTATCTGAACTTGTTTTGACTATTTACTTATTTTTTCTTGTCTCTTTTTTTTCCTGAGGACAAAATCTTTATTTTGTTCACTGCTGTAAAATTAAAACTGTGAACAGTGTCTGGTATAGAGTAAGTGCTAAATATAGATTGGATTAATGAATTAATTAATAAAGATGAAAGGGTATTGTTACATTCCAGTAGACCAAAAGTAGAAGCTATTGGTTACTGTGGTGGATATTCTCAATTTTCCTTGCCTATTCCTCTCTCTACCATTTTCACCTTTTTCTGTGCCCCAGGAAGTTGGCTTTATGTGTGGGTCAACAGGCTTTCTTGGTTTTGGTTGGTTTTAGCCAATGGGAGGCACCAATAAGGGATTAGAGGGTCAGAGGAGAAAGAGGTCAGGGTATTTATTATAATAACTTCCTCCCAAAGAGTTAACTGGCAGCTACACCCCTCTTCCAAATATTACAGCTCGCAGCAGATGGCCTTCTCTTATTGTAGCTTTTGTTCTTTCCTTTTTATCAGTTGTTATAAATATGGCTTCCAGAGTCCAGTTGGGGTTTCAGAGGATCATTTGGTTGGTAGCTTATAGGATGGAGGGAGGCCAGGGAATGATTACCTCTCCAGGATCTGGTAATATTTCCCTTCTCCTATCCAGTTAGGCCATGGGTTGATAAAAGCTGCTCTCTGTCATTAGCCCTGAGTGCTTCACCGCTTTTTGTTGCTTTCCCTTAATGCTGCCCAGACATTTAAAAATAGCCTTTTTATTTAAAATCTCTTCAAACACCTTCTATAAGTGTACTATTATTACTGCTTTCTTAGTCTATGTGGGCTACTATAACAAAGTCCCACAAACTTGGAGGCTTAAAAACAACAGAAGTTTTTTTCTCAGGGTTCTGGAAGCTAAAAAATCCAAGGTCAAGTCACCAGCAGTTTCAATGTCAGGTAAAGACCTGCTTTCTCATAATGGAATCTTCCTACTCTGTCCTCACAAGGTGGAAGGGGCTACCTAGCCCTTGGCAGTCTTTTTTTTTTTTTTTTTTTTTTGAGACAGAGTCTTGCTGTGTCACCCAGGCTGGAGTACAATGGCGTGATCTTGGCTCACTGCAACCTCTGCCTCCTGGGTTCAAGCCATTCTCCTGCCTCAGCCTCCTGAGTAGCTGGGATTACAGGTGCCCGCCACCACACCCAAATAATTTTTTTTGTATTTTTAGTAGAGACAGGGTTTCACCATGTTGGTCAGGCTGGTCTCAATGGTCTTGAACTCCTGACCTCAGGTGATCCACCAGCCTTGGCCTCCCAAAGTGCTGGGATTACAGGTGTGAGCCACCGCACCCAGCCGGCAGTCTTTTTTTTAAGGGCACTAATCTCAATCATGAGAGCTCTGCCCTCATGATCTAATAACCTCCCAGAGGCCCCGCCATGTAATACTATCACCTTGTGGATTAGAATTTCAATATATTAATTTTGAAGGTTGCAAACATTCAGACCATAGCACCTGCCAAGACCCTAACAGTTACTTTCTAGTTCTGAACAATAGATCCTTACATGTAGCTGTTTTAATTGATTTATAGTAATAATTTTTATAAATATGCTGTTATATATTTTTATTTTAGTTGGTCCACATACTTATTAATCTATGCCTAGATAGTTGAAAGATGGGTAGACATATTATTGCTTTATTTTGAAATAGTTCTTTTGGGAAATTATGAGCCTATCAATACATACATATACCTATGCATTTACATACCCACATATAACATACCTGTTTCGGCTTTCAGAATTGCTTCTGCTGAGGCAAACTTATCTTACTTTGCAGATTTTGTTTTCACCACCTCCAAATACTCTAGCAATGGAAACCCACTCCAGAACCGTTCAGCTCTTCTTTTACTAATATGACTCATATTGCCTCTGAAGAGAGTATCATCAAGGACAGGGTGTAGAAGTAGGAGAATTTAGTGTATGGTAATGCATAAAAAGAAGTCAGTAAACAACCAAGATTGGTGCTGCCAGCACTGCATAGAGCAAATATGGATGTGAAGAAGGATTATTTGTCTTGTTTGGCTAGGTCTACACCAATATAATGAGAATATTTGTTGGTAAAAATGTTAGCAGCTTTGTATAGGCATTGGCAAGATTATCACTTTTGTGAGTCTAGCTGCAAGTATGTGGCAATTGCAAATTAATTTAAATGCAAAAATAATTTCCCTAGAAGTTAGAGGAAAAAATATGAGAGTGCTGACCTGAAGTAGAATTTATCTTTAATTTTAAGTCAAATTTTAAAAATTATTTTCACGGAACACTCATGAATCTTTAAATTAGAGAAACACAAAGTTTTATAGCTTGGAGAGTTCTAATGTCCTTTGTCTAAACTCTTCACTTTACAAAAAAGAAATCAAGGTCTGAAGTGGTTGCTTATAGTCAAAACTGGGACCATAATTCCTTGTGTCTTTGTTTTCCAGCTTTTGTTCTTTCCTTTTTATCAATTGTTATAAATATGGCTTCCAGAGTCCAGGTGGGGTTTCAGAGGATCATTTGGTTGGTAGCTTATAGGACGGAGGGACGCCAGGGAATGACTCTTCCCCTATTTACTTCAATAAGAGCATATCTGTCTTTATTGGTTATATAAGTTTCCATGTAAGATTTTGCTTGGAAAACTTTCCTTGTGTTAAAAAAGAGAGAGATTTGAAAAGCACCATTCTATGTCATGCTATTAACCTAGGGGAAAACTAGCTGAAGAGATTTGCAAAAAAAAAAAAAAAAATTGCATTGATTTGATTGAATCTGGTGATACACAAATAAATGTTTAAAAATTGGCTTTCTCAGGTAGCAAAGAAAGTTCTGATTTGTAGCATTTGCCAATTTCCATCTCACCATGACTGATTTCAGCTACCAACATGATGTCAACCAGCTTGCAAAATTACTGAAAATTTAACAATTGGCTTTTACAAGCCATTGCTAGCTCCAACACAGCACGGATTTGAATTCCTTCTATGTGTAATTACTCACATGATTTTTCTGATTTTTATTCTTGTACTTCCATAAGCGACTGAGAATTTTTTTCATTATGCTAATAAATAAAAGACAATGACTTAGTTTGCAGGCTTTGGAGAGTATTCTTCTTCACGTTGATTTTTTATGGATTATTTTGTTTGTTTGTTTATTCATTTGGGGGTTGGGAATTGGATTTTGTCACAGGCAAACATGTATACTCTCTAAGCTAAAAAGTAGTATATCTAAAATGGAATGCTAATGAAACCACCATAGATGAAAATCAGTGGCCATTCTGAAAGTGGATCAAAATGTTTACACATATATAGATCTTTCTATAAACCAACAGCATTTACTTTTATATGTGCAGAGGTTCTATATTATCAAACATGAGGAAAAGTATCTTTGGGTGGGTTGCTCTTCTTGCTTCATCTCCCTAGGAAGCCGTTTAATTACATCCCATTATTCTCTTTGACCCCAGTAGGTGTTCCATGCTCAGATTGGCTTTTTTTTTCATGCAATGACCCTTCCACATATCTCTCATACTGTTCTACCTCCTGCTGCTCTTGAAACACAGAGATAGACAAAAATTTCCACATTAAAAGAGAAAGGTTTCGAGGGATAAGAAAAAGAAAATCAAAGAAGAAATAATTGTCCACATATTTATGTCGAGGTACTTTCAATGTATATGGCCTCTTCCTTGTTCTTTCTCATACCATGACATCCACATCTCTACCTTATATTGTGTACAATTTAATCCAATTGCATTTATCAAAATTGTTCCAGTTAATGTTTCAACTCTTCTGTGCCATATATTTGACTTCTGTGATTAAAAGCTCAGTGACAGAAAAGACATATATATTTTCTTTTACTTTCACAAATTTTTTTTCAGAAAACAGAAAGCACGTAATGATAGCAATAAGCTGTCATGTTCACAAAGGTCTGTCTGCTTTCTTCCAATCTCTCTGTGTAGGCTGGTGAGGAGAATGAAACAAGGGTAAGAATCTCCAAACCAGTCTATAGATTTATTCCATCTTCTGAAGAACTTTTACGCTCAAATTGACTGAAAATGGATCTTTCAGTAAGAAGAGATGTCTTGTGGTGTATTTTTATCAGTTGAAAATCACTTTGATTACTTTAAAATATAGTCAAGCCATATGCAAAAACCTAAGCAGACATAATTTCATAGTTAATTGGGTTTATTAATTATCTGTCACTACCTTATGATAGAGACATAGCAATAGCTCTAATATTGATGATGTTAGTTCACAGCAATCCTGCTGCCATGAACATTTTATAATAAATTCCAATCAACCCATGCTCCTTCATCTTAATTACCAATAAATGCCTTCAATTGGTGATAGTCCTTTGATTCCCACACTCATTGCTACATCATTTATTCTCTATCTTTGATCAGCATTACAGACTTTACTGATTTGGGGGAAGATGCTGACTTTTTCTATTTCAAACCATGTTATCTAGTTTGATTCTATTGTTCCTTTTGTTAAGAAAGTTGGCGCTATGATGACAGAACAGGAACTAGGATCAGTAGTCACAGTTGGATTTCAGGCTGAAAAAGTAAGTAAACTATGACATTACAGGGTTTTCTAATTTCAATTAATCACAGATATATCGACATTTGCTTCATTTATAAGGTAAAAGAATATTTTCAATACCTGGTCTGAATTTTCATCCAGAGATCTGAGATTCAAGCTGTGTTCTTTCTGCCTCTTTCATCATTGCCAGTAATAAAGATTCTGCAATGAGAACTTAGCTGACAATTTGGTTGATGATGCCTGAACCCCAACAGAAAGCACTTTGGCTCTTCCTGAGTGGTCTCAGTGCTGAATTCTTAATAGGATCAAAGGCCTGAGTCCATCAGAAAATTAAGATATGATTCAAAGATGCTTACAGGTGGCATATACAGCATTTCTAGGACATTTGGGATTCAGTGTACCACTTCTGTTTTAATTTAGGATATCTGTATAAATAACAGAGAATGGGAGAGGAGATACGAACAGCAGTTCACCTTAAATTAAATCAACTTTAAAGACCCAGGGACGTCAAAATACCTGTATCCAAGCTAGTGATTTGATCAATACTCTAATTTTCAAACCTAAAATAATGTGGAAAACTTACAAGATTTCATCAAAAGCACATATAGTAAGGCTGGCCAACTGATAAATGATTTCTAAATTATTAGAAATAAAATTTTGAAAGCTAAATAAATAGAGTATACCTTTTATACTGATGACTATTTTATATGATATAGCTTTGTCCGTTTGACTATAACCTGACCAATGTCAAGTTGGGTAACAAAACATAATATCTGGTCTCTTCCTCCATTTTAAACAGCAAGCTGCTGAACTTTTCATCTGTCCCCACCATGGTGACTTATGCTAGGTCCCACTATTTTTTAGCAAATTATTCATTCTCAACTCCATCAAACTCCAACCTAAGCATTATCTCATTGCCCTTTCTCTTTTACTATCCCCAGTAAAAGTGTCTTCCATACATAAACCCCAATAAACTTGCATGGCCTCCTTCCATTCCTGTTCCAGGTAGTGGAGTTTTATTCCTGACACAACCTGGGACTCTATGTTACATAAAAGAAGTGTACAGCATATTGCCTCTATGTGGGAGGAACAAAGGCAAAAAATACAGGACCATTAAACTTTGAGGTTGTTTTCCATGTGGAAGACATGATGCTAACAGATAGCTGTTAATGACTTCAGCCCTTAAGACCATATAACATTGTTAGGATCATTTAATAAATGAGGAAACTGAAGTTTTAAGTCAATTTTACTGAACTCCAAATCTCATACAATATGCCACATCCAAAAGACTCACTTACCCAATAGAATTGAAAACATACTGAGTAGGTGTGAAAAGTAAAAAGTTGGGTTGGGAAGCTGGAGGCATCATGCTGCCCAACTTCAAAATATACTACAGGGCTACAGTAACCAAAACAGCATGGTACTGATACAAAAACAGACACACAGACAAATAGACAAATAGAACAGAATAGAGAACCCCAAAAACAGACCACATACCTACAACTATCTGATCTTTGACAAACCTGACAAAAACAAGCAATAGGGAAAGGATCCCTTATTCAATAAATAATGCTGGGATAACTGGCTAGTCATATGCAGAAAATTGTAACTGGACCCCTTTCTTATACCATATGCAAACTATAAAAACCCTGGAAGACAACCTAGGCAATACCATTCAGTACATAGGCATGGACAAAGATTTCATGATAAAGACTCCAAAAGCAATTGCAGCAAAAGCAAAAATTGACAAATGAGACCAAATTAAAGAGCTTCTGCACAGAAAAAGAAACTAGCAACAACCTACAGAATGGGAGAAAATTTTTGCAAACTATGCATCTGACAAAGGTCTAATATTCAGCATTTATAAGGAACTTAAACAAATTGACAAGAAAAAAAACCCCACAAAAAAGTGGGCAAAGGACATGAACATACATTTTTTCAAAAGAAGACATACATGCGGCCAAAAAACATATGAAGAATAGTTCAACATCACTGATCATTATAGAAATGCAAATAAAAACCACAATAAGACACCATCTCACACCAGTCAGAATGGCTATGATTAAGAAGTCAAAAAATAACAGATACTGGCAAAGCTATGGAGAAAAGGGAATGCTTATACACTATTGGTGGGAGTGTAGCTTAGTTCAACGATTGTGGAAGACAGTGTGGCAATTCCTCAAAGACCTGAAAACAGAAATATCATTCACATCAGCAATGCCATTACTAGATATATACCCAAAGGAATATAAATCACTGTATTACAAAGACACATGCATGTGTATGTTCATTGTACCACTATTCACAATAACAAGCACGAGGAATCCACCTAGCCTATCAATGATAGATTGGATAAAGCAAATGTGGTACATATACACATGGAATACTATGCAACCATGAAAAAGGAACAAGATCATGTCCTTTGCGTGGACACAGATGGAACTAGAGGCCATTACCCTTAGCAAATTAATTCAGGAACAGAAAACCAAATACCACATGCTTGCATTTGTAAGTGGGGGCTATATGATGAGAACGCATGGACACATAGAGGAGAACAACACACACGGCGGCCTTTTGAGGGTGGAGGGTGGGAGGAAGGAGAGGATTGGGAAAAATAACTAATGGTTACTAGGCTTAGTACCTGAGTGATAAAATAATCTGTACAACAAAACCCCTTGATACAAGTTTACCTATGTAAAAAAAACCTGCACTTGTACCCCTGAACTTAAAAGTTAAAAAATAATATTAAAAAAAAAAGTACTCAATAATTTGAAAAAAAAGTTGGGTGGGAATGATAACATCTGTCTAAACAGGGAAAAGGCACAAAATGAGAGACAGTCATTTAATACAGGAAATACAATTAAGTTCCATGGTATTTTAAAAATAAAAAAAATACTGAGATTGTGTCTCTGCAGGAGGCTACTAGCTTGATCACTTTGAGAACCTTGACCAATCAATGTAATCAGTTTGCTAGATTTTTCACTATGTTGAAAAATCCAACTGGTGGTGTTGTTATTATCCATATTTAACCTGAGAGCCTAAATAAAAAGTAAATGATAATAAATGAAGGGTAATTAACTAGGCTCCAAGAAGCAGAGCTAAATCTATTTGTCATAGTGGTTCATAATTTAAATTAAGTTAATAAACTAGAGATGTGGTAAAGACAGGAAATTTAAATTCTTTAACAAGAAATAGTGTAGAGAATGACAAAAGACATGCTCATGTGAAATTCTTATTTTGCTCAAGGAAAGCAAGTGACAAAAGGACTGACAACAAGATCCTATAGGACACTAAAGTTGAAATGGAAGGTGGAATGAGAGGAGAGGACACGTACCTAGCATCTTCTCTGTGACAAATACTTTGCCAGGTGCTCTACACATAGGCATCAGTGGAATAACATGGGAAGAAAGGTTGAACAGAAGTCCTGGAAGACAGAGCTTTGAGAAGGAGGTAGTTTTCAACAAAGTCAAATATCAAAGATTGATTCAGATAAATGTTCAATAGATTTGGCAGTTAGGATATTATTGTGGCCATCTAGGATAGTAACGTAGGAAGAAATCAGAATGATATGGGTTTGGAGTTCGAGAAATGTAGATAATCATTGTAGACAAATTTTTTAATTTTTTAATGTTTAAAAAAATTTGTTTAGGAGACAGGGTCTTGCTATGTTGCCCAGGCTGGTCTCGAACTCATGGCCTCAAGAGATCCTCCTGCCTTGGGTTCCAACAGTGCTGGGATTACAAATGTGAGCCATTACTCCCACATTTTTTATTTTCAAGAAGCTTGGCAATTATAAAGTAGTGGCTAGAAGAGAAGAGAACAAGATATAGCAGCCTTCAGATTATAAGAAATACATAAATGTCGACATATAAATTCTTCTTTTTTGCTGCTGTACCACTAATCACATAAAGACATCATTGTTTTCCTCTTGGGCCTCCTCTGGACTACATATTGACTTCAACAATTTGATCCACTTCATGCCAATGACTATTGGTCAATGTATTGTCTTCAACTCAGCCTTTCTTGATGGTCCCTATTTATTCATAGTTACATTTTTGCTTGAATTAATTGGCCTCTGGTTCTTATAATTTGTGCATATAGGATCTATTTTGTATCATTACATACAAGACGGGAAATCTAGGTATTGGTTGCACCTTGAGCAACTCAAACAATTCAGCATTTCCTGTCCTGCCCCATGAGAGATTTCACAATGATCTATTGCTGCTCAACAGCACCATTTGACCCAGTTGATACGAAACTCATATCATAAAACAAGAAAAATGATACTAGTTTCATTAATTATTTCTGCAGTTTGGTTTAGAAGTGTGATTTATGCTAAAACATCATTTAAATGGAAAGCATCCTATTTTCTCACATCTTCTTTTCTTTCTGTCTTCCCTCCCTTTACTTTCCCATTCTTCACAACTACTGGCAATCTGATAACAAACTGTGTGCATTTCACAAGCTGTCTTTTTGCTATCTGCTTTTTACTTCCCTGTCCTACTGTATTTAGAGTCACCAAAAAAGATAGAGAGCAAATGTTTTTACATGCAGTATTTTTCTTTTGTCATTATCAAAATACTAACCCTTGTGTAAAAAAGTAGCCTTTTGTCCCCTCAAAAATCCTAATATGCTGACTGCCTTTAGACGTACTGATGTCCCTAAAGCTTAGATTCCTACCCACATCACCACCTCATAATGCTATTGTCTTTGTATCTGGGAGTTACACATATGAGTCTAAGGATAGGGTTTGCAAAATAATAATTAATGTGTGTTTTCCACATTTGATAAACAATGGTATTTATACTTATTAAAGCTTTGCTTTCAATTTTAATTAGGCTTTATAATAATTAATATTTTTCTGCTGCACACTGCAATCACTGGCTTTAGAGAAATATAGAAATGTGGTACTTAGCATTCAGACTGCTAATGAAAATGTGAAAGTACTGAAGTTACAAATAGATGTGATAGTAATCACTGACTTTCTATATTCTAATTCGTATTTGTTGGTGTCCTAGAAGTAAACAAATTTATTAGAGCAAACCAGTTAAAATTGAAACGCTAAAATTTGGGGGATGGAAAAAGAAAAGTATTCTGTTAGTTGGCATATTATGTTTATACTGTCCATCATAAATAATGGTTATTTTCAACCATTGTCTATAACACTTCAACATGAATTTCCCACTTCTGATTATCTCAATAGTTACCAACAAAGTAAAATTTTTTTCAAAAGAAATGTGTGGTTAATTTACTTTGTTTTAAACTGTGTGTTATTGATACCAGTCAGATTGGAGTGCAAGGTTCACAAAATCAAATTACTGGCAGGATGTTGCCATTACAAAAATGTTGGAAACCACTAGGCTAAAGCTTGGTATGCACAGATTTCTGTTTTTGAAACCTTACATAAGTCTCTCAGTGGTGCTCTGAATCCAAATCAGATCACATCATAGAAGAGTAATTTTGTATTCTCTGTGCTTGTTTCAAACTACCCACATTATTTCATTAGACAACAACTGAATGAAAGTAACAAAATAGACATGCTTATTAAATGAGCAAGATTAGTAGTGTGATGTGATTGGTGAATGATATCTTAAAACCACATGTATAAATCTTTGAGATCACCTGACCAGAAATTGCTTAGCCACATTACCATTTCTCATTTTAATACAGCTATAAAAATCTTATAGCAGCTCCCTGCCTCACTATTTAACTTAACCCTCTAGTGCCAGCAGATAACCGGGAGAGTTTTGCTTAGTGAAAAACATGGAAAGGCATAATTTTAAGGAATGAAAAAGGAAATATTTTCCCCTGTTCAGAACAAGTTTGTAAGTCTTTGCACTTGGCTCAAATCATGAAGAAAAAAACACACACACATAGACACTCACTAGCAAGCTTTTAGCTGAAAGGTTAGTTTTTCTGTAAAGTCTGAATTCTACCTGAATCACAGAAACTTCAGTCTACAGACAGTCTTCAGAGATCTGGATAAAGTTGAGAGGCTATTAAGAAATGCTATGGGCTTTAGATTTTGACAGGGTTTAACAGCCGATACTTTTATTTGAAAGTATAATGTTCAAAGGAGAAAAAAAAGATGGCTATAAGAAAGTAAACAATTTTATTTCTCTTGACTGATTTTACCAAAAAGTATCAGCTATTTTTAAGAATACTGGGTATACATGGCATGGTAAAAAACATTCTTTTAAATGGAATGTAATTAGATGGCTACAGAAAAAAAAAAGAAGGATAATTAGACCAGTGTACACTCCAGCCAGTATCTTTCATTAATATATTTGAACATCAGTTGTGAGGGGATAGCCAAGCAGCTTCCGGCCATATGAGCTGCCTCTTCAACATAAGCATTAGGGTCTGCTTCAAGCTTGGAGAGGAGTCTCTGAGTTATTCTGCTTTTGTTCTTTATCTGAAGGCTCAGGGTGCAAAAGCTATGGACCCGAAAAAAGAGTTCCCATCAATTTCTACTTCTTTCCAAGTTGTGCAGTAAGATCTAATTTTGTACTTCAGTATTCGGCAATTACTGTTGTTTCCTTAGGATGAAGGACATAACTTTTTTGTGCCTCTGTGTAGCCCTAATAAATGACAGGGCCTTACATGGCCCAATCTATGAATGGAGTTGCATCCAAAAGAATGATAAATTCTTGAAGGCGCAGGCCGCCCTGGAAGATTTACACAACGCTGCATACAAAGACCTTAACAGAAATGTGATGTATGCATATTCCTCTCTCCTCAAAGTTCCTTAGCATAAAAACTGATAAAAATCTTCCCTTCCTTCCATCTTTTACTAAGTTAATTCATTGGCATAATGGTCTCTCTGTTCACTTCCTCTTTCTTGCCCTGCGGCACACTGCCTAGCCCTCTGAGCAGAAGTTGTCTTCAGTAGACCACTTTTCATCTACAGGCCACTCAAGAATGGCTAGGGATCCACAAGCTCCATTCCCTCCTTTTCTCCACTTTGAAGGATGTCTCTAAACCCCAGAGCCCCTCAGTTGATGTGGTTCTTCTCTACCTCTTGCTACTGTATTGCAAGAAATTGTCACAAAACATTTCTCATTACATTTGAAAGGCCTAATCGTACCTAGCACATTTCTAGGGTTTGAAACTGTTTGCTGGTGGAAGAAATGTGCAGATTTCACTGATGTCATATTCAGGAAATACTTCTTCCAGCTCCTCAATTTTCCCCATACCATATTAGAAAAAAAAGAAGTTGCAATGCACTTTCTTCTCTATGAGAAATGTTAAAACAGACTCACATCTTAAGGTAGCAAAAACATAGTCCATGAGATAAACACTGCAGAAATTTTTAAACACTATGTAGGCCTACAAAAATATTGTTCTGCATGTCAAACTGACAGTGGTGTCATTCACATTGACCTGTGCCACATACTCTGTCTGAGAATCACGTCCCTCTTTCTGATATCCTGGGACTAAGAGAACATTCACAAAGGAATGCATAATTCTCCCACACCACACACACACACACACACACACACACACACACACACACACTACTCCTAAGGGAAAATCAATTGAACATTAAGATAAATAAAGTACTATTTGTTTAAGTCTTGATCTTCTACATTCATAGTGAGGACCAGCGGCATAAGGAAAACAAAAGTCATTTTTATAATATTTAAGGTAATATGACATTTTTGTTGTTGTTATTCATGTGCAATCACATTTGGCATAGATTAATAATGTGAGTTTGTATTACTCAAACACACTATAAATGAGAGTGATGAAAAGCAGAATAGAAACAGTTTTGGTGTATGCTTAGAAAAAAAATCCTGAAACTGTATTGAATGGGACCAGTTCACACCCATGCTGTCTAACCTCAGCTGTTCCTCCTCTGCTAGTGAGTAGTCCTTTTATTTCTTTTTAGCGACTTTCTATTGTGTTTCTTATGGTGATTTTTCTAGGCAGATCTTCTTCAAATTCCCAAGCCCGCAGTTTCTGTTCTGTCTTCAAAAGCACTCCTAAGAGATATCTCTCCTTTTCTACTTTCCTGAGATTGAGGGGCATGAACTTCTGCATCTTTCTCCTTTCCACATCAAATTATCTAGCACCATATTTTCCCAACTTCTGTGCAAGCCCAAGAAAGATATTTCCTTCTCCCTTTGTTAATTACTTCATCTTCGCTTTTGATCCCATCTCATCCCATTTCCTCTGACACCTTGCCCTGTCATTTATTCCAGGCATCATTAGCTTAAGGTTTGAAATTAGCCCACAGACTTGGATTGTTTGATCTTCAGAGGTGTTTCTTTTTTTCTTTGTAATACATTTAGCTGGGACACGCTCTTGACTTTGTCTCAGCCCTGATTCTTTTCTACTGTGTTACATTCACTGGCTTCAGCCAGCTACCTGCCCATACTCTGAAGACGTTTGAGCTTCTGATCCCTGCTTTACCTCTTTAGGCCTTTTCACTGGCTCCTTTGCTTTCTGTTTCTGTTTTCCTTTGCTTTCTGTTCACTGTTTACTTTCTGAAATTCTTCAAATTCTTCATATTCTAGAAATCCAAGTTACTTCTTCCCTGAACCCGGCCATCCCCTGGAGCTACTGTGATTCTAGTATTTCTTGGCACTACTCTATGTCCTCACTTTTTGGCATCCTATTCTAATTCTGTGCAAAGATAAATCATACACACATAGGAGAATTAAATTCCAAATAAAATACATTTAAAATTTGTAAATCAAGAATAGAATTAAATACATCAAGAGTTAAACTCTGAAAGTAAGAATAATACACATTCATGAATTATGGACCTAATTGTTCTACTAACAACTTGGAACAAATAGTTTAACCCCTAAGACTCATTTTCTATATTTGTTATATGATTATCAATAGCTTCTCTTCCTACTAAACAGGGTTGCTTTAACAACATAAAGGGATAATAATAGATTCTATTATTTAATGTCTGCTATGTGCCAGACTCTGTGTTGAGTGATTTATGTATATTATCTCATTTATTTCTCACAATAACCTAATGAAGAACTAGGTTATTATCACCATTTTATAAGGATGAAACTGAAATTTCTTGAGCTTAAGTAGCTGGCCCGAGTTTACACAGTGAGAAAGCAAAACTCACATAAAAATATTTGGGTATTTCATTTAAGCCCTGGTTTTGAGTACATGTTGATTTTTCTAAGTATATCAGTCAAGTACAGAAACAAGTTAACATAGCTACTAGCATATTCTGTCCCCTTGAGTCATTTAACTCCATCTGGATGTAAACCCTTACAGTACATTACCCAGTATTCTACAGTATTCTAGAACAGTATAGAACGTCTTAACTGGTTGTGTCTATCTTCTTACTCATTCACACTGACCTCATCATTCCTAAAGATAGACAGATGAGAGAACATGTCTGTTTTATCCCTGAATACAGCCTCTTTCAGGTTCAGGGGATGAATTACCAACTGAGAGTAGTGCTCTTGCAATTTCACCACACAAGTATAAACTTCAATTTCTCCTTGTTTCTCTTCCACTGACTTCTAAGAATTACAACAGATAAGAAAATTGCAGTTATCTAACAATTCTGAATCACCTTAATTATGAACACCAGCTAAGACAGGAAACTTACCAATGAAACTGCTGGGCTCTATTAAGCTGCATTAACTAAAAAGGTCAACTTCGTTTTACTGTCTTCTAATTTTTAAAATAGCTACACTGATTATTATAGATAGAAGCACAAAGACTTACAAATAGAAATGAAATAAGTCACCAAAATATGTAAGTCTTTCATGCATTCTCACTGACTAAATGATCAAGATTGGCAGGGCAATTCCAAAGCATAAGCAAAGTAGTTTGGTATCAAGAGTATGGGGAAGAACTTCTGCTCCTTTCTGTAAATCTACTTCCATATTGAGGCTTGAGCTGGAAACCCCTATAAACCAGGATTAAGATTTTCGTTCTACATTGGAAGACAAGGCTGAAAATGTAAAATCTCCCAGGAGAGACAACACATAGCTTACCTTATTCACACTAAAAAGACTGATATCGGCTCTTTCACTGAAAGCAGATTTTTTTAAGGAGACGGAAAGTTTCAGACTTCTTATTTTCCAGTCTTGACAAAAAATGATGGATCTCTTCATTTGCATTCCCTGACTAACCAAACTTAGTGCTTGGCTATTTTAACAGGAAGCCTCTGCAAGCTCCAAACATGAGACAGAAGGTTGGTTCCATATCAAGATCCTTAATGCTGTTATTACCTCATATATAGCGTTCAGATCCTTTGCTTTAATCCTGATCTTTTGTGGTGCAGGGTGTTCGTCTGGGTTTCTGACTTCATAATTGATGCCTAAGTCCTTTCTCTAGGTCCCAAACTTGTTGTTCACTCTGATCTTTAATATCTGTGTGATATGAAAAATACCTGACCACCCCGTTGCCCCTGTTCACTCTAGATCTTCTCTTCTGGAATTAATCCTCTGTCTGGACTTATTTCAAACTCCTTATTCCAAACAGACCATGAACGTGATTAGGACATCACTTCTATGCCTTTATCCTAATCTATTTTTCCATTTTGCCTCAGATATCCAACAAAAGCTTGACTGTTCCACTCTGTACAAAATAATTATAGGCCCACCGTGGAGCAGAGAGGTGGATACAAATCTGGATATGTTTTGTCTTACTTAAAAAAGAGATTATTGGTGATGATAAAAAGGGGCAGAGAAGCAGTACTAGGTAGCAGTTCAGCATGTGGGCCTTGGAGTCAATGCTGCTTTCAAATTCAGACTTCTCCCTTTACTAGTTTTATGACATTAGGCAAGTTCTTCAGCTACTCAGTCTTATCTTTTTCTTGTATAAAATGATGATAATAATAAATCTACCTCATAAAGCTATGGTGAACATTAAATATTAATTTTTAAATGATAATCATAATTACTTACATAAATACAATTATGATTATAATTGTGGCAAAGCATGTAAGAAGCACATGAAAGAGTTCAATAACTGTAAGTCATTAATATTAGAGAGCTAGTCTGTGACATGGTTAATCTCTTTGATTTTGGCTGAGAAGGAAAATAAATCACAATTCTGAGTGGTGGTCAAGAAGGTCTTACGTTGCATTCAACTTATTCAGCACACCAATTTGTTTAAATTGCAACTGAGAGTATCAAATAGCAAGAGTACCAATTATCGAGGCCAATGCCTCCATGGTTGATTTCAGCACCATGATTTGCATCTCTTTGTGTTTTACACTTTGTTGAGCTGGGTTTGCATTGGTGTTAGATATTGTTTTATTTCCTTTCCATTTCTACCATCTTTCTTTCACTTTAATAACACTCTGCCAAGCTACAGCTTTGTTCTGAAAGCATAGTAATTTGTGTCTGTTATTATACCACTTTCCCTGAGGAAAGGATAGTTAGGTTTTTTTTGTTTTCTGTTTGCAAGAATGCTTGGAGGTAAGGTCACATTATCTTTAATAATATTTGGTATGCAAGAGAATTCAATAAGATATATATATTTTTTCAGGGAACAGGAAAGTCACGTTTCAAAGGACTCCGTGAACTCACGTATTTTGGCTGTTGAATTAATCTCTAAATAGTGACACCAGCAGGGGGTCAATAGAGAAGAACACTCTGCTCATGCTATCTGACTTTAGAAAAACAAACACAAATCAGCAGGCTTTCAGGGCCAATGACATTCCCTTTTATCTGGGCAACCTGACACACATATATCTCCACAAACAGATTGTCCTCCTGAGGGAATATGAGTGCAGACTCAGCTAATAAATAATATGAAGACATCTGACCAAAGGGCAACATGTGGGGAAGAACAGTCATGTGAACTCAATACTGTATTCACTAAAGAAAAAAACAAAACAAAGCAAACAACAATGAAAACAGGACAGAGCAAGCTGAGTCTGGTAAAGGGCAAGCCATTCACTGATTCAGAGTATTTCATCCTTTCCTCATGCCCACATACAGTTTCTGAGAATCAAGAAAACACATTTTTGAATGAATACTACATTAGGAGTTATGAACTTTAACAAAGCAGCCAACATAGACAGAAAACACACAGATACACAATTAGAAATAGAGTGTCTCAAACTGAGCTAGAAGTTCAGACTCCTATAAAGCACAACTCTAGCGACTATCAGTGACAAGTTCTTAAAGCAACTGTAGGTATTGAGCAAAGGACACATAGAGAGATCAGTTAAGAAAGGAACACAGACTTTGTAATGTGCTTACCAGTAACTCATGTTGCAGGAAGAAACTATTTTAGCAGTATTATCTTTTAACATGAAGGACAATGAGTCACCTAACAGCTTGCTTCACATTTTTAAAGCCATTCCAATCTCAGTGAAACATACGTAGGAAGAATTTGAAAAACAAACCTTCCTCAAACCCTACTATAATGAGGCAAATACCATTAGAAACAAATTGGCTGCTTGGCGTTTGTTTCCACCTCTTAGAGACAGTAAAAGGCCCTGGAATCACAAACATGGATTATCAATGAATTTTTGATCTCAAACATTATGTGGAGGTTCAGCAGCTACTTTCAGATTTTATTTCTCTTGCTGTAACTAAACAGAAGAAATACAATTTTTAAAATATCAAAATGACTTAGTACACATTGTAGAGTTAGTAGATGCCAAATTTCTATTTTAAAAATGAAGGTGTTTAGACCAGAGGCCATGAAAGGAGAAGAGGACTGAAATTAATATAGATTGTTTTTTAAGTTTGGGGGGCAGGCGGAAAACGAGATCTGCCCTCTCAACAAACTTTACAGTATACAATAGAGTAATGTTAGCTATAAGCACAGGTTGTATAGCAGATCTCTAGAACCTATTCATCTTGCATGACTCAAACTCTATATTCAGCGAACACCAATTCCCCATTTCTCCCTCCCCTCAGCTACTGGCAATCACCATTCTACTTTCTGTTTCTATGAGTTTCACTACTTTACATACCTCATATAAGTGAGATCATACGAGATTTATCTTTCTGTATCAAGCTTATTTTAGTTAGCATAATATCCTTCAGGTTCATACATGTTGTGGCGTATGATAGAATTTCCTTCTTTTAATGTGGATTTTTATTTTTACTCTGCTGAAACACAGTACATATGACGTATTTCAATTCTGCATATAAATTTGCTTCTGGACTAAGAATTTCCCCCTCAACACCTGTAAGAACTAAACATATTTTTCTCCAAATTATTACATTTTATTATTTCTTATTCAAAGGTAAAATAGCAATCACCCCTAACTAAAGAGGTTAAGACAAATCGACACTATTTAAAATTCTCCAATAATAGAGAGACCAATAAAACATATACTTCCCTTGTAGTGATTTAATGAATGCAATAATTGGTCTGTTTTTGATTTGCTAGTGAATATGCATATGACTATTTGGATTTTTAGAAAAAGATTACAAAGACCCCAGGAAAATATATGGGGTAAAGAATACATTGAAGAAGAAAGACACAAGAAAAGTAGAATCACTAGGTAAGAATGGTGAGAAATGTATGCTTCAGCTGACATTTCCAGATGTCACCAATTTTCTACTCATACTTTTTTCTTACTTCCAACAACAAACTCTTAATCAGGCCAGGGATTGAAAGAATGGAGAAACTTTGTGACCATCGTAGTATAGTTACAATTCATTTTATAATGTTTTGCATTTGTAACATTATCCGGATAATTGCTACAATTTGAACTTAACCTCCATCCAGGTAATTAAACATTTATTGAAAATCTTCATTGTACAAAAACACAGTATTAAGCACTGTGGAGAGGATAAAAAAGATTGAGAAGTCATTTCCTAATGTTAATATTTTATGGACTAGATACACAATACATTTTTATTCTGTGGCTCGAGAATAATTAGTAAACTCATTAACAGGTGCAAAATTACATTGAAATTTCTGACTTTCAGTAGATGATATGTTCCTCAAAATGTATACATAACTTAAATTTCCTCAAATGAAATTGCTTTCAGAGAAAAAAATAGGAGCTTAATTGAGGCAACACTGTTTTGAGAAGTTTGATGAAGCAGAGTTACTCCCAAATTTGTCTTTAACATTACTCCATATCTTCACAAATTGGTCTGGCTTTAAGTGAGGTAGAACTATACATTAAAAGTGGAACATCTAAGTGTTCAATAGACCTAAAGACACTAGTCAAAGCAGAGTAAGATTACTCCAAGAAGTTTTTGAAAATATAGGATTCTTTCTTGGGGTCATTAACAAGGTTATGAGAGTAAAATACTTTTTAAAAAGATTTCTGAAGAATAGCATCAGAAATGAGAGGATCAGTCAGCAGTGGACTCTAGACAGAGCTTGGCCTACAGAGATCTGTGAGCCTTCTGGTTGGGGCAGGGAAAAAGAGACAAAAGTTGACCCCTTGTTTGAGTGTGGCTGATCCCCCTGGTTTGTAAGAGGCCAGGAAACAGCTAAAATAGTAGGTGAGTCTTCCCAGACTCTGAGGCCAGGCCGGGAATGTACAAGGAGACCAAAAATGTGCACTACTGACAATCTGCCTGCTTTAAAACCATTAGCTCGAAATGACAGACACCATGTCACCTTTTAACACTTGTGGGACTCCCATCACATAGAGAACTCCAACAAATGTGTCTTGGTCCTAATCAGCTGACAGTGGATGACAAAGGAAAACAATAAATTGAAAGGTTGAAAGGACCCGGAAATCAGGGAGAGAAACCACTCAGAACAAGTAGAGCACATGCCCATGAAAACAAAACAAAACAAACACCCATTGGGTAATTTGTCAACAAAACAGCTAAGTAGACACATTTAAGTAGAGGACAATGTTTATTGAGACCCAAACTAGGAAACTGGAAAATCAAAAGAACAAATACTTCCAACTCAAAGCAGAAATATGAAGTGAAAGAAATTATGAGGGAAAGGGTAAGAGCCCTAGAAGATAGACTTAGGACATTTAAAATGCAAAGAAGAGTTCCAGAAGGATGTCAAGAACAGATGGAAGAGAGACAACAATCAAGCAAATTAGTAGAAGAAAATTTCCCTGAGCTGAAGAAGTAGCTAAGCTCAGACTAAAAGGGATCACCAAATTCCAGCCAGAATTGGTGAGACAAGACATACTTGTAAAATTACTGAGCTTTGAGGATAAAGAGAAAAATCTATCAGGTTTCCATTTATTCAGCAAATATTTATTAAATATTTACTGTGTCACTGTTCTAAGCATTGAGAAACAGTTCTTCCTTCATGGAGCTTATATACTCAGTCCATTGCCACCCTCATTCCTTATCACACCCTCAGGGAAAAACCTCAATCTTGAATAAATACAACTCTACCAACTTTCTCCTTGTACCTATACAGTTTGAATGTGGTCAGAGGAAAACACAAGACTGTGGTAACAGGTTTCACTTAAATTCATGACCACTAACCTCAAGTGGGTCCCTACTGCTTCCCAATAATTCGACTACATTTCCCTATCAAATTAGTTTATGTTTCTCCCAGATGATTATTTCATTTTTCCACTTTTCTCAAAATTCCATCTCCTCCTTTTCTTCACTCTCAGCTGATCACCTACATCCTAATAAATTAGCAAAATTGAAGTAATCAGAAGATAATTTTCACCGGCTCCCACTATCCTTATGTAAGAAATTACCGTGATGCAGTGCTGTCTACCAAGCACAACACCAGGCAAACTCTCCAAGAGATCACAGAACAGAAAAGCTTACAGGAAAATTACAATTTTTTACATCAAATGATCTAGTAAATCAATTTAAAACACACAAAAGAAGCAACAGGGAAAGAAATCTGACATGTCAACACACTTTGGGTAGGATGCAAGTGGGTGGACAGAACACACTACCCAAATCCTGGGTTACACAATGTTTGTATGTCCTGTCTCTCGGTTGCATCAACTTACCCCACTGACGGTGCAGTTATGAGGACCAGAGATGAGGTTTGAGTAAAGGGGGAGATTCTGAGGAACAAACAGAAGGCATTTCTGGCTTTATTTAAATAGGAAAGATGCAGAAGTAAGTGTGCTTGGTCAATGGCTGTAGGTCACCAATTAACTTGATAAACAACTATAACGTTATCTTTTCTTCTTAAGCACATCACTTGTGGGACCAGAAAGAAAGTATACTTGGTGTTACCAATGAATGGCCAATTTGGGGGTGGCATAGTTGTTAATCCAAGTGGGGTACGATGGCATCTTATGATGTGCTCTTTCCATTCCTTTCTACCTGAAAGTAACACTCTTGTTTGATCCATCATATATCCATTTATTTTGTCTTTAACAGGTCTACTTATCTGTAACATCTTACAAACTTATTCCCTATCATTAACACATCTTAAGAATTCTGCCTACATCTCACAGCTACATGCTCACTCATTACTTATACTTACCATACATTGTAGACTTCGTTTATATCCTGTAAGATAATATCTTCCTTATTATCTGATTAACACTGTTAAAAACTGTGAAGAGCATGAGATGTCATGCTATTTGCAAATTAACAGGTTAATTTGCCATAGTTTCTCATGGCAGAGGATCTGAGGTTTCTGGTCAGACATAAGGAAGGTTTATTTCCACAGCAATGGCAGTAGCCAGATTATCATCATTTTCTTGCACCAGCTGCCTAAACCATGGTTCTCACAGGGCAATGAAATAAGCGATGAGTGAAGCCTGCACACTTAGTGGGCTGTGATATAGGAAAGGAAATCCAAGCTTGGAAAACCAAAACCTTTTCTTTTTCTTTTAATTTTTTAGAGACAGGGACTTGTTCTGTTACCCAGGCTGGATTGCAGTAGTGCCATCATGACTCACTGCAGCCTTGACCCCTTAGGATCAAGTGATGCTCTCATCTCAGCCTCCCTAGTAGCTGTGACCACAGGTGTGTGCCACCAGACCAGGCTAACTTTTAAATTTTTTGTAGAGATCGAGTCTCACCTTGTTGCCCAGGCTGGCCTTGAACTCCTGGCTTCAAGTGATCCTACTGCCTTGGCCTCCCAAAGTGCTGGGATTACAGGTATGAGCCACTGCATCCAGCCTGTATTTCTTCATATAAATTGGAGATACTGTCTAGTGTCCTTTCCTTTCGTTTTATTTCCTTTAGGCATTCCATGATGGTTTACTTTATCTGATTACTTGACTGGATCATGGAGTGCCCGGATTAAAACCTATTTCTAGGTGTGTTTATTAGGGTGTTTCTGGATGAGATTAGCATTTGAATAAGCAAAGCCACGGGGCAAGGCTGCCCGAGGCTTGGGGCCCACTTCTTATATATTTTTTTTGAGATGGAGTCTTGCTCTATCTCCCAGGCTGGAATGCAGTGGCGTGATCTCGGCTCACTGCAACTTCTGCCTCCTGGGTTCAAGCGATCCTACTGCCTCAGCCTCCCGAGTTGCTGGGACTACAAGTGTGCACCACCACACCTGGCTAATTTTTGTATTTTTAGTAGAGATGGGATTTCACCTTGTTAGCCAGGCTGGTCTTGAACTCCTGACCTCAGGCACTCCGCCTACCTCAGCCTCCCAAAGTGCTGGGATTACAGGCATGAGCCACCGCACCCGGCCAGGGCCCACTTCTTGTACCAGTGTGCCCAGGGTGAGGTACACGGAGTCAAGGATTATTTTAGAACTTTGAGGTTTAATGTCTGCCCTGCTGGGTTTTAGACTTGCATAGGGCCTATTACCCCTTTCTTTTGCCCAATTTCTCCCTTTGGAATAGGAATATTTACTCACTGCCTGTACCACCATTCTATCTTAGAAATAAATAACGTGTTTTCAATTTTACAGGCTCAGAGCTGTAAGAAACTTGCCTCAAGTCTCAGATGAGACTTTGGACTTTGGACTTTTGAGTTGATGTTGGACTGAGTTAAGACTTTTGGGGGCTATTGGGAAGAAATGATTGTATTTTGCAATTGGATATTTAAATAATGTGGCAACTTTATATTCTTTTTAAATTTTTTTCTCAGATGATTTGTTTTCTTTTAGTAACTTGCCGGGACTTCAACTATAAACTCTATCTGCCTGACTGCAGCCATTAATGTCTCTGATTTTTTTTTTTTTTTTTTTTTTGTGTGTGTGTGTGTGTGTGTATAGCTTTCTATTTAGTGTATAGCTTCCAAAAGTCACACCTTTACCTGCGTAACTTAGTGGGCGGAAGTTTTTTTCAAACATCTTGAGCCTGAAAGACACCTACCCAATGCTAATCAATCTGTTTGTGGGTTCAGTAGTGTATTCAAATTTATAGTCAATTATCAAGTCTCCTTTGACTTTCATTTTTTGGTGGGCCCTCTTGAGACTTTCCCGATCATGTGTACTTTTTCTTTCAACCAGGGATATATGGAGAGCTACATTTGCCCTTCTATCCCTTTCTTATTGCCAATATCTTTCTATTAAATTTCTGACTTGTCTGTTGCTCACCTTAACTGGGACAGTGACCTCAGTTAGCAAAACTGGGTTTCTTTCACTTTTCCTAACCTAGTACACAATTTTTAGTCAGAAAAGCCATTGAATTTTTACCACTCACAATTAAGTCCTGCTTTCTGACAACAAATTTTCTGTTCTTCATGAGAAGTCACCAAATGGTAAAATATATATCATTCTTGCTGACCACAGAAATTGGTGGGGAAGTGAGGATAATGAGAACTTCCTCAGGCAAGGATACCATAATATCTTCACTGTTCTTACTAAAAGCTCTTGCAGTTTTTCAAGAATAAACATTTCTCAATTTGTTGTTAGCCTTTGCTCAATTTCCAGTGCCCTGAGATGTTTGCCTTTGACTATTTTGTCCAGTTTTATACTTATAATTTGCCACCAAAATCTTCACAGCTCTGTAATCAAAAGTCCCTCTAACATTCTCTTCAACAATTTAAATCATTAGGATTTTGCCCCCACTACTCCACCAAAATGTGTCAAAGTCATGAATGGTTACCATATTGTTAAATCCAATTTTCAGTCCTAATCTTTTTTGACCTATTAGCACCATTTTAACATAATTATCACTCTCTTCTTCTTGAAACACTTTACTTGGTCTCCTGGGCAATAGTCTCTCTTTTGAAAAGCCTCTTACATCAATGACTATTGCTTATAGTCTTCTTGGTTAATTCTCTATAATTTTTAAGACCTTTAAATATTGAAGAACCTGAGGACTCAGTCCTCAGATCTCTTATCACCCTCCCTCACTTCTGGGTCATCTCATCCTGTCTGATGACTTTAAACAGAGCCTAAGCGTTGAAGATCCCAAAATTTATATTAACTTTTTCAAACCAGGAAAAATGAGGAAACTAAAAAAGAGAAAATAACATAAAATAAATTTTAAAAATAAAGATGATTACAATGAAATCAAACATATCAGTCACTGAATTAAGTGTGAATGAAGTGACTTTTTGCATTAAAAGACTGAGACTCATGGACTGTAATTTTTTTCAAAAAAATCTGACGAGCGTGCCTTCTACAGAAAACATTCTTAAAGTAATAATGAAATAATGAAAATTTTAAAACTGGGAAAGAGGCTATCAGGACAATGCCACAATAAGTAACAGTAACATTATTAAAACAATAGAAAGTAGCCTTTAAATATAAAAGCATTAAGCATAGTAAAGGGCATGATTTATTAAAATAAAAAATGGAATTTACAGAAAAGATATTAGTCATATAGTTCTTTACATCAGAAAAGACAAATTTATTATGCAAAAGTTTGCTATAAATTGATTGAAGATATGATTGATTAAAGAAGAAATTGATTAAAAGTTTGATTATGGTAAGAGAGATCAATATATCTCTTTCAGAGGTGGACATATTGAATCAGGCAAATATATGTTAACAATAGAATATAATACAGTAGTTCCCTCTTATCCATGATTTTGCCTTCAGTAACCCACAGTCAACCATGGTCTGAAAATATTAAGTGGAAAATTCCAGAAACAAACAATTCATAAGTTTTAAATTACATGCAATTCTGAGTAGCATGATAGAATCCTGTATTGTCCTACTCCATCCAGCCTGGAATGTGAATTGTCCCTTTGTCCAGCATATCCAAACCGTATACACTACCCTCCTGATAGTCACTTAGTAGACGTCTGGATTATCAGATGGACTTTTGCAGTGCTTGTGTTCAAGTAACTATTACTTTACTTAATAGTGGTCCCAAAGTGCAAGCGTAGTGATGCCAGCAATTTTGATATGCCAAAGAAAAGCCATAAAGTGTTTCTTTAAGTGAAAACATGCAAGTTTATCATATGTACATATGTATAGGAAAAATCATAGTATATACAGGTTTGGGTACACACTGTATATAGGTACCTGTGCTTTCTGGGGTTTTTGGAATGTATTCACCACCATGGATAAAGGTAAACTACTAAATTATGTTGAATTTAACTGTGTGAAACATTCACAGAACCTTGTCTTCCCCAAATAGACACTTTTTTCACTTGCCCATTGAACATTTTTAAAAATCATGTATTCATCCAAAAATCAAAACTTAACACATTCAAAAGGTTCTACATTCAAGCTACATTTTCTGTCATAATCCAACAAACTAGAAAGAAATTATAAAAAGTTGACCAAAAAAAAAGCCCCAAAAAACCAAAAAACATCTTCACTACATGGAAACTAGAAAATACAACCTTAAATGACACTTACATCATAGAGGCAATCAAAATTGAAATTAAAACCTATCTCCAATGAACTAAAAAGAAAGCACTTCTTTAATTAGAACATATGGGATGCAGAAGCCTCTTTACTTAGAAGAAAATATACAGGCTTAAATGTCATAGATATTAAAAAAGAATTATGAAAATATATGATTATTTCTCATTTAAAATATTTGGAAAAGAATGATATGATAAGCCTAAAAGGTAGGAATGTTTAATAAAGATAAAGCTGAAGTAGTGAATTGGAAAGCAAAAACTATATTATATATAATACACAAAGATAAACCTTTTTTAAAAATCAATAAAATAGTTAATGGTCTCATGAGATAAAGAAAAGAGAGTAAAAATACAAATTAGAGTCATAAGTGAAACATCATTACAGATACATAAAAGTTTAACATATTACAATTCTTTTCTAAAGAGAATTTAATACACAATTCCAGCACAACAAATTTGAAAACCTAGAGAAAAAATTGATGATCTTCTAACAAAATACAAGTTTTAATAATGACCCAAAAAGAATTGAAAAACTCGTACAACAAATACTAAAATAGGCAGAGTAAGATGGCAGAATAGAAGACTCCACTGATCATTCCCCCTGCAAACACACGAGTTTAACAACTATTTGCACCCAAAAAACACCTTCAAAGGAACCAAAAATCAGGTGAGCATTCACGGTACCTGGTTTTAAGCACATTTGGCTGAAAGAGGCAGTGAAGTGGCAGGAAAAATAGTCTTGAATCACCAATGCCACCCCTCTCCCATCCTCCAGCAGTGGCAACATGGTGCAGAGAGCATTTTTGTGCGTTCAGAGCAGAAGAACTCAGCAATTGTAAGGCACTGAACTCAGCACTGGCCTGTTATAGCAGAAACAAAAACCAGACCAAACTCAGCTGATACCAGCTCATGGAGGGAGCATTTAAACCAACCTTAGCCAGAAGGGAATCGCCAATCTCAGTGGTTGGAATTTGTGATCCCATCACAGGCTAATGTGCTTTGGAGTCTCAAATAAACTTGAAAGGCAGTCTAGGCCACAAGGACAGCAACTCCTAGGCGAATCCTAGTGATGAACTGGGCCCAGAGACAGTGGACTGGGAGGGTCTATGACCTTCTGAGACATTAGCAAGGGCAGCCAAGAGACTGCTGGCATCCCCCCTCCCCTAACGCCAGGGTGCATAGCTCATGGCTCCAAAAGGGACCACTTTTTTTTGCTTGAAGAGAGCAGAGGGAAGAGTGGGGAGGATTTTGTCTTGCATCTTGGATACCAGCTCAGCCACAGTAGGATCGGGCACTGGTCAGAGTCACGAGGCTTTCTTCCCAGTTCCTAGCTTATAGGTGACATTTCTGCACACACCCTGGGACAGAAGGTAATGTGCTGCCTTGAAGGGAAAGATCTAGTCTTGGCAGGCTTCATCACCTGTTAACTGAAGAGCCCTTGGGCCCTGAATAACCAGCAGCAATACCCAGGTGCTACATTGAGGGCCTCAAATGAGACTCTGAGACATGCTGACTTCAGATATCAGTTCAGTCACAGCAGGGAGGAATACCTAGTGGATTCTTGGGGTCCCTGATTCCAGGACATGGTTCTGGAATGGCATTTCTGGACATACCCTGGGCCAAAGGGGAGCCCAAGTCCCTGAAGGGTGAGTTCCAGGCCAGGTAGCATTCACCACAAGCTGACTTAAGAGCCCTTGGGCCTTAAGGGAACATTGGTGATAGTCTGACAGCACTCCCCTTGGGACTGTAGTGGTGGCGGCCATGGAGTGAGGCTCCTCTGCCTTTGGAAAGGGGAGGGAAGAGTGAGAAAGACTGCATTTTGTGGCTAGAGTACCAGGTCAGCTGCAGTCCAATAGAACACCAGGTAGTCATCTAAGGTTTTTGACTCTCCCCTGGCTCCCAGATGGCATCTCTGGACCCACCCAGAGCCTGAGGAATCTCACTGCCCTGAAGAGAAGGACACAGGCCTGGGCTTTGCCACCTGCTGATTATAGAGCACCAGAGCCTTGAGCAAACATAAGTGGTAGCCAGGGAGTAGTTACAGATGGCGTTGGGTGAGACCCAGTGGTGTGCTGGCATCAGGTCTGACTCAGCACAGTCCTAGAGGTGGCGGCCACAGTGGTGCTTGTGTCACTCAACCGCCAGCTGCAGGTGGATCAGAAAAGAGAGAGAGACTTCATTTGTTTGGTAGAAAGTAAGGGAAGAGAACAAGAGTCTCTAACTGGTAATCCAGAGAATTCTCTCAGATCTTGTTCAAGACCATTAAAGCAGTACTTCTATGAGTCTGGAAGAACCACATTGTCACTGGGCTTGGAATAACCCCTCAAGGAGATAACAGCTTCAGTCACAACACCCAAGTCCTTTAGAATAGCTGGAAAGCCTTCCCAAGCAGGATGGGAACAAACAAGCCGAGACTGAGAAAACAACAATAAATACCTAACTCTTCAAGCCCAGACACAGATGAATGTCTACAAGTATTAAAATGATCCAGGAAAACATTTTCTCACCAGATAAACTAATTAAGGCATAAGGGACCAACCCTGGAGAAACAGAGATATATGCCCTTTTGTGCAGAGAATTCAAAATAGCTGTGTTAACAAAACTCAAAGAAATTCAAGATAACACAGAGAAGAAATTCAGAATTCTATCAGATAAATTTAACAGGAGATTGAAATAATTAAAAAGAATCAAGCAGAAATTCTCAAGCTGAAAAATACAATTGGCATATTGAAGAATACATCAGAGTCTTTTAATAGCAGAATGATCAAGCAGAAGATAGAAGTAGTGAGCTTAAAGACAGGCTATTTGAAAATAAAAAGTCAGAGGAGATAACAGAAAAAAGAATACAGAGCAATAAAGCACACCTACAGGAACTAGAAAGCCACAAAAGGGCAAGTCTAGTAGTTATTGGCCTTAAAGAAGCAAAAGAGAAAGAGATAAGGGTAGAAAATTCACAGCAGAAAACTTCTCAAACCCAGAGGAAGATAGCAATATCCAAGTACAAGAAGGTTATAAAACACCAAGCAGATTTAACCCAAAGAAGACTACCTCAAGGCATTTAATAATCAAACTCCCAAAGGTCAAAGATAAAGGATCCTAAAAGCAGCAAGAAAAGAGGAAGAAAAGAACATACAATGGAGCTCCAATACATCTGGCAACAGAATTTTCAGTGGAAACCTTACAGGCCGGGGGAGAGTGGCATGACATATTTAAAGTGGTGAAGAAGAAAAACTTTTAACCTAGACTTGCACATCACGTGAAAATATCCTTCAAACATGGAGAACAAATAAAAAAGACTTTCCCAGACAAACAAAAGCTGAGATATTTCATCAACACCAGACCTGTCCCTTGAGAAATGGTGAAGGGCATACTTCAAAACAAAAGAAAAGAATGTTAATGAGGAATAAGAGATTATCTGAAGGTGCCAAACTCACTGGTAAGTATACAGAAAAACACAGATGTTATAACATTGCAGCTGTGGTATGTAAACTACTCCTATCTTAAGTAGAAAGGTGAAACAATGAACCAACCAAAAATAATAATTACAACAGATTTTCAAGACATAGTACAATAAGATATAAGGAGAAGCCACAAAAAGTTAAAAAGCAGGGGGACAAAGTAAAGGTGGAGAGTATTAGTTTTCTCTCTGCTTCTTTGTTTGTTTATGCAAATGGTGTTGTTATCAGCTTTTAAAAATGGGTTATAACATAGTGTTTTTCATGGACACAGAGAAGGGAATGACACACACCAGGGCCTGTTAGGGGTTGGGGGTGAGGAGAGGGAACTTAAAGGACGGGTCAATAGGTGCAGCAAACCACCATGGCACACATAAAGCTATGTAACAAACCTGCACATTCTGCACATGTATCCCTTTTTTGTTTGTTTGGGGTTTTTTTTAGAAGAAATAAAGAATTTTTTTTCTAATTTTTAAAAAAAGATAGACACCTCAAACCAAGAAACACACAATGGATACACAAAAAATAAAATACACAATGGATACACAAAAAATAAAAAGCAAGAAACTAAAGTATACCACCAAAGAATATCACCTTCACTAAAAAGAAGACAGCAAGGAAAGAAAGAAGAATGAGTAGACCACACACATACACACACACACACACACACACACACACACACACACACAGAGAAAACAATTAACAAAATGGCAAGAGTAAGTCCTTATCAATTATAACATTGACTCCAAATAGACTAAACTCTAATCAAAAGACATAGGGTGGCTGAATAAATGAAAAAACAAGACCCAATGATCTGTTGCCTACAAGAAACACATGTCACCCATAAAGACACACATAACCTGAAAATAAAGGGATGAAAAAACATATTCCATGCCAATGGAATTCAAAAAAAGCAAAAGTATTTATACATATATCAGACCAAATAGATTTTAAGAAAAAAATTATAAGATGAGACAAAGGAGGTCACTTTATAATGGTAAAGGGGTCAATTCATCAAGAGGTTATAACAATTAAAATTATATATGCACCCAACATGAGAGCACTCGGATATAAAAGACAAATATGGATAGACCTTAAGAGAGAGATAGGCCCTAATATAATAATAGCAGGAGACTTCAACACCACACTTTCAGCATTGGACAGAACTTCCAGACAGAAAATCAATAAAGAAACATTTGACTTAATCTCCACTATAGACGAAATGAATCTAGTAGATATTTACAGAACATTTATCCAACTGTTGCAAAATACACTTTCTTTTCCTCAGCACATGGATCATTCTCAAGGATAGACCATATGTTAGGTCACAAAACAAGTCTGAAAACATAAAAAAAATGAAATAATATCAAGGATCTTCTCTGCCCACAATGAAATAAAACTACAAACCAATAATAAGAGGAATTTTTGAAGCTATATAAATACATGAAAATTAAACAATATGCTCCTGAATGACCAGTGGGTCAATGAAGAAATTAAGGTGGAAAGTGAAGAATTTTTTAAAACAAATGATAAAGGAAACACAACATGCCAAAACCTATGGGATACAGCAAAAGCAGTTCTAAAAATGGAAGTTTACAGCTATAGATGCCTACACCAAAAAATTGGAAAATTTTTAAATAATCTAATGATGCAACTTATAGAACTAGAAAAGCAAGAGCAAACCAAATTCAAAATTAGTAGAAGAAAAGAAATAATCATGATAATAAATAAATGCATTTGAAATGAAGAAAACCATTAAAAAACCAATGAAACAAAAACTTAGGTGTTTTTTTTGAAAAGATAAACAAAATTGACCAGCTTTTAGCCAGACTAACCACAAAAAAGAGAAGATCAAAATAAATAAAATCAGAGATGAAAAAGGCGACAATACAACCGTTACTGCAGAAATTCAAAGGAGCTACTATGAGCAACTATATGCCAATAAATTGGAAAATCTAGAAGAAATGTAAAAATTCCTATATACACACAATATACAAAGATTGAACCAGGAAGAAATTTAAAACCTGAACAGACCTATAACAAGTCATGAGATCAAAGCCGTAATAAAAAGTCCCCCAGTAAAGAAAAACCCAGGACTGATAGCTTCACCACTGAATTCTACCAAATATGTAAAGGAGAACTAAGACCAATCCTACTCAAACTATTTTGAACAATAGAAGAGGAAGGAATACTTCAAAATTCATTTCTGTGAGTCCAGTATTACTCTGATGCCAAAACCAGAAAAAGACACATCAGAAAAGAAAACTACAGGTCAGTATCTCTGATAAATATTGATGCAAAAAACCTCAATAACATACTAGCAAACTGAATTTAATAATGTATTAAAAAGATCATCCATCATGACCAAGAGGGATTTATCCCAGGGATGCAAGGATGGTTCACAAATCAATCAATATGATACATACATTGCATCAACAAAATAAAGAACAATAACCACGTGATCATTTCAATTGATGGTGCAAAAGCATTTGATAAAACTCACATCCTTTCATGATGAAAACGCTCAAAAAACTGGATATAGAAGGAACAAACATCAACATGATAAAAGCCATATATGACAGATCCACAGCTAGTATCATACTGAATCAAAAAAAAAAAAAAAAAACTAAAAGACTCTCCTCTAAGATCTGGAACTTGGCAAGGATGCCCACTTTTACCACTGTTATTCAACATATTACTGGAAGTCCTACCTAGAGCAAGCATACCTAGAGCAAGTCCTACCTAGAGCAAGGAATAAAGGGCATCCAAACTGGAAAGGAAGAAATCAAATTATCTTTGTTTGTAGATGATATGATCTTATATTTGGAAAACATAAAGACTCCAGCAAAAAACTATTAGAACTGATAAACAAATGCCGTGAAGTTGCAGGATACAAAATCAACATACAAAAATCAGTAGCATTTCTATATGCCAACAGGGAACAATCTGAAAAAGACATAAAAAAATTCCATTTACAATTGCCACACATAAAATAAAATATCTAGGAATTAATCAAAGAAGTGAAAGATTTCTGCAATGAAAACTATAAAACATTGATGAAAGAAATTAAAGAAGACACAAAAAATGAAAATATATTCTATGTTCATGGATTGAAAGAATCTATATTGTTAAAATGTCCATACTACCCAAAGCAATCTACAGATTCAATGCAATTTCTACCAAAATAACAATGTCTTTCTTCACAGAAATAGAAAAAAACTATCCTAGAATTTATTGAAACCACAAAATATCCAGAATAGCCAAAGCTATCCTGACCAAAAAGAACAAAACTGGAGGATTCACATTACCTGATTTCAAGTTTTACTATAGAGCTATAGTCACCAAAATAGCATGGTCCTGGCACAAAAACAGACACATGAACCAACGGAACACAAGAGAGAATCCAGAAATAAATTTACACACCTACAGTGAATTCATTTTCAACAGAGATGCCAAGAACATACACTAGGGAAAAGACGGTGTTTTCAATAAATTGTGCTGGGAAACTGGATATCCATATCCAGAAGAATGAAACTAGACCCCTTATCTCTAAACATCTACAAAAATGAAATTGAAATGGATTGAAGACTTAAATCTAAGACTTCAAACTATAAAATTACTACAAGAAAACATTCGGGAAACTCTATAGGATATTGGTCTGGGCAAAAAATTTCTTGAGTTATACCCTACAAGCACAGCCAACCAAATCAAAAAGGGACAAATGTGATCATATCAAGTTAAACAGCTTCCACACAGCAAAGGATACAATCAATAAAGTGAAGAGACAAGCCACAGAATGGCAGAAAGTATTTTCAAGCTATTCATCTGACAAGGGATTCATAATCAGAATATATAAGAAGCTCAAACAACTCCATAGGAAAAAATCTAACAATCTGATTTTAAAATGGGCAAAAGATTTGAACAGACATTTCTCAAAACAAAAACACAAAATGGCAAACAGGCATATCAAAAGGTGCTAGCATCATTGATCATCAGAGAAATGCCAGTCAAAACTACAGCGAGATATCATCTCACCATAGTTAAAATGGCTTACATCAAAAAGACAGGCAATAACAAATGCTGGCAAGGATGTGAGGAAAAGGGAATCCTCATACACTGTTGGTGGAAATGTAAGCTAGTACAACCACTATAGAGAACAATTTGGAGGTTCCTCAGAAAACTAAAAATTGAGCTACCATATAATCCAGTAATCCCACTGCTGGGTATATACCCAAAGAAGGGAAATCTGTGTGGAAGAGATTCTGCACTTCCATGTTTATTGAAGCACTGTTCACAATAACCAGGATTTGGAAGCAACCTAAGTGTCCATCAGCAAATGAATGGATAAAGAAAATGCATTTCTTATACACAGTGAAGTACTCTTCAGTCATAAAGAAGAATGAAATCCTGCCATTTGCAACAACATGGATGGGACTGGAAGTCATTATGTTAAGTCAAATAAGCCAGCCACAGAAAAACAAACATTCTCACTGATTCAAGAAACCTAAAAATCAAAACAATTGAACTCATGGACACAGAGAGTAGAAGGATGGTTACCAGTGGCTGGAAAGGGTAGTGCATAGGGAGTGGTGGGGAGGTGGGGATGGTTAATGGGTACAAAAACAAAATAGTTAGAAAAAATAAATAAGACCTAGTATTTGATAGCACAACAGGGTTACTATAGTCAATAATTTAATCATACATTTTAAAACAACTAAAATATTATAATTTTATGTTTTGTAACACGGGGATAAATGCTTGTGGTGGTGGGATACCCCATTTTCCATGATGGGATTGTTGCAGATTGCATGCCTGTGTCAAAACATCTTATGTATCCCATAAATATACACACGTCTATGTACCCAAAAAAAATAAAATTAAAAATTTTTTTAAATGCTAAAGAGTTATTCAATAAAGTTCAGCAGCCATCTCTAGTAAAGTATCTAAATAAGATGGCAAGGAATAAAACTACTTAAATATAATAAATACTATAAAAACCCCAAACAAATATTATCTCAAACAATCATACCCTAAAACCAATATAATTAAAATCAATAACTAAGGCATCAAGTGTTTCTTGTTTATTTTGACTATTGTCTTGGATACTCTAGCAACTGCAATAAGGTGAGACAACTAATAATTGGCATAAACATTAAAAAGAAGAAAAAAATGAGTATAGGATCGTTTACTGGAAAACCTAAATGTACTCTACAGAAAGAAGTAGAATTTAATGAGTTGCCAGAATAATACATAAATATGCAAATATTAAGTGCTGTTCTTTATCCTTAAAATAAGAACCTAGAAAAAACAGTGGGAAAAATTTTTTTCATTCACAATAACGAAAAATAAAAATTGAAATAAAAAGTGAAAGAACTTATATGAAGAAAATGATAAGCATTTACAGAAGAATTTGAAACAAGTCCTGAGTAAATATTATAGAACTATCAGTAAAACAAAAGATAATCTCTGAAATCAATGCAATTCCAATTAGAATCCCAACAATGTTGCTCCTTCATAATTGGGTAAAATGATCTTAAAATTAATTGAAGATTAAATGACAAATATAGCCAAAAACTTATGAAAAATACATGGGTTGAAACTTGCTTCATCAATAGAGAATACTATAAATTAACTTTAATCAAATCAATATGCAAGTAGATCATTAGAACACAATGGAGAAAACTGAAATAGATTCCAGTATATATGGCCATTTAACATGGCAAGGTTGATATTTTAATCCTTTAAGAAGGGATGGATTATCTATAAATTTTACTGGCATAACTAGCTATCCATATAAAAGAAAATAAATGTAATCCCCTCACGTAAAGCAAACAAAAACATTAACAAGCTTCAAATGGATTAAAGGCTTGAATGTGAACAAATAAAATTTATGTAAGACTATATAGGCGTCTACATATAAAATTGTGCACCAGAGAACATAATCAGCTTCTTAACCTAAACTGGAAACTCAGGAGTTTTAAAAGAAAATAAAGTAGACATATTAGACCACTTAAAAATTTAATATTATGAAAAAGCAGTGATAACAGATATATATAGTTTATGTATAGTGGAAAAGATGTTCTCATACATATCTAGTGAAAATATGAATTAATAAAGATTTTCTGGAAATTATTTTTGATATATATATTCAATCTAGAAATCTCAATTTTAGAAAATAAAAACACCATTCCCAGGAAAGATGGCCAAATACAAACAGCTTTGGTCTGCAGCTCCCAGCGAGACCACTGCAGAAGGCAGGTGATTTCTGCATTTTCAACAGAGGTACCTGCTTCATCTCATTGGGACTGGTCGGACAGTGGATGCAGCCCACCAAGGGCGAGCAGAAGCAGAGTGGGGCTTCGCCTCACCCAGAAAGTGCAAGGGCTTGGGGAACTCCCTCCCCTTGCCAAGGAAAGCCGTGAGGGACCGTGCCGTGAGGAACAGCGCACTCCGGCCCAGATACTATGCTTTTCCCATGGTCTTCGCAACCTGCAAACCAGGAGATTCCCTCGGATGCCTACACCACCAGGGCCCTGGGTTTCAAGCACAAAACTGGGTGGCCATTTGGGCAGACACTGAGCTAGCTGCAGGAGTGTCTTTTTGTACCGCATTGGCACCTGGAATGCCAGTAAGACAGAACCATTCACTCCCCTGGAAAGAGGGCTGAAGCCAAGGAGCCAAGTTGTTTTGCTCAGCAGATCCCACCCCCATGGAGACCAACAAGCTAAGGTCCACTGGCTTGAAATTCTTGCTGCCAGCACAGCAGTCTGAAGTTGACCTGAGTTGCTCAAGCTTGGTTGGGGGAGGGGCGTCTAACATTACTGAGGCTTGAATATACAGTTTTCCCTCACAGTGTGAACAAAGCTACCAGGAAGTTCAAACTGGGAGCGGGACCCACTGCAGCACGGCAAAGCCACTGTAGAGAGACTGCCGCTCTATATTCCTCCTCTCTAGGCAGGGCATCTCTGAAAGAAAGGCAGCAGCCCCAGTCAGGGGCTGATAGATAAAACTCCCATTTCCCTGGGACAGAGCACCTGGGGGAAGAGGCAGCTGTGGCTGCAGCTTCAGCAGACTTAAATGTTCCTGCCTGCCAGCTCTGAAGACAGCAGCAGATCTCCCAGCACAGTGCTTGAGCTCTGCTAAGGGACAGACTGCCTCCTCAAGTGAGTCCCCAACCCCCATGCCTCCTGACTGGGAGACAACTCCCAGCAGGGGTCAACAGACACCTCATACAGGAGAGCTCTGGCTGGCATCTGGCGGGTGTCTCTCTGGGATGAAGCTTCCAGAGGAAGGAACAGGCAGCAATCTTTGCTGTTCTGCAGCCTCTGCTGGTGATATCCCAGCAAACAGGATCTGGAGTGGACCTCCAGCAAACTCCAACAGACCTGCAGCAAGGGGCATGACTGTTAGAAGGAAAACTAACAAACAGAAAGAATAGTATCAACATGAACAAAAGAACACCCACACAAAAACCCCATCTAAAGGTCACCAACATCAAAGACCAAAAGTAGAAACATCCACAAAGGTGAGGAAAAACCAGAGCAAAAAGGCTAAAAATTCCAAAAACCATAATGCCTCTTCTCCTCCAAAGGATCACAACTCCTCGTCAGCAAAAAAACAAAACTTGATGGAGAATGAGTTTGACGAATTGACAGAAGTAGGCTTCAGAAGGTGGGTAATAACAAGCTCCTCTGAGCTAAAGGGGCATGTCTAACCCAATGCAAGGAAGTGAAGAACCTTGATATAAGGTTACAGGAACTTGCAAACAAGAATAACCAGTTTAGAGAAGAACATAAATGACGTGATAGAGCTGAAAAACACAGCGTGAGAACTTCGTGGAGCACACACAAGTATCAATAGCCAAATCAATCAAGCAGAAGAAAGGATATCAGAGATTGAAGATCAACTTAATGAAATAAAGCAAGAAGACAAGATTAGAGAAAAAAGAATGAAAAGGAACCAACAAAGCCTCCAAGAAATATGGGAGTATGTGACAAGACCAAACCTGCATTTGATTGGCGTACCTGTAGGTGATGGGAAAAATTGAATGAAGTTGAAAAACACACTTCAGGATATTATCCAGGAGAATGTCCCCAACTTAGCAAGGCAGGCCAACATTCAAACTCAGGAAATAGAGAGAACATCTCTGAGATACTCCTCGAGAAGAGCAACCCCAAGACACATAATCGTCAGATTCACCAAGGTTGAAATAAAGGAAAAAATGTTAAGGGCAGCCAGAGAGAAACCTCAGGTTACTCACAAAGGGAAGCCCATCAGACTAACAGTGGATCTCTCTGCAGAAACGCTACAAGCCAGAAGAGAGTGGGGGCCAATATTCAACATTCTTAAAGAAAAGAATTGTCAACCTAGAATTTCATATCCAGCCAAACTAAGCTTCATAAATGAGGGAGAAATAAAATCCTTTACAGACAATCCAATGCTTGAGGGATTTTGTTACCAAAAGCCTGCCTTACAAGAGCTCCTGAAGGAAGCACTAAATATGGAAAAGACAAAACCGTTACCAGCCACTGCAAACATATATTAAAATGTAAAGGCCATTGACACTGTGAAGAAACTGCATCAACTAATGTGCAAAATAACCAGCTAGCATCATAATGACAGGATCAAATTCACACATAACAATATTAACCTTAAATGCAAATGGGCTAAATACCTCAATTAAAAGACATAGACTGGTAAATTGGAAAAAGAATCAAGACCCATTGGTGTGCTATATTCAGGAGACCCATCTCATGTGCAAAGACACACATAGGCTAAAAAAAAGGGAGGAGGAATATTTACCAAGCAAATGGAAAGCAAAAAAGCAGGGGTTGCAATCTCAGTCTCTGAAAAAACAGACTTTAAACCAACAAAGATCAAAAAGACTAAGAAATGCATTACATAATGTTAAAGGGATCAATGCAACAAGAAGAGCTAACTATCCTAAATATGCATGCATCCAATACAAGAGCACCCAGATTCATAAAGCAAGTCCTTAGGAACATACAAAGAGACTTAGACTCCCACACAATAATAGTGGGAGACTTTAACACCCCACTGTCAATATTAGACAGATCAACGAGACAGAAAATTAACAAGGATATTCAGGACTGGAACTCAGCTCTGGACCAAGCAGACCTAATAGATATCTACAGAACTCTTCACCCCAAATCAACAGAATATACATTCTTCTCAGCACCACATCACACTTATTCTAAAATTGACCATATAATTGGAAGTAAAACACTCCTCAGCAAATGCAAAAGAATGGAAATCATAACAAACAGTCTCTCAGACCAAAGTGCCATCAAATTAGAACTCAGGATTAAGAAACTCACTCAAAACTGCAAAACTAAATGGAAACTGAACAACCTACTCCTGAATGACTACTGGGTAAATAACGAAATTAAGGCAGAAATAAATAAGCTATTTGAAACCAATGAGAAAAAAGACACAACGTACCAGAATCTCTGGGAAACAGCTAAAGCAGTGTTTAGAGGGAAATTTATAGCACTAAATGCCCACATGAGAAAGCAGGAAATATCTGAAATCATCACCCTAATATCAAAATTAAAAGAACTAGAAAAGCAAGAACAAACAAATTCAAAAGCTAGAAGAAGACAAGAAATAAATAAGATCAGAGCAGAACTGAAGAAGATAGAGACATGAAAAACCCTTCAAAAAAAATCAATGAATCCAGGAGCTGGTTTTTTGAAAAGACTAACAAAATATAAAGACCGCTAGCCAGATGAATAAAGAAGAAAAGAGAGAAGAATCAAATAGACACAATAAAAAATGATAAAGGGGATATCACCACTGATCCCACAGAAATACATACTACCATCAGAGAATACTATAAACACTTCTATGCAAAGAAACTAGAAAATCTCAAAGAAATGGATAAATTCCTGGACACATTTACCCTCCCAAGACTAAACCAGGAAGAAGTCGAAGCTCTGAATAGACCAATAACAAGTTCTGAAATTGAGGCAGTAATTAATAGCCTACCAACCAAAAAAAGCCCAGGACCAGATGGATTCACAGCCGAATTCTACCAGAGGTACAAAGAGGAGCTGGTAGCATTCCTTCTGAAACTTTTCCAAACAATAGAAAAAGAGGGACTCCTCCCTAACTCATTTTATGAGGCCAGCATCATCCTGATACCAAAATCTGGCAGAGACACAACACAAATAGAAAATTTCGGGCCAATATCCCTGATGAACATCAATGTGAAAGTCCTAAATAAAATACTGGCAAACTGAATCCAGCAGCACATCAAAAAGCTTATCCACCATGATCAAGTTGGCTTCATCCCTGGGATGCAAGGCTGGTTCAACATACACAAATCAATAAACGTAATCCATCACATAAAGAGAACCAATGAGAAAAACCACATAATTATCTCAATAGATGCAGAAAAGGCCTTCAATAAAATTCAACACCCTTTCATGCTAAAAACACTAAATAAACTAGGTATTGATGGAACGTATCCCAAAATAATAAGAGCTATTTATGACAAACCCACAGCCAATATCATACTGAATGGGCAAAAGCTGGAAGCATTCCCTTTGAAAGCTGGCACAAGACAAGGATGTCCTCTCTCACCACTCCTATTCAACGTATGGCCAGGGCAATCAGGCAAGAGAAAGAAATAAGGGGTATTCAAATAGCAAGAGAGGAAGTCAAATTGTCTTCGCAGATGACATGATTGTATATTTAGAAAACCCCATCATCTCAGCCCAAAAACTCTTGAAGCTGATAAGCAACTTCAGCAAAGCCTCAGGATACAAAATCAATGTGCAAAAATCACAAGCCTTCCTATACGACAAACAGAGACAAACAGAGAGCCAAATCATGAATGAACTCCCATTCACAATTGCTACAAAGAGAATAAAATACCTAGGAATACAGCTAACAAGGGATGTGAAGGACCTCTTCAAGGAGAACTACAAACCACTGCTTAAGGAAATAAGAGAGGACACAAACAAATGGAAAAACACTCCATGCTCATGGATAGGAAGAATCAATATCGTGAAAATGACCATACTGCCCAAAGTAATTTATAGATTCAATGCTATTCTCCTCAAGCTACCATTGACTGTCTTCCCAGAATTAGAAAAAAATATTTTAAATTTCATATGGAACCAAAAATAGCCAAGACAATCCCAAGCAAAAAGAACAAAGGTGGAGGCATCATGCTACCTGACTTCAAACTATACCTCAAGGCTACAGTAACCGAAACAGCACGGTACTGGTACCGAAACTGATATATAGACCAACAGGACAGAACAGAGGCCTCAGAAATAACACCACACATCTACAACCATCTGATCTTTGACAAACCTGACAAAAACAAGCAATGGGGAAAGGATTCCCTATTTAATAAATGGTATTGGGAAAACTGGCTAGCCACATACTGAAAACTGAAACTGAACTCCTTCCTTTCACATTATACAAAAATTAACTCAAGATTGATTAAAGACTTAAACATAAGACCTAAAACATAAAAACCCTAGAAGAAAACCTAGGCAATACCATTCAGGACATAGGCATGGCCAAAGACTTCATAGAACACCAAAAGCAATGGCAACAAAAGCCAAAATTGACAAATGGGATCTAATTAAACTGAAGAGCTTCTGCACAGCAAAAGAAACTATCATCAGAATGAACAGGCAACCTTCAGAATGGGAGAAAATTTTTGCAATCTATCCATCTGACAAAGGACTAATAGCCAGAATCTACAAAAAACTTAAGCAAATTTACAAGAAAAAAACAACCCCTTCAAAATGTGGACAAAGGATATGAACAGATACTTTTCAAAAGAAGACATTTATGTGGCCAATAAACATATGAAAAAAAGCTCATCATCACGGGTCATTAGAGAAATGCAAATCAAAACCACAATGAGATACCATCTCACACCAGTTAGAATGGCAATCATTAAAAAGTCAGGAAACAACAGGTGCTGGAGAGGATGTGGAGAAACAGGAACACTTTTACAGTGTTGGTGGGAGTTTAAATTAGTTCAACCATTATGGAAGACAGTGTGGAGATTCCTCAAGGATCTAGAACCAGAGATACCATTTGACCCAGAAATCCCATTACTGGGTATATACACAAAGGATTATAAGTCCTTCTACTGTAAAGACACATGCACACGTATGTTTATTGCAGCACTGTTCACAATAGCAAAGACTTGGAACCAACCCAAATGCCCATCAGTGATAGACTGGATAAAGAAAATGTGGCACATATACTCCATGGAATACTATGCAGCCTTAAAAAAGAATGAGTTCATGTCCTTTGCAGGGACATGGATGAAGCTGGAAACCATCATTCTCAGCAAACTATTACAGGAACAGAAAACCAAGCACCGCATGTTCTCATTCATAAGTGGGAGTTGAACAATGAGAACTTATGGGCACACGGAGGGGAACATCCCATACTGTGGCCTGTCAGGAGGTGGGGGCAAGGGGAGGGATAGCATTAGGAGAAATACCTAATATAGATGACGGGTTGATGGGTGCAGCAAACCACCATGTCACATGTATTCCTATGTAACCTGCATGTTCTGCATATGTATTCCAGAACTTAAGGTATAATTTAAAAAAAGTAAAAAATAAAAAAAATAGATATGGACACCTTATCTACTATGTTCACTTATTACTATTAGATACACTTATTTTACATATATGTGTATATATGGATGTACATATATATACCTTCATATACATATATCATCGTTGATCGTGGCAAAAAAAAATGTAAAAAGTGCATGTGTTTCAAAAAGGACATTGTTAAATAAATTCTCCTACATTTTCAAAATAGTATCTTCTGAAGCCATTAAAAAAGAATGGATCACTTCTATGCAAGCTTTCTTTGAAGAATTTTCATGAAATATATTTGAATAAGAAAACAAAATTCAGAAAATACCTGGGAGTGGGGTCCACAGATCTCCATTTTATAATTATTCAATGAAGTTTGAGAATTATCCAGAAGTTTTATAGCCGAAAAACATCTCCACCTGGTGAAATCAGGATTGATCGAGTCTTATGTATAAATAGTGGTTCTGTATGTTTTAACTCAAGCAAATACAATCTTTCTTTAATGCTGTTAGCCTCTTAGAAAGCTGGACAATATTTCCTTGATTGGCATTCAGCCCTTAACAACTCCACCTATCAAATATCAGGTGGCATTTTTCCAGAAAAGCATGTTCAGAAACAATGTTGGGTAGAATATTCTTGTGTGCCGTCTCATAAGGATCCTTCTTAAGTATCAAGATTTAGTCTATAACACAAGTAGTCTTTCAGTGCTAAGATTCTTGGTCATTCTTAGATCTCTTTCTCCGGTTCCTATGTGTACTTTTAATATTTTAAATAAATATCCACCATCCCTACCATGCCACACACAAAATAAACATGGTAGCATTGAGCCATAGGAAATATTGTTAGAGCCTACCTGTGTCATTCATTGCTTTAACAAATTCATACTTAGCCCTGATTTTATACCAAGGATTATATTAGTTTCTCTGAGCATATGATAAAAAAAGTTAGACATGTTTCCTACCCTCATGTATCTTAGATTCTAGTGGAAAAGACAGACAATAAGTATGTATGATTATTATATGTAAGTAAATCCCATAATGCTTTGATTCATATATTTTTTTACATTTAATCATCTCTGAGATCTTGAGGCATCTAATAATTGATGTTGCGTCATAACTTAATTGGCAGCATTTTTAGTTTGTTTTCAGTAATCCATACAAATAATGGCGCATCTTATATTAATGGTATCTAAAATTCACTGAAACAAGTGTTCACAAACTGGGATATATATTATAAAGAAAAAACCCCAGGAACATTAGAGAGGATAGTGGACCTGCTGAGGAGAGATCACAGAATGGTTTCCTTTGTTTCTTTTCTTTGATCCTCACCAACTTCTGCTATACTCATAAGAATGTTTTCTAATCCTCAGAACATTGAATACAATCCAAGAAAAAAGACCAAGAATATGTAAATTTTGATGCTTTCTTGCCAAATATTACCCTAAAGGTTACCTGCTACAATATGGCCTGAACTACGGTAGTAGAGGTGGAGGTGGAAATAAAATGGAACCATCTGTGAGATATTTAGGACATAGAGGAAACAGGACAGATTTGATGTGAGAGATGAAAGGGTCTGATATGGGTTGACTGGTATGAAACCCCGATGACATACAGAAACAATTGCTGAAGAAAATTTACTAGAATAATAGAAACTAATTTTTTCAGAGTAATTTCAAATGGCACACATGTCAAATTATATGATCTCTAAAGACAGAAGCAAAGACTTTTAACGTGATGAACTGACATGTAACACAGAATGATGTTTTATACAAGGTAGTATGTTTCAGATACCACATCAGATAAAGCAAAAGTGGGAAATACATCTGAACAATCCATAATTTGGATCTGATATTTAATTCACGTGACTAGTTAGTATTATTGATGTCAACTATAAAGTTATGTTTGTTTAATATGGTTTTTAACTAGTAAATCTTAAATCCAGTGAGAAGAATTGTTTCTTTACCCTCAAACAATGGCAGGATAGCATTTTAAATATCTAAAAGCAACAATGCATTTTATAACTAAAGAAATAAAATTAGTAATATTTATTTGTAATAATAAGACCAGATAAACATTTTCAAAAGGAGTATCTTTTACTGCGAAAGATATTATCACTATGATGATAATATCTGAAGTTTTGGAACCAGTAATAAGCAATTCTTTCTAGTTATACAGTGGAGGCTTTTCACGATTTATCTCATTTATTATCTCCATGTTGTCAGAAAATGGCCAAAATTTTATTTTTAATTTTATATATACTGAAGGCACCTGAGATACGTGAAAAAAAAAACTCACATGAGATAGCATTGATACAGGTAATTGGACATGTTTAGTTTATGCATCCATGGGTTAGCAGAGCACCATGTTGGTGTCAGATACAGATGGATCAAATCCCCTAGCTGACCCTCAGTTGCCATATATGTAAAATAGAAAACATAATTTTGTTCCAAAAAGGGTTTTGTTTTGTATGGTTTGAATGAAATAAAGTATGACGAAGTAAATGGCATTATTGTTTTTATTTTATATAATCAAATATTGGTTATTTGGATAGATTTAGAATTTTTTTCTTCTTTTATCAGAATGCTTATCTCTGATTAGACATATCCTTAGTTTTAAGTCCTGATGTAACCATCATCTTTGCAGTGTTAGTCCTAAAAATAAAAACTCCTGAAAATATGCTGCTTAAGCATACAGCAGACTAGCTCTGAGCAATATTGTGCTTTTGACTGCAAGCAGAAACAAATGTGAAATCATAAATTGCATGGTCGATTTCTTCCCTGAGCTTCCTTGTAGTGTTTGCTGTACAGGTAAACACCCAGTTGGAGAGCATTGACCACAAAAATGATACACTCTAAATTATGAGAACCATATCCTTATCCATCTATTCAACAGACTGTTTCTTTAAATGCAGAGAAAAACAGGGTTTACTGTGCTGCAGTATTCATAAGAACTGATTCATTCTACCATAGTGTGACTTGAGCAGAATGATAAACAAGAACGTTATCATTTTGCAGGGCAAGACATGACCCAATTTAAAAATAGCTGTAAATTATTAGGAAGCACTTGAATAGTATATGCCATTGTCCAAAACATGCACCACATTACCATGAACAAATTTTAAATGCCTATATTTTAAGGAATAAATTGGTTAGCATGTAGTATAAATTCTTTAAGCATATATGTGTTCCTTATGATGTGTTGTATTCATTTCCTATGTACTGTAATCACTGAATGCAGTTAGCATACCAATTTTGAGTTTTACTCAAGCTGCAGGTAACACTAATTACTGAGCACACAGTTTGACATCTGCATTGAACATATCTGTATGCATAAAATATAATTATCCTTGGTAGTGGGACAATATGTTCTTATTAATCAATGCCAATATAAACATTTTATATTATTTTAGATGTAGATATATTTTAATCCATACCCAAACAAATGTATTCACAGTTTCTTCCCTAATTTTCTAGAGTAAACCCTGCCTATTTTATACCACAGGATGCCAACATATTTCCTAGGGCAAATAATTAAAAGAACCTTGAAATATTTCGGTACAAAACCAAAAGACAAATATCACAGCAAACATAGAAAATATACATGTCAAGTTTTAAACAAACAGATGTATGTATTCTCCTTTTTGGATAAAGATAAACATTTATAGTCTTTCTGTAAAATACATTTGAATTGTCTTCCCTCCCTGCTGACAAAACAGATTAGTCTAGCTGATTTCTGTCCATAAAAGGTTTTGCACTTTTGACTCAACAATTTAACTGCTACCAAATTACCCATTTACCAACATTCTGTTTGTCAAATTTAGGGAGAAATTTGCATTTGTCATTTTGGTTCTTTCTCATTTTACAGTTCCCCTAACATTTGCCCTTATCCTAATTCTTTCCTTAACAAATGGAATACGTGGTGTGGAGGTTTTCCCTTCCCATGCCAACCTAACAGCAACTTCTCCCTGTAGATAATGTTAAATATATTTTTAAATAATGCTAATAGCTTTAAATCAGAGAAATCAGACAGGTTAGAGTCAATGTAATCCAACATCATCTCTGTTGGTTGCGTTTTTAGAGCCAGTATCCCAGGCCCATATCTACTTTTAACAATATGTATGAATAAGACATATCAGGATACTGCAGTGAAATTTAAACAAAAGATATGGGCCCTTTAACTGTGTGACATGTGTTATATTTAAACTACTGAATTGAAGGATGCCTTTTGGTTTAAAATTACAAGTACATGTGAATGAGAAGCACAGGTATCTATCTTTCGAGGCTTTTCTTTCCCACCTGCACACTGTTTCCTTATAGCCATAAAATAGACTGAAGAGTCAGTAGGGCCAAGGTAAAGCATAACATCAAAGTCATGGAGGACCTTAGTACAGTGGAGGAAGGTCCTTCTACCCCATATTCTGCATCTACCTTATTGGATATTTATTAAAACCGCAACTGAGGCAGAGCTCCTCTGAGGAAGAGACATGACCATTATTTATCTTAGTATCCCCCATGACTATTACAGTGTGTGCCACATAGAAGATACTGAATAAATGATTGATGAATTAATGAATGAATGAACAAGTAAGTAAATTGCTAATCAGCCCTAAGAGGGTTCTATGTGTCCAAATGGGAATTGGATGGGGATTTTTTTAAAGCACTTACTGGCAGAATAGTCCGAAAGATGGTTAGAATAGCACCAGATCCAATTTTCTCTCTGAGTGGATCAATCCTTTGCCTCTTCTAGGCTCTCAGAGAGCACAATTACATCCTAATACAAATTGCAAGGAGCCAAAAGGAAACTTTCATGCTAGTGCCCACTGACCATAGTCTACACAGGTGCTGGGACGTTTCAATATGATGTTGTTCTACAGATCTTCTTGTCAGATATCACCAATTTATTCAAAGAAGCACAAATTCAGAGAAAAGCAGTTAAATCAATGCTTGTCTGAGTGAAGCAAAATCAAATGGTAATGTAATGCACTGGATTGGGTGATCTAGGACCGTATTATCCAGAGGCTAAAATCAAACAACCTAACTAATTAAGATGTCTCTTCTCTCTCTTCTGGCCACCCAATGGCTAATCAATTTGGCAGATATTCAGTGGCTCTGACTCTTTAGTTTATATTATATAGACATAGCCATAGACTAAACTGGCCCAGACATATTTGAAATGTTCACTCAACATGTGCTTTCCTTTGGGGACCACAGCTCTATTTAAGCCACATTTTTTTATGAAAATAGAATATATATCAAGGCATGTTCTGTCTCTATGTTTATATGTTAAAAAATCTAGCTTAATGCACACACATAGATCATATACATCTAACTATTAGGCTTTGAAAAAACGCCATTAATGTGCTTTAAGGCACGTATTAAATGTTAATTCTTTTCTTTTTCAATGAATAATAATCCACAATAAATTCACAACTTTTGTGTTTGGGCAGATTAATTACATTTGCCATGTTCTGGTACCATCAAGGCAGGGGTAAAAAGCCTGAAATTCAGCAGTTCTAGAATAATTCTTTTCTTGAAAGGATGTGTTTTAACAAAACATGATAATGATTACAAATGCTAAGATGTTGAAAATATAGTGTGGGCTACAAAAAGGTGAGAGAATTTACCTCAGTGAAAAAGTTACAGAAGGAGAGGTTCTAGAAGATATTTTATGAGCAGACTATAAAAACACCAAACCCTGAATAGAAATTTAGACATACCTACTGTTTATAATATTTTCTCAAATGGCTGTACATTATGCTGGTCAGAAAAGAGAAATAAAATATTCTTCAATTACAAATAAGCGTACAAAGATTTTCCTCTCATTTTTAAAGGAAATTATATATTCTTATTCTCTTGGCTGCTGTAGATATGATTTCTAGGGACCCAAGAATGCGTCTTACTAAATTCATTAATTATAAAGGATAAAGTTATGCCTCTTTTCAACGCCTTTGTCGATGAATTCCTAACTGTCTGAATAATGAAAAGTTAGATGAATAGTTTGAATAGATGACATTTAAGGTCTCTTCCACCTTCAATACTAGATATATCAATGATTCTAATAACATCAGGTTTTACTTGTTAAGGCTGGTGAAATGCGAAGCATGTAGATGACTCGTCTCTCTTCCAAAATTCAAGTTGGTCCTTAGAGATTAAAAAGAAACTACCACACACGGAGAATAGCTTAAGGAGACCAAATGATACACATCTTTAAAAGCTTTCCTTTGATTTCAAACAGCTTCTCCAGTGAGAAAATGTTGCTTGGGAATATTAAGGGCATATGACTTCTAAGGAGAGCAGAGTTCATTGCCATCAAGAGATTTTTGAAGGTGAAAATCAGAGTACTGAACAAAAGAAGATATTGATTAAGCAACCAAAGGAAAAGGATGGGATCTTGGCAGATCTTAGCAAATACTTAAGTGCTTTAAAAATGCTTTTTGGGGACTTAGGGAAATAAATGCTTAATATGTAAGAATAATCTTTGGAAATGAGAACAATGCATGTTAATGGAAAAGAATTTAAACCCACACAAGTTTCTTCACCTTCCAAGAATTTGGCTAAAAGTAGTTCAAAAGGCAGGAAACTGGCATTTTAGTATTCTGTTTGAGAAAGAGAAAGATAAATTATGAAAGTTGAATTTATTTTTGCTCTGATCTGATAAAAATTTCAGGGGTCATCAGTGTTCATATTTTAGCATGTCAGGATGCATACTCAATTAAGTGTGCCAAGTTCTGTCCAGAAAAAAAAGTCTTCCTTATTCTGAAAGGGAAATCTGCAATGTGACAATATCTGTGTAATAATTTCCTTAGATTTACACTAAGTGTAAATAATAATTGAGCTATACTTCTATGAATGTATTTCAGAATTCCAGAAATTCAAAAGTGGTGGTTATTATCTTTGCTATACTTAACTATCTCAAAAATTCTCTTTGCCATTTTTATTCTTCTCACGTTAACTCAGAATTTGGGTGAGACACTTCATGAATCCACTGAGTAATGTAAGCATGTAGGGCAAAAGATAAATGCAAAACCCAACCAATGGCAGGAGACAAGTGCTGGAGGAACTTTCATAGCAATAGAAGCTGAATTGCGAGGTGCAGCTAGCTGAATAGGGGTGAATCTAAGAAGCACTGAAGTTTTAATCACAACTGAAGAAATATTTGAGAGGCAAAATCAAAAAAAGAACAGGATCCTGAAAGAACAGGATCCCAATAGCTAGGCATAAAACAGAGGCTTTGTGGAAAACACTCCTTAGAATTCTAGTTAGAAAGGGAGATATCCAAGAAATCTGCATGTAAGTAATTGAGATATCAGACAGGGTAGCAGATTGAAATCCAGGAGTAGGGAACAAGGGTCCGAGGGCCTGGTGTTGAGAAATAGGGAGAGTTGAAATGCAGAGCCAACAAAGATCATCTCTAAGCCCCTCAAGGTCTAGGTCTGATTAGTATCAAAGGAGATGAGAGCATACAAGACTCAGTAAAGTAGTGAGTAGGTATTCACCATCAGGAGCTGACGTTGTTTGAATATTTTAACTGAAAACTATGCAATATTTAATGCATATAGAATATATTTAATAGATATTGCCATATACAACACATAATAATAAAATAAACACCTGAGAGCCCAGTCTCCAAACTAATTGCCCCACGTTACCAAAGCTATTGACTTTACCTGTGGACTTCTTCCCTATTTCAGCCCCTTGCCTCCTCCAGAGATAACTCCATTCACAATTTCATGTTTATTATTCTCTTGTTTTATAAACTGGTTTTGTCTCATATTTATGTATTTATAAACAGTATATTATTCGTTTTGCTTGTTTTTTAGCTTTATGAAAAATGAATATATATATGAAGACACTATAGTCTCTTGTGATTTACATTTCTACTTTTTTCTATGATTTATACATTTTTTGTGCATGAGCCATAATTTATTTTTCAATGCTATATGATATTTTATTTTTTCAATATACCAAAATGTATTCATCCATTTACTTATCCATCCTCTTAGCATTATTGTGAACAATGCTGCTATACACATTTCCTATATTGTTCTCCTGGTGAACATGTGCAATAATTTCTCCAAAACCTACTTTTGAGTTAGATTTCTGTGCCATAGTGGAGACAAATGTTTAACTTTATAAAATAATACCAAATTGTTTTCCAAGATGTTTGTCAAATTTGCTTTCCCCTCAGCAGATTCTAAGTGTGCCTATTGATCCTCATGCTTGCCAACATTTTGTATTGATAATTCTTTTCTTCAGATATATAAAATGCTATTCCACCGTTCTCTGAATTTGTATTTCTCTGATTAGTAATGAAATAAACATCTGTTTTTATGCTCAACACGTTTCACATATTACAAAATTCCTGTAGTGACTCTTGCCCATTTTAGCTATTGGACTGTGATTTTCACTTATTGATTTGTCATGGTTTTAAAAATATATTTATTTAAAACTATTCTAGATACCAATCATTTTGCAGTTGTATGTCTTGTAAATACATTTCCTCAATTTTAGGCTTGCTATGTCACTTTTAGTAATGAACTGAAGTTCTACATTTTAATGTACACTAATACATCTAATCTTTTATTGTTAGTATTTTTTGCATCTCATTTAAAAAAAGAAAAACATACACTGAGCTCATAAAAATATTCTCCCATGTTTTTTGTCTTAAATTTTTTACATTATTTCACAAGTGAGCCAAGAGGAGAAAGGTGAGATAGAAAGATGTAAGAAAACAGTAAACATTTCTGAGCACTTAATGTATTTGAGGTATTGTACGAGGGGCTGGATTTTTTCATTAATTCATATATATTGACTTCTTTACATACAATGTTTCCATTTAACCCTCTGCTTTCCCTCATATTAGAAGCCTGCATTGATGATCATGACCTGGAGAGTATTAAGAAAAGATTTCTTAGATCCCATGTACCATTGCTTAATTGAATTGTGCCTAGTGTTTTGGTTCTATTTACTTATTATTGTCCATATTATCCCCCTGCTGGGCTCTGACTGTCTTAGAAGCATAGGTTTTGCAGACAACCTAGACAATTTTATGCAGGGTAGGGGCTATATATGTAAAAAGGTGCCTTCCATGGTTTGCATGCTTCACTAATATGTGTGTGTAAGGAGAGAAAAAAAGACCGCATGGTAATCCAGGATAACCACCACCGCAACAACAAAACACTTTAGATTTTTCTAGGAGCTTTATTTAGGGCACAGTGTATTGTTTTCCTTCTAAAATCAATGTAGAAGCACTGCATCAAATAAATGAGCTCCTCATGCCCCCTGAGCTCCAGATGTTTGGTGAGACAAGTAAACATTTAGATGGGAGAAAAATTTAAAGGATGACTCTTTCTATAGAATTCAGAGGGGTACTGCAATATTCTTTACAGATATTTTCTACTTAAGAGCAACATAATAAATATGCTGTGATTGTTATCTCCTAGATGAAGGTGATGGCATGTCACAGAATGGTCTGGTGTCCAAAGAGGTGACTTCAAGTTCTGGGAACTGGTGAACATTTCTTGTGGAATATTTATGATGTGGGCTTAAATTATATTTGCTGTGGATGTGTTCTGAATATAAACTTAAAAGATGAAATAATTGCCTTCTTCCCAGAGAAGTTAACGTGTCTCTTTTCCATTTCTTTTCAAGTGCCTACTTGGTCTAGGAGCAGGAGAACACTTTGAAACCTAAGTATGTGACACTGTGCTTGCTGATTAATATAAATCAAATTATTTTAATAAATTAGCTCTTCTATTGATTCCAAAATAACCTCAAGCTTCAGATACTTACAAACTCAAAAACAAACTACAGGTCAGACCATTACACCTATTTATTTCTCTTACTAAAAGATCATCTGAAGGATTGTTTATGCTTTAGTTTGGTAACTTTCTTTATTATTATTATTATTATACTTTAAGTTCTGGGGTACATGTGCACAACGTGCAGGTTTGTTACATAGGTATACATGTGCCATGTTGGTTTGCTGCACCCATTAACTCGTCATTTGCATTGGGTATTTCTCCTAATGCTATCCCTTCCCCAGACCCCCACCCCCAACAGGCCCCGATGTGTAATGTTCCCCACCCTGTGTCCATGTGTTCTCATTGTTCAACTCCCACTTATGAGTGAGAATATGCAGTGTTTGGTTTTCTCTTCTTGTGTTACTTTGCTGAGAATGATGGCTTCCAGTTTCATCCATGTCCCTGGAAAGGAAATGAACTCATCCTTTTTTATGGCTGCATACTATTCCATGGTGTATATGTGCCACATTTTCTTTATCCAGTCTATCATTGATGGGCATTTGTGTTGGTTCCAAGACTTTGCTATTGTGAACAGTGCCACGATAAACATACATGTGCATGTGTTTGGTAACTTTCAACACAAATATCTATGGTTGTTTTATAATGCTGACATCATTGCAATCCACATCAAGGGATACAGTGTTCAAAACTCATGCCTATGAAATGAATATAGATGTGTCAGCTTCTTTAGAATGACTGGAAGGAAGAGCATCCATCAGTCACAAGCTATGGTTGATATTTTACAGGGTTTGTGATTATAGGAAGTTGTCAGTTGTGACCCATGGCCATGCTTCAAAATAATCCACCTTATTTCCTACTGTTCATTGCTATGGTACATTATTTTGAGATCTGGTACATTATATATTTATAACAATTCTTCTGATCCCTTGGTTTGTGACTGGTCTGCATCAGGTCACCACACAGATATCATTTATCTTCCACAGATAATAAGACATGATAAAATCTCACAGGACTAACACTACAGATAAGACAGCCGTTGCTATAAGACACACCCAATTTAGTTTATTATATAAGCCATCCTTTTATCACTAAAATGTTATTGCAATGGAGAGGTGACTTTTGTAACAATGATAATGTAATTTTACATGTAGGGAATTCTTTACAGTTTCTAAAGCCCTTTCAACTTGCGTCGTCTCATATAATCCCTACAATAACTTGATGGTATGTACAACAGATATCATGTCCCCAATTAACAGATGAGAAACTAATACTAACAGAAAGTTAAGTGACTTGCTCAGATACAAAAATTTGTGTAAATTGCTAGGCCAGACTTAAGAACCAAGATTATTGTCCTTACTTCTTTAAAATAGGATGATGTGAGTAGGTCTGCAATTTTCCCAACTTCTCCTCTGACCCCTAGCATAACAAAAAAGGTTCCACAGTAAGACATTAGATCTAAAACCTCTACCATCACTTAAGCCAGAGCAATTATGCTCTTTTCTATTTTTAAAAAATATTTGAACTCTGTGTAATATTTCTAATGAAAAAATAGTAACAGGGTACAGAAAGAAAAATCATTGAAATAGATTATCTCCACCTCTGACTTTATTTCTTCCTGTGATTAGTCAAGTGGTAATATATAAAAATCTTTCTACTCCCCATTTCTAACTTCATTACAGCCATAGCATATTATTGTCACTATGACCAATTAGTCATATATAAAATAAAAATCATTCTATTTTCACTAATAAGTTCAAGTGTAATTTTCTAAACACACACAAATACACTTCCTGTTTCAGATTTAGGACCTGTGGGTTTGAAGACCATGATCACATAATATTATAAGTGATAAAGAATCTAGTGTACTCCATTCAGCTATAGAGGGTCAGTGGTTCATAAGGACAACTAGAACACTTTTATTCACCACTAAGTGGTATAGGATTATACAGGTTCTGATGATGGCATCAGCTGATATCAAGCTGTGGCAGAGGAGATATGGTAATTTAGGGGAAAAATGAGCACACCAAGCAGATTTTCATATGTGTTTTGAAAGTCTTTCATTTGCACTAGAGATGGGTTTAGTCTATTTTCCAGGTAGCAAGGGTGAAGTCATAGATATAACATAAAGTAAGAGCTCAAAAATGCTGTCATTATATAAGCAGAAAACAGTTGGAAAATAAAAATGTTTTAATGCTTTTACAATAGCTACGAAAGTATTGACTGGATAGGAGTGAATTTAATAAAAGATTGCAAGACCTCTAACCCAAAAACTACAAAACATTGTGAAGACATTAAAAAGGACCAAAATAAGTGGGAATTTGAAGAGTCAAGTTGTTAAGATGACAATTCTCCCTACAGATGTACAGATTCAAAGCAATATAAGTCATAATCCCAGCAAGATATTTTTAAAAAATTGACAAGCTTATTCTAAAATGTATATCAAAATGTAAGGAGCCTAGAATACCCAAAGCATTTTGGAAAAAGAAATAAAGCTGCAGATTTTATACAAAATGATTTCCATATATACTACAAAGCTAAAGCAATCAAGAAACCATGGCACTGACATAAGGATTAGCAAGTAGAACAATGGTGCAGAATGGAGAACCCAGAAATAGACCCACACTTCCATGGTTATTTGATTTTTGATAAGGGTTACAAAGCCATCCAATTATAGAAGGAAAGTCTTTTAAAAATTTATGCTAGGCCAGGTGCAGTGGCTCACGCCCATAGTCCCAGCTGAAATGGGAGGATCCCTTGAGCCCAGGGAGGTAGAGGTTGTAGTGAGCCGAGATCGTGCCACTGCACTCTGACCTGGGTGAAAAAGTCAGACCCTGTCTCAAAAAAAAAAAAAAAAAAAAAAAGGAGCACCTACATGGAGATGGGTGAACAACTTTGATCCTAGTTTTATACCGTACACAAAAATTAATTTGAGATGGATCATGGACCTAAACAGAAAAGCTAAAACTATAAAGCATACAATGAAAACAGGAAAATATCTTTGTGACTTTGAGGGAGCACAGAAAGTAAGAACCATAAAAGAAAAATATGATAAACTCTACCATCAAAATTAAAAATTTCTCTGGGGAGTGGCCAAGAAGACCAACTAGAAGCAGATAATGTGTGTGGCTCTCACGGAAAGGAATGGAAGGGACAAGTAAATACAGCACCTTCAACTGAAACATCCAAGTACTCACACTGGCACTAATCAAGGAAACAACTCGACCTACCAAGAACAGTGAAAAAGCAAGGGAGGATGACTGCCCACCCAGAGCGACATGGAGCCAAGGGAAGCTCCCCTGCCCAGAGAAGCCATGAGCGAATGTGCAACCCCAGGAACCCAAGCTTCTCCCATGGACCTTTGCAACCCTCAGGTCAGGAGATCCCCTCATGAACCCACTCTATCGGGGCCTTCAGTCTGACACACAGACATCTGTTGAGTTTTGGCAGAGCAGCCGCTCAGGTGCACGCAGAGACTCAGGAGCTTTAGATACTCTGGCTTTCCAGGCATCCGACCAAAAGTAGTTGCAACTCCAGCAAAGCGGGAAGTTAGCCGCCCCCCACCCCCGCACCATACATACCCCTAGGAAGGAGGCTGAATCCAGGCGGCCGAGCAGCGACAGTCTGTGGGCCACATTTCCACGGTGCCTCACTTGGAATTCCAGGATGAGACCCAGTAACTTGGAATTCCAGCCTGCAACTAGTAGCAGCATTGCACCTTCCTGGGATGGAACTCCTCGGGGGAAGGGTGGGCCACCATCTCTGCTGTTTGAGAGAGAGCCGTTACTGCCTTTGGGCTTTGGAGAGTCCAAACAGACCAGGGGTGAATGAGATCCCCCAGCACAGCACAGCTGCTCTACAAAAATGTAACCAGACTACTTTTTTCAGTGAGTCCCCGATCCTGTTCCTCCTGACTGGGTGGGACCTCCCAACTGGGGTCTTCAGGCACCTCCAACAGGTGTGTTCAGCCAGCAACAGTCCTGCACCTCCCTGGGACAGAGCTCCCACAGGGAGGGGCAGGCCGCCATCTTTGCTGTTTCACAGCCTTCACTGGTGATACTTCCAGGTACTGGAAAATTCGAGGCGACTAGGGACTGGAGCAGGTCCCCAGCATACTTCAGTAGCCATACGGAAAAGTGGTCAGACTGTTATAGGGGTGCCCATTCCCATATCTCCTCACTGGGCAGGTCCTCCAAGCCTGGGCTTCTAGCCACCCTCTGACAGAGCTATCGAGCCAGTAGCAACTCAGCAACTCCCTGGACAGAGCCTTTAGGGACATTGAAAGCCTATCTATCACTGCCTCTGCAGTGGAACTGCCCTTCTTACCCTCAGGTTAACAAAAAAGCCAAGGCCCTAAGTGCTTTATCCATACCTCCAACAAGCTGCAGTCAACCCAAGGAGAGGAGGCCAGTCCATCTCCCACAGGTCCTACACACCCCCACTGCTTGTCACCAGACAAGAAACCCCAGGCTTAGGCCCACAGCACAGACCCTCCATCCTGGGCTGATTGCCCTGAGCTACTGCTAAGCAACATCTCTCTGGGGTAGAGCCCCCAGGAGAGAAGCAAAGTGGTGGAGCAGCAAGCCAGCTGATGTGGAGCCCAGAGGGTTTGGTGCAGAATCATCTGTAGCAGAGCGTGGTGAGAGACAGCCATCCCCCTGTGCTCGACTTGCTCTCTTAAGAGACTTTTTAGCCCTAGGGGAATTGTTGAACCTGATCTTCACAGGGAGGTCTTGCACATCAGACAGGTCTGGTCCAACCTAAGCACTTCTTGGTCTGTTGGCCTCTCCCGGGACCCCAGCCTCGCCACACCTACTTACAGGACAGTCTTGGGTCCCCTGGGGGACCATACCATACCCATACCATAGCTTCTGAGCCAGTGGACCATACCTGACTGATGGAGAGCTCCAGCAAGGTGGCACCTATGACTGTGCACCAACCCACACATTGCTTCCCCATATTGCAGCATCCCCTGAGCCCACAGCAACTCCCCACATCACATTGCTGGTGTGTGTCTGCACGAGTTTTACTTTAATTGCCCCGCCAACACATAGGACTGCAGTATGCACCCCGACCCCCACAGACTACCACTGCAGACAGAGCCTTGGCGGGCACAAATCCAGCAAGCCCCACCCCTGCCAGTGCCCTGCTCTTGCGCTAACACTGTTCAGGGAACAGGGGATCCTCCCACACCCTGAGTAATAACTCCTGCTTGCAGGGCTCAGAAAAGGCACCAGACCTGCACTGGCCAGCACTTCACCCCAAACCAACAACACCTCCAGTGCAACAGCACAAACAGTCTCCAGCAAGGGCCCCCCCACTCCCCACACCCAACTGCCAATAATGTGTGTGGCTCTCATGGAGAGGAATGCCTACTGTGGTGAATGCCCACAGGGAGTTGGGCACCTCTGAATCCACTAACACTTGTCTGCAACTGCTGCACCTCAGTCCCCACAGTGCAGTAGACTCCAAACCTGGAGTATCCAGAGAACAAAGTCAGGGTCCAATACAAGTCCCCCAGAGTTAGAGCACACAGTCCAGGAGTTGGGAGCTGAACATTGGCCCGTTAAATCTTTCAGAAATGAAACTAGTTGGCTGAATCCACCTTGTACTATAATCAAACCCTCAAGCTCATCAAACAGGATAAAAGAAAAAAAAAATCCAAAGGTCAGCAACCTCAAAGATTGAAGGTAGATAAGCCCACAAAGATTAGAAAGAATCAGCACAAGAATGCTGAAAACTCAAAAAGCCAGAGTACCTTCTTTCCTTCAAATGAACGCATCACCTCTCCAGCAAGGGTTTGGAACTGGGCTGAGGCTGAGATGGCTGAAATGATGGAAGTAGAATTCAGAATATGGATAGGAACAAAGTTCCCTAAGCTACAGGAGTATGTTGTAACTCAAAGCAAGGAAGCTAAAAATCGTGATAAAACATTGCAGGTGCTGACAGACAAAATAGCCAGCATAGAGAAGAATGTAAGTGACCTGATAGAGCTGAAAAACACACTACGAGAATCCCATAATGCAATCACAAGTATTAATAGCAGAAGAGACCAAGTAGAGGAAAGAATCTCAGAGCTTGAAGACTGCCTTTCTAAAATAAGACAGGCAGACAAGAATAGAGAAAAAAAAGAATGAAAAGGAAATAAAAAGAACTCTAAAAAATATGGGATTATGTAAACAGACCAAATCTACTACTGATGGGTGTCCCTGAAAGAGATGAGGAGAATGAAACCAACTTGGAAAACATATTTCAGGATATCATTCATGAGAACTTTCCCAACCTAGCCAGAGAGACCAACATTCACATCATTCAAATTCGGGAAATACAGAGAACCCCTGTAAGACAACCCTTGAAAGGATCATCCCCAAGACACATAATCATCAGATTCTCCAAGGTCAAAATGAAAGAAAAAATGATATGGTTTTACTGTGTCCTCACCCAAATCTCATCTTGAATTGTTGTTCCCATAATCTCCACATGTCATTGGAAGGACCCAGTGGGAAGTAGTTGAATCACGGGGGTGGTTTCCTCCATGCTATTCTCGTGATAGTGAGTAGGTTCTCACAATATCTAATGGTTTTATAAGGGTCTTCCCCCTTCACTGGGCTCTTATTATCTCCTTCCTGCCATCATGTGAAGAAGGAAATGTTTGCTTCCCCTTCTGCCATAATCATAAGTTTCCTGATGCTGCCCCAGCAATGTGGAACCGTGAGTAAACTGCTTTCATTATAAATTACCCAATCTTGGGTAGTACTTTATAGCAGCATGCAAACAGACTAATACACATTTATACTGAAACTATTCCAAAAAAATTGAGGAGGAGGGACTCCTCACTCACTCATTCTATGAAGCCAGCATCATCTTGATGCCGAAACCTGGCAGAGATACAGCAAAAAAGGAAAACTTCAGGCCAATGTCCTTGATGAACATCAATGCAAAAATCCTCAACAAAACACTGGCAAACCAAATTCAGCAGCACATCAAAAACCCCATCCTCCACAATCAAGTAGGCTTTATCCCTAGGATACAAGGTTCATCTAACATACACAAATCAATACATGTGATTCATCATATAAACAGAGCTAAAGGCAAAAACCACATGATTATCTCAATAGATGCAAAAAAGGCATTTGATAAAGTTCAACACCTACTTATCTTGAAAAACTCTCAAACTAGGTATTGAAGAAATATACCTCAAAATAATAAAAGACATATATGACAAACCCACAGCCAACATTATACTGAAGGGGGAAAAGCTGGAAGTATTCCTCTTGAAAACCAGCACAAGACAAGTATGCCCTCTCTCACCACTCCTATTCAAGATAGTATTGGAAGTTCTGGCCAGGGCAATCAGGCAGGAGAAAGAAAGAAAGAAATGGAATGCAAATAAGAAGAGAGGAAATCAAACTATCCCTGTTTGCAGATGGCATGATCCTATATCTAGGAAACCCTATAGTCACATCCCAAAAGCTTCTTAGGCTGATAAGTGACTTCAGCAAAGTCTCAGGATACAAAATCAATGTGCAAAAAATCATAAGTATTCCTATACACCAACAACAGTCAAGCCAAGAGCCACATCAGAAACAAACTCCCTTTCACAATTGCCAAAAAATGATAAAATACCTATGAATACAGCTAACTATGGAGGTGAAAGATCTCTACAAAGAGAACTACAAACCACTGCTCAAATAAATCAGAGATGACACCAAAAAAATGGAAAAACATTTCATGCTCATGGATAAGAAGTATTAATATCGTGAAAATGGCCATACTGCCCAAAGCAATTTATAGATTCAATGCTGTGCCTATTAAACTACCACTGGCATTCTTCACAGAACTAGAACAAACTATTTTAAAATTCATATGGAACCAAAAAAGAGCCAAAACAAAGCCAAGGCAATCCTAAGCAAAAGGAAGAAAGCTGGAAACATCACACTACCTGACTTCAAACTATACTTCAGGGCTACTGTAACCAAAACAGCATGGTACTGGTAGAAAAACAAACACATTGACCAGTGGAACAGAATAGAGAACTCAGAAATAAAACCACATACCTACAACTATCTGAACTTTGACAAACTTTACAAAAACAACAATGGGGAAAGGATTTCCTGTTCAATAAATGGTGTTGGAATAACTGGCTAGCCATATGCAGAAAATTATAACTGGACCCCTTCCTTACACCATATATAAAAATTAACTCAAGATGGATTAAACACTTAAATGTAAACCCCAGAACTATAAAAACCCTAGAAGAAAACCTAGCCAATACCATTCAGGACACAGGCACAGCAAAGATTTCATGATGAAGATGCCAAAAGCAATTGAAACAAAAGCAAAAATTGACAAATGAGACCTAATTAAACTAAAGAGCTTCTGCACAGAAAAAGAAACTAGCAACAGAGTAAACAGTCAGCCTACAGAATGGGAGAAAAATTTTGCAAACTATGCATCTGACTAAGGTCTACTCTCCATTATCTATAAGGAACCTAAACAAATTTACAAGAAAAAAACCAACAACCCCATAACAAAGTGGGCAAAGGACATGAACAGACATTTTTTCCAAAGAAGACGTACGTGCAGCCAACAATCATATAATGAAAATCTTAACATCACTGATAATTAGAGAAATGCAAATCAAACCACAGTGAGATACCATCTCACACCAGTCAGAATAGCTATTATTAAAAAGTCAAAAAAAACAGATGCTGATGAAGTTTTGGAGAAAAAGGAATGCTTACACTTCCACTGTTGGTGGAAGTGTAAATTGGTTCAACCATTGTGGAAGACAGTGTGGTGATTCCTCAAAGACCTAGAGGCAGAAACACCTTTTGTCCCAGCAACCCGATTACTGAGTGTATCAGTCCATTTTTCATGCTGTTGATAAAGACATACCCAAGACTTGGTAACTTATGAAGAAAAAGTGGTTTAATGGACTCACAGTTCCACGTGGCTGTGGAGGCCTCACAATCATGGTGGAAGGTAAAAGGTATGTCTTACATTGGTGACAGGCAAGGGAGAGAATGAGAACCAAGCAAAAGGGGCTTCTGCTTATAAAACCATCAGATCTCATGAGACTTATTCACTACCATGAGAACAGTATGGTGGAAACCGCCCCCATGATTCAATAATCTTTCCCCAGGTCCCTCCCACAACACGTGGGAATTATGGAAGCTAAAATTCAAGATAAGATTTGGGTGGGGACACAGCCAAACCATATCACTGAATATATAACCACGGGAATATAAATCATTCTATTATAAAGACACATGCACGTGTATCTTCATTGCAGTACTATTCACAATAACAAAGACATGGAATCAACCTAAATGCCCATTGATGATAGACTGGATAAAGAAAATGTGGTACATATACATCACGGAATACTAGGTAGCCATAAAAAAGAATGAAAAAAAGAATGAGACCATGTCTTTTGCAGGGACATGGATGGAGCTGGAGGCTTGTATCCTTAGCAAACAAGCTCAGGTACAGAAAATCAAATACTGCATGTCCTCACTTATAAGTGGGAGCTAAATGATAAGACCTTATGAACACAAAGAAGAAAACAGCAGACACTGGGGTCTACTTGAGGGAGGAGGGTGAGAATATGGAGAGGAGCAGAAAAGATAACTATGGGTACTGGGCTTAATACTTGGGTATTATATAATCTGTACAACAAACCCCCTGACATGTGTTCACCTGTGTAACAAACCTATACATGTTCCCCTGAACTTAAAATAAAAGTTAAATTCTCAACAAAATATACAATTGAGAAAATGAATAAGCAAGCCAAATACTGGAAGAACATGGTTGCAAATCACAAAAGACTAGTGTTCAGGATATATATATAGATATATATATATCTAGATATATATATAGATATATATATATCTAGATATATATATAGATATATATATATCTAGATATATATCTAGATATATATATATATCTAGATATATATCTAGATATATATCTAGATATATATCTAGATATATATATCTAGATATATATATAGATATATATCTAGATATATATATATATCGCCTACAAGTTAATTATAAAAAGACTAACAACCAAAATAAAAATTGGTTAATAGAGGGGTGGAGCATGATGGCAGAATAGAAGCCTATGCCATTCATCTCCCTGCTCCTGGAACACCAAATTTTAATAACTATCTCCACACAGAAAAGCATCATCACAAGAACCAAAAATCAGGTGAGCAAAAGATGCACTCTGGGCAAAAATGGAACCTAGTCCCTTGAAGGGAGGAACCCAGTCCTAGCAGCATTCATCAACTGCTAACTAAAGAAACTTTGGGCCCTGAATAACTAACCACTAGTGATACCTAGGGAGTATGCTGTGGGCCTTGGGCTATGGGTCGGCTTCAGGGGAGACATAGCACATTCCCAGCTGTGATGGCTATAATAAAAGACTCCTGTTTGAGAAAAGCAGAGGGAAAAGTAAAGGGGACTTTGGTACCCTAGATACTAGCTCAGCCACAGTGTGGTAGAGCAACAAGTAGGCTCTTGGGGTCCTCGAGTCCAGGTCTAAGCTCTTGGACAGCATTTCTGGACTAGCCCTTGACAAAAGGGGAGTCAACTGCCCTGAAGGGTGAGTCTCTGGCCAGGCAGCATTCACAAGCTGATGGAAGAGCCCTGGGGCTTTAAGCAAACATTGGCAGTGTCCAGGTAGCCAACATTGACTTATGTGGTGGTGGCTCCTCTGCCTGTGGAAAGGGGTGGGAAGATCAGGAAGGATTTTGCACTATGGTTTGAGGGCAAGCTCAGACACAGTAAAATAGAACATTAACTAAATTGCTAATGACTCCAATCTGAGGCTCTGAGACAGCATCTCTGGACATGACCAGAGCTTGGGGAAACTTGCCACCATGAAGGGAAGGGCCTTGGTCGAGGTCCAATGCTGTGCTGGCTTTAGGTCTGACCCAGCACAGTGCCAGTGGTGGTGGCCACAGGGGTGCTTGCATCACCACACCCCCAGTTCCACATGGCTCAACACAGAGAGAGAGAGAGAGAGAAAGAGAGACTCTATTTGTTTGGCATGATGTAAGGGAAAAGAAGAAGAAACTCTACCTGATAATTGAGAGAATTCTTCCAGATCTTTTCCAAGACCATCAAGGTGGTACCTCTACGAGTCTGCAAAAACTACAGCATGATTAGGCTTGGGACTAAAGTCTCTTCAAATACGTGGAAAGCCTTCTCAACAAGGACAAGCACAAACAAGCCCAGACTGTGAAGATTAAAGTAAATACCTAATGCCCAGATATTGAAGGATATCAGCAAGCATCAACACTATCCAAAAACACATGACCTCACCAAATGAACCAACTAAGGCACCAGGGACTAGTCCTGGAGAAACAGAGATATATGACATTTCAGAAAGGGAAATCAAAATAGCTGTTTGAGGAAACTCAAAGAAATTCAAGAGAACACAGAGAAGAAATTCAGAATTCTATCAGATAAATTTAACAAAAAGACTGAAATAATTAAAAATAATCAAGCAGAAATTCTAGAGTTGAAAAATGCAATGGACATACTGAAGAATGCATCAGAGTCTCTTAATAGCAGAACTGATCAAGCAGAAGAAAAAAATAGTGAACTTTAAGACAGGCTATTTGAAAATATACAGTCAGAGGAGACGAAAGATAAAAGAATAAAAAACAATGAAGGATGCCTACAAGACCTAGAAAACAACTTCAAAAGGGCAAATCTAAGAGTCATTGGCCTTAAAGAGAAAGTAGAGAAAGAGATAGGGATAGAAAGTTTATTCAAAGGGATAATATCAGAGAACTTCCCAAACCTCAAGAAAGATATTAACATTCAAGTACAAGAAGGTTATAGAATACCAAGAAAATTTAACCCAAAGAAGACTACCTCAAGGCATTTAGTCAAACTCCCAAAGATCAAGTATAAAGAAAAGATCCTAAAAACAGCAAGAGAAAAGGAACAAATAATGTACAGTGGAACTTCAGTACTTCTGGTAGCAGACTTTTCAGTGGAAACTTTACAGGCCAGGAGAGAGTGCCATGACATACTTTAAGTGCTGAAAGGAAACAGCTTTATCCTAGAATAGTATATCTGGTGAAAATATTCTTTAAGCGGGAAGGAGAAATACATATTTTACCAGAAAAACAAAAGCTGAGGAATATCATCAACAGCAGAGCTCTCCTACAGGAAATGCTAAAGGGACTTCATCAATCTGAAAGAAAAGGATGTTAATGAGCAATAAGAAATCATCAAAAGTACAAAACTCACTGGTAATTATAAGCACACAGAAAAACACAGAATACTAAAACACTATAAATGTGGTGTGTAAATTACTTTTCAGAAGTAGAAAGACTAAATGATGAACCAATCAAAAATAATAACTATGACAACTTTTCAAGACATAGATAGTACAATAAGACATAAAGAGAAACAATGGAAAGTTAAAACTCAAGAAGACAAAGTATAGAGTTTTTATAAGTTTTCTTATTGCATATTTTTGTAATTTTTATGCTATCAGTGTTAAGCTATCATCAGCTTAAATCAGTGGGTTATAGCACAGTGTTTGCAAGCCACATGGTAATCTCAAATTGAAATGGCCAGGTACAGTGGCTCACATCTGTAATTCCAACACTTTCAGAGGCCAGGGTGGGCTTACCGCTTGAGCCCAGAAGTTCACGACCAGCCTGGGCAACATGGCAAAACCCCATGTCTACTAAAAATGCAAACATTAGCCTGGCATGTTGGCACATGACTGTAGTCCTAGCTACTCAGGGGACTAAGGCAAGAAGATCACCTGTGCCTTGTGCCTTGGAAGGTCAAGGCTGTAGTGAGCTGTGATCTCACCACTGCAACTCCAGCCTGGGTGACAAAGTGAGTCCTTGTCAAAAAAAAAAAAAAAAAAAATGGCTACACAACAAAAAGCAACAAACTAAAACGTACCACCAGAGAAAATCACTTTTACTAAAAGGAAGGAAGGAAAGAAGGAAGAGAAGACTGCAAAACAACCAGAAAACAACAAAATGACAGGAGTAACTCCCTACTTATCAATAATAACATTGAGTGTAAATAAACTAAACTCCTCAATCAAAAGACATAGAGTGGCTGAATGGATAAAAAAACAAGATGCCATGATCTGTTGCCTGCAAGAAACATGTCACTTATAAAGATAAACAGACTGAAAATAAAGGGATGGAAAAAGATATTCCATACCAATGGAAACCAAAAAAGAACAGGAATAGCTATACTTAGACCAAATAGATTTCAAGACAAAAACTGTAAGAAGAGACAAAAAAGGTCTCTTATATAATGATAAAAGGGCCAATTCAGCAAGAAGATTTAATGATTGTAAAGATAAATGAACCCAACACTGGAGCACCCAAATGTATAAAGCAAATATTATTAGACCTAAAGAGAGGGATAGAATCCAATACAATTATAGCTGGAAATTTCAACATCATAGTTTCACCATTGGACAGATGTCTCAGACAAAACTCAACAAAGAAACATCAGACTTAATCTGCACAATAGAACAAACGGAACTAATAGATATTTAGAGAACATTTCATCCAACTGCTGCAGAATGCACATTCTTCTCCTTAGTTCATAGATTATTTTCGAGGACAGGACATATGTTAGGTCACAAAACAAGTCCGAAAACATTTAAAAAATTGAAATAAAATAAAGCATCTTCTCTGGCTACAATGAAATAAAACTACAAACCAGTAACAAGGAATTTTGGAAACTAAACAAACACATGAAAATTAAACAATACACTTGTAGTGGTGGAGCTCAGGGTCCCAGCTTCTGGCTTAGTGTTGGCCAGAGGTTGCTTTTATCTCCTTGCCATGTGGTTTTCTCAACATGGCTGCTTACTTATTCCAAGCTAGCTAGGGAGAGAGTCTCTAGAAAGAGTCTACTAGCAAGATAGGGATCTATATAACAAAATTATGAAAGTCATATTCCATCACCTTTTCTATATTCTGTTGGTTAGAATCAAGTCACAGGAATTCCCTACATTCAAAGTGAGTTGGTAATACTAGAACATGAATACCAGGAGTTGAGATCCACAGGGGAACCACCCTAGAGTCTGTTGATACAAAACTTATAAAAGCTTTATTTATAATAGCAAAACCTGGAAAGAGCAAAGCCATTAATAGGAAACTTAATGAACAAACTTTGGTGTGCAAATACAAAGGAATACAATTCAGCAATGATAAGAAACTATTGATACATGCAGCATGGATAAATCTTTAACATATGTTTATCAGTGAAATAAGCCTTTCACAAAAAATAATGTTCTATATTATTCCATTTGTGCGAAATTTTACAATGGGAAAAACTAATTTGTGGTAAGAAAAACAAGAACAGTGGTTGTCCCTAGGGGATGGGGATTGAATGGGTTGGGAAAGGACATGAGGGAACTTTCTCGATGGAGTAACATTCTATATCACTTTTATAAAGTAATGTGCCTGACTGGGGAACTCAGTTTAAATCCCTAAAGTGGTAGCAGTCATGCTGGATCAGTGACACTAATAAAATACATACTAAGGATTTTTTTCCTGAGTTTATCATTTAGTTAGGTTTCAAAAATGTTTCTAAGATAAAGCTAATGTGAGAGTCTTCATTACAAAACAATTTTAAATAATAAATGTAGAAGAAATTATGGAATTAGGAAAATCACCATTTTGTAACTCCTAATGTAATAACTGATTCAGGTAAGAATTATCAGTGGATCTAAAACAATTCGGTGAAAGAATGTTGAACAGGACAATCACATGGTCTTAAAGCATTGCCCCACAGATTGCATATTGATTAGAAAGAGGAAAATATACCTTACACTGAAAAACTCTGGCATGAACAACATTAAACAAATGATCAGACTTAGCATGACTTGGAAAGAAATGAACTGAGAATATATGCTGTTCATAATATACAAATGGAAAGTATACGGAACTCTGTGAATTTTTTTTTTGCCAAAAATGTTTAACTTGAATCTATTCATGAGGATACAATCTGACATACATGACCCGAACTCTTTAAGAATGTCAATTTTATAAAAGATAAAAAGGCAAGGAGGGCTATTTCATATCAAAGGAAGCTAAAAAGATATAACTTTCAAACACAGTAAGTGATTCTTGAATAGATCCTAGGTTTAAAAATAAAGCTCTACAGGACTTTAGAAGAACAGCTGGGGGAGCTTGAATATATACTATTAGATAATATTTTTTGAACAATGTTAAATTTCTTGGATGTGATACTGGTATTGTAGTTATTTAAGATAACTTCCTTGTTCTCAAGAGACACATACTGAAATGTTTACAGATGAAGTTTCATGCTATCTAAAACTTTTTCAGATGGTTCAGCAAAATAATAGATAATAAGTATATATTAAAAATAGATGAAGTAAATTTGGCAAGATGATAATTGGTAAATTTAAGTTAAGTGTATGCATGCTCTTCTTTCAACTTTTCTTTAGGTTTGACATTGCTCAGATTAGAAAACTTGGTGGGACTGTAATTCCAATTCTAGCCATGATGGACTACTTAGTGCTAGACTTTCCCTTCTACTGTAAATAACTATAAAACTTGAAAAAAATACATGAAACAATAGTTTCCAGCTATTGCTAAATAGGCAGCACAGGTAACAGTTAGTGACAGAAGAGAAAAACAGGAGGTGAGGCTAATTATTTCCCTAGCTTTCTACCAAGAGGCACTTTCCAGGTTGCGTCACAGGGAGGTGGAGCCCAGAGCATGGCAGTCTTGCTGAGCTGAAGAAATAGAGTTTAGAGTTAGGTACTGAGTAGGTGGCTGGAATTTTTGAGGCAGAATAACAGACAAGAGGAAACTAAACAATGAAGAGGCTCCAGAAATTTACAGAAGGGACACAATAAATATTTAGATGAATACTAGACTACATATATATATATACAAAGTGGAAAACAACTATTGAGGATCCATGAACTGAATAGAGATTCGAGTTTGTGAAGTATTAGCAGTCATTAAAGTTATAACCAACCAGATAGAAGAGACATTACTGAATTACATTAACATTCTGATGAGACTTGAAAAAAAATCACATCTAAGGTACAAGGCTATTTCAACTCTAGAACAAGAAATCAGCTGATGCACAACTAATGACCTGCCAAAACAAAAATTCAATATGCCCTAAAGGACTATAACAAAAGAAATTTAAGACTATAGCATTGACAGTGTCTAATGCGTAATTTAAAAAATACCAGGCATTTGAGGAAACATGAAAATGTGACCCAAAATGATGAAAAAAATCAATCAATAGAAATCACCTAGAAATGAGATAGATGTTAGAATTTGCAAAAAATAGTTTAAAAGAGCTATTATAAATAAATTCAAGGATTTAAAGAAAAGGACATATATAAGATGGAGAAATTTCAGTAGGAAAAAGCAATCTTTCAAAACAGAACCGAATGGAAATCTGATCAATGAAAAGTACAAAACTGAAATAAAAAAACAATAGATGTGGTTAACAGCAGATTAAACACTAACAAAGAAAAGACCAATATACTTGAAGACAAGGCAACAAAACTTACAAATGAAATCTCAGAAAGAAATAAAGGCTGAAAAAATAAAATAAACATTTTCAGTGACCTGAGTGATACTATCATGTAGTCAAATACACAAATAATGGGTTTCTCAGAATAAGAGGAGAAGGATTGGGACAGAAAAAGTGTTTGAAAAAATAGTGGGCAAAATTTTCAAAATTTATGAAAAATATAAATCCACAGATCCTAGGTGTTCAAGCAAGGTAAGCACAAAGAAAACCACACCTATGGACATCATAATACAATTACTTGAAATCAAATATAAAGAAAGAAGATATACTACATAAAGAACAATAATAAGAATGTTGATTTTTTTCATCAGAAACGATACAAGACAGAAGAAAATGAACTGACATATTTAAACATTTGGGAAGACAGAAGAAAATGAACTGACATATTTAAACATTTGGGAAAATAAATACTATTGATCTTGAATTTGATATCCAGTGAAAATATCCTCCAAAAATAAAGGTAAATTAAAAGACATTTTCAAATAAATAAAGTTGACCTGAACTATAAGAAACTACAAGAAAGGAATAGTACCAGCTAGAAACTCAGAGCTTCAGAAAATAATAAATAGCCTGAGGACAAAGATAAGATTATAGTAAAAAATGTAAATTACCATACTATGCAAGCCCCATTCATAACAAAGTTTTAGTAGATATGAAAATATCAGAAAAAGTAGTCCTCAGGACACAAATATCACTAAAGAAAAAAAGATATAGTTCATGTTGATAAAACTGTCAATATATCAAAAAGGCATAAAATTCTTAAGTGTATATGCATTTAATAGCAGAACTTCAAAATATATGAAGAAAAACTGATAGAACTATAGGAATAAATAGACAAATTGACAATTGTAGTTGGAGACTTTAACACTCCTCTCTCAATAATTACTAGAACAGCTAGACAAAAAGTCAGTTATGGTATACATTATTTGAATAACACTATCAACCAAGGTAATCAAATTCATATTTACAGGATACTGTATCTGTGATGGCCTGAATGTATGTATCCCCTCAAAATTTATATGTCGATATCCTAAACACCCCAGGTCATGGTATTAGAAAGTGGGGCCTTTGGGAGGTGATTAGGTAATGAAGGTGGAACCTTTGTGTTTGGTCTTAGTGGCCTTATAAAAGAGATCTCACAGAGCTAGCTAGCCCCTTTCACCATGTGATGACACAGTGAGAAGGTACTGTCTGTGAGGAAGTAGGCCCTCACTAGACATCAAATCTGCCAGCACCTTGATCCTGGACTTCTCAGCCTCCAGAACTGGGAGAAATAAATGTTTGTTTGAACATTTCATGCTCATGGACTGGAAGAATCAATATCATTAAAGTGGCCACACTGCGCAGAGCAGTCAGTTTCAAGGATATTCCTATTAAACTACCAACGTCATTTTTCACAGAACTAGAACAAAATATTCTAAAATTCATGTGAAATCAAAAAAGAGCTTGAATAGACAAAGTGATCCTAAGCAAAAACAACAAAGCTGGAGGCATCACCTTACTTGACTTCAAACTATCCTATAAGTCTACAGTAACCAAAACAGCATGGTACTGGTACAAAAATAGACACATAGACCAGTGTCAGAATGCAGAAATAAAGCCACAAACCTACAATCATTCGATCTTCAACAAAGTCAATAGGAATGGGGAAAGGACTGCTTGTTCAATAAGTGGTGCTTTGATAGCTGGCTAACCATATGCAGCAGAATGAAACTGGACCCCTACTTTTCACCGTATACAAAAATTAATTTCGAGGTGGATTAAATATTTAAATGTAAGACCTGAAACTATAAGACTCCTAGAAGAACACCTAGGAAACACCATTCTGGACATGGACTTCTAGAAAGAATTTGTGACTTAAGTCCTCAAAAGCAATTGCAACAAAAACAAAAATTGACAGGTGGGACCTAAGTAAACTAAACATCTTCTGCATAGCAAAAGAAACAATCAACAGAGTAAACAGACAGCCTATAGAATGGGAGAAAATATTTGCAAACTATGCATCTAACAAAGGTCTAATATCCAGAATATATACGGAACTTAAACAAATCAACAAGCAAAAACAAATAAAGCCATTAAAAAATGTAAAAAAGACATGAAAAGACACTTCTTAAAAGAAGACATACAAGCAGCCAACAAACATATGAAAAAATCCTCATCACTAATCATCAGAGAAATGCAAATGAAAACCACAATGAGATACCATCTCACACCAGTCAGAATAGCTATTATTAAAAGTCAAAAAATAACAGATGCTGGATAGACTATGGAGAAAAGGGAACATTTATACACTGGTGGTGGGAATGTAAATTAGTTCAGTCCCTGTGGAAAGCAGTTTGGAGATTTCTCAAGGAATTTAAAACACAACTACTTTCAACTCAGCCCAGCAAGCCCATTATTGGGTATATATCCAAAATAAAACAAGTACTTCCACCAAAAACACAGATACACTCACATATTCATCACAGTATTATTCACAATAGCAAAAAGACATGGAATCAACCTAGGTGCCCATCAATGGTTGATTGGATAAAGAAAATGTAATACATATACAGCATGGAATACTATGCAGTATATAAAAAGAATGAAATCATGTCGTTTGCAGCAACATGGATGCAACTGGAGGCCATTATCCTAAGTGAATTAACACAGAAACAGAAAACCAAGTACCACATGTTCTCACTTACAAGTGGGAGTTAAGCATTGGGTACATATGGAAATAAAGATGGCAACAATAGAAACTGGGGACTCCTAGAGAAAGGAAGGAGGGAGGGGGCAAAGTTTGAAAAACTAACTTTGGGGGTACTATTCTCAGTACCTGGGTGATGGGATCATTCATACCCCAAACCTCAGCATCATGCAATATACCACAGTAACAAACCTGCACATATACCCCCTAAATCTAACATAAAATCTGAAAAACAAATCAATTAAGTGTACTCCTAAATGAGCTGAAAAAGATGACTAAATTAAAACTCAAAAGTAGAAGAAAAGACTTATAAAGTTACAGCTGAAATGAATAAAACAGAAAAGGAACAGACAATAGAGTAAATCAAAGCAAAAAAAAAAAAGTTATTTTATGAAAAGCCCCTGAATTTAATAAACTCTAGGTAGACTAGAAAGGGAAAAAAGAAACCCACAAATTATCGATAACAAACAAGAAAGGAGAACATTTTTATAAATCCTACAGATATTGCCAGGATATTGGGATGTTTTATGAACATCTTGATTACAATAAATGTTACAATTTGATAAAATGGGCAAATTAATTGAATGACACAAATTACAAAGATTGATACAATAATTGTTTTATTGAAATCGATATATATCTAACAAATAAGATGATGTGGTGATTTAAAATGTTTCTACATGGCTTTAATGGTAAGTTGTAGTAAATATTTAAACAAGGAATAATATTAATATTATATAAATTCTGTCAGAAAATAGAAGAGTGACATTTCCCAATTCATTTTATAAGGTGAGTATTATCCTGCTATTAGTGAGGCAAAGACATTAGAAGAAAACCACAACCTAATTTTCCTTATAAATATACATACAAATTATCCTTAACAACAAAATATCCATAAATTGAATATAGCAAGATAGAAAAACAATAAGACATTGTGATCAAGAAGGATTTATCTCAGTAATTCAAGGTTGGACTAACAGGAGAAAATAGGTCAATGCAATTCAACACTTGAAAGAGAATAATCAAGAAAAAAAATACAAGATCACCTCAATAGATGCAGAAGAAGCATTTTACAAAATTCAACAGGCATTTGTAGTAAAAACTCAAGAATGAGAAAGTCCCTCAATTTGACAAAAGACATATACCAAAACACATAGCTAGTATCAAACTCAATGGCAAAAGATTGAATGCTTCTCCCCTAAAATTGGAAGCAAGTTCTGGAAGTCTGCTTTTACTGGGGGCCCCAGCCAGTGAAATAAGGCAAGGAAAAAAATAAAAACCAAAAATATTGAAAAGGAAAAAAACTGAACAGCCTGTATATGAAAATGACATAATTTGGCCTGTGGAATATGCCAAGAAATCTACAGAAAAGCCACATGCACTAATAAGTGAATTTAGCAAAGTCATACAAGGCAATATCCAGAAAGCAATTATATTTATATATTAGCAACAATTAACAATGAAATTAAAAATATTAACATTTGCAATAAGTTCAATAAGATAAAATACTTAGAAGTGAACTCATTTAAATATGTGCAAGACCTCTACACTGAAAACTACAACACATTGCTGAGAAAAACTAAAGGAGACCTAAATAACCGGAAGACTGGCAGTGTTTATGGATCAGAACACTCAATAGGGTTAACGTGTCAGTTTTCCAAAAATTGATCTGCAGTTTCAATGTAATCTTAATTGAAATCCCAGCAGCCTTTTTTATTAAACCAAAAGAGAACCTAATTCTAAAATATATGTGGAAAAGCAAATGACCCAAAACAGCCAAACCTATCTTGCAAAAAGGTAAGACAAAATTGGAAGACCGATGCTATCTGATATCAAGGCTTATTATAAATTTACAGCTATCAAGACAGCGTGGTAGTAGGTTAAATACAGACAGATCAATCAATGGAAGATAATATAGACTATATTAGATCCATACTTGTACAGCCTATTGATATTTTACAAAGGCACCAAGACAATTCCATGGATAAAGGAAAGTTGTTTCAACAAATGATGCTGGAATAACTGGACACATGTATGAAACAATGACACACAGCTCCTACTTCATATCATACATATATATTCTAGATGAATCATAGAGCTAAACATAAAAGTTAAATTATAAATCATCTAGGAATAAACATAGGAGAATCTCTTCACAATGGTGTGGTAGAAAAATATTTTCTTGACAGTATCCAGAAATTGTTAACTAAAAAAGAAAAAAAAAAAGGATAAATTGGAATTGGAATTCAAGAAAATCAGAGTCTTCTTTTCATTAAAAGATAACAATAAAAAATGAATAGTCAAACTACAGATGGGGTGAATATAGTTGTAACACATAACTAATAAAGGTGTATTAGTCCATTCTCACATTGCTATAAGGAAATATGTGAGACTGGGTAAGTTATAAAGGAAAGAAGTTTAATTGTCTCATGGTTCCACATGGCTGGGAAGTCCTCAGAAAATTTACAATCATGGCAGAACGTGAAGGTGAAGCAAGTCACCTTCTTCACAAGGTGGCAGAAGGGAGAAGTGCTGAGCGAAGGGTGAAGAGCCCCTTATAAAACCATCAGATCTCATGAGAACTCACTATCACGAGAACAGCATGAGGGAAACTGCCCCCGTGATTCAATTACCTCCACCTGTTCTTTCCCTTGACATGTGGGGATTATGGAGATTATGATTCAAGATGAGATTTGGGTGAGGATACAAGGCCTAACCATATCATTCTGTCCTCAGCCCCTCCAAATCTCATCTCCCTTTCAAATTTCAAAACCAATCATGCCTTACCACCAGTCCCCCAAAATCTTAATTCATTCCAGCATTAAACCAAAAGTCCAAGCCCAAAGTCTCATTTGAGACAAGGCAAGACCCTTCAACCTATGAACTTGTAAAATCAAAAGCAAGTTAGTTACTTCCTAGATACAATGGGTGTACAGGCATTGAGCAAATACACCCATTTCAAATGGGAGAAATTGGCCAAAATGAAGGGGCTACGGGTCCCATGCAAGTCCAAAATCCAGCAGAGCAGTCAAATCTTAAAGCACTGAAATAATCTACTTTGACTCCATGTCTCACATCTGGGTCACACTGATGCAAGAGGTGGGGTCCCCTGGCCCTGGGCATCTCTGCCCTTGTGACTTTGCAGGGTAAAACGCCCTCCTGGCTGCTTTCCTGGGCCAGCATTCAGGGTCTGTGGCTTTTCCAGGCTATGATGCAAGCATCATGTTGGTGGATCTACCAGTCTGAGGTCTGGAGGACTGTGGCCCTCTTCTCACAGCTCCACTAGGCAGTACCCCAGTGGGGACTCTGTGTGGGGGCTCCAACCTCACATTTCCCTTTTGCACTGCCCTAGCAGAGGTTCTCCATGAGGGCTCCATCCCTGCAGCAAACTGCTGCCTTGACATCTAGGCATTTCCATACATCCACTGAAATCTAGGCAAAGGTTCCCAAACCTCAATTCTTGACTTCTGTGCACTAGCAGACCCAAAACCACATGGAAACTGCCAAGGGTTGGGGCTTGCACCCTCTGAAGCCACAGCCTGAGTTGTACGTTGGCCCCTTTTATCCACAACTGGGATGCAAGGCATCAAATCCTGAGACTGCACAAAGCAGCAAGGCCCTGGGCCCAGCTCATGAAACCATGTTTTCTTCCTAGGCCTCTGGGCCTGTAATGGAAGAAGCTGCAGTGAAGACCTCTGACATGCCCTGGATACATTTTCCCCATTGTCTTGGTGATTAACATTGGGCTCCTTGTTACTTATGCAAATTTCTGCAGCAAACTTGAATTTCTCCTCACAAAATGGGTTTTTCTTTTCTACCACATTGTCAGGCTGCAAATTTTCTAAGCTTTTATGCTCTGCTTCCCTTTTAAACATAAGTTCCTATTTCAGATCTTCTCTCTCAAGTTCAAAGTTCCACAGATCTCTAGGGCAGGGGCAAAATGCCACCAGTCTCTTTGCTAACACATAGCAAGAGTCACCTTTATTCCGGTTCCCAAGAAGTTCCTCATCTCCCTCTGAGACCACCTCAGCCTGGACTTTATTGTCCATATCAGTATCCCCATTTTGGCCAAAACCATTCAACAAGTCTCTAGGAAATTCCAAACTTTCCCACATCTTCCTGTCTTCTTCTGAGTCCTCCAAACTGTTCCAACCTCTGCCTGTTACCCAGTTCTAAAGTTGCTTCCATATTTTCGGGTATCTGTTCAGCAGCACCCCACTCTGCAGTACCAATTTACTGTATTATTCCAGTCCCACATTCCTATAAGGAAATACCTGAGACTGGGTAATTTATAAAGGAAAGTTGTTAAATTGACTCACAGTTCAACATGGCTAGAGTGGCCTCGGGAAACTTACAATCATGGCAGAAGGCAAAGGGGAAGCAAGGCACCTTCTTCACAAGGTGGCAGAGGGAGAAGTGCTGAGCAAAGGGGGAAGGGCCCCTTATAAAACTATCAGATCTCATGAGAAGTCGCTATCATGAGAACAGTAGGAGGGAAACTGACCCCATGATTCAATTACCTCCACCTGTTCTCTCCCTTGACATGTGAGGATTATGGGAATTATAATTCAAGGTGAGATTTGGGTGGGGACACAAAGCCTAACCATATCAAAACGGCTCAAATCTAGTATATATAAAAGACACCTTCAACTTATTAAAACACAGATAAATCAAGCAATAAATGATCAAAATGCTTGAACAGACATTTCACAAAGGAAGATATACAAATGGTCAATAAGCACAATGAAAAAGTACTCAACGTCATTAGGTAACAGTTGACCAGTACAAATTAAAACTGTGATGGAATACCACTACATATTCACCAAGATGGCTAGTATTTAAAACACTGACTATACCAAATGTCAGCAAACGTGGAACAACTGACACTCTCAAACACTGCTGGCAGATAAATAAAATGTTAAACCAGTATGAAAACAGTTTAGCAGTTTCTTATAAAGTTGAACATATTCCCTCTGCTATGGTCTGAAAGTGTCCCTCAAAATTCATATATTGACACTTAATGGCCAGTGTGATAGTATTAAGAGGTGAGGCCTTTAGGAGGTAATTAAATTATGTGGGCATAGCCCACATGAATGGGATTATCAGCCTTATAAAAGGGCTGGAGGGAATTAGCATTTGTCCCCTTTTGCCCTTCCATTCCTTCTGCCATGGGAGAATACAGCATTTGTCCTCTGGAGGATGAAGTGACAAGGTACCGTCTTGGAAGCAGAGAGTAGCCCTCACCAGACACCAAACCTGCAGGTGCCTTAATCCTGAACTTCCTAGCTTCCAGAACTGTGAGGAATAAATTTATATTGTTTCTAAATTATCTAGTCCATGGTATTTTGTTAGAGCAGCACAAACAGATTAAGATACCTTTCTGATGACCCAGTAGTTTCACTCCAAGAAATTTACACAAGAGAAATGAAAAAATATATCCACAAAAAGCCTCATATAAGAAAATGCATAGCAGGTTTAGTCAAAATAGGAAAAACTAAAAACATCCTAAATGTGTGTCAACGGGACAATAAAGTAATTGTGAGATGTGTATACAATGGACTTCTACTCAACAATAAAAAGGAATGAATTCTTGATACATGCAACAACATGGATGAATCTCAAAAATATTATGCTTAGCAAAAGAAAATGGTCACCAAAGAGCTCTTGCTATATGATTTGATTTACATGAAATTCTAGAACATGCAAAGCTAATCGATAGTGAAAGAAATCAGAGCAATAGTTGCTTCAGGGGGACAGTCAAGGATTAATTGGGACATGGCTCAAAAAAACTTTCTTGGGGTTTTGGGAGTATTCTATATATATATGAGTAAGTATGTGAGTTATAGGAAGCATTTGTCAAAACTGATTGATCTGTACACCTAATATCTGCGTCTTTCACTCTATGTAAATTAGATTTCAGCAGAATAAAAGATCTGGAGCTTAAAAACAAGAAAAGTGTTGGTAGTGGGAACAAAGAATATTAAAAAACGATGAATTAAATTTAACTAATAGTATTTAAAATCTCGCTACTTATTCCTAAAGTTAGATCACATTTTTCAGTATGCTATCAGAGGTATTTCCCTCTTTAGGGTTAGAATTGAAAAAAGTTTCAGAACTTTACACAAAGATTTTGTGCTAAAAATCTTTATTTCAAACAATGTATCTGGGGAAACAATATTTGCCCATAAGCATGGAAAAATTGATAAAAATATCTAGAAGAAAATATACTTATTTTAATAATCAGATCTGCTCAGTTTTCTAATGAGGATTCTAAACTTTTTCAGTGTTACATAAATTTTTTTAATGTAGCTCATTTGGCTATTGAATCTTTCTATCTTTAGCCCCTGTGAAAATAAATATTGTGGTGTTATTACACATACGAGATATAGTTTTTGTTAGTTAACAACACCTAAAAAACTGGCCACTCAAAATGTAAGAATGCATACTCCTCCGCTAACAATAAATGAAACTTGAAGTCAGAACTCCCCAAATGTTTCCAAGAATAAGTTGAAAATTTCAAGGCATTTTGAATCATGATAATATTTCAGATAAGTTCTATTATAGCCATTGCATCGAATATCACCAAAACAAATAATTTATAATTCTGATTGGCTGAGTCAGACCATTCTTCTTACTAGTTTTATGTTTCAAACTCCTGTTTTATAGTATATAGAGAAGCTGTCAATCATCAGTATCTACAAATCTAATTGATAATTTGTGATGATCAGTTTAAAACATGGGACATTTTTCCAAAACCTTCAAAAAGATGAAGTGTCTTAGTGAGAAACACTTTTTTAGAACCCACTTCAAAAATGTGACGAAGGAAGAAAAGACAAAGCTTAAAGTGGTAAAATCTCTGCCTTCTTCACAGGGCCTACCTGATTTGTGATTTCCATGTTTTCTTCAAGAGCTTAATTGAGCTGCATTGTTTTGGGTTTTCACTTTCAATTAACATCCTCTACAAAGTGTGAACTTATAGAGCCTGGTTTTGGCAGTTTCATACTTAGCAAGAAAGTTTCTGCCTGTGTATTGTGAAATAATTTAAATGAAAATGTTATAGGTATCAAGTTACAGCTAAAAGAAAGGAGTACAAAGCTGTGCTTAAGTTTACTTCTATTAGAGTAGGGCACCTGAATTTAACTGGGCTAAAATAATCTGTCTATCTCCCTGCTATTTACAAATATATATGTGGGCTTAGTGTTTTGATTCTAGGGCCTATAAAATAGGGTACACTAAAAAATATAACCCTGCTATATCTGAAATACCATTTAAAAAATTATTTCATCTGTGAAAATATGGACTTTTTCCAGCATGGTACTTCCCCTTAGCTTACCTTACACTGGATGCTATATGTCAAGACAGTAAGACATTGCATTTTTTATAAGCAGATTATTATCTGTAAAGATTAGCTGTTTTTAGTTCTGGGAAATGTTAGACAGAGGCTATTTTGCCACACTTTATAAATAAGAAAAATATTTGATAGGGTAATTCACCAGTTAGAGGATCACAAAATCTTTCAAAATCCACTAGTTTTATTTTGCAGTTGTAAAATAAATGTCTGGACTTTGTCATTTACACTTACCAGAATCAAATGCACATAATCACATAGCTTTGAATTCTGACATGAAATTCTGAATCCTTTATCCATTTTATTGATAGCATGAGAATCTACTCCCACAACGGTATTTGGTTCAATGTATACCTTCCAATGCTTTAGCATTATTGCTCAAGTAGAGCTGAAAGGCAAGTTATGTTGTTGAAATGTTCTGTAAGTGATAGGTAAAAATCATGGTAATTCAAGTCATACTTCATGTGACCAATACCTCAGAGCACTTTAAACGAAGAATAGGTATTAATGAGGTCAAGTAAAACAATTTCTCTAGCTAACCTTTTCATTTTGTGCATGGCAGTATTAAAAATGGTGCAAAGTGGCATTTAATTGCCTTCAAACCTTCACACTTCTGCAATCTGAGATTCTAGAGAATTCTTACTTCTATCTTGACCCCATTTTAAAAAGTACTATTCTCCCTGGACCCGTATAGGGATAGACTGGCATTGTCAGAATCCAAAACTAAGGAAAAGTTAAAGAATAGTCTGTCAGCAAAGTTGGAAGGAATCATTGTATATGGATTTTTTTTTCTTCTGGGGTGACTACCTTCTATCATACTTAAGAACTACAAGACTAATGTAATAAGGAAATAACCCATTTACGGGCCAAAAAATGCAATGAGTAGATGCCAGTTTGCAAAGTGTGAAAAGGTAACATATATACATTTATATTTTCATATTCTGCAACTTTACAACCTTACACTCCGCACTTCCCAAAACCCCAGGGATAGCTCATAACATCGTACTATCAAGATTAAGAATAAAAATAATCCTTTGGCTCAAAGATACAATACCTTACATACAGCATTCCCTCAAAATAACAAAGAAACTGATTTCATCAGTTGATATGTTGATCAGAATACTATGCAATTCTCTATTTCTGTTTTTGACATTTAAGCAAATGTATTCAAACATTTTAAAAACAGAAATGAAGCTTCTAATACATAAAACTGTGTTTGAGTAGTGTCTTTCTTCAATAACTTAATTTAAAACCATGGAAAATTAAATAACAAATGAAGAATGGCTACGAATTTCACTGGAAGAACTAGAAGCGAATGCTGAATGGGTTATGTCAAGATACTAATCCACGCTGCTTCGCAGTGAGGCCATAGACTGAAAAGCGTGCAGTCAAGTTTTCAGGAAAAAAAGCATCCTAACCTTGCAGTCTTCACCCCCATGTGGCAAAAGTTGCTTTGGAAATGACAAGGAGAGATAGTGCAATACGAATCCCTGTCAGAGAGCTGTGGCAATAATATTCTGGGTCAAACCAGTATACTCAATATGCCTCCTATCAAAACAGCACAGTGGCTATATGGTGCCCAATAAAACTGGAAAGCTGGAGTTGTGATTGTGAAAGTGCTGCAGATTAATGAACAATTCACCTTATTCTTTGTGTTTTCCAGAATAAAATGGAGTGGGTCTCACAGAGCCTTGCAAGAGCCCATACCCAGGAACAATAAGGTGGAAAAAAATGAAAGACAAAGGGAAGAATAAAAAATAAGCCTGAAAAATTTTACCAGAGAGTCAGTGAGGACAAGGAGACAAATATGATACTTTTCTAGTCTTGCCATCAGCAGCAGCAGTAATCCTCACAGTCCCCAAGTTTGTGTTAAAGCTTCAAAGCAGGATACTAAATCCTTTCACAAGTTTTCTTAAAGCATTGCCAGTGACAAAAAAGCGCAGGGCATATTCTTACACAGTATAAGTAAGGAAATTTAGCAATGCTATGTACGATTAAGAATTTTAAAGGAATCTATAGTGCTAGAGTATTGCTTTGGATTTAGAGAATTTATTCTATGACTGCATATACTGCCAAAGGAAGCATTAAAGTTTAGGTTGTCTCCTTACCTTGATAATTCGGCACCAGATTAGAATGAGTGAAATGATTCTGTTTTGTTTCCATCAAATGACCAAATGATGAGGTAAATATTTGTTAAGATCATCTCTTCAAAAGACTCTGTTAGAATTACCTTCTGCTAGATTTGATTGTGGCAGTGCTTATAATCATTCTACAAATCAGTAAAGGATCCTGAGTTGCTGGGCTTAGAAAAAGAAGCACACTCCATTTTCATCCTACGTAGACTGCCCATTTACTTCATCTCCTTTTGCTGCAATCCATCCTGCAGTGGGGAAAATGGAGAAATTGTAAAAAGAAACTATGTCTGATTTTTGTCCTTCAATTTTTACACAATTTTTTGTTCAAAAGTGATGTTCAGAAATCATTCTCAAGGGATGTAAAATTTTCAGAATTATCTTTCCACAGGCTTCCTTCACACAGGAGTCAGCTTTGTCTAAGAAGCTCTCATTGATGTCAACATAATACTTTTGATGTATGCAGTATCTATCGTTGCTTTCCCTACTTTCACCAAGAATACCATATTTGCTGCAAGTAGTTTTTACACAATTGCATGTAATATTTTTGAAGGATTATTCTATGTATGTTTCATTGAACTTTACCTTGCTTGAATGAACTTCTTAACCCATGTTGATTTCTATTTTTGTATTTTCCCACACGTTTTCAGTACATAAATTCTTTTTTAGGAGATAGCCAGTTCTATTAAATTAACTGCAGGCAATCAGGGGACTTATTCCTGCAAAGTCTCACAATTAGAGATTCATTTATTCATTCATTCAAGTTTTATTGAACGTTGTCCTGTACACTCTACTAGACACTAGAGATAAAAATATAAATAAAGTGCAGGACCTGCCTGATGAAACTCTTGCTCTGTTATAATTACAATAGTAAGTGATAGATGCTATAGGAGGTGGCTATGAAGAATCTAACTCTGCTTGGGGACAGTGGAAATAGGTGGTGGCTTCACGAAGAGATTATATTTAAACTGAGTCTTGTACGAAGGCTAATAGCTCCCAAGAAAGATAAGACAAGAGGGAGCAACATAGCAGCATGGAGAAACCGTTCAGATACTAAGTAATTGAGTGTGTGTTTCTTCTTGGTGCATGATACTGTAAAGTGTAGAGTTAAGAAACAAATGCCTGTACCCGAACACCACCCTCCCAAGATTCTGATTTATTGAGCTATGATGAGTAAAGGCCATTTTTAAAAGCTCCCTGGTTATTCTAACTGCAGCCAGAGTGGAAAGCCACTGCTTTATACAGTTGGGAGCCATTGAAGGATTTTAAGCAGAACAATGAATGAAAATGTAAGGAAACAAAACTATTTTGTTTAGATTGAAGAAGTGAAAGATTGAAGGCTGAGATACTAGTAGAACAATAATACCAAGATGTAAGTCCTCAACTGTTGCTAATCTGAAACAAGGTTTCCACTTGTACCAAGCAAAATGACCATTATTTTATGAGTCTTTTTGTGAACATATCCACTCATTTCTCTTGGCTATATATGTGGAAGTAGAATTTCTGGGTCATAGGATAACCATATATTTAACTTTTTCTAATATAAGCTTCTGTAATATATTTAGCATATGTTAAGAAGATGCCAAACAGTATCAACTAAATTTATTCAGAGTTGCTGCATAAAATTACACTTCCATCACCAATATATGAAAGCTTCAATTATTCTACATGCTTGCCAACAGTTGCTATTAGGTATTTTGAATTTTTACCATTTTGGTGAGTGTATGGTGATATTTCATTGCGGGTTTTTTGTACGTGTATGTTGGGTCATCTAAACAAAATTACTGTTTTTTACTTTATTTTATCTATTTAGCTGATCCATGGATTAGTATAACTTCAATTTCTTACATGTAACCATGATTACATAGTTTTGGTAACTTTTATGGGCTATAATTCACATGCTATAATTTTCATCCTTTTAAAGTATGCAATTGAGTGATTTTTAAAATATTCATAAAGTTATACAACTATCAACACTACATAATTCCAGAATATTTTCCTCCTGCAAAAAAGAAACCCCATGCTCATTAGCAGTCATTCCCCATTCTCCTGGGACTCCAACTCCTGGCAACCATTAATCTACTACTTTGGGTCTCTATGGATTTGACTATTCTGGACATTTCATATAAATGGAATCATACAATATGCTGCCTTTTGCATCTGGCTTCTTTAAGTTAGCATAATATTTTCAAGTTTCATCCATGTTGTAGCATCTACAGTACTTCTTTTCTTTTTCTGGCTAAATAGTATTCCATTGTATGAATATACCACATTTTGGTTATCCATCCATCAACTGGTGGATATTTGCGTGGTTTCTGCTTTTTCACTATTATGAATAATGCTATTATAAACATTCATGTATGAGTTTTTCTGTGGGCATATTTTTCTATTTTCTTGGATTTATATCTAGAAGTGAAATTGCTGGATCATGTGGTAACTATTTGTTTAACTTTTTGAGGAACAGCCAAGTTGTTTTCCAAAGAGAATGCACAGACCAGTTTACATTCCTACCGGCGGTGTATTAAGAGTCTAATTTCTCCACATATTTGCCTACACTTGTTATTTTCTGTCTTTTTAATTAGAGCCATCCTAATGGATATCAAATGGATATCACGTTGTGGTTTTGTTTATGTTCTTGACTAACGATATTGAGCATCTTTACATATGATTATCAGCCACTTGTGTATCCTTCTGTGGAGAAGTATGCATTCAAATCCTTTGTTCATTTTTAAATTGGATAACTTGTCTTTTTTTCTTAATGATACCTAAGAGTTTTTGTTACAGTCTAGACACCAATCCTGATAAAAAGGTGTTCTTAACTTAATGGAGTCAAATTTATTTCTTTAGTTAATCTTATATGGTCTTGTTTTATGGGTTTTTTCCTTATATAAAATTTTTAAAATACCACTCCATAGTCATAAAGGTATACTCCTGTTTTCTTCTAGAACAGAGTTTGACAATTTTTTTCTGTAAAATACTGGATAGTAAATACATATGGCTTTGCAGGCCATGTAGTCTCTTTCATAACTACTCAACTCTGCCATTGTAGCATGAAAGCAATCATAACAATACACAAATGAATGGGCTGGTTGTGTTCTGTTAAAATTTTATTTACAAAAAGAGGCAGAAGTCTGGATTTGGCCTAAGAGCCATAGTCTGATCTAAAAGTGCCCATTGTTTCATTTTTCACATTTAGGTCCACGGTCCATTTAAATTTTATTTTTGTGTATAGTTTGACATCGGTATCAAGGTCCATTTTCTTTCATATAAAAATTCAATTACTCTGACATTATTTATTTAATAAAATTATTCTTTCCCCCACTTAATTACAGTGAAATCTTAGTTATAAGTCAAGTGACTCTATATATGTGGGCCTGTTTCTGGACTCTCTTTTCTGTACTGTTGGTCTATTTGTCAATCCTTTCATCAGTACTACACTGCTTTAACCATTATGGGTTTATAAGTAGTCTTGAAGTCCAGGAGCATAAGACCTCCAACTTTGTTTCCTCTCTTTCAACACTGTATTGACTATTCAATACTTTTGCATTTCAATTCAAATCTTATAATCAGCTTGTCAGTTTATACACACACACATACACTCACACACACTGCAGTGATTTGACTGAGAATGCCTTTACTTTATAGATCAATTTTGGACGAATCGACATCATAACACTATTGTGTCCTCCGATCAATCCATAACCATGCTATGTTTTTCTGTTTATTTAAATCTTTTTCAATGTCTCTCAGAAATGTTTTGTTGTTTCAGGTATAATGGTTTGTCATATCTTTCATTAGATTTAATTCTAAGTACTTGATGATTTTTCTTGCTATGTTAAATGACATTTTTAATTTTATTTGCAAAATTTCTTATCATTTTACAGAAATAGAAATATTTCTCAATCTTGACTTTTTCCAGGTGACCTTGATAAACTCACTAATTAATGTGCTTGTATCTGAAATCCAAAAGTTTTAAAACAAATGAGGAAACTACTGAAATTTTGTGGGATAGAGGTCATAAAAACACAAATTAAAATGATGAGTGTAAGAAGAGATTTGAGAAACATATATATAAATCTATAGTAATTGAAATGTTTATGATAATGCAAATGGAAGAGTAGAAGGAGTCTATCAGGTTTCTGTCTTGGATAAATGAATGATTAATGCTGCCATTTACCAAGATAGGAAGCATAGGGAGAAGAAAATGCTTTGGAAAAAGTAAGATCCTTTTTTAGTAAATTTCTCTGAGTTGGCTATAAGATGTCCAAGAGAAAATTTCTGCTAGTGAATTTAAAATAGAAATCTGGACTTAAGCTATTGCCAGTTGTTAGAATACAGATGATAGTTGAAGCCAAGAAAAAATAGTCAAAAACGAGAACAATGTGTAGAGTGAAAAAAAAAAGAGTTAAATATTTTAGTACTGGAAAGTACCAATATTAAAGGAGCATTGAAGGGAGAAAAGCCAACAAAGGAGAACAAAAAGAAATACTCAAGGCGGGGTGTGGTGGCTCACGCCTGTAATCCCAGCACTTTGGAAGGCCGAGGCAGGCGGATCATGAGGTCAGGAGATCGAGACCATCCTGGCTAACATGGTGAAACCCCGTCTCTACTAAAAATACAAAAAAATTAGCCGGGCGTGGTGGCGAGTGCCTGTAATCCCAGCTACTTGGGAGGCTGAGGCAGGAGAATGTCGTGAACCCAGGAGGCGGAGCTTGCAGTGAACCAATATCATACCATTGCACTCCAGCCTGGGGGACACAGCAAGACTCCGTCTCCAAAAAAAAATACTCAAAAGAGAACTAAGAAAGGGTAATCACAGAAACCAGTGAAAGATTTTCAAGATGTAGTGCATGTCCAGCAATATTGTAAAATGGTCAAGTGAGAAAGGGATTGAAATTGAAATTGCCGATTTAGAAGTCATTAATTACTTCTTTCAGAGATGTTTCAGCAATATGATGGGAATGGAAGCTAGATCCATGTGGGTTAAATTGAAGATGATGAAGTGAAAGACAGCTGTGAAAAATATTCTTCATAAACTCCTGCATGTGAAGTAAAGGAGAGAAGTCTCTAGAGTGACAAACCAATGTCAATAGGCTCAAAGGAAGGTATTTTGAAAGGGGAATATTTGATCATAGTTATACCTCTAGTGGAAGGACCCAAAGAGTTCGAGAATACAGATGTAAGAGGGAATAATTGATGGAGCAAAGGCTTGCAGTTGATGGAAGAGAAGTGGATCTGATGCATAAACACCATCTGAATTAAACTAAACTTACATGTAATTTGAATAAATAGAAATATAAATGCTTGAGTGTTAGCATACAGCAGGTGGATATAAGTTTGTAGCTTCTAATTTTTTTTTTCTCCAACATCTAGTCTCCCACATCTAATGTCTATTTAACATCTTTGAATTATTTCTAAATTGTCCTCAAACAGGTGAAAAATTTTCCCTAGTTTGCTCAAACTTTACCTCCTTTCACATATTACATATAGTACCATATATGCGTTAAAAGCCTTTAGAAAGGATTTATTCCATGGTAACACGCCTTTAATTATGGGTGCAAAAATCAAGTTACAGATTTAAGTAGTATGTGATGGTTTTGTGCAGATAACAATTTATAAAGACCAGGCAATTATCCTGTCCCTTGCTACATAACCTACCATCAACCTCTACCTCTCCATCTCCTCTAAATACAAAATTCCAAATAGAGGCCAGGTGCAGTGGCTCAGGCCTGTAAACCCAGCACTTTGGGAGGCCAAGGCAGGAGGATCACCTGAGGTCAGGAGTTGGAGACCAGCCTGGCCAATAAGATGAAACCCCGTCTCCACTAAACATACAAAAATTAGCCGGGCATGGTGGCACGTGCCTATAATCCCAGCTACTCAGGAGGCTGAGGCAGGAGAATCGCTTGAACCCAGGAGGTGGAGGTTGCTGTGAGCTGAGACCCCACCATTGCACTCCAGCCTGGGCAACAAGAGCAAAACTCTGTCTCAAAAAAAAAAAAAAAAAAAAAAAAAAAAAAAATTACAAATGGAATCTGGTTACTAGTAAAGCCACGTATGTTCTGAAGATTTATATCACAAGCTATTGATGATTAAGGAGGTATGCAGACTTTTTTTTTTTTTTTTCCGAGACAGAGTATCACTCTGTCACCCAGGCTGGAGTGCAGTGGCACAATCTCGGCTCACTGCAAGCTCCGCCTCCCGGGTTCACGCCATTCTCCTGCCTCAGCCTCCTGAGTAGCTGGGACTACAGGTGTCCGCCACCACGCCTGGCTAATATTTTGTATTTTTAGTAGAGGCAGTGTTTCGCCGTGTTAGCCAGGATGGTCTCGATCTTCTGACCTCGTGATCCGCCCGCCTCGGCCTCCCAAAGTGCTGGGATTACAGGTGTGAGCCACCGCGCCCGGCCGGTATGCAGACTTTTTAGGAAGGGTGTCAATTACTTGTATTTAATACACTAAACATCAACAAAGAAATAATAAATTTTAGTAGAATATGACAAGTAGTTAACAATATCAATGAAGATGTTAAGAAACATCTGAGAAGTGGAGGTATATGATTACATTAATCAAAGAAACTTTGAAGACAATAAATTGAAATTTACAGGTTTAGATAATTATAACAGAAAATGAGCAGTCAAGATAATCTTTAAGAATCTTCCTCAGTATGCATGTAATATTAAGACAGCATTATAAAACTCAGATTTATTCCCTGAGCTGATCCCTATGGAAAAGCAAGTGAATATTTCTAAATGTTTCTTTCTGCATTTACTACAACATGCAAAATACATAAGGTGATGAGTCGGGAGTTAATAAATAGATGAGTCTGAGTTTCTAAATTAATTCATTAGTGTAATATTCATGGAATATATTTTCCTTTCAGTGCACACACATAATTCATATTAGCATTAGTGGGAGGAAGTTACACTTGCATGAGAAGAATACAGCAATCAACATGCAAAACTCTAAGAGAATTCTTTGTGAAAGATTTGCTATTTCACTGCATATTGCAAAAGTGATGTCTGCATGACACCAAATGGAAACATTCATTCATCCAAATATTTCTTAATAGCTGCATGTTTTATACTATAGGTAAACTGTATAAAATATGTATTGCATTTTATCCATACCAAAAAAAAAGCAATTAAGATTTGTTAAAGACAATTTGTTAAAAACAATCATGTGCCAAGCACTGCGCTAAGTCCCTGACAAGTATAGTTATCACCACGAAAATATGCTGTGTGGCCGGGCGCGGTGGCTCACGCCTGTAATCCCAGCACTTTGGGAGGCCGAGGTGGGCGGATCACGAGGTCAGGAGATCGAGACCATCCTGGCTAACACGGTGAAACCCCGTCTCTACTAAAAATACAAAAAATTAGCCAGGCGTGGTGGCAGGCACCTATAGTCCCAGCTACTAGGGAGGCTGAGGCAGGAGAATGTCGTGAACCTGGGAGGCGGAGCTTGCAGTGAGCCGAGATCACGCCACTGCACTCCAGTCTGGGTGACAGAGCGAGACTTTGTCTCAAAAAAAAAAAAAAAAAAATGCTGTGAAATCATCCCCAAAATAGCAATCATTTACTCTCATGTGTCTGTGGGTCAGTTAGGCATTCGATGATCGAAGTTGGGCACAGCTTGCAGTTTTTCTCATCTCAATCTGGCTTTGCTCATGGATCTGGAGGTTGTCTAGGAGTTGTCTGATCTAGGCTGGGCCCAGATAAGGTGGTTTGTTCTGCCCCAGTGTCTCTTCTTCCAGAACCAGCAAGAATATTTGTTTTAAGTTGATGGTAAAGGAAGAAGACAGAAAGCTGAATGGAATAAGAGCTTGACATATTTTTGTCACATTATGTCCTACAGCATGCCATTGACTGAAGCAAGCTACAAGGCTAAACTTAAAGTCAAGGGTTGGGGAAATAATACTCTGCATCTTTAGTAGAAGAAGATGCAAAGTAACCAGGCAAAGGGCCTGGATTTAGAAAAGGGTAAAGAGTTGGACCATTAATAGAATCTGAACTGTACACTATCTGACTTAATCCTCAACACATCTCCACAAAATAGTTAGCATTATTTTCCTCATATTACAAGTATGAAATGGGATCAAAAAGAGGTTAAGTGACTTTTCCAAGTCATAGAGGGAATAGGTTGCAGAGTTAATGCCAAAGTTCATGTGGTTGTTCCAATACATCATTTCTTATGCATATTGTTTGGAAGTTTACAATTGAAATGAGGTCTGCCAACGGATACAGAGATGATAATGGCAGATCCACAGTAAACCCATACATAAAATTGTAAGCATATAGAGTCATCAAATAATAAAAAAAAAAAAAAATAGCCACTTGATTGAATCAATAGAGTGAAGTTTACACCATGTGTTAGCTTTTTTTTGGTTTTTTGTTTTTTTTTTTTTTTTTTGAGTCAGAGTCTGGCTCTGTTGCCCAGGCTGGAGTGCAGTGGCACAATCTCGGCTCACTGCAAGCTCCGCCTCTCGGATTCACGCCATTCTCCTGCCTCAGCCTCCCAAGTAGCTGGGACTACAGGCGCCCGCCAACATGCCCGGCTAGTTTTTGTATTTTTAGTAGAGACGGGATTTCACCGTGTTAGCTAGAATGGTCTCGATCTCCTGACTCCTGATGTCGTGATCCACCTGCCTCAGCCTCCCAAAATGCTGGGATTACAGGCGTGAGCCACTGCGCCCGGCCCTTGTGTCAGTTTTAAATTGCTCATAAATACAATAACTCTGTCACAGAAGTCGGTGACAATGTGACTTTGTCCTTGTAAACTTCTCTTATTATCCCCAGTTGTGAAGAAACCACATAATCTTTTTTTCTCTCTTTCTGATTCTAGGCTGGTGGATAGTGAGGAAGTGAGTTGTGAAAGCAGACTCATCATAATTGCACACAGGTACAAACATATTTTTAGAAGAGAAACAAGTTGAAGGAACACATGTCATGTGACCTTGGTTTTCTAAGTAAAGTATATTAATGGTAATACTATCATTTACTCAAAGATAAACAAAAACATATTCAAGTCTCCTCTGTCTTTAAAATAAGTAGTAGTATACTTTTTCCTGCCACTTTCTCACGTTACTATTGTATCTTCCCTTTTCCATTCAATGGCAATCTGTGTTTGTTGCTCCACTCCCTGATAACACATTCCCTGAATGCTTAGCTTCTTTCTTTTCTGTTCTACTGAGACTTGCTCTTTCTAATGTTATCTTTCATCTCTCAATCACCAAATATTTTTATCAGTCCTCATCCTCTTGGCCCTCTTTCCAGTATGTGACATTTGCCTACTCTTCTACCACTGGAAACTTTATATTTAGAGGCAGTGCAAAGATGCTAAAATGTAGGCACTGGACCCGGTCTGCCTGGATCAAATCCTGACTTCCATTTCAGAGGGCTGTGACAGGAGAAAGTCAGTGAACTTCTCCAAGCCTCAGCTTGATTGTCTGTAAAACAGAGGGGATTCTATTACCACAGAACCAAAATCATACGGTTGTTAGGATTAAATGAGATAATATATGGTAAGTACTTTGAAAAGTGCCTGGCACACACTAAGTGCTCAATAAAAACTTCCTCCTTTGATGATATTCCATTGTCCTGTTTCCTTCCTCCATTTTTGAACCTACTGACTTTAATTCCTCCTCTCAATTCCTATTTTTTTTGTGTTTCTCCAGTTAATTCTTGTACTTCTCTCATACTACTTTTTAAATCTTACCCAAAATCATGATTATAACTATTATACTGATGCCCCAAAACTCTCAAATCTATTTCTGGTCTAAGCACTCTCTAAACACTACTCCTTATTTCAATTTAATACAATTTTCTCCTACTCAGTTTTCTACTAACAAACAGAAAAACTCAGTGGTCTCAACATATAATCCCCTTAGATATTTTAAGATCACACTTTTCATGCCTTGAACCTTTTCTTGCAGAGCTTATTTTCCACTCCTTTGAAATTCTTTATTATACTTTTTTGTACTCTCCTGTATCTTTCTATTCTTTTCACAGTCTAAAAATTCACTCTTCATAATACTTTAAAAATGTTTTGACTAATGTTGGATACAATGGAAGTGAATTCTAACCTTGGGTGTTAATCCCCTACTGGGCTCCCCTATTCCATTTTGTGGGTAAGAATAGAACTTTCCTGATCTGCTTGATTCTAGCAGGTCTGTTCCAAAGGATAAAAAGGTAAGATTAATGTAATTTGAATGACATAATCATGACCTCAGTCAAAGTTGTGGGTTTTACGCATGGCAATTTGCCATTTAGTAATTCATATTGTGTACTATATGAAGGGATCTCAATAGAATAGAGTCCAGGATTGGGCACATCTAGGCTTATTCTACATCCTAGAAGGTCTGGCTTCTAGGAGTTTCAGGAACTGTTTGTCTAGCAATCACAACTATGCTAGAAAGAGTCATATTATATAGCTCTACTGTGTATAGATTGACTGTAAAGAGCCGACAAGAATCCAGAACACTTCAAATTTCCAAACATCCTGAGGGCTATAGGGAAGTTTCAAAAGCACTGATAAGAAGCAGGTTGCAGACATTACGCAGATATTGACTTGTGTTGAAGACAGTCACACAACATATTGAACTGTGAGGTAAATATTGATCTTATCTTAGATCGATATTTACCGCAAGAAATAGTGCATCTTGGTGCTGACCAAAAAGCCAAGTTGAGGTATGTATCTTTATATACATTCCATTACCAAAATTAATTGTAACAAGAATTTTTCTACTTTTTTTGACATCTGAGGAATATTTACAGCAACTCCAGAAAGGAGGTAGCACTTTCTGTTTTATTGCTGCGGTCCATTTACTACATATCTATTAATCAAATGGAAGAACCAAAGAATATAAGTTGTTAGCTTTGTTATAATCACTTTTGTGCTTTCTTCCTGAAAAAGTTTGCAACTTATTAACTTGGGTGTTAATCCCCTACTGGGCTCCTTTATTCAGTTTGTGGGTAAGAATGGAACTTTCCTGCTCTGCTTGATTCTAGCAGGTCAAGTAACTGAGGATAGGGACTAGAGAAGAAGAAACTTTGGAGAGAGAAGACTCAGCTTAACATTTTGCTCCTAACGTTTACTAAATATTTGATCTTGGAAAAGTTTTTAACCACTCTGAGACTCAACTATACAGTGGAGAAAAATATAAATGTCTGAATTACCAGGTTATGAGAATCAAATGAGATAAAGTTTTATCTCTCACTACCACTTTATATCCAAATATCTTTAAGGAGTTGCCTAAATTCACATTTTTCTAATCCCTGTGCTCTCACTCACCTTTCATCCCACAGCAATCTGTCTTCCATAGCTATCGCCAAATTAAAACTGCTCTTCATTTATCATCTATTTCTTCATTGATAAGTCCAGTGGATTCCCAGTACTCACCTTGTTTGACTTCTTGGTAGCATTTCTCACTCTTCTCCATCCCCTAATTGAAAGATCGCTATCCCCTGGCTTCTAAGTCTCTGTGTTATCCTTAATTTCTATTTACCTCCCTAAGGTTATTCTTTCCCAGTATTCTTCAAGAGCTGATCCTCCCCTATCCAGGCATTAAAGGTTGCTGTTTTTCATTACTCTGGACTAAGCCCTCTTCTCTTGTCATTATGCATACTCTCCCTGTGTGATCTCACTCACTCTTATAGTTGACCATTACCACCTGTGAGCTGTTGACTCCAAAATTTATAACTTGTTTATTTATTCAAAAACCAAATAGTATATATTATCAACCCAGATCTCTTTCCTGTCAGACATGTGTATTTGACTGTTCATGATGAGTTTATTATTTTTCTAATAAAACCAGATCCTTCCCATTCTGTGTTCTTTACATTTATACCCAGTTGCTCCAGCCCAAAATGTGGGTGTTGTCCTTTATTGTTCCCACTTCCTCAATTTCCACAATAAACCAGCAACCTATTTTGATTGATTTCACGTTTCTGAACGGGGTGAGTGAAGGAACTATGTAAATAAATAGGGGAGAACATTCTAGGCAGAGGAGACAGCAAGGTTGTACTCAAGGAACAGCAAGGAGGTCAGTATTTCTAAAACACATTGTTCTGGGATATGGTGAGAGAAAAGTGATAGGGAATGAAGTTTGAAAGTTAGAGGGAGAACTCTCACTTAAGGTCTTTGCTCAAATGTCACCTTATCAGAGAGGCCTTCCCTGACTACCCTCTATAAATTAACATTGTCTACAATCACATTTTGCATTTTCCTATTTCTTACTGATATGGTTTGGCTGTGTCCCCACCCAAATCTCATCTTGAATTGTAGTTGCCATAATCCCTACAAGCTGTGGGAAGGACCCAGTGGGAGGTAACTGAATCCTGGGGGTGACGGTTTTGTAAGGGGCTTCCCCCTACACTCAGTTCTCATTCTTCTCCCTCCTGCCATCATGTGAAGAAGGGCATGTTTGCTTCCCCTCCTGCCATGATTGTAAGTTTCCTGAGGCCTCCCCAGTTATGCAGAACTGTTGGTTAATTAAATCTCTTTCCTTTATAAATTACCCAGTCTCAGGCAATTCTTTATAGCAGTGTGAGAACAGACCAATACAGTAAATTGCTACCACAGAGAGCAGGGCACTGCTGTCGGGATACCCAAAAATATTGAAGAGACTGGAACAGGGTAAAAGGCAGAGGTTGGGACAGTTTGGAGGCCTCAGAAGAAGACTGGAAAATGTCGGAAAAGTTTGGAACTTCCTAGAGAGTTGGAGGGCTTGGAAGACAGGAACATGTGGGAAAGTTTGGAATTTCCTAGAGACTTGTTAAATGGTTTTGACCAAAATGCTGATAGTGATACGGACAATGAAGTCCAAGCTGAGGTGGTCTCAGATGGAGATGGGGAACTTGTTGGGAAGTGGAATAAAGGTGACTCTTGCTATATTTTAGCAAAGCGACTGGAGGCATTTTGCTTCTGCCCTAGAGATCTGTGGAACTTTGAACTTGAGAGAGATGACTTAGGGTATCTGGCAGAAGAAATTTCCAAGTAGCAAAGTATTCAAGATGTAACTTAGGTGCTGTTAAAAGCATTCAGTTTTATGTATACACAAAGATATGGTTTGGAATGGGAACTTATGTTTAAAAGGGAAGCAGAGCACAAAAGTTTGGAAAATTTGCAGCCCAATGATGCAAAAGAAAAGAAAAACCCATTTTCTGAGGAGAAATTCAAGCCTGCTGCGGAAATTTGCCTAAGTAGTGAGGAGCCAAATGTTAATCACCAAGAAAATGGGGAAAATGTATCCAGGGCATGTCAGAGGTCTTCACAGCAGCCCCTCCCATTACAAGCCAGGAGACCTAAGAGGAGAAAATGGTTTCCTGGGCCAGGACCAGCACCTTGCTGCATTGTGCAGTCTCAAGACTTGGTGCACTCCATCCCAGTTGTGGCTAAAAGGGGCAAACATACAGCTCAGACCATTGCTTCAGAGGGTGCAAGCCCCAAGAGTTGGCAGCTTCCACATGGTGTTGGGCCTGCGGGTGCATAGAAGTCAAGAATTTAGGTTTGGGAGCCGCCACCTAGATTTCAGTGGATATATGGAAACACCCATATGTCCAGGCAGAAGTTTGCTGCAGTGGTGGAACACTCATGGAGAACCTCTGCTAGGGCAGTGCAGAAAGAAAATGTGGGGTCAGAGCCCCCACACAGAATCCCCACTGGGGTATTGCCTAGTGAAGCTGTGAGAAGAGGGCCACAGTCCTCCAGACCCCAGAATGCTGGATCTACCAACAGCTTACACCATACACCTGGAAAAGCCACAGACACTCAATACCAGTCCATGAAAGCAGCTGGGAGGGAGGCTGTACCCTGCAAAGCCACAGGGGCAGAGTTGCCCAAGGCTATGGAAATCCACCTCTTACATCAGCATGACCTGGATGTGAGACACGGAGTCAAAGGAGATCATTTTGGAGCTTTAAGATTTGACTGCCCTGCTGGATTTTGGACTCGCATGGGGTCTGTAGCCCCTTCGTTTTGGCCAATTCCTTCCACTTGGAATGGGTGTATTTACCCAATACCTGTACCCCCATTGTATCTAGGAAGTAAGTTATTTGCTTTTGATTTTAAATGCTTATAGGTGGAAGGGACTTGCCTTGTCTTAGATAAGACTTTGGACTTGAACTTTTGGGTTGATGCTGGAATTAGCTAAGATTTTGAGGGACTGTTGGAAAGGCATGACTGTGTTTTGAAATGTGAGGATATGAGATTTGGGAGGGGCCAGGGACTGAATGATATGGTTTGTCTGTGTCTCCACCCAAATCTCATCTTGAATTGTAGTTCCCATAATCCCACATGTCATGAGAGGGACCCAGTGGGAGGTAATTGAATCATGGGAGTGGTGGTTTTATAAGAGGTTTTCCCCTTCACTCAGTTCTCATTCTTCTCCTTCCTGCCACCATGTGAAGAAGGACATGTTTGCTTCCCCTTCCACCATGATTGTAAGTTTCTTGAGGTCTCCCCAGTCATGTGGAACTGTGAGTCAATTAAACCTCTTTCCTTTATAAATTACCCCATCTTGGGCAGTTCTTTATAGCAGCATGAGAACACACTAATGCACTAACTTTATATTATCTATACAATGTATCAAGTTTGTTGATTATTATTGTGTGTTTACTCTTTATCTCCCCTAGTAGGTTCTTATTTCCAGAAGAGCAAATATCTTGTTTATATCATTTAATAATGTCACTCCAATGATCAGGAAAATGCATAATGCATGGTAATGACTCAGTAATTATTGACTGAATGAATATGTAAAATGCCTGGGAGCATAGTTGGTGCTCAAGAAATTGTAGCATTATTATTATTATTATTTGTGAGTAAAGTATTTTGAAAAAGTTAAACATGTAAGTGCTAAACTAGGAAAGCACAAGCACAAGGTGCTTAATTAATTGACTAGAGGCAAATCTGGATGAGAAAAGCAATAGTATTCACCAGAGCTCCAGAGCATGTCATGTACACACTTTTGCTGTCCATGTCACACAAGTATAGGGCAATAGGGTTGTTAAGCTGTAGTTGCTGCTGGCAGCTGGAGAGTGCTAGTAATACAAAAGCTATTCTTTGGCTCTTTCTTATGGTGTCTGTGGAGCAATCTCATCAAATGGAGGCAACTCTGATGATACTATTAGTAGCAATAGAAAGAGCAAGACTTCAGTGCAACCTCACTTTCAGGCTTTCTGCATCTAACTGGTTGCTGCCTGTTTCCAAGCTCTTCAGTAGCCTTTGGTCAAGCACTTCTCATAATGCCCACTCCTGAGGCTGTGTCAGCCCCTGACAGTGGCTCAGCACATTAACTAGCACAAAGGGAATCTTTATTTTATTACTTTGTAAGGGGCGGGGCACAACACAGATTCATTTCAAACAAACTTAATTGTCTTGGGAAACTGAGCAACATGCTACAACAAAAATGTTTATATTAAATAAGAAAAAAACATATTATAGGAAAAACAGCTTTCTGATAAACATTAATAGGATTCTATATTTGAAGCTGTCTCTGAGGAAAACAACCATGAGTTATAGTAAATAGCTCAATCAAGTTAGCTGTTGTGTAGCAGTTGATTCCCTAAAGCCTTAAGATTATTGGGGGCATTAATAAGGGGAAAGGAAATGCTATTACTAGAAGCAATGGATCCCTTTTACTCTTGGGATCAAGACTCAGCTTTGAGTAGTGGACTGTTTACTGAAGCTGAGAAGAGGTCACAGTAAAAACGGTCCTGGTGGTGTTTAGTTGCTGTGTACGTACTAGAAGCAGAAACAAAATTAGAGCAGTATGTTCTTTGAAACTATTTAAGTCTACAGGAAGATGCATACAAGATGCAATGAATTTGTCTTTTCAGTGAAATTTAAAAATTAGAAAGAGAAGTTACATTTTCAGGTTTCAGGCCCAGAAACTTGTACTGGGCAGGAGGTCAAAGGGGTAAATCTAAGAGCCGGGCCTGAAGTGGACATGGAAGTAAGCAAACCCTATAAGACGTACAGATTGAGACAGGTTCATTTCCATTGCTAAAGAAGGTGAGGCCTTAAGATGGGTCAGAGTCTTCCAAATTTCATCACTTGAAACTTTATCTAAATCAGCTCATTTCATTACTTAAATAAATGTACTAATTTTAAAAGGGAGCTATATTGTAACTGGCAGATCGATAACACTTGTTATTAACAAAGGGTGACCATACAATAAATACAATGTGGATTAAACAATATTATTAAGTTCCAGCTAGATACTATTGTTAGTCCTATTCTCTTAGCTTGAAGACCACTTTTGTCTTTTTTCAAAGAAGTATTGGCAACTGTTATAGAGTTATTAATGACAAACCAGCACCAAACCAAGAATTTCTCATTAATGTAATCAGAAGAACTGAATGAGCATTGAAAAGAGATTAACGTTCTCATTATAAATCATCTATTATGTGCCTGTGTCCCAACAGTACTAAGTATTCCAAACTTAGGAAAACGTAAAGTTAAACAAGTAACAGTTTAAAAGCCATAGTCTAAGAGGAACAAGATGTAAGAAGGAAGAGCAAAACAAGAATTAAAATGTAGGATGAACATTCAGGGAGTGGAATATTACAGCAAATGAAGATATGAGGCTGTGTCAGTCAGCTTGTTTGCAGTTATACTAAGGTTAAAAATAATCTCACTGGCTTAACCACAACCAATATTTTTTCTCCCTCATAGTCCCATCAGTGACTGTGAGTCAGCTCTAGTTCCGCAACCTGTGCCTTTTCATTATGAGATCTAAGCTAAAGGAGTAGCCCCTATTTTCTTCTCTGAAAGCTTCAACTCAGATACAGTGCATATCATTTCACTCATATTTCATTGGCTGGAGAAAGTCACATGGCCAAACTTCAAATATAATAAATGAGGCAGAGAATATACTCCTCTACATGGAAATACTGCAAGTCCCATGGCCATGAGTTGCAATGCATTATCCTCCTATGAAGGGAGTGAATGATTGGGACCAATAATACCATCTACCATAAGGGCCATGCTAGAAGACCAGGGGCAGCTGTAACTGTCACTACCATTTATGGAGCCCTTATTATGTGCCCACCCCTTTTTAAGTGCTTTACATGCATTTTTCTCATTGACTCCCATCAGCAACCCTATGAGGAAGGAATTCTTATCCAAGGAGAGAGCTGTATCCTTCCTGGGGACTGGTGGGGAGGAATAAATGTGATAGTTACTCCTAATGCAACAGTTTAAGAGAACAGCAATTTTATGAGAGTTATTGGCTAAAGAGGAAGCCCTATAGTGTCAAGACATGAAGCACACAACAGAAATTCTGGAAGTATTCATTATAAGCACACATGAGACAATATATTGAGCCTGTTATTTTGAAGCTGAAAAGTGGGGAATGAGAGGTTCTTCGCATAATAATTTGAGTAGAGAAAGGATTTTTGTTTGTTTTTCAGTTACAAGTTAATGAAGTCTGGAATACATGAGTTAGTTTTTTTTTAATGCAGTTTCTCCTCAAGTCATTGTCTTTTAAGTAAATTTTTTAAGTCATCTTTTTTATTTTGTTGGAATTGTTATTTTTCTCTTTTCTATCAGTTTCTTATCATTAATGTAGTGCCTTTTCATTAATGAATTCTAATACATTTTAATTGTTTTGTTATCTGTTCCTTTGTTCTTATTGTTTTCACTATTTTACTACATTATTCTTTATATGTTAAATTCCTTTTTGTTTCATTTAATGATCTCAATTAGAAAATTGTTCTATTGCAAGCATGTTGCCAGTTTTATTATCTTTATATTTTTATTCCCATATTTTATTATTTCTTTTCATTTTTATTTTTAATTCCTTTATTTTAAATTTATTTTATATCTTCTACTTTACTTTTTAAAAAATAGGTGATCTTTTTATATTTCATTGTTTGTGTTACATTTTTGAATCAATACTTGGAATGCAGTAGATGTAGGTTTGTGGAGGATAACTATGAATCTGCTTCTCATGAAGGAGAATAGACCTCTGAGATGATGTTCAGGGACAATTCCAGCCCCAGTGTGAATCAAGGGCTAGGAAAATATGCAGGTTAATAGACTGACAACACATGATGACGACTGGAAAAAATGTTACAGCCTGAAACTCATCACTCGCTGAAAGGTAAACAGACTTTTTCAATTCCACTTACCAGTGGAGGTGTTTCCAATATACACCCTCAGCCTGAGTCTAATCTTATCATACTTTGGATGAGGCTGAGACCATTGTTAGCAGTTTATTTCTGCCAGTAGACATGACTTAGGTTGGCAAGGGCAGACAAGTATGTAGTCCTCATTTATTTGAACACTTTCAGGTGTGGTTTCTACACTTGTGTTTAACAGTCCTTCAAATTCAAACAAAACACAAACAAACTAAAGGTGAGAAGACCAACATTTGGTTGATAACTCTGTATTTCATCAAGTTACTGCATTTTAGTAAATAACCTTCTATTGTCAACATTGTTTCTCAGAACAAAAGACATCTTTATATCAAAAAATAGGAGGAAATAATCTTAGAATAAAAGAGACCATTAAATTAAACAAATTGAGCTCTGTTAAAACTTAGTATACACTCATTTTTCCCATTTGCCATGTACCAATAAAAACCGAACCACAGAAAGTCACCAACCTATAGAGCAGTATCTTGAATTCACTGCTATAAGTTCTATATTTTATTATTGAGGCCACAGAAAAGTATATGCTTTAACCACTTTAACTTAGTCTTTCCTAGAATTCCCTTCACGGCGCTATCTTTGTATATTACCCTCTCTGCTTTTATAAGAAATCTTACAGAATATTCTGCATTTACTTTTAAAAGTGTTCATTTTTCATTGTCCTGTGCAATGAACTACATGATAGAGTTGAGCTATTTAAAAACTTGCCTCCGCTTAGGAACTGATATGGGTTTGATATGGGCCCTTTACATAACTTAGTAACTTATTTTGTTTGGGGTTCCAGGAAGCTCAGAGCCACCATTTCAACTCAATTACAAAAATTCTATTTATTTTTAAAATTAGCATGCATACATTTACCCTTTTTCCTTGGTTTATATTTTCTATTTACTCTCCTATTGTCCATGTTATAAGGCCTCACAATGCCTTTCTAGATAGTTGTGGGTTACAAATTAGTATAAAATTTAACTAGTGGTCTCATTGCTTTTGATTAATCTACACATTCTATTGCCTCTATTTAAGTTTCTTGAGTGTGGAATCAATGATTGATTCACCTTTGTATTTTTTATAGTGTTTAACACACAGCAGGTAGATGAAATGCATACTTGTGAAATAGCTTGCTGGCTGGCTAGCTGGCTGGATGAGGCTTTATTTCTCTCGCTTGGCTAGACGTATCATTTTTTATGTTGAATATTTTAGGGACCATATAAAGTAGAAAAACCTGTGTAACCATTAGTGCAGGAAATCACTAAGTGTTAAGATGTCTAATTTTAAAAAAAGGCCTTCTTCCCAATTGTTGGAAAACTATTAATGATTTTTTAAGGATAACACCAGCATATCTGCCACATGCAAAACTATGAAAGAATGCTATACTTGTACTTAGACACGTCTCTTCTCACACTGAAATGTTGAAAAGATATTCGTAATGTTGCCAGGTTTCATTTTGCTTCATTTATCTGACACTCTGTCGGCTTAACTAGAATATCTGGCTTTATCACATATTTCATTCAAGAATGTCATACCATTTTCAATCTTACTAGCTCCCTCATCCTTAACCCACTTTTATTCTGCATCCCACATTCTAATAGTGTCCTGTTTTAGAAGCGAATTCCTTCCTCACTGAAAATGAGTTAGAAGGTTTAGCCCTTTTTTGAAAATTTCAGATACAGAATGATCACAGTTTTATAAGTGTGTCTACTAATCAGTAAGAGAACTCAGACACTGCTTTTACTCAAACAATACTTCAGGAGTGTGGATCATCTCCAAAGCACTCCGAGTACTCACCCAACAGCTCATTGTCTGGGCAGCTCTCTGCATCATGAATAATGTAACTACGGGCAAGTGTGGGGCTCCAGGATAAGGTAACTTAAATAAACTCTTCAGAGAGATTTTACATTTGAAAGGGAGAAAGGTTTTCATCTAAAGACACACATTAGCAACACAGGAAATGAATCATTTGCATCGCAGAAGACAGAAATTGAAGCCAACATGTTTGGCTGTTACTGAAGAAGTTTCCACCAGGTGTGCATGCTTTTTCAGGTCATGGCGAAGAAGGCAAAAAGCCATTGCAATCCAACTCCTTCATAAAGGAAAGGAACGGCTGAAGACCCTTCAAGAATGGCATGACATGTTTTGGAAAGGAAGTAACTCTGTATTCAAAAGACATAGCTCAGGTAGCTGTGCTACCCAGAACCCAGAGACACCCAGAAGATTAACAACTGGCCACTGTGCAAAAGGGTGTCTCCCTCAGATCAGAAATAATGGTACTCTTAATATCTATTCAATCTAACTCCAGCTCACCTAACATGTAAATCAAGGCTTTCGTTCATTTTATTATTTTGAGTTGCACATCTTGTCATAACAAATACAGTGAATTTAAAGAAAAGCTCTAGGTGAAATTAATTGCTCCCAGAAGTGATTATCTTTTACTGCCAGAGGCCAGGGAAGAACTGAGAGGCAGTGAAAAGAGATCAAAATAACACTTTGCTGTTTGAAAGATTCAGCATCATTTACTGGCAGAAGTATTAAGACTTGCCAGCAGTCAGACTTTGCATTTGGCCTTTCAAAATGCACTGAAATTGAAGCCAGAATGTTGGGGTGCAGCTTATATAACCGTCTGACTCTGAAGCTGTTCAGAAATAACCTTATTCTGCAGTACCCAGTCCTAGAGATAGCACAGATAATGTTTTGGAGCTGGATTGTGGGGTGGATATTTTACAACTGAATTATAGTTTTCAGTTTTTTAAATTTACTACACATATACGTTATGCAAATACAGTGTCAAGTTTTGGAAATGATATCCATGTATAAGGGTATTCACTTCTAACTACATCGTGATCTGCAGGTGCTCAGTAAGAACCCCTGCCATTGTCTCAAGGCAGTGTCTGTCAATCTAATTTAATGATCATAGAGATCTTTGTCTGATTCTAAGGACCAGGAGTTCATTCAACCAGACATCCCATAGGGAGGTTTCTTAGTTGGATGGCAGGAGATCTGTGCCCAGGGGTCCTTTCATTATACCTATTTAAAACTTCTTACTATAAAGCCAAAATTCTGCTACCTTTCATGATACCACAGAGAAATTATTCTTTTAAATTTCTAAGTGGATGTCTCAGCCATGAGATTACAATCCACAAAGACTACGAAAATACTGACTTGAAAAATTAGCATAGTATTAGGCGCCCAGTGGGCACTCAATAAATATTAAGATGGTGATGATGATGACACTTTGGATTCAAGAGGATGTAAATTCTGTTTCTTTAAGCACTTAGAATTAGTTGAAGAGCTATGCATTTTGCAAAATGCTTACCTAAATCTGGTCAAAATCACTCAGCAACTTGTGGCAAATCCCCTTTAATCCTCTATAGTCTCTTAAATTGCCAATATGTATTATGGCCATATTTTACTTCTCAATGACACTGGAAGGTATTTATTCCTGCAGTAGAACTGTTCTTTATATAGGAAAACAGATTTTTATAAGCTTAATAATGTCGTCATCTGCACATCTTCTTTATTTTCTATATCCAGTATATTTTTCAGCTTTGTCTTAAAAATAATTATTAATAGGAGTTAGGTAACGTCTTATATTCTGAAAAGTTCAGGCATATTATATACTGTCCTCATCTTTCCAGCATCAGTACGTAAGTGGTGCTCTGGAAAATGCTATTCCCATTTTAAAGACAGAATAACTAAATCTGAAAATAATTGGTGGTGATTTTATAGGTTATTTGAGAGAACTGTCAAAATTGAAATATAAAAACGGGTCTATCTTTATAGATCTTGCTAGCCAGAAGGGAAAATTCTGAAAATTTTAATGATACTCTGAGTGAGTACATGCTGTTTCACTCAACATTTTAGAATCGATGATATTTTGTGTAAAATAGAGCCGCAATTCTCAACAAGGAAGGTGTGGCTTCCCCATGGGACATTTAATAGTATATGGGGGAATTTTTGTTGTCATAATGATTGGAGGACCCTACTGACATTTAGTGAACAGAGACCAGAGATTATAGATTTCCTGAAAACATACAAGACACTCCTGCATTGAACTTGATACACCACTTCTCAGTAAGTGGCAAATTTCCCCATCTAGAAATTCAAAATAACTGTTTCATGACATGGGAGGTGTGGGAGTATGCAGATGAGTGATTATAATGAAATTGAGATTATGGAAAAATTGAAGTCATTAGAAATGACAAGGACTAGTGAATGACAATGTCTATGGAGTCGATAATTACAGGGAAAGCCAGGTGTTATTTGCAGTGCTCAAATCCCACCTTGATTCCTGATTATGGAGGGTAAAACGTCTAGAGGAAGCAGGGTCTTTGCCCCAGTATGGGGTCTCACTCTTGACTTTTTGATGGTGTTAAGAACACCTGGAGGAGCTGAACATCATTCCCAGTACTCAGGCTCCTTGTTTTACTCTAATGGTGGGGTAGAAGTCAAGAAAAGGTGAGATCTGATTCCCAGTGCACAAGGCCTATTAATTCCTTTTGAAGGAGGAGAATAATTACATTTGAAGATTTGTGTGGATTTCCCTTGACCCCTGTTGATGGAGTTGAAAATGCCTTCTGGGGAAACTGGCTACAGTGCCAAATGTGCAGGTCCCATTTTTACCCCCATTAATGGTGAGCTTACCCAATAAATAGCTTTAAATACCAGAGATATAGCTAAGCCTACCAAGTTTTTAACTTTAGTTCAGAACTTTCTTCTGAATATCATACTTGTATTTCCAACTGCCTACCCAACATCTCCACTTAGATGTCTAATAAACATTTCAAACTTGACATCTTCAAAACTGAATTTGATATTCCTCTTCTTTCACCCCACAAAAGCTGCAAGTTTTCCCATCTCAGTAAATAGGAACTTTCACCATCCGGAATCTTTTTCAGGCTAAAAATTTGGAAATCATTTTCCATCACGCTCTTTCTCTCATACTCCATCCAATTCATCAGGAAATTCTGTTGGCTCTTTAAAACTTATACAAAACTCAGCTATTTCTCACCATCTCCAGTGATAAAACCCTGATCTAGCCACAGTCATTTCTTACCTGGACTACAATATCCTCCCAACTAGACTCCCTGATTCCATCCTTGTCCAGCCCCAACCCCACCCCCAACTATTCCCAACATAGCATCTATTTAAATCATAAATAAGATATCATGTCACTCCTCTGCTTAAAACTCTGCAATGGCTTCCCATTCAGAATGAAATTTTAAGTGCCTAAAGTGGTCTACAAAGTCCTACAAGATCATCCTGCCTCCCACTACCTCTCTGACCTCATGCCCTGCTACTGCCCACTTCATACACTTGATTTTGGCTAGACTGGCTCCCTTGCTCCACCTTCGCCAGGCATGAGCCCTCATTACAGCCTTCGCACTGGCTGTTCTCTCTGCCTAGAATTCATGGTTAACTTCTTCAGCTCTTTCAAGATTTTCTGCAGATATCACCTTCTCAATGAGGCCTGTCAAAACCACTCTCATTTCAAATTCGAACCACCTACCACTCCTTGGCAATTCCAATAGTTACCCTGCTCTATTTTCTCCCAAGACACTTAATACCTTTCAATATGCTATTCAATTGGTTTTGGTTTTCTGTGTTTATTGTCTGTCTTCTTCCCACTCCACTCCCAACTAGTCTGTAAGCTCCCTGAGGGCAGGGATACTTGCCTGTCTTGTTCACTGTTCTATTCCAAGTATCTAAGACAGTGCTTGGCACTTAATGAGTGCTCAATAAATATTTGTTAAATCACTTTCAAATGTCCAAACACACATTCATGCAGTTGAAAATTTTTTTACACTATAATTTGAGGAAATATTATTCTTTGTTTGGTTTGAAACTTAATAAGCTTTTTTTCCCTTTTTAATCATTTAGAGGAAATCATGTCATAAACAGCAATTACACTTATGGTATTTGGGTATTTAGGTATTTGGCACCTACAAAGTAAACCTTGGTAGCTGTCATGTCATAATGATTTTTACCTGTAGTTATAAGCATCTATTTTATTACATCTTCTGAAGTAGTTTTGACTGACCATTTGTATATTTAGCTATATGTTACTTTCTTTTCATTTACCTTTTATATTATTGATAGAACATTATATTGTTCCTTTTTCCCCTTGAATAGTGTGTGACAGTAGGTTATAGTATCTATAAATTTTATTTCAGAATTTTAAAGTAGGTTTCAGAAAATAAGTATTAGAAAGGTAATGCAGTTATTAATACTTCCAGATTAATACTGCACATTTCATATTTAGTTTGTGACTTTCCAGGGGTAGATATTTGAACATTCTCTAAAATTAGGGAGCAGACAGCATAGATCAGATCCACTGATTTTTTTTTTCTTTTTTTTTTTGAGATAGAGTCTCATTCTGTCACCCAGGCTAGAGTGCGGTAGTGTGATTTCGGCTCACTGCAACCTCTGCCTCCTAAGTTCAAGCGATTCTCCTGCCTCAGCTTTACGAGTAGCTGGGATTACAGGCATGCACCACCATGCCCAGCTAATTTTTGTATTTTTAGTAGAGACGGGGTTTCACCATGTTGGCCAGGTTGGTCTCGAACCCCTGACCTCAGGTGATCCACCCACCTTGGCCTCCCAAAGTGCTGGGATTATAGGCATGAGCCACCGCACCCAGCCCAGATCCACTACTTTATGAAAAGTACTCACCAGCTCCACAGACTTTCCTGCTAAGGCTAGGAAACACAATTTGCATGTCTAAGATCGTAAGTAACCCTAAATTCTCTGCTACCATTAGCTACAAACACAAATTGGACAGCTTTGTTGTAAAGTCTCTGCTCCTCTCTGCTTCCCAGCACAAACCTTATAAGTCATTTCTGTCCACAAAATATAAACTTAGGTGTGTATCTGTTTGCCTTTGTCTAGTGTAAAACATGTTCCTAGCTCTATTGTCCTGAACCCATTTCCTGTCTATTTTTTCCCAATCTGTCAAAGGTTTCCTTAAGAAAGTACCTTTAGAACCTGCTTTCTGACTTTTACCTCTTGGCTATACCAGCATCATCTACCGCTTCCAGGATGAAGCTCTTGAGCTATGTTGCATCCATCCCTATCTGCTGGATTATTTCTGTTCCTGGCTAGTTATACCATTCTGATATACAGGAATGGCGAGCCACTAAATTTTGACAATTTGAAAGCAAACTAAAATGATTTTATTTTTTTCTCCTAAAGTTCTTCTGCCCTTGTGACTTTGACCTTCATTTGAATGTGTACTTACATGACGTTTTAATGCATATAGTTACTACCCCTGTCTTTTTGGTCTATGCTAGATGAGTCTAAGACTTAGCTTAAAACCAGTCAATCATTTTACTTCCATATATTGCAGATGACACTGCTAATGGTTGTGTTGCACACTTGTGCAATTCTGGCTGAAAAGTCTAATCTACGGTCTTTAGTACCAAATAAACAGATTTTAAAGTGCCTGTCACTTGTCTGAATCTCAAAGCACTTAATAATGAAAGTTTGATTCTCTCACATAGGTTGGCATAAAGAAACTTTGGGTGAACAGCAGGCTGTTATTTTATAATGTAACTTTTTTTAAGGAAATCCTTGGGGTTGTAAGATATCATCACCTACTTGGGCACTTGGCCAAGACAATGAACTGAGCGTTGGTATTCATGCACACTCTATCGCGATTTGTATGTCATTTTAATGACCCCTGGTATTCATGATTTAGCTTTTAGTTTCTGTAATCAAAAGATTAGCAAATCTCTCCCTCCTTTCTGACTGCTATTCACTCACTGCCTCCTTGTCTTCTTTCTCTCCTCACCAACCAAGCTACAGCCATGCTCTGAGCTGCCCCTAATTTTCCTGCTTCATCTTCAACAGAGGGGCAGCTGCCACTGTCAACAGCAAAGCAGGAAGGAAAGAGGGAGAGAGTGGGGAAAAAAGGGTGGTAGAGCACTACCAAGAAGGAGCACATGAATGAACCTGTGATGACTTTGATCCTCTTCACATTCTCCATTGCCATTCAGCTCCCAACCCTTATCCCTAATAAGAGCTGCCGCCTGAGAGGCCAAGTGTTTCCTGGGGAAAAGCTGCTGCTATCAAAATCACCTTGGAGCTGAACCAAGGTGAAAACCACATCCCAACCTCTGCTTGAACTAGAAGCCGCCTAGAAGTTCCTTGAGTGTGCGATGGTTGAACTTACCAAGAGTCCTTCTGGAACTCTCCAGAGTGCCAGAAAATTCAGAAAACAGCCAGACTTGCAGGGTTGTAGCTGGTCTACAAATCAAGAATTCTTTGACATCTAAGAATCTTAACTTCAAGGCACAACATCAGTAGAAAGGGTTGCCGTTAATGCTACTGTTTGACAAACAAGCTGAGAACTGTTTTGAGGACTTTGGGCTTAGTTCTTCCTCACTATGATGGCTGATACTGTTTGTGCAGAGATCCCAGTAAACTAGTCGTCAGAACTCATTCTTTAGCTGGTAGCCAATGTCACAAACCCCAGCAGCCTAGAGTACATGGAAAAGTCAACATTGGATGCAATTTATTACATCTGCCAAGAAATTTACAGGGAGCAGCTAAGGGATAAATCTAAAGAGATTGGAGGTCCTAATAGTAATGTGAAGTTAGTGGCTACTAAGGCACTCCTGAACTACTGGAGTTCACCAGAGCAAACTTTGACGAAGAGTCTGAAAGGCAATTTATTTTGCAGGTTGTCTACGGAGCAACCTATTATCAAGATAATTAGGTATAAGTGGGTACATTACAGAATCTGGTCAAGAAAATGTCCCTATATTATCAGTACATGGACACATACATGAGTCCTGCTCTTTTTGTGGTCACAAATGAAGTAATGAATAGTGACTTTGATGAAGTGGTTCTATAAGGAATAAAATTCTGGTCCAGTGTCTGTGATGAAAAAATAGATTTCGTCATTAAAGCTTAAGAGGCAGCAGAACAAAGAAGGCCCCCACAGCACACAGCGAGTTCTGTGCCAAGGGAGCTCTACAATTGTGGTTCCAATTCTTATACAGACACTAGCAAAAAGTGATGAAAATGATGATGTTCCTGACCACGTGATGTGAAGATGACATTCTCCCACATGTACTTCTCTCTGTTAAAGAACATTCAAGCATCCCGATTAGTCATACCAGGATACTACTGTGACGGCTTTTGCCTGTATCTTGGAAGAACAGAAACCCAAAAAGCTACAACTCCTAGTCATACATGCAATGTTTATCTTAATGGAATTAATCAAAGACCCTTGTGTAAGTTTTTTTATATACAAGTATACACACTGAGGGCGGATTTTGAAAGCTGCTTCATGAAGCTGCCATCAAGGGTGTCTACTTGGCTCCCCTGCCACAAAGTCTGATGGAAGGCCTGAATGATGAACCCAGAATGTCTTCAAATGCATGCTGGGCTTTTCCCAGTCTCGCTGAAGCTGCTTATGAAACTTTGTAAGTAATGGCCAGGAAGACACTGCTACTTCCTGGTTATCCTCATATTTCAGAAGCTCATGGAGACCCCAGACAGCTTCTGCTGACCAGCAGAACAACCTGAGAAGTGCTGCATATGATGCTTTGATGGAAATTGTGAAAAATATTACTAAGTACTATTACCCTTCAGTTCAAAAATTGACTCTGACAGCTCTGGTCTGACTGCAGAAGGTGTATCAGATGAAATCCCATATAAGAGCACTTTTGATAAGATCTATTTCAATGACCTTTGGTCTTTACTCTGCCTAACTCTTTGAAGTGTTCCCTGAAAAGTGCAGCATCAAGATGAGACCATAGTCTCCCTGTCAAGGATTTTCCAAATCACAAGTAGGTCTGGAGGAATGCAAGAGGATGACCTAATGGCAGTTAACACACTGGGGGAAATGTTGATTGATGAATTTCTAAAGTACATAGAAGCCTCTAAACTCTTTCTGAGCAAGGATATTGTATTGAAAAATTATACTGAGTGTCAGGTTTTATTGGAGACCATAGGTTTAGTGGAAGACTTATGTCACATTTTGAAATTCAGTATCTTACCTTTTGTTGATGGAGAACATAGGGAATGAGAATATCCACAGGTTTGTGAAGACACAGATTCTGTGTTTGGTGATATTGCCCTTATTATTGGTGGAGAGTTTACCAAATACCTAAATGGTATTCATACAAATGGCATTCAGCAAACCTCCAAATCCCAGATGAACAAGTCAGACTATGAATGACATGGTGGATTATCTGAATGAACAAAGAGAAGATTGCTGGGAAGCGTAGACTATAATTGTCCAAGGACCAAAGGGAGGCTAGAAGAATGCATACCCAGATATACTCCTGATGCAACCAATAGTAGAATACAGTATGTCTTTCTTCTACCACACTGCTAGATTGAGAATCGTACAGAAAGCATAGGTAGTCGTGTGCTGAACTGATAGGGAGCTTATGTACAGCATTTAAGAAAGATGCGGCTGGGTACAGTGGCTCACGCCTGAAATCCCAGCGCTTTGGGAGGCCAAGGAGGGTGGATCACCTGAGGTCAGGAGTTCTAGACCAGCCTGGCCCACATGGTGAAACCCTGTCTCTACCAAAAATAGAAAAATTAGCCAGGCGTAGTGGCAGGCACCAGTAATCCCAGCTACTCAGGAGGCTGAGGCAGGAGAATCACTTGAACACGGGAGGCAGAGGTTGCAGTGAGCTGAGATCGCACCACTGCACTCCAGCCTTCAGGATAGAGCAAGACTCTGTCTCCAAAAAAAAAAAAAAAAAGAAAGATGTACTGAAATTAGTAACAACTAGGCTGATGATTACTGAAGTATTGACTAAGGGACAGAAATTTAAAACAAAACAAAACCCTTGCTTCATGGGCAGCAGTATAACTGAAGAAGCTGAAGAACCAAGGCTGATCTGTGGCCACCGGGATGATACCTGAGATTACCACTGGGAATTTCCAATCTTTCAACAAACCTGGAAAGGAACAGTGTGCACAGATACTGAAAACACACCACATTGAAAATCTTGCTACAGTAGCAGCAGCTGTTAGTGACAGCACCGTTGGTTAGCTACATAAACACTGACTTCAGAGAAACCATTATATTAGCCATCTTAAAAAAGAGAAAAATAAATGATTTACTTAGTTGAGGAAGAAGAATAGGAGGAGGTGGAGGGAACAAGAGAAAGAGGCAAGGGCAATAAGAGAGAAAAAAAAGTTATCTCTTCCCAAGCAATGCTGCAATTTGCTTTTCAGTATTTCAGCTAGTGCTGAGTGGAATGACTGATTTTTTTCCCAAGAAGAGAGACTAGGTTTCACAGTTGTGTTTCCTCCTAAAAATCTGCCTGACCTATGCAATTGAAGATGACGATGGAGTTTGGGTTTGTGCTTTTACCACACAGTACTGCATGCATGCAGGTTAAAAGGAGGATGAGGAATACTTTACAATTTGAGTGTAGATGAATGAAGCTGAATCCACACTGTCAGCTTCAAGCCATTGAAGTTTATCTTTTTGCCTTAAAAAAGCAGGGGAGGCTAGATGTTGCATTTCACAAAACTAACTGAATTTTTGTCTGCTGAAGGAGAACAGGAGATGTAAAAGAAAAAGAAAGCCACTTTTTAGGGGTTTGGCTATTTGTTTTGAATTATTATTATTTTAGAAAAAGCACTCACAAATTGTCAGAATAAAAATGCAGGCATCCAAAAAAAAAAAAAAAAAGACACACAAAGCTCCACAGCCTAAAGAAATCAAAATTTAAATTATCGAAATTGGTAACACAAAGAGAAAGCTCTCTCTTGACTTGTATGTGGCATGCTGGGCATCCACCTTCCCTAAAAGAAAAGATGTCATGGAGTTTACCAAAAATATACAATAAAAATAAATACACAAAAATACATCAAACTTTAAGTGACTATTTTGGTCTGAAAATGAGGATAAATTTAATGATCAAACAAAATCTAATAAAATAATCATTTGGAAATTCTTTGACTTTCTATTCTTTTTTATTTGTCTCCAATATCGTATTCCTTTCTTGCTATTCTTTAAAATCAACTAACCACAAAACCAATAAAAAATATATGCGTAAAGGGTGTGTGTGTAATTACACCTTTCATGATGAAAACACCACTTATAAAACGTTTTATGTTTCTACTGCAGTTGAAGATTCATACAATGATCTCAAACATTCCATAGGAAAAATCAATAAATTTTAGAGAAAATACAAATATATTCCTCTCCATGAGAAGAGGGGGGAAAAACTTGTCTCCTTTACATAGAGCTACGTGGAAATTGAACCTCATCTAATAGCCCTTTATAATTACATTTGACAAGTGGTATAGTGTGATAAAATATTCTCAAACTATATATGAAAGACCCTTACACTTATTCCAAGCCTGATGCTTCTGAACTGGTGCATTTTGTTTTTTTTTTTAAAGCAATAGGGTTAGCAGGTTAGTTTGAATCAAGCCAAATACTGATAAAAGCAAATCTCTTTTGATGGGCAGGCCTCAAAATTTTGATGAAGGCTGCTGGTTCAACTAAGCATTGATTAAGTGTGTGGATGCTTATCTAATGCTTATCTGAACTTATCTGAAATTGAACATCTTTGTTCTAAAAAACTGGGCCAAAAATCTGACACCGATTTCAGTGCTTTGGTTCACAATAGGGCACTAGTACAAAAAGAGCACCCCAACTAGGGAATGGTGATATGGCTGGAAATAAAAGCAGGGGGATTGGAAATTAAAACTCAAAAATTTTGAAAATGTGCAGGACAATGAGTCTCAAGGAGGTGGGTGGCATATATAAATATCAGTGAAGGAAAAAGTTTGATGTGTTAATTTGAAAACAAAACAGAAATGTCTTAACTTTTTAATATTTTATACCTGGCAAAAGTTAATTTATTTCTTTATGAGTTAATTTATTTTGAAATTTCATATAGCATTGAAAAACAGTGTGGGATTCAAGAGAAAATAAAGAGAAAACTTCCACTTCTGGGAACATGGAGTAGATGTACTATTTCCCATTCCTCCTGCTAAGTACAACTAGTATATCTTGGGGATTATATGTAAGACAAACATAAGAAGACTCTGAAAAGTGAGGAGAAAAAAGCCAGACTGGCTAAGAACCTTAGGACCCAAGGAAAGGAAAGATGGTTGACCAGAAGGTCATTGGAGGGATTGATTATAAAGTGGTACATCTACTCTGGAATATAGTTTGGTGGTTTCTTAAAAAAACGAAACATAGAACTGTCATACAACCCAGCAATTGTACTCCTGAGCATTTATCCCAGAGAAAGGAAAACTGATGTCTGCACAAAAACCTGTACACCTGCCAGGCGCGGTGGCTCACGTCTGTAATCCCAGCACTTTGGGAGGCCGAGGCGGGCAGATCAAGAGGTCAGGAGATTGAGACTATCCTGGCTAACACGGTGAAACCCCATCTCTACTAAAAACACAAAAAATTAGCCGGGCGTGGTGGCGGGCGCCTGTAGTCCCAGCTACTCGGGAGGCTGAGGCACGAGAATGACGTGAACCCGGGAGGTGGAGCTTGTAGTGAGCCGAGACTGCGCCACCGCACTCCAGCCTGGGTGACAGTGTGAGGCTCTGTCTCAAAACAATAAAAAATAAAACCTGTACACCTTTGTTCATAGCATTTCTATTTATAATAGCCCAAAACTAGAAACAATGGGCATATGCTTGAAGGTGTGAATGGTTTAAATAAACCATGGTATATCCATGGCATGGACTACTACTCAGCCATAAAGATAAACAAACTATTGATACACACAATAGCCTGAATGAATCTAAAAGAGCAATGGCTGAGTGCAGAAGGCCAATTTCATAAGTTCACAACCTTGATTCTGTTTATACAACATTCTCAAAATTACAAAAATTCTAGAGATGGAAAACACAGATTACTGCTTTCTAAGGGTTAAAGATGAAATGCATGATATAAGGGAGAGGTGGGTATAACTCTAAAGGGGTAACATGAGAAAGATCTTTGTGGTGATGGAATAGTTCCGTATCTTGATTGTGATGGTAGGTACACAAATCTACACATGTGATTAACTGACATAGCACTATATACATATATTGTACCAAAGTCAATTTCCTGATTTTGATATTGTACTATAGGTACTTAGGATGTGGCCACTGGGAGGAAACTGAGTGAAGGGTACATGGGATTTCTTTACTCTATCTTTGCAACTTCCTGTGAATCTATATTTATTTCAAATCTAAAACATTAAAAGAAGATTAGGCCTAGAAGATCAAAAAACACTGGTAGAGGGGGAAAAATGTAGACAAGAAGGCATTTGTTAATCTCAATTTTGAGAATTGTGCCACATTCTATTTGAGTAAAATTTCAGTCCAAGATTATAGTTTTATTTTAATCCCTGAGTTTGTGCTTTTTAAAGTTTGGTAGTGCTATTATTTGGGAGTCACAGAAATATAGAATACTAACACAAAGGCTTTCAATTTCTGGTCCTGATCCATTCGCACTTGTCTAGAGAAATTGTCTCAATAAAATCTGTGGTCTAAATTCATAGCATTTTTCATTTGAATTAAATGTTCTGGGGGGAAAGGACAGGACATTTGCCCTGAAAACATAAACTTCACTGTCAACACTGACCCAGCAATATTTATAATATCTTTTCTGCATCTTTTCTCAGTATAACCAATATAGCCACTACTAGAATATTACTAGGTTGGCTGTGGTCTCAGAACACATGCTCAGGAAAATGTGCTGTATCATCTAGAAACATCAACCAAGACCTTAAAGAACAGGGGCTTAAACAAGATTTTAAAAATCAATTTTTTCTAACATAAAAGTCATTCCAAGGTAGGCAACTCAGAGACGATAATTGTAACTCCAAGGTCACAAAGTATGAGTTTTTATGTTTATAATCCATCATCTTTTGCAGTGACTTCCATATGCAAGATTACCTCATTGTTCAATATGGTTACTGGGGCTCCAGCCATTATGTCCCCATAATCAGCAGGAAGCAGGAAATGGGAAGTGAAAGAGTATATATACCAAATGCTATCTATTTCTTAAGAAGAGTTCCTGGAAATTGCATCCCATCTCTCACTTACCTCTCCAGGGCCAACCAGAATAATATCAGGTTAAGTTATTAACTAAGAAAGAGAGAATGGATATTAGTTAGGCAGCTAGTACTCTTTGTGAAACAGGAAAATAATTATAGCCAGCATTATGGTTTATAAATAAGTACAAAGATTATCCAGTCAGGCCAAAAATATTCTATACCTGGCAAAAGGCAATCTTTGGCAAAGAAGAGAATAGGTTCTCCTAGAATTGGAACTTGATGGGCCATATAAACAGTGACATTCTGGTCAACAAGTAATTGGAGAATTGGATCAACAAAAATATCAGGATTGCAGAGTGTCAGGTGCAAAACTTAAAGGGAAAGTGAAGACTGAAACAGGCACAGTTGTTCACAATGTCTAAACATTTATCGAACTTAAATCTGGACCTACCAAAAGTGGCTCACCCAGCAGATTAAACAATTTCATTGACAAGATCTTATAAGTTCTATAATAAATAACAGGAGTAAGTCACTAGCAACAAGAATATTAAAGATATTTTCTCTAAACTTAGGGGGGAAGGCCATTTATTTATGAATTAGCATTTCTCTAAAAATAAGCAAAGATGCCGTTATTTATTGCCATTTTACAGATGAGGAAACTGAGGCTCAAGTTAGTTAAGACACTTGCAAACATTCATACAGCTATGAAGTGACAGAGCCTAGATTCTTTGTAGTCAGAAAACTGTATTATTATCTGCTGCACAAATCATCGTTACTTAAAAAATATTTTAGCTACATGTTTTATCTAGATCTAAAAGGCATTTACTACTCCTTTCCAGGAGCAGATTATTTTATTTTCCAGACAGCTTAGGAAGTTTCTATTATTCAAGGTTATTGGAAAATATGGTTTCTGGAAAATACTGTATGGTTACCAGAGAGAACTGAGCTTGCTAGTGCATTGGAGGCTTCCTAGCCAGCTGAGTCTCCCTCAAAGGGATCCATCTTCTCTCCAGAGAGGAAGATCCCAGCTGCATCCCTCCTGCAGCATTTTGTCCAGCTGCTTTAAAGCGCTTTGCTTGCAGCAGCCACGGCCAGCTCTTTCTACTAAAGATAAAGGATCCCATGGCAAGCATTCCTGTTGTAAACCATACCTTTCTGCAGTTGCTTGTTTGTTTTATTTAAAGCCATTTTGACAGTGCTCTGCTTGCTCTGCTTCTATAAATAATTGGCCTTAATGATAAAGTATAACCTGCACATTCAAATGTGCATTTACTTCTATACATCTTCATGCTCTGAATAGGCACAGCTACAAAGACATCAGTTTTGAACATGAGCATATGGTTCTGAGAACTTCATATTTCAAATCCACAATTCAACTTAAGAATTGAACATAATGTTTTCATTAACACTGATGATACATAAAACTGCTTCTTAAAAAAATAATAAAACCTGGACTTGAGCTGTGAGGTTGGAGCTTTGAAGATAGGATTGAAATTTTATGTTGAGAAAAATTATGTCTGACAGCAAGATAAAGCATACATAAAATATTGCCCAAATTCACAATGCTTCTATTCAGTCCTTAAAGTTGTAAGCAAATGTTCCTCCACTGCACGACAAGTGACTTTTAGTTCACTGCAAGTACTCTATCACTGACTTTTGCACTGACTCTTTCTCATTTGTCTGCATAGTGTAAATATGTTCTCCTAGCTGGTCATTAGCTTCCTCAACGCCCCCTCAGAGCCTCTTTAGGTGCATATGTCAGAAAGAGACTGCAGAGAGACAAGGGAGTTGCATGTAATTGCAAATTAATAAAGAGTGACTTGGAACCCTATGGAACACGTGGTTGTGGACACAAAGAACTGAAATATTGTCATTTAAAAGCATTTAACAGATCTTTCATTTAAGTGTACTTCTAAAAAAAGACTCCAAATACTCCCTGTCTTACGTGTCCCAAATGGAAGCATTCAATTTATCCATTAATGGTGAGCCTAGGGAGCTACAGTCCAACTTCCTCCCACTGTGCCCAAACTGTTCTTAACAGATCATCTCTTTGAGTAAAAAAAGGAGTTCAGGCGTCATGCAGAATAAATCCTTGCCTTAATTTAAAAGCCTTACAAGAAATGGAAGATCCATGGTGAGACTCGGGAGAACTCTCCATGGAGACTTCCTCTTCTTGTTGCATGTCAGAAGTAAGTATCTCATGAAGAAAGGAAAAGATAAGGCCAAAGGGCATGTGCAGTAGACTGAATTCCTTGAAATCTGTATTCCTCTTCCCTTCCAGACGGTGGAATCTTTCCCGGGCTGCCACATTCCTCCCTCCCCACTGGTTTCTAGTTGCCCCTAGGACTTCACTTTATATCGTTTAATCCACTTTCCATCGTGTAATCCACTTTCCATTTGGTCCCCTCGCTCAGGTTCCACTCCCTAATTATTCTTCTGAGTTTCTGGGTGAGCAGTATTAGTCTTTATCACTTTTAACTTAGAAAATCTGAATGCTGTGAGAGACATTAAAGATTCTCTGGTCTCATTTCTAAATTCATTTCCTGTAGTCCCACTCTTCCAACTCTATGTGCTATTGCTTCTCATAGAACCACAATTCAAAAAGGCTCATCTCTCAAGGCAGTCAGTGTATTTCTGATGTTCCAGGTCATGGCAAGTTCACTAGTTTGACAGCTCATGCATTTTTAGCATGCTTCCTTTCCTGTCGGTAGCAGAATAATCTCTTATGTCCTATGATAATCTCCACAAGACAGGCTTTTATTCCAAGTTCAATGGTAATGTAGCAACACTATATGCATGCTACAGACGGAGATGGAAGCTTGTGAATGTGATTTATGATTAAAGACTTCAAAGCTGTGTCGGAACACTTTAGCATAGACATGTAACTGCATTACTCATTGGGAGAGTTCATTCCTACACCCGGTTTTACAATGAATTGAGGGGCGTCCTTTGGGCTTCCTGTAATTGTTGCATTTGCGTAAGAGTTCAAAATCCAGCAGGGTCACAAACAGAGTTAGCTCAATGGTGAGTAAAATCCATTGGAAAGCAGGGAAATTGCATTTCTGTTGCAGGTGCAGGCTTAAGTGTTCTTTCCCCCTACACATCCGCTCAGAATTTCTCATTGCTACTAAGGAGAATAAAGGGAAGGCCTATTTAGCATAAGAAATGATTTTCCTTCTGACTTTGCCTTAAAACCCCTTCCATTGTGAGGCAGGTGAGAGGAGCCTTATGCTGCCTGTATTGTGCACTAGCCTGTCTGCTGTGCCACACTAAAAGAGGTGTTGTGGTGCTTGGGAAGTCCTTGGAGCACATGGGAGATAAAATTTCAAAGAGCTGAAAACTTCTAGCTCAGCAAATGCATTGGCAAGTTGGTAGCCATTACAAACATATTTTTGAAAATTGGTTTTCCTCTGAATCCGAGTAAAGCAGATATCAGAATCCCAAGTTGGTGCCCTGCAAAATTCTTTGTGTCAAATGGGAGGTGAAATAGGACCCATGGCAGGAAGGATTGTCAATCTCAACATGGTTCTCTTGATGGATGCAATAAATGGGACCCTATGACTGCATGGAAGAGAGGGTTGTCTACTGATGTTAGAACTGCCTCCATGGGGGTTTCCTCCAGTCTGTTTTCTGTGTGTGTGCATGAGTGCATGTGTGTGTGTGTGTGTGTGTGTGTGTGTGTGTGTATCTGTGTTGTTAAATGCCAAACCTTGTGAGATATCAGTGGCTGGCCTGAGATACTCTCAAATTTCTGAAAAGTTTCATCAAACTTTAGAGCCGAATACCCACATGCAGTCATGAGTTTCCTCCTCCTTTTTCCAAACTCTGATTTGGACATCACAAGAATTGTTGCTGTTGCTCCCATTATAAATGTTGATTTACATAATACAGCTACAGTGTGACTAAAATTGTTTGCTCTTTAGTAGAATGAGCATGCTTGGTTTTTCACATATAAAAAAAGACACCTTGTTAATAAGCACCTCTTCCATTTAGATTTCAAAACAAAACTTTAAAATTTCTTTTCTTTATACCTTGCAAATAGGAAGCAGATACAGCTGTGTGAAAACCGTTGCCAAAACTGGCAAAATTTAAAGCTGACATCTTTACAGGAAAGTAATGAGATTCTTAGTCTATTAAGTATGGAGGTGAAAAAAAAAAACATGTATATATGTGTGTGTGTGCACAAACACACGCACACCACTTCTAATAAAAATAGTACCCTGGTCGTACAAAAGACACATAGACCAATGGAACAGGTTAGAGAACACAGAAGTAAAGTCGCACACCTACAGCCATCTGATCTTCGAAAAAGTTGGCAATAACAAACAGTGGGGAAAGGATTCCCTTTTCAATAAACGGTGATGAGATAACTAGCTAGTTAGATGCAGGAGATTGAAAATGGACCCCTTCCTTTACCATACACAAAAATCAACTCACACCGGATTAAAGACTTAAATGTAAGACCTAAAACTATTAAAACCCTAGAAGAAAACCTAGGAAATACTGTTTCATACAGCGGCTTTGGCAGAGATTTCATGATTAAATGTCCAAAAGCAATTGCAACAAAAACAAAAATTGACAAGTGGGACCTATTAGGTTGGTGCAAAAGTAATTGCGGTTGAGAGCATTACTTTTAATGGCAAAAACCACGATTACTTTTGCAGCAAACTAATAATTAAACAAAGAGCTTTTGCACAGCAAAAGAAACTATCAACAGAGTGAACAAGACATCCCACAGAATGGGAGAAAATATTTGCAAACTATGTATCTGACAAAGGTCTAAAACTCAGAATCTATAAGGAACTTAAACAAATCAACACGCAAAAAGCAAACAACCCCATTAAAAGAATGAGCAAAGGAAATGAACAGAACTTCTTAAAAGAAGACATATATGCGGCCAACAAGCATATGAAAAAAAGCTCAATCACCACTAATCGTTGGAGAAATGCAATTCAAAACCACAATGTAATACCATCTCATGCCAGTCAGAATGGCTACTATTAAAAAGAAAGAAAGAAAAAAAAGACACATGTTGGGGAGGATATGTAGAAAAGGGAACACTTATACACTGTTGGTGAGAATGTAAATTAGTTCAACCCCTATGGAAAACAGTAAGGAGATTTCTCAAAGAACTAAAAACAGAACTATCATTTGACCCACCAATCCCACTACTGGGTATCTACCCAAAGGAAATCATTTTATCAAAAAGACATCTGCACTTGTATGTTTATTACAGTGCTATTCACAAAAGCAAAGTCATGGAACCAACCTAAGTGCCCATCAATAGTTGATTGGAGAAAGGAAATGTGAGGTATATATATACCATGATATACTATGCAGCCATAAAAAAGAACAAAATCATGTCTTTGCAGCAACATGGATGAAGCTGAAGGTCATTATCCTAAGTAAAGTAACTCATAAACAGAAAATCAGATACCACATGTTCTCACTTATAAGTGGGAGCTAAACAATCGATATACGTGGATATAAAAAATGGAAATAATAGACACTGGGGACTCAAAAATGGGAGAGGGTGAGAGGAAGTGAGGGTTGAAAAATTACCTGTTGGGTACAATATTCAATATTTGGGTGATAGTTACACTAGAAGCCCAAACCTCACCATTACACAATGTATCCATGTAACAAATGTGTATGTGTACCCCTGAATCTAAAACAAAATAACAACAACAAAAAAATATGTGCCTGAATCTGATTATGAAAGTACAGGAAAAAAGCAAAAAAAAAAAAAAAAGGAAAATTATCTCAATAATTGTCATGGGGAAATGATAGGAAAGGTACTTGTGACCCATAGTTTTACCCTTAGATGTTTTATCACAATTTCAACAGTATGGGTAGTAAATGAAAGTAGCTTGAAATTCTCACACAAAGAGGTTAAATAAAGTTGACTAAGTGTCACTGAGACTTGGGAAGATAGTCAATGAAAAACTGCAATTAATGGTAATAATCTATTCAAAAATAGAAATCGCATCAGATGTTGCAAAGTTACAGAACAAAAAAAAATCCATGAATCTTGAGGCAAAAGCATAGTGAGGAGAAATACCAAAATAACATTATCTTGCGAATTCCATATGACCTGTTTGGCCACGTGGAGGATATATGGGGGATACTTTGAGTATTTGTCACACAACTAACTGGTGCATTGGCAAAACAAACTTTAATGGGGACTTGAATTTCAAGAACTATGCGTCTCAGTATTCTGAAAGCAGAGCATATGATGAATTCTTGACTTGCCTAACAATTTTACCTTATAGTCATTCTTCATTGAAGAAGGAATGAAGAAAACGATTTCTCCGAAAGTAGGGTTGTCAAGAATATGTATTGCACACTCATAAAGTATTTTGATTTCAGCAAAATATATAACAAAAGTGCTCTATGATTATTAGGGACAAGATGCTAAAATATGTATATGGATTGTACTATCCAAGCAGTTTCTGAGAGCACTGGGCAAGACACTGAACAAAAGAGTGTTATATTGATTCAAGGCAACATTTACTTCTGGAAGCAGAATAAACAGTTACATTTGAGTAGCTTAAATAGTCATGAGTCATATGAGTTTCAAAACACTTAAATGCATAAACAAATAAATAACTTTATCCCTAGAAACTGAAACATAAAGTGACACGGTGACTACTTCAGCTAAGTATACCTCTGTAAAAAACAGACTTTAACCTACTAATTCAAAGACCAGGAGTATAAAGTTAAGGCAATCAAAATTCAGCAGCAAGAACAAGCTAAAAGGATATCATACATGCATAGAAATTTATAAGTGGAGTCTCCTTTCATGACCTCTTATGGGTCAAACAACTTTAAAGCCAAGCAACTAGATAACTCCTCAAGGGACCTGGGAATGTTCTCATCACTTAAGTGGTCACTTGCAAAATTATAAACTTCTTATGGACTAAATATAAAGATAATTCTGGCAATTGCCTGCACTGGCTACCAGTGGGATAATAACTGCGGAGCAAAGAAGGAGGAGGGTGTTAAGAGAATTTATCAAAATAATTACAGGAGAATACTTTCATTAAAAAAATAAATTGGTATAATTAGAATAGAATCATAACTCTTTCACAAGTGCTTCTGCGTACACTCCATCTTTGTTACCTTTAACGATTTGACGTTCAGTTAAAATTAAGTACTTCTTCCAGAGTATGGAAAAATTCTGATTTACTGTTCAATTCTTTGCATAATTGGAAATGATGCAGAATTAGTTACTTTTAGCAAGAGATTATCTCTCTTAACCTTGTTGAATTGTATCCACTCTCTGCAACTAAGTAATGCAGAAAAATGAGAATAAAAAAAGGTGACTTGTCAAAATATAACCAAGAGTGTCTTTCCTGTAGGACAAAGAAATACTAACAATTAAAATAGAAAGAAACAAGAGTCGGAAGAGTTATAAATACCTAATAGGATTTGTCAGTTATAATAAAACCCAGTATGTTTATAGCTCCTTTTGTTTAAAACCCAGATATTTCTTGATCCTCAAATATATTTTACAAAGACATTAAAAGGGAGTATAAAGAGATACTTTTCAAGTCTGCTTTGGATTCCTTCAAAATAGACTCTCTAAGACCCTGATAACAACCACATTATCATAATTGGCTCATACATGTCCATGTTGTGAGGACATGAAAAGCAGCCATACATGGGCAAATACTTCATGACAAAAACACCAAAAGCAATTGCAACAAAAGCCAAAATTGACAAATGGGGTCTAATTAAACTAAAGAGCTACTGCACAGTGAAAGAAACTATCATCAGAGTAAACAGTCAACCTACAGAATGGGAGAAAAATTTTGCATTCTCCCCATCTGACAAAGGTCTAATATCCAGCCAGAATTTACAAGCAACTTAAGTATATTTACAAGAAAAAACAAACAACCCCATCAAAAAGTGGGCAAAGGATATGAACAGACACTTCTCAAAAGAAGACATTTACATGGCCAGCAAACATATGAAGAAAAGCTCAACATCACTGATCATCAGAGAAATGCAAATCAAAACCAGAATGAGATACCATCTCATGCCAGTCAGAATCTCAATTATTAAAAAGTCAGGAAACAATAGATGCTGGTGAGGCTGTGGAGAAATAGGACGCTTTTATACTATTGTTGGAAATGTAAATTAGTTCAACCATTGCGGAAGACAGTATGGCAATTCCTCAAGGATCTAGAACCACATATAGCATTTGACCCAGCAATCCCATTACTGGGTATATACCCAAAGGATTATTAATCATTCTACTATAAAGACACATGCACACATATTTATTGCAGCACTATTCACAATAGCAAAGACATGGAACCAACCCAAATGCCCATCAATGATAGACTGAATAAAGAAAATATGGTACATATATACCATGGAATACTATGCAGCCAGAAAAAAAGAATGAGATCATGTCCTTTGCAGGGACATGGATGAAGCTGGAAGCCATCATCCTCAGCAAACTAACACAGGAACAGAAAACCAAACACCACATGTTCTCACTCATAAGTGGGAGGTGAACAATGAGAACACATGGACACAGAGAGGGAAACAACACACACCAGGGCCTGTTGCAGGGTGAGGGGTGAGGGGAGGAAACTTAGAGGATGGGTCAATAGGTGCAGCAAACCATGGTGGCACACGTATACCTATGTAACAAGCCTGCACGTTCTGCACATATATTCCTTTTTTTTTTTATGAAATAAAAAGAAAAGAGAAAAGAAAAGAAGCCATAAGGAGCCACGACACCCAAAATACGTACAAATTGGAAATAAGCATTTCTAAAATATTTTCCCAAGTAGAGGAGTTCAAAACTTCAGCTTGTTCCCCTAATATTTTCAATGAGTCCACACTGTTGAAAAAACCTTTCTTTCCCCAATTCAACTTCCCTCTCCTTTTTCCTAATTTCCTAGCTATATTTCCTTCAATATGTCTTTTGTACATTAGTATCAAATGCAAGTAAATTTCTACCAGGTATTAACATCTCTGTACCTTGATATTTAGGTATTCAAAACATTTTTAAAATATGCAAATCTTTAAAAATGAATCCAAATGCAAAAATTCAGAAAAAAATCTGTAATATCAAAATTAATGAAAATCACAAAGTAGATAACATTTTCTCATATTTAAAAAGCTTTATAAGAAATACCTTATCTGCATTTTCCTCTTCCCATTTTGCAGATGAGGAAGTTGACACACAGCAGGACAAAGGTGTTTGCCCAAGGCCATATGATATAAGTTCTCTTACCTTCTACACTTGTGTCATGGTTGACTTTGGCAACTTGTAATTCTGCAACTTCAGATTCAAGAAGTTGCCTTGGGAAAGTTTTGGCAATGGTAACACAGTTTTAAGTAAAAAGTAAGCATATTGAATAATGGGAAAACTTAAACTAAGATTAACCAATTATCTCACACAGCATGAAAACATGATTCTTGAATGTCTGACTCTACTTAAATTTAATGCATAAATAAATAAATGAAGATAAATGAAAATCATTTTTCTTGGGCTTAGTGTAGTTAAGAAACCATTTAATAATATGCGTCGGTGCAAAAAGTGAAAGCCTGGGTACAAAGGATACAGAGAGGAGTTCATTTGATGAAATTAATGAAGTCCATAACTTATGAACTAAATTCTAATTTACAGAATCATTAACCTTTGAGTTGGAGGCAATTTAGTAGTCACCTAGATTGATGGTTCTCATCCCACACCTATTAATTTAGACTTGATGGGGTTGCTGCAACTGGTCTATGGATGAAAGTTTGGGAAGTACTGACCTCATCCATCCACTATGCTATTGCAGGAATCCCCTCTACAACGTCTCCAGTATATTGCCATCTACTATGACCACCTCATAATATAACAAGGAACTTATGGCTTCAAAAGGCAACTCTTTCTAAAAGCTCTGATTGCCAATCAAACTCAATTTGACAAGCATATATTCAGAGCCTACTATGTTCCAGGCGCTTTATATACATTTTTTAATTCTTACAATAACTCTGGAAGAAAGGATTAATTCTCCCATTTGCAGATTAAGAAAAATGAAGTTTTGAGAAGTTGAATGGCTTCTCCAAATTCACATATCTAAGGGATGGAGCTGGGATTAAAACCCTGTACTGCTTCTTGCATACATTTTCTCATTTAATTATAAAAAATACCTTATAGAGTATATATTATTATCCCAAATTTACAAATGAGAAAACCAAGGTTTGGAGAGATATAGTGGTTATTCAAGGTCAAACAGTCAGTAAGTGATGGATTGGTAATTCAAACTCAGTTCTATCTGATTCCAAAATCTGAGATCTTAACCATTATGCCTTAGACCTTCTCATACATTTTAATATAATACCTTGTGATAAATTTTAAAAAATAAAAGTAGCATGGAAGAGAGAATAGCCAGCTCTAGTAGCAAAGGGGATCAGTTCAGCCTTCTAGGTGAGGTGCTATCTGAGCTTGATTTCAAAAGGTAAACGGAGATCATCCAGGCAAATAAAGGAGTGGAGGACAAATGGGGGAAGATGAACATGTGAAATGGTGTAGAAATATGACACGTCATAATTCCAATGTGTCTTCATGTATCTTCTACACACAATTCTCTGGAATGATGTTCCTTTCCCATTCTTTGATCTGTCACCTTACCATGCTTTTCGTTCTTCAGAGCATTTATGACTATAACAATAATAGTTATTACTGAATACTTACTTTATACCAGACACTGTCCACAGAACTTTACATGGAGTGCCTCATTTAACCCTCACAGAACTCTTTGAGGTAGGCACTATTAATATCTCAATTTTACATATGAGAAAATTGAGTTACAGAAAGAGTAGATAACTTGTATAAGGTCACACAGAGCTGGTAAGCGTGAGCAAAGATTTGAAGCCAGGCAGTCCAGTTCCAGAGCCCTCACTTTTAACCACTCTCTGTCTGGTATTACATTATGTAGCTATCTGTTCAGTTTATCTTCTCTCTCCTCTCCTTAGAATATAAGTTCTACAAGGACAAGGACCATGTTTGTTTTGTTCAATGCTGTATACTGAGCACTTAAAATAATAACTGCCATATAAGAAAATAATTTTTCATTGAATGAATTTTAACAACTTTTTTTTTTTTTGGTATCTACTGTGTACCAGGCTGTGCTAGGTACTAAATGTACAGAGGAAGCCTAATCATTATTAGATCATTATTAGAATCATTTCTAATAAATAGACACTCTTTTTTTTATCCCTTTTAAGTTTCTTCTTTTCTAGAATCAATAGCCCTAGTTTGTTCCATCTTTTCTCATGTGACATGATATTACCCAGGCCTTCCCCTCTGGACATTAGCAGTTCATCAATAAAAAAAAAAAAAAAAGCAGCACAAAAACTTAACAGAGTGCTTTTGGAATGATCTAACTCCCTTTTATTGTACTCTGTGCTTCCTTTAACTCAACCCAACATAGTCATTCGCTTTTCTGGCTGCCATATCATAGTGTTGGCCCATGTTGAGTTGGCAGTGCAATAAAAGGCTGAGTCTTTTTCATAATAATGCTATAATACTAAGCCATTCACCATTATGAATTGTACAGTGGAAATTCTATGAATGTTTCTATGTTTAAATCAATGTATAGAACTTCATCATTACCCCCATTAAATTTCATCTTATTACTTTGGGGCCATTCTTCCAACCTATATATGAGTTTGAATCTTGAGTCTTTTATTCATCTTACCTGTTCTCTTTCTCAGAATTGAATCATCAGCAAATTCTACAAGCAAAACTATTGTGTCTTGATCCAGATAATTGCTCAATATATAGAAAGGAACAGAAGCAGATACAGAGTTCTGTGGCAAGGCACTAGAGATCTTTCTTTAGGTTAACAATGATCCCCAATCAAGACTTTGCATTGAGTTATTCAACCAGTTATGAATATGAACCTGCCTTTACAGTATGGTCCATATCCCTATTTTAGCATTTAATCCACTTTTGTAGATTAAATCATTTTTGCCATATGTTTTGCTGAAATCACAATACCTCATACATAATGCATATTCTTTGCAATCCTAATTCCAGAGAAAGCTTTCCTTCATTGCTTCTTCAGTTGCCGATAAGGTAAAATTGTTAGGCAAGTCAAGAATTCATCATATGCTCTGCTTTCAGAACACTGAGACTTTAGACATATCTCTTGAAAATTCAAATCCCCATTAAGATTTGTTTTGCCAATGTGCCCACTTGTGTGATGGGTGTTGAAAGTATCATTCATATGCTCCATGTGACCAAACAGTTCATATGGGATTCTCACAATTATGTTACTTTGGTATTTCTCCTCACCATGCTTTTGCCTGGAGATTCATGGATTTTTTTTTTCACTCTGTATCTCTGCAACCTCTGATGTTTTTTCTCCTGTTCAATCTGTTTTTGAACAGAATATTAGCATTAGTTGCAATTTTTCACTGAGTATCTTCCCATCAAGCTTCAGTGGCACTAATTAGAATGTATTCAACTTATTTGTGTTAAAATTTCAAGCTAATTTTCAAAAGGATTTGCTAGCATGTTTAAAGGGGAGATTTTCCAATGTTGGTCAAAAGGTACAAACTTTCACTTAGAAGAAATAAGTTTTTGAGGTATATTACAAAGCTTGGTGACTATAGTTAATAATAATGTATATTTTGAAGTTGTTAAGAGAGAAAATTTCATGTCTTACCAAAAAATGATAAGTGAGATGATGGATATATTAATTAGCTTGATTTAATCATTTCACATTTTATGTATCTATCAAAACATCACATTGTGCCCCATAATTATGTACAATTATTATTGGCCAAATAAATCTTTTAAATTTAAAATATTTTTTTAAATTGTTTATATAAGAATAAATACAGGAAAGTTCTAGTATCACTGTGTCTCACTCATTCTCTTTATAGCTATTCTAACTCCAGCACCATTTTGCAGGCTTCCTCCACCTTCGTCTTTTCCTGAGACTATCTCAAACTCCACCTCAGATGTCTCATTTCCAAAGAGGCAAACAGTCCGTACTAGCATATATTCTAAGTATCTGCCATATAGCAGAAGAAAGACCATTGATCTTGCTCAAAAATTGCTGTTCTCATGGTGCTCCTGAAATAAACTAGATTCAATGAAAGAAAAAATTTAAAACTGATTATAATGTGCTCATATATTAGATAATATGGATACTAAGCAAAGTAAACAAATATTTATGTGAATTTAAATTAAAGGAAAAATGCAAAATTTGTGTGTGCTTTTATCTGGAAAATTGATGTCTGAGGATAAAAATTAGCATAAACCTCATTAATGTATAATATTATTGTTCAAACCAGCAGATATTACACTGCAGTTAATTGTATTAACAATTAAGACAAAGGAAATCCTTTATAGCTTGAATAGCAGCTTTAAACTACTCATTTCAAACATGGGAAATGAAATGAATAATTTTGTTTAAAAAGCATTTGTCCTTTGAACTTCAGTCTATTCAACTTCTGAAATGCTTATTAAAACAGAGCTCTGTTCAGCACATTTTAAACTTTAAATAATTATACCACCCAGTGTGCATTTCCGTAAAACATCAGTGGTTGACAATACTATTTCATAAAACATTCATATTAGATTATACAGTTGCTCTTACAGTTCAAAAGGAAAAAGAAAAAAAGAAAAACTTTGTTAATAAGGTGACAAACTGAAGAGAGTTACAGGGAACTTGTTCAAGGAGCCCCAACCTTCCTAAATGATCCAAAGCCTTAGAACTAATGACGGTAATGTCTTCAACTTGCTAAAGGAAATCAATACATTCTCTGATTGTTATTCTCTTTGCCAGTTGGTCAGGCCCGTATCTGATAATGACAAAATGAGGTCTTCCTCTGAGTAGTGTCAGCTCAAAAAAGCTACCTGAACAACTATTGCTAAATTAAGTATTGATGCAACTATAAAAACCTTTCCATCATAAGATAATCCTTCCAGGTTCGACCTTATCATTAGAAATATACAAAAATATTGAGTTCTATTGCAAAACACTTCATTAATGTATACCAATCCGCAATGCAGATGGACAAACACAATGGCTTTAAACATACAAACACACACACACGCCATCTCACAAGGCAAATTGGGTTAAGAAAAACATGGTAAATTCAATGTGTGTCGTAGAATTTAGTGTCATCACTTAACACATTCAGTCCTCTGCTGGCTTTAAAGTTCATACAAAGTTTAAAAGTATTTCAGCAATGGAATCAAGGCAAGCCCAATGTTTTCCATTAGGAAGCAGATGAAGCATAAGGAGTATATTTCCTACTTCAGTTCATAACTGAGCCCTATACCAAAACACCCAAGCTGGAAACCAAATTGCTTAGTAACTTCCATGCAATATAAATTATTTAGTGCCAAATACACAGAAATGAATGGGCCAGAACTAATAACTCTTTTCACGAATCTAAAACAGAAGCAGGGAAGATAGGCAAAGGAAATCTAGCAGGGAAGATACACAATTAAATAAGTAATCACCATAAAATGTGAAGAGTATTTTGTAGGGTATTAGGAGAGAACATACTTGAGAGTGTTTTTTTAGGAGATAACATCAGCTGTGAAATCTGAAGCTTTAGTAGGACTTCCAGGTGAAAAATTAACCAAGTATAAAGAAAACAAGGCCCTTGCCCCACCACACATGAAATGGCCCAAGTCTTCAGCATTTCTTCCCTGAATTATGCAATAATTTTTGAACTGGGTCCTGTTGTCTTTCTCCAGCCTAACTTCTCTACAGTGCTCCCGATCGTCTTTCTTAGAGATCAAAATTCTTCAATGACATAATGCTCTTGAGTCTAGAGAATGACTCGTAGGCCTCCTAGCAGACATTTGAGCTTCAGAATGTTACTCCAGCTTCTCTTCCCAGCTTCATATTCCATCACTTTGGGAATGTAATGGCCCCCAAAGATGTCTATGCTCTAACCCCTGTATCCCGTGACTATATTACATAGCAAAAGGACTTTACAGACATAATTAAGACTACAGAGTTTGAAACAGAGTGTCCTGGATTGTTCAGGTGGGTTCAATTTAATCACATGAACCCTTAGAAGCAGAGCACCTTCTCTGGCTGGAGTCAAAGAGATGCAGCAGAAGGAAAAATCAGAATAATCTGAAACAAGAGATGTGCTCAATGCACCATCATTGGTTTGAAGATGGAGGGAACGATGTGATAAGGAATCCAGACGGCCTTAAGGAACTGAGAGAGGCTCCCTGCTAACAACCAACAAACAGAGACCTCAGCCCTATGGCCACAAGGAACTGAATTCAACCAGCAATCTGAAAGAGGTTGGAAGCAGATGCTCTCTCAAAGTCCTCAGATAAGAGTTCAGGCCAGCCAACACTTTGATCTAGGCCCTGTGAAGACTCTGAACAGAGAGCAATGAGGTGTTTATCACAGCTCTCGAATCCCTGTGCACCTCAGCTATCCCAATCTATACGCACAGAGATTAAAGAAAGCACTAAAAATTGAATGTTAACTGATTGAATTAGTGATTCCATTGGCTCCACTGCATGCCTATGAAGTTAGTATTAGAAGAATTAAGTGAAAGAAGGAAGAAAATTGTCTATCCCTAAAGGTGTTTAATTAGAATATCCCTTTCTTTGTGACTGCTCTCTATTTTTGGTAAGAGCATACTTTTTTAAATTGAAACAAAAATTGAATATTAATTGTAGTCAGCACTCCCCTCATTTCCATATCTACTTCTATCACCTCTATTTTACCTTGTGCTGAAATATTTAAGTAACCAGAAACTAAGTTATGGTAGGCAGAATTCTAAAGGTACTCTCTCCAGCTTCTTGTCTCCGGACAATGAAATAACCCAGAACCATTGTGAAGGAATTTTGCTAATGTAATTAAATGTCCATGTCATTTGACCTTAAGATCTGAGATTTTCTGTGTGAGCCCAACCCAATCGGAAAATAGGTCTTAAAGTGAAGAGCTTTTCCTGACTAGTGGCAGAAGAGAAAGGCAGAGAGGGAAGTCAGGACGATTCAACTCACAAGAAGGAGTCAATATACTGTTGTTAGCTTTGAAGATGGAGGAAGCCATGAGGCAAGGAAGGTGCACAGTTTCAAGGAGCAAAGAATGGTGCTGGCCAACAGCCAGCTAGGAAATGAGACCTCAGTTCTACAACCTTATGGAACTGAATTCTGCCAACAACCTGAATGAGCTTAGAAGCAGATTCTCTCCCAGAGCCTCCACATAAGATCCCAGGCTTTCTGACACCTTGATTCTGGCCTCGTGACAACCAAAGCAGAGAACATAGTTGAGCCCACCTGGATTGTGGACCTACAGAAATCCTGAGATAATAAATGATTGTCACAGGGCATGATGACATGCAACTGTAGTCCCAATGACTTGGGAGACTGAGGTGGAAGAATCACTTGAACTCCAGAGTTCAAGGCCAGTCTGGGCAACATAGTGAGACACCACCTCAAAAAAAAAAAAAGTTTGTCATGGTAATTTGTTATAATGAACTTATAACAATTGAAAACTAGTATTAAATGTATTGACATAACTACAAATCTAACACAGCTCCTATGATATCCATTCCGAGTGGCTTTTCCCTAAAAAGTCTGAAAACTATCAGTGTGGTTTCTGGATATTCTTGTCCAGTCTTGCCTTAGTAGGTGTCTCATATGCTAGGGTGACATGTCCCAGTTACTTAATCTTTGAGAGTCTCAAATTCCTAACCTGTAAAATGCAGATGATAAAACAAAAATAATACCCACTTCAAGGGATTAAATGAGTTAATGCTTATAAAATACTTGGACTACAGCCTGGCACATAGTAAATATTCAAAAAACACATTTCATCATCATTTTGTCTGCTCTCAAATGGCTCTTCTTGCTTCATGCCCCAATAACCAAGTCTTGGTCTTTGCAGGTAACTTTGCTCAAAATTAAGTCTTTATTCATTGGTGCCAATGAAAGATTAATATGGAATTTCTCTCTCTACAACCTGAGAGTTCTGAGTTTCTTTTGCTAGGAACAACTAAATTAACTTTGTGGTATCTGTGCATGGTTTCTTATGCTGCTCTAGGCTTTGGCTTGAAGAATCCTTTCCCCCTTGGGAGAAGTTTCCATTTGTGTAGCATCATTTCATTCCCAGTGTAACATTGTTAATATCTCCAGGCAACCATGGCTAGAGACATTACTGATTGACCATTTGGTCCCACTTAATGCATTTTATGCAAATTTTTCATCCATTTTGCTGTAGTTGAGACTTAGTTTTTAAGAAACATCCATTTTTAAGATGAATCATTCACCCTCCTTAGTAAACAAATTAACTGGTATTATACCAACAGGAAGTATGAATTAGATTATTAAATCCATTTATTTCTTTCTGTTTGGTTTTGTTTTTTGGGGGCAGAGTCAGCACTCTGTCACCCAGCTGGAGTGCAGTGGCGCAATCTCAGTTTACGGCAACCTCCACCTCCCAGGCTCACGTGATTCTCGTGCCTCAGACACCGGAGTAGCTAGGATTACAGGCGCCCGCCACCACACCCGGCTAATTTTTTTGTATTTTTGGTAGAGACGGAGTTTCGCCACGTTGGCCAAGCAGGTCTCCAACTCCTGGCTTCATGTGATCTGCCTGCCTTGGCCTCCCAAAGCGTTGAGATTACAATCCTAATCCAAGTTTACATCCTGGCCTGTAACGTGTAACACTCTAAGTACGTATCATTGGTTTTCATTCCAGTTGATACGTATGTATTACGAAATTTCCTCTGAAAAAGTGTTCATTCAGGAATAATCCTTAGATCTAAGCTCTAGATTCCATATTATAATTTAAAATTACCCAGATCCTCCAAACAATATATCCTCCTTCATGAAAACCACTAGCCCTACCTTTCTTTTTTGAGCAGGGGTGGGGGTGGGGAGGAATCAATCTCAACAAATTTTATAAACAGTAAAAAGAAAAAGAGATACAAAATAATATGTATAGTATAAGTCTGTTTATACAAAGTTCAAAACCAGTGTTTGCCATATTTTCAAATGGCTCAGCAAATAAAGTACATATGTATATCCATCTCTTGACACAAAGAAAACATGGGAAAATGTTAACAACTGGGAGTCTAGGTGAAGAATATGAAAAAGTTCATTGCACTATTTTGCTACCTGTTTATAGGTTTGAGATTTTTCAAAATAAAAAGATAGGAAAGAATTCAAAAACCAGACAAAGCTAATTTATATTGCTAAGGAGTACAAACATGGGTAGTAAAACAATAAAGAAAATAATTATCAAAATTCAGAATAGTGCCAACTCTGGGAAGAAGGATGAACTTTTGCTGAGGGAGACCCTAGTGAGAGGCTTCTGATGCTTGCAGTTTCTTTGCCTGAGTGTAAATATATGAGCTTTCCTTTATAATTATTTATTAAACTATCCATGTAGAGTCTATGCATTTTATGCATGCATATTTCACAAAAGAGAAACGGTATTAATGAAAACGATGTGATGAGGTATATAAAAATACTTGCAAAGAAAATGTACTAGATGATTGTTAAACAATATTATTTTTTAAATATCCTGCTTTTGCTTGGTAACAAGCAAACCTAAGTAAGGGGGGCTTTTGCTATGTGAGTCCTTTACTCAAGATCATTTATCAAAAGGTGCTTATAAGGACCAAGTTTTGAGGCTAACAATATGATAACATTTTATTTGTACATGACATAGTTTTTATACAACCATCAATTCTGAATCTGAATCTTGTTTAGTTTGGTATCAGGTAATACATTCCTTTAAATAATTCCCATGAACTGCAATGTGATACCCCAATACTCATTTTGGCAGATATTCTAGCATAGGCAACTTGAAAAATTATTATAAGAAAACTCTGGGCCATGCATAGGGGTACACACCTATAGTCCCAGCCACTTGGGAAGCTGAAGTGGGAGGATCACTTGAGCCCAGGATTTCAAGATCCTTATCTCAAAAAAAAAAACCCAAAACAAAATCCACTATGAATGAAAGTTTTATAATTCTTCTAATATCATACATGATTTATATTGTTCTTGTATAAATTTTGCCTATTTTCTATAGCTATTTCCTCTACCCCTGTATTTCACTCAGCTCTGCAAATTGACTCAGCTCCAGGTAAAATCGAGAACTTCTCCCGCAAACAGACCTTCAGCTTCTCCAGTGAGGGCGTGTTTGGGAAAGGAGGGTCTCTGTTTCCCACTTCAGCAGTTGGGGCACTCACAGTTTTGAGGGGGTCTCCTGGGTCCTGCAGGAGCAGTCTGCCTCCTTCAGAGCGTCTGTGGGTCCTCCGACTCATTGATTTTTTGAAGAGTTTTTCGTGTCTCTATCTCCTTCAGTTCCACTCTGATTTTGGTTATTTCTTGTCTTCTGCTACCTTTGGGGTTTGTTTGCTCTTGGCTCTCTAGTTCTTTTAGTTGTGATGCTATGGTGTCAATATGAGATCTTTCTAGCTTTTCGATGTGGGCATTTAGTGCTATAAATTGCCCTCTTAACACTGCTTTAGCTGTGTCCCAGAGATTCTGGTACTTTGTTGCTTTGTTCTCATTGGTTTCAAAGAACTTCTTGATTCCTGCCATAATTTCATTATTTACCCAGGAGTCATTCAGAAGCAGGTTGTTCAATTTCCATGTAGTTGTGTGGTTTTGAGTGAGTTTCTTAATCTTGAGTTCTAATTTAATTTTTAATGTTAAACCAATCTTGCATTATTGGTATAACCTTCATTTATTCAAGATATATTATCTTTTTAACATTTTTAATATACTACTGGAATTAGTTTGTTAATATTGTACAAAGAATTCTCTATGTGTGGCTATATGAAAGATATTGGTTTTTTATTTTTTGTTCTTTTAATGCCTTTCTCATATTTTGGTAGCTGTATTATCCTGGCCTCATAAAACACATCAGGAAAGATTCCTTCCTCCTTTATTTTCTTAAAACTTTCACGTTAGATGAATGTTATTTTCTTCTTAAATGTTTCACATAATTCATCAGCAAGAACTGTGATCTAGGGGTTGTGTGTGTGTAAGTACTTTTATTACACATTCCATTTCTTTTATAAATGTCATGTTAATAGGGATTTTTATAGTTTTTACATCAGTTTTGGCAATTTGTGTCATTGAAGGAATTAGTTCATATCATCTAATTTGTCAATTTTTTGGCATAAAATTATTCATAATATTCCCTAAGTATCCTTTTAATGTATGTGAAATCTGGGATAATATCCCTGCATTTATTCCTGATACTTATAATTTGTATTTGCTCTTTCATTTGTTCATTGGCCTACATTCGATTTCATCTAATTTATCAATCTTTACAAAGAACCAGCTTTTTTTATTTTCAGATTGTTCATATACTCACTAATTTTTTATTTAGATGGTCTCTCACTTACTGAGAGAAGAATGTTACTATATCCAACCATGATGGTGCATGTATCTATTTTCTCTTTAGTTCTGTCAGATTTTGCTTTTGTATTTTGAAGCTCTTTTATTAGGTATACATTATGGAATGTTTTTGTCTTCTGGATGAATTGACACTTTTATCAGGATAAATGTCTTTATTTTCTTCAGTAATCCTCCATTTCTTGAATTCTATTTTGCCTGATATTTTAATCAATTCAGCTTTCTTATGCATTTATATTGTATATACAAATACCATTTGTATTGTATATATTTTTACATTTTTTAAACTTTTGTTATGAAAACATCTTTATACTTAAAGCTAAGGTAGCATATAGTTGTGTCTTGCTTTTTCATGTAAAAAAATCATTGCATTAATCCAAGTGGGAACAATAAAGGAGAAACAGAGAGAAAAAAATGCAGAACAGCTAGCAAAATGATAGATTTAAACCTAACCATATCAATAATTACATGAAATGTAAGTAGACTAAGCAATAACTTCCAATTAAAAGCTTTCCTTTGGCTCAATCTAATAATTTTTATTATTCCGTTTTATAATATTTCCTCTATTGGATTTTTATTTTTACCTCTTTGTATTATTTTCAGTAGTTTCTCTAAGAATTAAACAATGCATCTTTATCATAGCATGGTGTACTTAGAGTAAATATTTTACCAATTCGAATAAAAAATAAGTACCTTGAAAGGTAGAAGTTTATATACCCACCGCTCTTTCTGCTATTATTGTCATCTGTTTTATATCTACATATGTCATGAACTGAACAATGCAATGGTTTTTACTTTAGTCAGTTGGCTTTTAAAAATATCAAGTAGTGGGAGAATATTTTTTAAAATTTACCTACATGTTCATCATTCCTGATGACTTTGCTTTCTCCAGGTAGATTAGAGTTTTCATCTATAATTTTCCTCAGACTGAATAACTTCCTTTAGCATTTCTTGTAGCTTTGTATTCTAGTAACAAATTTTCTCAGCTTTTGTTTATCTAAAAATGTCTTTTTTTAGCACTTTCAAGATGTAATTCCAGTTTCTTTCAGTCTCTATTTTCTTTTTTAATCTTTTCCTATAAGCTGTCTATCATTTTGCTGCTGATTTCAATATTATGTCTTAGCTTTGTCTTTTCATAGTTTGACTATGATGTGTCTAAATGTGGTTTTCTTTGAATTTATCCTACTTTGTGTTTGCTAAGCTTCTTTGCTGTGTAAATTAATGATTCGTTATTTTGTTTCTTTGTTTGTTTGTTGACTAGTTGTTTCTCATATTTTACTAAATTTGGAAATGTTTAAACTTTTATATTAACAATATTTTTATACTCCATTATTTCTGCGTTCTCCTCCAAGAGTCTAATTTCATGTATTTTAAATGCTTTATAATTTATTAGAAGTTATAAATACTCTCTTCATTTTTGTGTCAGTCTTCCTTCCTCTTTGTTCTTCATATGAATAATTTTGATTGACATATCTTCAAGCTCACTTACCCTCACTTCTATTATTCTCAGTTGGCTGTTAATCTCATCCAATGGAGTTTTCATTTCTTTGTTTTGATTTCTACTGGCCTCCAAGTAATAATAATTTTTCCTTTTTTAAACTTTTATTTTATTTTATTTTATTTTATTTTATTTTATTTTATTTTATTTTATTTTATTTTATTTTATTTTTAAGATGGAGTTTTGCTCTTGTTGCCCAGGCTGGAGTGCAATGGCGCAATCTCGGCTCACCACAACCTCTGCCTCCTGGGTTCAAGTGATTCTCCTGCCTCAGCCTCCCAAGGAGCTGGGATTACAAGTGTGTGCCACCACACCCCGCTAATTTTGTATTTTTAGTAGAGATGGGATTTCTCCATGTTGGTCAGGCTGGTCTCAAACTCCCGACCTCAGGTGATCTGCCTGCCTTGGCCTCGCAAAGTGCTGGGATTACAGGCATGAGCCACCATGCCTGGCCAACTTTTATTTTAATATTTTTTAATTTTTAACGTTTGTGGGTACATAGTAGATGTATATACTTATGGGGTACATGAGATATTTATATACAGGCATGCAATACATAATAATCGCATCATGGAAAATAGGAGATCCACCCCCTCGAACATTTATCTTTTGTTATACAAACCATCCAGTTATACTCTTTTAGTTATTTTTAAATGTATGATTAAATTATCTTGATAGTAGACACCCTGTTGTGCTATCAAACACTAGGTATTATTCATTCTTTCAAACTGTTTTTTGGTGCCTATTAACCATCATCACCCCTCCCCTGCCCCCACCCCCCACTACCCTTCCCAGCCTCTGGTAACCCTCCTACTCTCTATCTCCATGTGTTCAAATGTTTTGATTTTTAGACCCCACAAATTAGCGATAGCATGCAATGTTTGAATTTCTGTGCCTGGCTTATTTCACTTAACATAATGATCTCCAGTTCCATTCATGTTGTTGCAAATGACAGGATCTCCTTCGTTTTTATGGCTGAATAGTACCCCATTGTGTATAAGTTCCACATTTTCTTTACCTATTAATCTGTTGATGGATACTTAGGTTGGTCCTAAATCTTGGATATTGTGAACAGTGCTGCAACAAACATAGGAGTACAGATATCTCTTCCATATATTTATTTTTCTTCTTTGGGGTATATATCCAGCAGTGAAATAGCTGGATCATATGGTGGCTCTACCTTTAGTTTTGTGAAGCACCTCCAAGCTATTCTCCATAGTGATTGAACTAATTTACATTACCACCAACAGTGTACAAGGGTTCCCTTTTCTCCACATCCTTGCCAGCATTTGTTATTGCTTGTCTTTTGGATGTAAGCCATTTTAACTGTGGTGAGATGATATCTCATTGTAGTTTTGATTTTCATTTCTCTGATGATCTATGATGTTGAGAACCATTTCACATGCCTATTTGCCATTTGTATGTTTTCTTTTGAGAAATGTCTATTCAAATCTTTTGTCCATTTTTTATCAGATTATTATATTTTTTCTATAGTGTTTTAGTTATACCTAGAAATCAAAAACAAGAGGAATTTTGGAAACTATACAAATACATGGAAATTAAGCAGTATGCTCTTGCATGACCAGTGGGTCAATAAAGAAATTAAGAAGGGAACTGAAAAATTCCTTGAAACAAATAATAATGGAAACACAAAATACCGAAACCTATGATATACAGCAAAAGCAGTACTAAGAGGGAAATTTATAGCTATAAGTACCTACATTTAAAAAAGAAGAAAAACTTCAAATAAATAACCTAAGGATGTATCTTAAAAAACTGGAAAAGCAAGAGCAAAATGAACCCAAAGTAAAGAAATAATAAAGACCAGGGCAGAAATAAATAAATTTGAAGTGAAGAAAACAATACAAAATATCAGCAAAACAAAAGTTAGAATTTTGAAAATAAAACAAAATTGACAAACTGTTAGCCAGACAAAAGGGAGAAGGCCCAGATAAATAAATCACAGATGAAAAAGGAGGCATTACAACTGATACTACAAAAATTCAAAGGGTCATTATTGGCTACTATGACCAAACTATCTGCAATAAATTGGAAAATTTAGAGGAAATGGATACATTCCTAGACACATACAACCTACCAAGATTGAACCATAAAGAAATCCAAAACCCGAACAGATCAATGACAAGTAATGAGATTTAATCCATAATAAAAAGTCTGCCATAGAGTTTTTCAAAAACAAACAAACAAACAAACAAAAAAAGTCTGCCAGTAAAGAAAAGCCTGGGAACCAATGGATTAGCTGCTGAATTCTACCAAACATTTAAAGAAGAACTAATACCAATCCTACTCAAACTATTCTGAAAAATATAGGAAAAGGAATACTTCCAAACTCATTCTACGAAGCCAGTATTATCCTGATACCAAAACCAGACAAAGACACATCAAAAAAAGAAAACTACAGGCTAATATTGCTAATGAATATTGATGCAAAAATCACCAACAAGATAGTAGCAAACTGAATTCAACAATGCATCATTCATCATAACCAAGTGGGCTTTATTCCAGGTATGCAAGGATGGTCCCACATATGCAAATCAATCAGTGTGATAAATCATTTCAACAGGATGAAGGATACAAACCATACGATTATTTCAATTGATGCTGAAAAAACATCTGATAAAATTCAACATCCCTTCATGATTTAAAAAACCCTTAAAAAAATTGGATATAGAAGGACCATACTTCAACATAATAAAAGCCATCTATGACAGACCCACAGCTGGTATTGTTTAATTTCCATATAATTATATGGTTTTGAGCTCTTTTCTTTGTATTGATTACTACTTTTATTGCACTGTGGTTCAAAAGTATGGTTTGTAGGATTTTTAAAAATTTGTCAATGATTGTTTTATGTCCAATTGTATGGTCAATTTTAGAGTATGTGCCATGTGCAGATGAGAAGAATGTATATTTTTATGTGTTTGGGTGGAGTATTCTGTAAATGTCTATTAGGTCCATTTGGTCATGTGTCAAGTTCAGGTCCTGAATATCTTTGTTAATTTCTGCCTTGATGATTTGTGTAATATTATCAGTGGAGTGTTGAAGTCTCCCACTATTATTGTGTGGTTATCTAAGTCTCTTTGTAGCTCTCTAGGAACTTGGTTTATGAATTTGGGTGCTCCTGTGTTGGGTGTGTATATATTCAGGATAGTTTGGTCTTGTCAAATTGAACCCTTTATCATTATGTAATGTTCCTCTTTGTCTTTTTTGATCTTTGTTCTCTTAAAGTCTGTTTTGTCTGAAATTAGAATAGCAACCCCTGCTTTTTTCTGTTTTCCATTTGCTTTGTAGGTTTTCCTCCATCTCTTTAATTTGAGCCTGTGTGTTTCGTTGCATGTGAAATGGGTCTCTTAAAGACAGCATAGTATTTGGTCTTGCTTCTTTATCCAACTTTCCACTTTGTGCCTTTTAATTGGGGTGTTTAGCGAGTTTATATCCAAGGTTAGTATTGATATGTGTGGATCTGATCCTGTCATCATGTTGTCAGCTGGTTATTATGCAGACTTTTATATGTGGTTGCTTTATAGTGTCACTGGTCTATGTACTTAAGTGTGTTTTTGTAGTGACTGGTAACAGTCTTTTCTTTCCATGTTTAGTACTCTCTTCAGGACTTCTTGTATGGCAAGTCTGGTGGTAATGAAATCCCTTAGCATTTGCTTGTCTGAGAAATATCTTATTTCTCCTTTGCTTATGAAGCTTAGTTTGGGTGGATATGAAATACTTGGTTGAAAATTCTTTTCTTTAAGAACGCTGAATATAGGTCCCATTGTCTTCTGACTTGTAGGGTTTCTGCTGAAAGGTCCTCTGTTAGCCTGGTAAGGTTCCCTTTGTAGGAAAACTGCCCCTTCTCTCTAGCTGCCTTTGACATTTTGTCTGTCACTTTGACCTTGGAGAATCTGATGACTATGTGTCTTGGTGATGGTCTTCTTATGTACTATTTCTCAGAGGTTGTCAGCAATTCCTGCATTTTAATATTGGCCTCTCTGTGAGTGAGGTTGGGGAATTTTTATGGATGGTATCCTAAAATATGTTTTCCAAGTTGCTTGCTTTTTCTCTCTGTCTTTCTCGGATGCCAATGTGTCATAGATTTGGTCTCTTTACAAAATCCCATATTTCTCAGATATTTTGTTCATTCTTTACTGTTTTTTCTTTATTTTTATGTGAGTTATTTTAGACAACAGGTCTTTGAGCTCTGAGATTCTTTCCTCAGCTTGGTCAAGTCCTCTGTTAATACTTGTAATTCTATTATGAAATTCTTGAAGTGAGTTTTTCAGCTCTATCAGCTCAGTTTGGTTCTTTCTTAAAATAACCATTTTGTTTTTCATCTCCTGTATCATTATATTGTATTCCTTAGATTCTAAGGATTCCTTGGATTGGGTTTCAACTTTCTCTTGAATGTCAGTGACCTTCATTCCTATCCATATTCTGAATTCCATTTCTGTCATTTTAGACATTTCAGCCTGGTTTAGAATCATTGCTGGGGAATTAGTGCAGTCATCTGTAGGTAACAAGACACTGGCTTTTTGAGTTTCCACAGTTCTTACATTGGTTCTTATCTGTATGGGCTGATCTTCCTTCAGTCTTTGAAGTTCCTGTCCTTTGAATGGGGTAGGTTTTGTTTTGTTTTGTTTTGTTTTGTTTTGTTGCTTTTATCTTCTTTGATGTCCTGAGGGTTTGATTGTGGCATAAGTTGAGTTCAGCTGATGGGCTTCATTTATGGTAGATTTGGGGGGTTGTGGGGAGCCAAGGTTCAGTTCAGTACTCCTGGACTGCATGCTCTAATTCTAGGGAGCTGGTATCGGGTACCTGGCTTTGTTCTCTGGCCCCTCAAGGTGAGAACCTGCTGTGCTGAAGGGGCTGAGGTGTTCTGAGACCACTGGCCACAACACTTTGAAGGATGGTACCAGCCAAAGCAATTTATCAGGTGGTGTCAGCAGGATCTGTGCTTGTTTGCATGTGCTAGCAGCAGTGGCAGTGTGGCAGGGTGCACGCACATTGGGTGGTGTGGAGCGCTGGGAGGCCCAGGGCTTCCAGCCTCTGTTTGGGGGTTGTCTGAAGCAGTGGTGGTATCGTGGGGGTAGAGGAGTCAGCACAGGGTGCCCACAAATGCAGGGCTGGTGACCTCTGTGCACATGTTCATGCTGCTGGTGGTGGTGGTATGGGGCAGGGGGCAAGGTTGCTGGTGTCCGTGCAGCATGGGGGTGGGTGCGCTTGTGCTGGCAGCAATGGCATGGTAGGGTGCACACACATGCATGCACCAGCAGGGAAGGGGAAGTGAGGCCTACCTTCACACACGTGCATCAGCAAAGCAATGGGGGCTTTGGCTGTGGGCAAGTGTGTGTTGGCCAAGTGGCACAGGGGAGGCTGCAGTCAGGGAAGGGTGTGAGTGGGCTGGTCCACATTGGTGGAGGCCACTCTGCTAGAGCTTTTCAATGGTCAGGTACACTCAGCCAGTGCAAGAGCTATGATGTGGGCCCCTGCCCTGGTTGGGCATCTAAAGCTGCACTGCAAGCAGGCACTGCCAGATTGGGTCTCCAAGAGAGGCCAGCAGACAGAAATGAGCTCAGGTCCTACTGGCCCCATCTCATGGTCAAGATTGCCCTCCTCTGTTCAGGTTAGACAGTTCCCCTAAGGCTAGAATCTCCTAGGAGAGCATAGCAAGCCTTGGGGGATGAGCGTGCCTGGGTCATGCTCCCCTGAAGATGTTTCTGCACCAGACACTCTAGACTCCACACAGGCTGGGATCCTGCCCCTACTACCTCTCTAAGCAACTCTCCCTGCCAGCTCAGGTGCCCATGCAGGTCATGGGGTCTCCTGCTGCCAGGATTCCAGAGGTCCATATTAAGACAGGCTCCTTCTTGCCTGCTTACCTCACCCCTTCCCCAAGAGTCACTGGAGGCCAGGAATGAGTCCCATTGCATGGTAGCCCCATGCAGGGTTCCCAGCTTCCTCCCACTTCAGCCCAGTGCCTGTGTCACCCCTCCATCCACTCTCAATGTCTTCCTTACAAAGATCTGCTGGAAGTGTGCCAGTCTTCCCAGTGTCCTGGTCTCTCAGTGGTAGATGTTCCTCCTAGTTGCATCCAGGTAGTCATCTTGCCTCTAAATTGAGTTTTCGTTTCTAATATTTAACCTTTAAATTCTAAAGTGTTCATTTTTTAATAGATTCTGTTTCTTCACTGAGATTCCACAACTGTTCAATCATTTTGGCAATTTTCTTCCTCTAAGACCTTGAACATATTTATAATGGCTGCTTTAAAGTGCTTATCTGCTAATTCCATGATCTGGGTCATCTAAAAGTCATTTTCCACTAATTGCTTTATCTCTTTATTATAGATTAAATTTTCCTGTTTCTCAACAGCTATCATCAATTTTTTTTAGATTTTTATACTAGATATTTTGGATAATTCATTGTAGATACCCTGGATTCCATTATGTTCCTCTGAAGAAGGTGTGTTATAAATAATTCGATGATCAAATTGAACTTGTGGAGGCTTGATTTTGTGCTCTGTTAGTGTGACTCTCTTTCAGTTTTTCCCATTGTCCTAAGGTGAATCCCTTAATATGGAAACATAACTTTTACCTCTAAGACATGATCCTTCTGGAGTTTCAGTGGTAAGCCCCGTATATTCACCAAGCCACCTTAAAACTCCAAACTGTCTTTTCTGCCATGAATATCTACTGAAATAACTGCAGCATTTTCAGTCTTCTATCCCCTCTTTTCTCCTGGGATTTTTGGGGTCTTTTCCTGCCCACCCCCCACTACATGCATGGTTCAGATCATACAAGATTTGAAAGCAGTTTATAGGCAGATTTGAGGACTCTCCTTCTGTAGCTTCCTCTTTGTCAGAGTCTCTCCCCTTAAATTCTATCTGAATTGCCATCCTCGAATTCCACTATTTGACCCCTAAAGCCAAGCTTTCCTTTTGATTTCTAACTGCCCCACATTTCATGTTCTTGGCACCCATATCGGGATAAAAACTGCATAAACATGGATCTCATAATTGCTGCCTTAATGAGAGTTAATCCAAGAAAAATTCTTCCACCATTACCAGAACCGGAAAACCAACAAACTAATATTCAAAGGGACAACAGTAGAACATTTGTCTTTGCCATTCTTTCTTTGTTCAACAATTTATTCTTGGATTAACATGAAATAGAGTGTCATCTGCTTCTCAGTAACTCAAGTTCCTATTTTAACTTTAAATCCAACTTTATGTGCCAAACCCTCTAGCCAAAGGCTTATTTTCTTAATTGATTTTGCTTGATCTTTTCTGAATTTTCTATTCCTGAACCTGTTGGTAGCACTAGCATCACACCTACTCATGTAGGCTGCCCTAGACTTCTAGGATCTGATTGATGAGATATCTGCTAAGTAAACCCAAACTACTAATAGCATGTGACTTTAATGAGCTATTTGAGTAGAACTTACAATGCAACAGCATACTCTGCAAATTGGTCAGAGGAACAGACAGGCAGTGTAGCTTATGCTTATGGAATTTTATTGTTTAGCCAGGAAGAAAAAATGCATACTTCTTTTTAAGAGAAGTATGACTTCTTTTTTCTTTGACCATGTTGATTTTAATACTGTTCTCTTGGCCTTCGACACCAGAGCAATTGCCTGTGGCTTTATTTGACTCTTGTCATAGAATTTACCCCCATGTTACACTCCTGCCATTCTATATCTGTCACTGCCCCGACATTTTCAAATGAAAGGAAATTTGAAGGGCATCTATACTCTGACACAAACTTTCTCCCACAAAAACATATATAACATGTGATAGTAGTGATAGTTCTCAGCATTATGAATTTCTCTAAACCTTAGTGAACAGTTGGAGTAGAATGGATTGACACAGAGTTGAGGAGAACCTAGTTCATGGGAAAAGCAGATAGAAATGTTGGTACAGAGGCCGAGCACGGTGGCTCATGACTGTAATACCAGCACTTTGGGAGGCCGAGGTGGGAGGATCACCTGAGGTCGGGAGTTTGAGACGAGCCTGATCAACATGGAGAAACTCCGTCTCTACTAAAAATAGAAAATTAGCCGGGCATGGTGGCACATGCCTGTAATCCCAGCTACTGGGGAGGCTGAGGCAGGAGAATCACTTGAACCTGGGAGGCAGAGGTTGCGGTGAACCGAGATCACGCCACTGCACTCCAGCCTGGGAAACAAGGGTGAAACTCCGTCTCAAAAAAAAAGAAAAAAAGAAATGTTGGTACAGAATACCAGGAGGCAAATCCTACAAAACTAAAGTCATATGCAAGATTTTTCTTCCAATAATATTCTCAAATTAAGAGTATTTAATGTTTCTCTTGAGAAGACATTCAAGTAAAAGAAATATATGCTTTTGAAATAAGGAATAGGTAGGAACATCATATAACTTTTATTCTATCACCTACTAATTTATGTATGTTTCTTCCCAGTAGATTGTAAAGTCTTTGACAACAGAGTTTAGCTTTTTTATCTTTGAATTTCCATATTCTCCCAGCATAGATCCTTGCTTATAATCAGTTCTTAATGAGTGTATGTTGCAGTTAAAATTGAGATTATTTAATTTCAGTGAATTCTGGACCTAAATTCTGTACTATTTTTATTTGTGAAGAGCATGATCCATTCTATTGAAGAAAAGGTAATCCATTCTCCAGTTTCCCTATTGTTCAATGTTGACAATTGAGGATTTTCTCTGCAGTATTTGATTTGGAGGAAACATTCACATTAATTAAGATATACTGGATTTTCCATGCATTTGTGAACCTTCTACCCTCATTTCTACTTTGAAAACAAAAGATAAGATGGATTGGTTTTGATCATAATGTGTGAATTCTGTATGTAGAATAGACACTCATAGCTAAATTATACCTTATCACCTTTGTCAAGGAAGAATTAGAAAAGTGATTAAAACCCAGAAGAAAATAGCATAAAGAGAGAGCAGTGTCTGAGATTATGCTAGTCTACTGGACAGTAACAAGATATTTCAAATTTTACTCAAAATGCTTCTCTGAAAAGTGTGCAGAAGAGGTTCTTTGTAAGTAATTTAACAACTAGTATTATTTATTCCATGGATGTTTAATATTGCCAGCAGTCACTTATATTTTTGCATTAATTTGTATAGAAATAAGTAAATCTTGAATTTAATAAACCCTCGTCTCAGTTGTTTTTATGATTTTATTGAGAAAAAGTGCTCTTTTATCATAAATAACTTACAGAATGACAAGAGGGCAAATTGTTTAAAGTCCTAAATGTATAATTTATACATCTGAAGTTTTGTAGTGTAAAGATATGTGTCCTTTTATACATTTGTGTACATGTGTAAATTACAAGCCTTGCAGATATTGTTTGGCTATACTCAAAATGGCTGTTACTCAAAAGACAAATCACTTGAAGTTCTTCTTCCCACTTCCAGAATAACAGCCATTGGTTTGTGGCTATAACTGGTTTTCATAGAGCCGACTTAAATGTACAGATTCCTTTGTGTTTCCTAAAATATTTTTTTAAATCCTACCCCATCTGCTTTTTCTACTGTTGGTTCATCTGTCTGCTGCTAGTATTTACCTGTGGTTCACAGGCAAGCTTCATTACTTAAAATTTACTTTTACTGGATCCTTGAAGCATATCGTATATCCTTGTTGATTGCAGTCTCCTCTTCATGTGGAATCTATTTCATCATGTTGCTATATATATATATATATATATATATATATATATACATATCATTCTTGTTCATATATATATGTGTGTGTATATATATATGTGTATATATATATATATATATACACACATATCATTCTTGTTCATATATATATGTGTGTGTATATATATATGTATGTATATATAAATCTTGTTCTTATATATAAACCAAAAAGATAGCCTAAATCTATATGATATTATTTAAGGAGCATAAAAAAAATCCTGGACTAAAATCTCTTCCTGACTGGATTAACTGTAATTCAAGACATTAAAGCCCACTGTTAAAATGCAAATGCTTCCTCAAAGGGGCAAAACATAGAATTTTTTCAAAGCATTAACTCCTCACCTTGAATTATTTTATCAGACTAACCATAAAATAGAATATGACTGAAGAGTGGAATATATAGGATGAGTAAGTAATGAAGAAAAGACCAAAGAAGAAAAAGATCCAGAGCATTGGTCTGCCTGATTCTCATGGTATTTAGCAGTGTTAGGATCTCAGTACCTAGAAGACAGCAGTAGGTCACTGGGTACCTGGAAACAAAAGGGCTGGAAAAGTACGACAGAAAGGAATCATCTATTTCACAACTTTTACAGGAGCTCACCTTCCCTGCTCTTATCTACCTCAGATATCCTGCTAGTGTTGGGATAAGAGTTGGTTCAATGCTAGTGGCCTGGCTGCATTCTAGCACCTTATTGTTGTTATTTAATTCTGGGTATGACTTATAGATGCTGTTGATTAAAAAGAAACAAACACACATTTAAACAGCAAGACATTGCATCTTCAGAGGGTGATGTGCAAATTAAGGTGAAATCACTGGTCTGTAATTCTTGATAACTGTTCTTATCTTATGCAGAAATTGCACAGATGGAGAGGGGAAGCAATTCACTGAATAACACTTTTGGGTAAAAAAAAAAAAATCATCCAGAATAGGATGGACTATTTACAAATGTATCATAGGGCAGTATTCAAAACTGGAATCCTTTTCTGTCCAGATTTGTGCCCAGTAAAGTCCTATGTATAAAATTCCCTGCATAAGAATCTGGCCCTTTATTAGCAAATGCTTAGTTTCTATATAGGGATTAAATAGGACCCAAAGGCATCTCCGAATTGTATCCCTGTAAATGTCTAACAGTTAGAAGAGGAAAATGTGATTTGATCATCTGGGCAAGTAACTATTATGCCCTCTTTTTAGGCCTCCCTGGTCTGCTTTTTACATTGCCCAGACTCTGTGTGGTGATTGAACATTGTCCAAGCTGTGCTGCTGTTCAAAACCAGACTCATGTTGAGTTTGTGCAACTGCAATGACAAAGTGCTGGGGAAGACAGCTTTCTTATTCACATGACTATGCACCAAACACTGGGAGGCCTGAGATGTGAAACAGCCAAACAGTCTGTCAATTGTAGCTTTTTTTCAACTCTGAAGTAAATCTTAAAATAAATCTTAACTTCATGACATTTGTTATATCAAAACTAGATCTTTGCCAGATGTAGAATAGAAAGAAACAACCTCTTCCCCTGTGGCTAGTACCAGAAATAGCCAATTAGAAATCATGCTTTGTGATGACTGTTTCATGCTAAACTGGATTAATTCAAGAAGTACTCAGAGGTTTGTTTGTTTGTTTGTTTGTTTGTTTTCAAGCCTACAAATGAGCCTTGTGAAAGGCCAAGTCTAAGCATGTTTTTTCTTAGTAGCTTTGAGCTCTTTCTCTGACTTTCTCTATGTGTCTCCCTTATTATGACTTTTTAAAAACAACTTTATTGAGATATAACTGCCATACCATACAATTCACTCATTTAAAGTGTATTATGCGGTGATTTTCAGTATATTCACAGAGTTGTACAACTATTACCACACTCTAATTTTATAAAAATTTTATCACCCTAAAAAGCATCCATTAGCAATCATTCCACATTTTTCCCCAAACTGCCAGGCCCTAGGCAGCCACTGGTCTACTTTCTGTCTCTATTGCAGGTCATTTTTGCATGTTTTTCAATTTAATTGGCACAGTCATCTTATGTGATTGGTATTAGTCTCTCTAGTTTACAGATAAAGAAACTAAGGCTCAGATAGACTGATACTTTCCCAAGGTCACATAGTTGGTAGAGCTGGGATTTCAATCTAGGCCTGTCTGCTCAAAGCTCTCATGTTTTTTCCAGTATGCTAAAGTGAGGTATGGCATAGGATCTTAACTCTTAGATTGAATCATATGAAATTGCCAACATGAAGTCATTTTTCACCTACAAAGATGGCAATTTCATAGGGTTTAACCTAAACAAATACTGAACACCTTCTGTAGGAATGGGCCTTAATGAATGATTATTGTCCCTGTCCTCAAAAACCTTTTCATTTGCTTAAGAAGTTAGCATCTACAGATGATTTTATAGCTCAGATGTACTCCTGGCCCTCTTTTTCTTTCTCCTGAAGACACGGTAAATATCTTCACATCCATGAGGCCATCCATCTGGTTTCAAGTGAATCGCTTAAAACAATTGTAGGGTTTTTTTTTTTAATGTTGAATTGCATATAAAAGAAATAGAGAAAAATGCAGAGTCTTTTGCAAACATAAGGAATGCTCTTGGTCCAACTTGAATATGGCAAGAGCCCATATGCCCCAATGACTGAGATGTCACAGCTCCACCCTGTTCCTTACCAACATCTCTCACAATGAAGATCTGGGTTGGGATAAAACTCAGGAATAGGGCAAGGTTCAGGAAAGAGGTAAGGATTTCTATTTTTCACATTATTTGGTAATGGCTACATCAAAGCAACTGTCAAAGTGTCATGTAGACTTCAAGATATGAACTACTCTATAGGCATGGGACAGAACCTAGAAGCCTTACCTTATTAGCATAGAGCTCTGAGCTTCTTTTCTATTTTAGCAAGGAATCACACACTACTAACTATAAACAGTACAGTGGGGAGGGGGATACCTAATAGAAAAAATGTCTTACTGGGAATGGCATGTCTTGCATCTGAAAGAGCTGTTAACCTTATTCTCACTGACTTTAAACACACATATGCACATGATAATGGTATGGGTTGGTAGAGGAACAGGGTTTCTCTCTCTCTCTCTCTCTCTTTATTTATCTCTCTCTCTTCATTTTTCTCTCTCTCTTCAGTTGAGCAGGATTATCATAAATCTTACTTCCTTTAGAGTACTGCTTATGATGTTTTATTTATATTTAGCTGTTTATGCTTTTGAAGAATACCTGATAGATCATCCTTATGTGAAAGAGCCGGAACATTAAAGATGGATAACTACCTAACAAATTATATTCTTGTCTAACTTCTATCAAATAATTCTGTATGGTATTATAAAATACTATAAACAAGAAACTCAGTAAACTATTGTGTTTCCCTTTATTAATTTTGGCAGCAATTACTCTAGCTGCAATTAGGTGTTATGTTATCTTTTCAATATGCCATATGATAGGAAGTAAAAGGGAGAGTTTAAATTCAAGAAAGTTCTAAATTACTTCATAGGTCTTGGTTCTCTTTCATCATCCTCTTAAATCCCTATCACCGCAAGGAAAGTAAATAGCAGGTTGTGTTATGATGGATTAGCATTGGCAGATGCACAGCTGGGCATAACTAAGACAGTTGTTGGAAGCCAAAGTTCTTATGGATTGCCCACATCTGTTGCCCAAGTTTCCTGTGTCTATTGACACTAATGATAATCCTCCTTCTTAACAGGCTTAGCATGCAAAATGTCTCTGGAGACTTCCTCAGGAGAGGTGCTGCTTTTCTGTTGATTTAGAGATCTACCTGTCTAACCTATGACTTCATCCAAGCTACACAAACTCTTCCTGTATGTGTATTTTGGATAAGATGATATTATTAAAAAGACTATCAAATGCTTCTCTTTTTAGATATAAATCTGCAGGAAGGTGCCACTGGCAGACTGTTGGCATAATTATTCCCAATTTCTGTGAATCATTGTGCTCAGTTTCTGAAGACAGTCTTCACTGAGGTTGTTGTAAGGTTCATAATACACACTTTTAATTTCCTTTAAAATTCTGCCAATTAAAACTGTACTCATCTCGGGGTCTTCTCAGAAAGTAATGACACTTTTATCCTTTAGGCTTCCAGAAGTCTGGGGATTTGCAGTCACTGAAGTAATCTCCTGCTTTATTCCATATTCTCTGCCTCTAATTCAGACTCTTATAGATAAATATTAAACTCTTCCTGCAAAACCTATAAATCTTCGGGTAACTCTTATGGCAACATTATATAAAGGGATTCTTTCCTTCTGGGGGTTGAACTAGCAGGTAATAATTTATCCAGTACTATTATCATCTTAAAAATTTTTGTCATGCAGAGTCCCATTAGGTTAAAAAATGTCTCATCATTATATTATACAGAAGTCTTGACTTCTTGCTGAGCTAGCTCTTCATTCAGTTATAAACTGCATCTGGAGAGTGACATTTCAGGATCAACATTGTGTGCAGAGAATGAACCTGCTCCTCTAGCATGAAAACCATTATTTCCTTAAGGAACATTGATATGCTAATTATTTTTTACTGAGAAATTGGGTCAGGGCTGTACATACCACAGCTACCAGACAATCTCTATCTTTGAATAATGTAATGGATGGATATCTTTTCAAAACAGTTCCTAATATGGAATATCTAACCCTCTTACAATCTCCATTTTGTTGCTCTAACTGACACTTAGAGTTACAAATGAGATCAAAGTTGATGCACTCTGAGAATAAGACCAGCTACCATTCTACAAGTGAGATTGCTGTTAGCTACTTTTTTTCCACCTGAATTTGTTTTTATTTCCTCTTTGTTAAGACACTTCAAAAGAAAATTTTAAATCTGATCTGAACATCCCACAATAGGGCTAAATGTTTGGGTACCAAAATCATTCAAATATTATAGTGTGGTAAGTAAATTTTATATCTACAGTAAAGTTTATAGCTACTAGAAAGGAAGTGCTGTGTTTATTCATTGCCCCCAAGAGAATGCTTTCTTTGGAAATGAATGGCTTCTTTTCATTTTTAAGGAATGGGAACCATACAAATGGCAAAGGAGACTGAGCTGAGATTGAGCTCAGGGGAGGATAGGCTGTATGTACAAAGGACTTTGCCAATCAAAGAAATGTTGGTAGTCATTGGAAAGAGTCATATTTCATTAGTAACCTTGAGTTTTGATATTTTGTATAAATTGGAAAAAAACTTACTTGGATGTACTTGCATGAGCCCAGTGAAAGGTGGTGAAGAAAACACCCTGGGGTTGGTTAACATTGGTTATTGCAGAGAGAGATTGATAGTAGGAGTGGAAAGAGATACTTAAGGGCTTTTTTTTAATGCAACTTTGTGTTGTTTCGCTTGTTATAACACACAATTATTGCCATTGTAACTTTTAAAATCAAAATGTATTTTTCGATGAACTTACTTTTACTAAGAAAAAAAGTGGTTAAATCTTTATCGCTGGTAGACTTTTCTTTAAGCTATATTTAGATTAACAAGCATGGAATGTTGTAAGTAGTGTCCACAACCACAGAATTATAGATGTGGTTTTAAGATTGTTTTTATACTTCATACCTTAGTATCATTGAGAAACCCCAAACCACAAAAGTGATTGCCCACACCTCCTGAACAGGTGAAAACGTACTGTGGATACTGCAAGATCATATGAATACACTACTAATATTAAATGGAACCTTTTCCCATCTGGTTTATCTTCTTTCAGCCAAGAAAGACAAATGTTCATTAAAGAAAATTAGGGAAAAAAAAAGAAAGAAAGAAAGAAAGAAAATTAGGTAAGAAAAGAAGCATCTTGTCCAGACCTGAAGATTCCTCCCTTTCAGACAAAATCAAGAAAAGAATTTTGTCCTCTGACAAACTCAACTCTTTTTATCACAAAATATAAAATTGTAAGTTAGAGGAGACTTTGAGAATCCATCTATAAGTCCCTTCTTTAAAGAAAGCAGGTGACCAAGTAACAAAAAACCCTAGGTATTAAGAGACTGCCCTAAAGCCATACAGTTAGTAAGTCAAATCCCAATCTACTGTTTCCATTTTCCATTGTGACCTACAGCTCCTGCTCTTGGAAATTTTGCAACCACTGGCAGTATAGGAATATGAAACAGAAGTATCCCTCAAAGGTTCCTGTCATAATGTTGTAAAGCAAATGGGACAAATGTAACTTTGGGAGTACTTTTTTCATGCAAATTGTTCACATTATGGAGAAACAGAATGTTATCTTATAAGAAACATCTGTAACTGTAAACAAATGTAGATGCCCCTGAAACATTGTAGAAGTAAACATGTGTTTTATTATAGGATATTAATGTGTGCTAAATTATGCAGTTATGATGATTGTTGAGATATATAAATACTTGGCCAGGCCTGGTGGTAGCTCATGCATGTAATCTCAGCATTTTGGGAGGCTGAGGCAGGCAGATCACTTGAGGCCAGGAGTTTGAGACCAGCCTGGCCAACATGGTAAAACTCCATCTCTACTAAAAATGCCAAAATTAGCCTAGTGCACTGGCATGCACCTGTAATACCAGCTACTCAAGAGGCTGAGGCATGAGAATTACTTGAACCCAGGAGGCAGAGGTTGCAGTGAGCCAAGATCCAAGATCTCACCACTGCACTCCAGTCTGGGTGATGGAGCGAGACTCTGTCTCAAGAAAGAAATTAAAATAAAAATAAAATAAATATATAAATTCTTTCTAAAACTACAGGAAAACTCAAAATTACAACAGTGTGGTGACATAATGAGAGTGTGTTCTGATGGGACTATTTTGACATGATCAAAACAATGGAATAATCATCAGCTGCATTTGGTTTCCCTTTCTTTTGTGACCTCACATCGAATGTTTATAATTGTATGGTTTGAGCATTATGAGAAATAGTGTAACATGTAAAACAATGTAAACAGAGAATATTTTTCAAAAAGAATAATAAGAATTTGAAGAATAGGTGAGGCATTAAAATTCTGCTGTTGCTTGCTTATGACAAAGGCTTAATGAAAAGAAAGTGGCACTATTAATTTATCCTCATGATAAAGTTTTCCAGAGGGAAACAAAACAAAGCACATGGCTATGAATACTTTTTCATGACAATTTTTATACTCTACATAGTAAACAGCACCCCAAGTGTTAACTTCATCCTAGGAAGAATCAATATAATGCTACAATTTACTCCAAATCATTCAGCCTACAGAATTATATGTAGTCAGTCAGAGTAAACATTATGTATTACTTTCAAAAACTACGTGGGCTTCTGTGTTGTATTTGCCTTTTTAATTTTATTTTATTTTATTTGTAAATAGTTACCAGATCACCTCCCTCTGATGGGGATTAAGCACAAAGTCATTTCTCATAAACTATATCTTGTTTTTACCCAGAAAAAATATAATAACCAAAAATATATGCTGTTTATTAAATCCCAATTATGAGCCCATTATTAGAAGTATATCATGTACTTCTCACAGCAAACCTGAAACATAGCTATTATTTTCCTCATTTAGTAGACATATAAACTGGAGCTGAGAGGAGGTAATTTGTGCATTTACTGAAAGCTGTGCCGGGATTTGATCCTCAATCTGTCAAAGGCTGGAGCTGAAATCTATGCTGTTTCCACAGTACTATACTTTTTCCCTAAGAAAATCATGCCAGTGTGATTTTCTCCAAAAAATCCAATTTCTTTTTGATTTGGAGCTTCTCGTAATAAATTCTTCATTAATGTTGCATACATACTGAAGAGCTATCTATGCATGACAGGCCTATATCCAGCAACTTCCACATTTCTCAAGACCACCCCAAACCCCTTGCCTCTTTCTCTTTTGGTTAGCGACTCTTTTCTCTGCATTCCCAAATGTTTTTGGATTCTCCTAATTATTCCATTATTCTTTCTGGAAGACCTCGATTCAATTTTGTGGGACAATCCTGCTGCCTATTGAAAAATTTCAGTGGTATAAGACTTCTTTCCAGAATCCCTTTTCAGAATATCTTCTCTCTCAAGATGTTTAACTTTTCAATTCCACAACCTTGGTTTTCATTATCTTCATCTTCTTCACTGTTTCAGCTTTTCTTTATTAATGTAGCATACATACTGAAGGGCCTTTACCCTCTCTGAGAAGAAACTTGTACCCACTGTCCCACTGTGCAGTGCCAAGAGAGTAATTTCTTTCCCTTTTCTCTTTATTTTCTCAACAATAGTTTTGTTTCCCCTCCTGCTTCTCACAGTACTGTAATTGTTGCAGTCCTTCGTATAATATGTCCTTTGTTCTATCTGGAGTCTATTTCTGCTTTTTGGCAATCTGGAATATCAAAAGGTATTCTTTAAGCTTACTTTCTCCTTTTTCATGGTGAATATAAATGATGATGGCCTCTGACAAGAAAGACAAATACAGCAAACTCCCTGCAAGTCAATCAAACAAATACCTTGAGGTACCAATCTTATTTGAGTATAGCTTGATTCACAAGTAGAACACCACAGTCCTTTGTAATTTTCCTCCATAGCTGTCTCAGTGAACTGCGAGTTGTGCTGGGCTCTGCTCTCTCTGGGCTTTGAAAGTTCACTTTGTTCATCTGTCTGCCTGTAAGTCCACCAAGGACCACTGATTGACAGTTGCTGACATAATGTCAGCAAATTTCCACTGGTCATCATGAGTATCTTGAAGGCCTAGCAGATTATAATCCACCCAGAGAAACAGAGTAAAACTCTAGGAGAATTTTAGGTAATAAATTTCTTAATTCTGCCTTTTAGCCTTTGTTGTAAGGTCAAGATGTACCTATTCACCCCAGACAATGACTGTCATTTAAGGACATTGAATATAATAGAAAAGAGTCAGAGGAGAGCTCTGAGGTCATGTCTCTTAAAAGTACTAATAGAGTAATTCAGCCATATATAGAAAAAAATGGATATATTTTTTAAAAAAATGGTTAGGACCAACTTTTCTTTTCTGGGTATAAGCAACACCAGTGTTTGATAAAAGACAGAATGTACTGAGTATTTCTTCACAATCAATATTGAAAAATACAGTATCATAACCTGAAATGGGAAGTGCAAGTCTAAATGCTTCAAATTATTTTATCTTGACATTGGAGAATTTTTGTTCATCTGAGAAAGTAAAGCTTCTGAGGGTTAAATCTGGAATACTAGAGATATCCTGAGAAACAGAAAAGGAACAAGTGTAACTGTATATGTTGACTGATGGTCTCACTGTGATATAAGATGCTTTAGGAGAATGGAGAAAGGGCCTTGTCAGGGAAGGATGTTAATTAAGTCAAAGCCCTGTCGAATGAACCCTAGCTCTCCAGCTCTTAGTTAAGAGCAGCCACTGAGCAGCAATTGGGTGAGTTTAGTGCTTTTGATTTGTTTGTAAAATAGCATCAGCTGAGCCATAGGTCGCTACCCTTTTAAGAAACACCACAAGATTATGGACAGTGATAAGTTTGAATCTCCTACCAAGAGATGCTGAATGGTTTCCTGGAACCTCAAAAGCAAAGCTATTCTGTGTAATTTCGCTATCTCTCCTCTGTTATTTCAGCCTTGTTTCAGGTGTGAAGCAGGGATTATCATGGCTGTCTTCAAAACATTATTCACTCTGGCCCAGAGTCCTCTTTAGAGGATGCTGATTATTTGAGATTTATAAGATGTTTTGACACTGTTGATCGCAAGAGTCCTGTTGGCCTGAATGATAGCTCTATGGCTGCTATAAAACCCAAAAGGACTCTGGAAAGCAGAACGGGCAACTCTAACCCCTCTAGGTCCTTAGCTATAAAATCTGTTGGACGTTATCTGATCCCATGCCTTGTTTTTCACTAGCATGCCTATGCCCTCTATCTGCTAGTATTTCATGCCATATATATACATTTTTTGAGACAGAGTCTTACTCTGTCACCTAGACTGGAGTACAGTGGCATGATCATGGCTCACTGCAGCCTCAACTTTCCTGGGCTCCAGAGATCCTCCAGCCTCAGCCTCCCAAATAGGTGGGACCACAGGCATGCACCACCACACCTGCCTAATTTTTGTATTTTTGGAAGAGACTGGGTTTCACCATGTTGCCAAGGCTGGTCTCAAACTCCTGAGCTCAAGCAATCTACCTGTTTCAGCCTTCCAAAGTGCTGGGATTACAGATGTGAGCCATCATGGCCGGCCTATTTCATGTCTTAAATGTGAGTTTTAAACAAAGAGGTTTGCCTCAACGGTGACCAAAGCTATTTTAAAAATGGTTATAGAAGAAGAGCTGTCAAAAAGCCATCAAGGTTAACTCTAAGTTAATTTTGAAAAATTTGAAAGATGTAGACATGAACTAAGCTGCTTCAATAGTGAAAGAGTGAATATTTAAAATATAGCCATGGTATTCAAGGCAGGAGTAAATAGCCACTGGGCTTTGAGGAATCTTTGGGCCACAAAATCTTCCTTGATTGTTTCTGACCTATCCACAGGCCTGTCTCCCTTGATAAAGAGTGAAGGACTTTACAATGAAAATCCTTGGTGATTTTTCATTCAATCTGAATAACTAACTCATTCTATCTGGACCTTACACAGATAGATAAAAATTGCAGTTTGTGTATAATGAAGCAGCATGATTTCTGGGAATCCAGACTGCTAATATCCTATCACAGAGGTTCTTAAGTTGTGTGTGACTTAATTAGGTAATATTTATTTGATTCAATACTGTGTCTGGCAGACTTAAAAAGATTCTCAGGAACTTTAAGGAAACTCACACTGGGGGTGACAAGAAAAGAAAGAGATCAAGGAGTCTTGATCAAGCAAGTTAGAGTGGGAAGTCCTAGAATAAAAAAATGAACATGTACTGAAAAGGAAATGTCTTTTTCCAGATTTGATTATTTAGGAAGGTCACTAGACTATATGCGCTCAAAGAAGAGTACATGAAGGCAAAGCGATCAACTTAGAAACACATCCCTATTGAGGAAAATGATCCAATTTCTGCTTGTCTGTTTGTCTTTTTATCATTGCTGATCCAATGTGTGTTACCTGCATTGTGATGATGATGTCACAGGTGTATGCAAATGTCCAAATTCTTCAAATTGTACACATTAAATATATGCAGTTATTTGTGTATCAATTATACCTCAAAAAAATGGGGAAAAAAACCCCTACTAGCCTAGCCAATAGACTGAACCTGGAATTAATGGATTTCCTAAATACAATCATGATAGAGGTTGGACAGAATGGAGCACACCTAATTATGAGTTGGCTTTGGCTGTGCATGTTGAAGGTTGGCGAATGAACTCAATCAAATCCTCTATTTGGGGAAATGCAAATGCTAGATAAAAAAGAAAAGGCAAATCACATGACTTAAGGGCATTATCCTGAATGACACTGAGGTGTATTCTGATTTTTTTATGACATGTGCAATAATAGCTACAATAATGACTACTACTATTACTACCACCACTACTACTACTACTACAAAGTAGCTACCATAACTTGAGAACCTGCCATGGGTCGGACATTGCAATAAACATTTTACATGAACCATCTTGTTTAATCCTCATTCATCCCTGTGAGATGTATACTATTTTCATCTACAATTTAGAGATAGAGAAACTAAGACACAAAGTGCTTTAACATCTTGCCCAAGGTCACACAGCTTGTAAGTGGCAGAGCCAGGATTCAAACCCAGGCAGATATCCAAGTCTTGGAAACATCAGTAACCAGAGTGACTACGCAAATCATGAGTGACCTCACTACCTCATTTGCTCATGTACCCTTGCAATAAACCTCCATCCTTGAAGGTAATCTGGGTGTGTCTTTTCCTTGCAGCTTTAAAAATCCTAATATCACCACTCATATCTTACATTCCTGTTCTTAGTTGTGGTCTATTTTAAAACAGGATAAAAACCTCTCTGGTGTAAATCAGAAACAACTAGTAAAAATAAATATATATTGGGTACCTACTCAGTTCAAGACATTCTACTAGACCGTGTAGTGGATACTATACAAAGAAGCGTCATTATAGTCTCTGACTTCACGAAGTTTATAATCCAGGTAAAGTGTGCTACGTATATTGTTTATATAAAATGAAAACTCACAATACAAGAAGCGTTTGAGAATAATGCTAATAGCTAAAACCTAGTAAGTGTATATTATGTGCCAGACACTAAGTGAAGTACTCTATATCTTTTATTTAATCATTACACAAACACTACAAGGTAATTGCTGTTGTTATTTTTTTTTAATTATACTTTAAGTTCTGGGATACACGTGCATAAGGTGCAGGTTTGTTACATGGGTATACACGGGCCGTGGTGGTTTGCTGCACCCATCAACCCGTCATCTACATTAGATATTTCTCCTAATGCTATCCCTCCCTAACCCCCCACCTCCTGACGGGCCCTGGTGTGTGATGTTCCCCTCCCTGTGTCCATGTGTTCTCATTGTTCAACTCCCATTTATGAGTGAGAACATGCAGTATTTGGTTTTCTGTTCCTGTGTTAGTTTGCTGAGAATGATGGTTTCCAGCTTCATCCATGTCCCTGCAAAGGACATGAACTCATCCTTTTTTATGGCTGCATAGTATTCCATGATGTATATGTGCCACATTTTCTTTATCCAGTCTATCATTGATGGGCATTTGGGTTGGTTCCAAGTCTTTATCATTGTGAACAGTGCTGCAATAAACATACGTGTGCATGTGTCTTTATAGAAGAATGATTTATAATCCTTTGTGTATATACCCAGTAATGGGATTTCTGGGTTGAATGGTATTTCTAGTTCTAGATCCTTGAGGAATCACCACACTGTCTTCCACAATGGTTGAACTAATTTACATCCCCACCAACAGTGTAAAAGCCTTCTTATTTCTCCACATCCTCTCCAGCATCTGTTGTTTCCTGACATTTTTTTTATTGTTTGATTTTATTTATTTTTTTCCGTTAAAAATGTTCAGTGCTGGCAATATTTATTGTGTACTGAAATTTTTGTGTTCGTGTGTCTGTGTGTGTGTGTGTGTGTTTTATTATTATACTTTAAGTTCTAGGGTACATGTGCACAACGTGCAGGTTTGATACATGGGTATGCATGTGCCATGCTGGTTTGCTGCACCCATTAACTCATCATTTACACTAGGTATTTCTCCAAATGCTATCCCTCTCCCAGCCCCCGACCCCATGACATGCCCCAGTCTGTGATATTCCCCACCCTGTGTCCAAGTGATCTCATTGTTCAATTCCCACCTATGAGTGAGAAGATGTGGTGTTTGGTTTTCTGTCCTTGTGATAGTTTGCTGGGAATGATGGTTTCCAGCTTCATCCATGTCCCTGCAAAGGACATGAACTCATCCATTTTTATGGCTGCATAGTATTCCATGGTGTATATGTGCCACATTTTCTTAATTCAATCTATCATTGATGGACATTTGGATTGGTTCCAAGTCTTTGCTATTGTGAATAGTGCTGCAATAAACATATGTGTGCATGAGTCTTTATAGTAGAATGATTTATAATCCTTTGGGTATATACCCAGTAATGGGATTGCTGGGTCAAATGGTAATTCTACTTCTAGATCCTTGAGGAATCACCACACTGTCTTCCACAATGGTTGAACTAATTTACACCCCCACCAACAGTGTAAAAGCCTTCCTATTTCTCCACATCCTCTCCAGCATCTGTTGTTTCCTGACTTTTTAATGATCGCCATTCTAACTGGCGTGAGATGGTATCTCATTGTGGTTTTGATTTGCATTTCTCTGATGACCAGTGATGATGAGCATTTTTTCATGTGTCTGTTGGCTGCATAGATGTCGCCTTTTGAGAAGTGTCTGTTCATATCCTTTGCCCACTTTTTGATGGGTTTTTTTTTTTCTTGTAAATTTGTTTGAGTTCTTTGTAGATTCTGGATATTAGCCCTTTGTCAGATGGGTAGATTGCGAAAATTTTCTCCCATTCTGTAGGTTGCCTGTTCACTCCGATGGTAGTTTCTTTTGCCATGTAGAAGCTCTTTAGTTTAATTAGATCCCATTTGTCAATTTTGGCTTTTGTTGCCATTGCTTTTGGTGTTTTAGTCATGAAGTCCTTGCCCACGCTTATGTCCTGAATGGTATTGCCTAGGTTTTCTTCTAGGGTTTTTATGGTTTTAGGTCTAACATTTAAGTCTTTAATCCACCTCGAGTTAATTTTTGTATGAAGTGTAAGGAAGGGATCCAGTTTCGGCTTTCTACATATGGCTAGCCAGTTTTCCCGGCACCATTTATTAAATGGGGAATCCTTTCCCCATTTCTTCTTTTTGTCAGGTTTGTTAAAGATCAGATGGTTGTAGATGTGTGGTGTTATTTCTGAGGCCTCTCTTCTGTTCTTTTGGGCTATATATCTGTTTTGGAACCAGTACCATGCTGTTTTGGTTACTGTAGCCTTGTAGTATAGTTTGAAGTCAGGTAGCATGATGCCTCCAGCTTTGTTCCTTCTGGTTAGGATTATCTTGGCATTGCGAGCTCTTTTTTGGTTTCATATGAACTTTAAAGTAGTTTTTTTCAATTCTGTGAAGAAAGTCATTGGTAGCTTGATGGGGTTGGCATTGAATCTATAAATTACTTTTGGCAGTATGGACATTTTCATGATATTGATTCTTCCTATCCATGAGCATGGAATATTCTTCAATTTGTTTGTGTCCTCTTTTATATCGTTGAGCAGTGGTTTGTAGTTCCCCTTGAAGAGCTCCTTCACATCTCTTGTAAGTTGGATTCCTAGGTATTTTATTCTCTTTGAAGCAATTGTGAATGGGAGTTCACTCATGATTTGGCTCTCTGTTTGTCTGTTAATGGTCGATAGGAATGCTTGTGATTTTTTGCACATTGATTTTGTATCCTGAAACTCTGCTGAACTTGCTTATCAGCTTAAGGAGATTTGGGGCTGAGACAATGGGGTTTTCTAAATATACAATCATGTCATCTGCAAACAGGGACAATTTGACTTCCTCTTTTCCTAATTGAATACCCTTTATTTCTTTCTCTTTCCTGATTGCCCTGGCCAGAACTTCCAACACTATGTTAAACAGGAGTGGTGAGAGAGGGCACCCTTGTCTTGTGCCAGTTTTCAAAGGGAATGCTTCCAGTTTTTGCCCATTCAGTATGATATTGGCTGTGGGATTGTCATAAAGAGCTCTTATTATTTTGAGATATGTTCCATCAATACTTAGCTTATTGAGAGTTTTTAACATGAAGGGCTGTTGAATTTTGTCAAAGGCCTTTTCTGCATCTATTGAGAAAATCATGTGGTTTTTGTCATCGGTTCTGTTTATGTGATGGATTATGTTTATTGATTTGCATATGTTGAACCTGCCTTGCATGCCACGGATTCAGCTGACTTGATCGTGGTGGATAAGCTTTTTGATGAGCTGCTGGATTCGGTTTGCCAGCATTTTATTGAGGATTTTCCCATCTGTGTTCATCAGGGATATTGGTCTAAATTTCTCTTTTGTTGTTCTGTCTCTCTGGGCTTTGGTATCAGGAGGATGTTGGCCTCATAAAATGAGTTAGGGAGGATTGCCTCTTTTTCTATTGATTGGAAGAGTTTCAGAAGAAATGGTGCCCGCTCCTCTTTCTACCTCTGGTAGAATTCAGCTGTGAATCCATCTGGTCCTGGACGTTTTTTTGTTGGTAGGTTATTAATTATTGTCTCAGTTTCAGAGCCTGTTATTGGTCTATTCAGAGATTCAACTTCTTCCTGGTTTAGTCTTGGGAGGGTGTATGTGTCCAGGAATTTATCCATTTCTTCTAGATTTTCTAGTTTATTTGTGTAGAGGTGTTTATAGTATTCTCTGATGGTAATTTGTATTTCTGTGGGATTCGTGGTGATATCCCCTTTATCATTTTTTATTGTGTCTATTTCAGTATTCTCTCTTTTCTTCTTCATCAGTCTTGCTAGCAGTCTATCAATTTCATTGATCTTTTCAAAAAACCAGCTCCTGGATTCATTGATTTTTGAAGGGTTTTTTGTGTCTCTATCTCCTTCAGTTCTGCTCTGATCTTAGTTATTTCCTGTCTTCTGCTAGCTTTTGAATGTGTTTGCTCTTGCTTTTCTAGTTCTTTTAATTGTGATGTTAGGGTGTCGATTTTAGATCTTTCCTGCTTTCTCTTGTGGGCATTTAGTGCTATAAATTTCCCTCTACACACTGCTTTAAATGTGTCCCAGAGATTCTGATATGTTGTATCTTTCTTCTCATTGGTTTCAAACAACATCTTTATTTCTCCCTTGATTTCTTTATTTACCCAGTAGTCATTCAGGAGCAAGTTGTTCAGTTTCCATGTAGTTGAGCAATTTTGAGTGAGTTTCTTAATCCTGAGTTCTAGTTTGATTGCACTGTGGTCTGAGAGACTGTTGTGATTTCTGTTCTTTTACATTTGCTGAGCAGTGCTTTACTTCCAATTATGTGGTCAATTTTAGAATAAGTGCAATGTGGTGCTGAGAAGAATGCATATTCTGTTGACTTGGGGTGGAGAGTTCTGTAGATATCTATTAGGTCCACTTGTTGCAGAGCTGAGTTCAGGTCCTGGATATCCTTGTTAACCTTCTCTCTCATTGATCTGTCTCATATTGACAGTGGGGTGTTAAAGACTCCCATTCCTATTGTGTGGGAGTCTAAGTCTCTTTGTAGGTCTCTAAGGATGTGCTTTATGAATCTGTGTGCTCCTGTGTTGGCTGCATATATATTTAGAGTAGTTAGCTCTGCTTGTTGAATTGATCCCTTTACCATTATGTAATGACCTTCTTTGTCTCTTTTGACCTTTGTTGGTTTAAAGTCTGTTTTATCAGAGACTAGGATTGCAACTCCTGCTTTTTTTTTTTTTGCTTTCCATTTGCTTGGTAGATCTTCCTCCATCCCTTTATTTTGAGCCTATGTGCGTCTTTGCACATGAGATGGGTCTCCTGAATACAGCTCACTGATGGGTCTTGACTCTTTATCCAATTTGCCAGTATGTGTCTTTTAACTGGGGCATTTAGCCCATTTACATTTAAAGTTAATATTGTTATGTGTGAATTTGTTCTTGTCATTATGATGTTCGCTTATTATTTTGCCCGTTAATTGATGCAGTTTCCTCATAGCATCGATGGTCTTTACAATTTGGCCTGTTTTTAGAGTGGCTGGTACCAGTTGTTTCTTTCCATGTTTAGTGCTTCCTTCAGGAGCTCTTGTAAGGCAGGCCTGGTGGTGACAAAATCTCTCAGCATTTGCTTGTCTGTAAAGGATTTTATTTCTCCTTCACTTATGAAGCTTAGTTTGGCTGGATATGAAATTCTGGGTTGAAAATTCTTTTCTTTAAAAATGTTGAATATTGGCCCCCACTCTCTTCTGGCTTGTGGGGTTTCTGCAGAAAGATCCGCTGTTAGTCTGATGGACTTCCCTTTGTGGGTAACTCAGCCTTTCTCTCTGGCTGCCCTTAACACTTTTTCTTTCATTTCAACCTTGGTGAATCTGACAATTATGTGTCTTGGGGTTGCTCTTCTCGAGGAGTATCTTTGTGGTGTTCTCTGTATTTCCTGAATTTGAATGTTGGCCTGTCTTGCTAGGTTGGGGAAGTTCTCCTGGATAATATCCTGAAGAGTGCTTTCCAACTTGGTTCCATTCTCCCCATCACTTTCAGGTACACCAATCAGACATAAATTTGGTCTTTTCACATAGTCCCATATTTCTTGGAGGCTTTGTTCGTTTCTTTTTACTCTTTTTTCTCTAACCTTGTTTTCTCTCTTTATTTCATTAATTTGATCTTCAATCACTGATACCCTTTCTTCCACTTGATCAAATTGGCTATTGAAGCTTGTGTATGCATCATGAAGTTCTTGTGCCATGGTTTTCAGCTCCATCAGGTCATTTAATGTCTTCTCTACACTGTTTATTCTAGTTAGCCATTCATCTAATCTTTTTTCAAGGTTTTTAGCTTCCTTGTAATGGGTTCGAACATCCTTCTTTAGCTCAGAGAAGTTTGTTATTACCGACCTTCTGAAGCCTGCTTCTGTCAACTCGTCAAAGTCATTCTCCATCCAGCTTTGTTCTGTTGCTGGTGAGGACCTGCGATCCTTTGGAAGAGAAGAGGCACTCTGATTTTTAGAATGTTCAGTTTTTCTGCTCTCATTTCTCCCCATCTTTGTGGTTTTATCTACCTTTGGTCTTTGACGTTGATGACCTACAGATGGGGTTTTGTCGTAGATGACCTTTTTGTTGATGTTGATGCTATTCCTTTCTGTTTGTTAGTTTTCCTTCTAACAATGAGGTCCCTCAGTTACAGGTCTGTTGGAGTTTGCTGGAGTTCCACTCCAGACCTTGTTTGCCTGGGTTTCACCAACGGAGGCTGCAGAAAAGCAAATATTGCAGAACAGCAAATATTGCTGCCTGATCCTTCCTCTGGAAGCTTTGTTCCAGAGGGGCAGCCACCTATATGAGGTGTCTCTCGGCCCCTACTGGGAGATGTCTCCCAATTAGGCTACACGGGGTTCAGGGACCCACTTGAGGAGGTAGTCTGTCCACTCTCAGAGCTCAAATGCTGTGCTGGGAGAACCACTGCTCTCTTCAGAGCTGTCAGACAGGGACGTTTAAGTCTGCAGAAGTTGTCTGCTGCCTTTTGTTCAGTTATGCCCTACCCACAGAGGTGGAGTCTCAAGGCAGTAGGCCTTGTTGAGCTGTGGTGGGCTCTGCCCAGTTCAAGCTTCCCGGCTGCTTTGTTTACCTACTCAAGCCTCAGCAATGGCAGACACCCCTCCCCCAGCCAGGTTGCCATCTCGCAGATCAATCTCAGACTGCTGCGCTAGCAATGAGCAAGGCTCCGTGGGCGTGGAAGCTGCCTAGCTAGGCATGGGAGAGAATCACTTTGTCTGCCGCTTGCTAAGACCTTTGGAAAAGCACAGTATTTGGGCGGGAGCATCCCGATTTTCCAGGTACTCTGTCACAGCTTCCCTTGGCTAGGAAAGGGAAATATTCTGACCCCTTGTGCTTCCTGGGTGAGGCAATGCCCCGCCCTGCTTCGGCTCGCCCTCCATGAGCGGCACCCACTGTCCAATCAGTCCTAATGAGATGAACCAGGTACCTCATTTGGAAATACAGAAATCACCCATCTTCTGTGTCGATCATGCTGGGAGCTGCAGACTGGAGCTGTTCCTACTTGGCCATCTTGGACCCAACTCTGTTTCCTGGCTTTTTAATGATCGCCATTCTAACTGGCGTGAGATGGTATCTCATTGTGGTTTGGATTTGCATTTCTCTAATGACCAGTGATGATGAGCTTTTGTTTATACGTCTGTTGGCTGCATAAATGTCTTCTTTTGAGAAGTGTCTGATCATATCCTTTGCCCACTTTTTAATAGGGTTGTTTTTTTCTTGTAAATCTGTTTAAGTTCTTTGTAGATTCTGGATATTAGCCCTTTGACAGATGGATAGATTGCAAAATTTTTCTCCCATTCTGAAGGTTGTCTGTTCACTCTGATGATAGTTTCTTTTGCTGTGCAGAAGCTCTTCAGTTTGATTAGATCCCATTTGTCAATTTTGGCTTTTGTTGCCATTGCTTTTGGTATTTTAGTCATGAAGTCTTTGCCCATACCTATGTCCTGAATGGTATTGCCTAGGTTTTCTTCTAGGGTTTTTATGGTTTTAGGTCTTACATTTAAGTCCTTAATCTATCTTGAGTTAATTTTTGTATAAGATGTAAGGAAGGGGTCCAGTTTCAGTTTTCTGCTTGTGGCTAGCCAGTTGTCCCAGCACCATTTATTAAATAGGAAATTCTTTCCCCATTGCTTGTTTTTGTCAGGCTTGTTAAAGATCAGATGGTTTTACATGTGTGGTGTTATTTCTGAGGCCTCTGTTCTGTTCCATTGGTCTATATATCTGTTTTTGTACCAATACCATGCTGTTTTGGTTACTGTAGACTCATAGTATAGTTTGAAGTCAGGTAGCATGATGCCTCCAGTTTTGTTCTTTTTGCTTATTCTTGCTTAGTCAAGTCCAGTCTTCGTTTATTCCAGTCTTGGCTATATGGGCTCTTTTTTGTTTCCATATGAAATTTTTTTCCATTTCTGGTAAGAAGGTCAATGGTAGCTTGATGGGGATAGCATTGAATCTATAAATTACTTTGGGCAATATGGCCATTTTCACAATATTGATTCTTCCTATCCATGCATGCAATGTTTTTCCATTTGTTTGTGCCCTTTCTTATTTCGTTGAATAGTGGTTTGTAGTTCCTCTTGAAGAGCTCCTTCACATCCCTTGTAAGTTGTATTCCTAGGTATTTTATTGTCTTTGAAGCAGTTGTGAATGGGAGTTCACTCATGATTTGGCTCTCTGTTTGTCTGTTATTGGTGTATAAGAATGCTTGTGATTTTTGCACATTGATTTTGTATCCTGAAACTTTGCTGAAGTTGCTTATCAGCTTAAGGAGATTTGGGGCTGAGACAATGGGGTTTTCTAAATATACAATCATGTAATCTACAAACAGAGGCAATTTGAGTTCCTCTCTTCCTATTTGAATACCCTTTATTTCTTTCTCTTGCCTGATTGCCCTGGCCAGAACTTCCAACACTATGTTGAATAGAAGTGGTGAGGAGGGCATCCTTGTCTTGTGCCAGTTTTCAAAGGGAATGCCTTCAGCTTTTGCCCATTCAGTATGATATTGGCTGTGGGATTGTCATAAAGTGCTCTTATTATTTTGAGATACGTTCCATCAATACCTAGTTTATTGAGAGTTTTTAGCATGAAGGGCTGTTGAATTTTGTTGAAGGTCTTTTCTGCATCTATTGAGGTTTTTGTCACTGGTTCTGTTTATGTGATGGGTTATGTTTATTGATTTGCATATGTTGAACTAGCCTTGCATCCCAGCGATGAAGCCAACTTGATTGTGGTGGATAAGCTTTTTGATACACTGCTGGATTTGGATTGCCAGTATTTTATTGATGATTTTTGCATTGATGTTCATCAGGGATATTGGTCTGACATTTTCTTTTTTTGTTGTGTCTCTGCCAGGTTTTGCTATCAGGATGATGCTGGCCTCATAAAATGAGTTAAGGAGAAGTCCCTCTTTTTCTATTGTTTGGAATAGTTTCAGAAGGAGTGGTACCAGCTCTTCTTTGTACCTTTGGTAGAATTTGGCTGTGAATCTGTCTGATCTGGGGCTTTTTTTGGGTGGTAGGCTATTACTTACTGCCTCAATTTCAGAACTTGTTATTGGTCTATTCAGGGATTTAGCTTCTTCCTGGTTTAATCCTGGGAGGGTGTATGTGTCCAGGAATTTATCCATTTCTTCTAGATTTTCTAGTTTATTTGCATAGAGGTGTTTATAGTATTCTCTGATGGTAGTTTGTATTTCTGTGAGATTGGTGGTGATATCCTATTTATCATTTTTTATAGCGTCTATTTGAGTCTTCTCTCTTTTCCTCTTTATTAGTCTTGCTAGCGGTCTATCACTTTCGTTGATCTTTTCAAAAAACCAGCTCCTGGATTCACTGATTTTTTGCAGGGCTTTTTGCGTCTGTATCTCCTTCAGTTCTGCTCTGATCTTAGTTATTTCTTGTCTTCTGCTAGCTTTTGAATTTGTTTGCTGTTGCTTCTCTAGTTCTTTTAATTGTGATGTTATGCTGTCAATTTTAGATCTTTCTTGCTTTCTCCTGTGGACATTTAGTACTATTAATTTCCCTCTAAACACTTCTTTAGCTGTGTTCCACAGATTGTGATAGGTTGTATCTTTGTTCTCATTGGTTTTAAAGAACTTATTTACTTCTGCCTTAATTTCATTATTTACCCAGTAGTCATACAGGCACAAGTTGTTCAGTCTCCACGTAGTTATGCAGTTTTGAGTGAGTTTCTTAATCCTGAGTTCTAATTTGATTGCATTGTGGTCTGAGAGACTGTTTGTTATGACTTCCATTCTTTTGCATTTGCTGAGGAGTGTTTTACTTTGAATTATGTGGTCATTTTTAGAATAAGTGTGAAGTGGTGCTGAGAAGAATGTATATTCTATTGATTTGGAGTGGAGAGGTCTGTAGATGTCTATTAGGTCCGCTTGGTCCAGAGCTGAGTTCCAGTCCTGAATATCCTTGTTAATTTTCTGTCTCGTTGATCTGTCTAATATTGACAGTGGGGTGTTAAAGTCTCCCACTATTATTGTGTGGGAGTCTAAGTCTCTTTATATGTTCCTAAGGACTTGCTTTATGAATCTGGGTTCTCCTGTATTGGGTGCATATATATTTAGGATAGTTAGCTCTTCTTGTTGCATTGATCCCTTTACCATTATGTAATGCCCTTCTTTGTCTTTTTTGATCTTTGTTGGTTTAAAGTCTGTTTTATCAGAGACTAGGATTGCAACCCCTGCTTTTTTTGCTTTCCATTTGCTTGGTAAATATTCCTCCATCCCTTTATTTTGAGTCTATGTGTGTCTTTGCACATCGGATGGGTCTCCTGAATACCGCACACTGATGAGTCTTGACTCTTTATTCAATTTGCCAGTCTCTGTCTTTTAATTGGGGCATTTGGCCCATTTACATTTAAGTTTAATATTGTTATGTGTGTTTGATCCTGTCATTATGGTGCTGGCTGGTTATTTTGCCCATTAGTTGATGTAGTTTCTTCATAGTGTTGATGGTCTTTACAATTTTGTATGTTTTTCAGTGGCTGACACTGGTTTTTCCTTTCCATATTTAGTGCTTCCTTTAGGAGCTCTTGTAAGGCAGGCCTGGTGGTGACAAAGTCTCTCAGCATTTGCTTGTCTGTAAAGGATTTTATTTCTCCTTCACTTTTGAAGCTTAGTGTGGCTGGATATGAAATTCTGGGTTGAAAATTCTTTTCTTTAAGAATGTTAACCTGTAATCCCAGCAGTTTAGGAGGCCAAGGCAGGTGGATCCCGAGGTCAGGATATCAAGACCATCCTGGCTAACATGGTGAAACCCGATCTCTACTAAAAAAATACAAAAAATTAGCCGGGCGTGGTGGTGGGCGCCTGTAGTCCCAGCTACTCGGGAGGCTAAGGCAGGAGAGTGGCATGAACCCGGGTGGTGGAGCTTGCAGTAAGCCAAGATCATGCCGCTGCACTCCAGCGTGGGCGACAGAGCGAGACTCCGTCTCAAAAAGAAAAAAAAAAAAGGAATGTTGAATATTGGCACCTACTCCCTTCTGGCTTGTAGGGTTTCTGCAGAAAGATCTGCTGTTAGTCTGATGGGTTTCCCTTTGTGGGTAACCCAAGCTTTCTCTCTGGCTGCTGTTAACATTTTTTCCTTCATTTCAACCTTGGTGAATCTGACAATTATGTATCTTGGGATTGCTCTTCTTGAAGAGTATCTTTGTGGTGTTCTCTGTATTTCCTAAATTTGAATGTTGGCCTGTCTTGCTAGGTTGGGGAAGTTCTCCTGGATAATATCCTGAAGAGTGTTTTCCAACTTTGTTCCATTCTCCCTGTCATTATTCAGGTATACCAATGAAATGTAGGTTCGGTCTTTTCACATAGTCCCATATTTCTTGGAGGTTTTGTTCATTCCTTTTCATTCATTTTTTCTCCAATCTTCTCTTCGTGCATTATTTCATTAAGTTGATCTTCTAGCTCTGATATACTTTCTTCCGCTTGATTGATTTGGCTATTGATACTTTTGTGTGCTTCATGAAGTTCTCATGCTGTGTTTTTCAGCTCCATCAGGTCATTTATGTTCTCTAAACTGGTTATCTAGTTAGCAATTCCTCTAACCTTTTTTCTAGGTTCTTAGCTTCCTTGCATTGAGTTAGAACATGCTCCTTTAGCTCAGAGGAGTTTGTTATTACCCACCTTCTGAAGCCTACTTCTGTCAGTTTGTTAAACTCATTCTCCATCCAGTTTTGTTCCCTTACTAGTGAGGACTTGTTATCCTTTGGAAAAGAGGCATTCTGGTTTTTGGAATTTCCAGCATTTTTATGCTGGTTTTTCCTCATCTCCGTGGATTTTTCTACCTTTGGTCTTTCATGTTGGTGACCTTTGGATGGGGTTTCTGTGTGGATGTCCTTTTTGGTGATGCTGATGCAATTTCTTTCTGTTTGTTAGTTTTCCTTCTAACAGGCCTGTCTGCTACAGGTCTGCTAGAGTGTGCTGGAGGCCCACTCCAGACCCTATTTGCCTGGGTATCACCAGCAGAGGCTGCAGAACAGCAAAGATTGCTGCCTGTTCCTTCGTCTGGAAGCTTCATCACAGAGGGGCACCCTCCAGATGCCAGCCGACGCTGTCCTGTACGAGGTGTCTGTCCAACCCTGCTGGAAGGTGTCTCCCAGTCAGGAAGCACAGGGGTCAGGGACCCACTTGAGGAGGCAGAGTGTCCCTTAGCAGAGCTTGAGCACTGTGCTGGGAGATCTGCTTCTCTCTTCAGAGCCAGCAGGCAGGAGCATTTAAGTCTGCGGAAGCTGCACCCACAGCCACCCCTTCCCCCAAGTGCTCTGTCCCAGGGAGAGGGGAGTTTTATCTATAAACCCCTGACTGCGGCTGCTGCCTTTCTTTCTGAGATGCCCTGCCCAGAGAGGAGGAATCTAGAGAGGCTACAGTGGCTTTGTCAAGCTGCGGTGGGCTCAGCCCAGTTTGAACTTCAAGGCGGCTCTGTTTACACTACGAGGGGAAAACCGCCTATGCAAGCCTCAGTCATGGCGGACGCCCCTCACCCCACCAAGCTCAAGCGTCCCAGGTCATCTTTAGACTGCAATGCTGGCAGCAAGAATTTCAAGCCAGTGGATCCTAGCTTGCTGGACTCCATAGGGGTGGGATCCGCTGAGCTAGACCACTTGGCTCCCTGGCTTCAGCCCCCTTTCCAGGGGAGTAAATGGTTCTGTCTCGCTGGTGTTCCAAGCACCACTGGGGTATGAAAAAAAACTCCTGCAGCTAGTTCAGTGTCTGCCCAAATGGTCACTCAGTTTTGTGCTTCAAACCCAGGGCCCTGGGGGGTGTAGCCAGCAGAGGGAATCTCCTGGTCTGTGGGTTGCGAGGACCGTGGCAAAAGCATAGTATCTGGGCTGGATTGCACCATTCCTCATGGCACAGTCCCTCATGGCTTCCATTGGCTAGGGAAGGGAGCTCCCTGATCCCTTGTGCTTCCCAGGTGAGGCAATGCCCCACCCTCCTTCGGCTTGCTCTCCGTGGGCTGCACCCACTGTCTAACCAGACCCAATGAGATGATCCGGGTACCTCAGTTGGAAATGCAGAAATCACCCACCTTCTGCATTGATCTCGCTGGGAGCTGCAGACCAGAGCTGTTCTTATCGGCCATCTTGCGAGCCCTACTCCTGTTATGTTATTTTTACAGATGAGGAAACAGGCTTGGTAACACGGAGCATTTTGGTCAAAGCTGCCCAGCTAGTAAGCAACAGAACCAGACTTAAAACCCAAGCTGTCTTACTCCAGAGACTGAGTTCCTAACCAATACATGACAATTATTTTTAGAGCATATAGCTAAATAAGTGGCACTGTCAGTAAATATTTAAGAATACAGAAGAGGAAGAAAATTTTTCCTCTAGGCTAAAAATGATAAATATATATATATATATATATATATATAGATGTGAATTTTCATTAATATGTAAAGTTTAGTTGTACTTTGGAGCAAATGAGCTTGATATATTAAAATGGAAACTTGAAAATAGAACCATTAGAATATAAACATTTGCATTACAAAGGTTTATTTGCTTTACAAAGAATCATCACAGAGTGCTGGCTTCCACAGCACATATACTAAAAACAATCATCACAGGTTTCCTTTAAGTAACAGTATTCTCCATTGTGCTCAGAATACAATTGGCTCCCTCCCCACAAAGTAAAGAAAGAAATTAAAATACACAATGTTTCAGTAATATGACTATTTTATACAACAGGATACAACTTTACTAAATTTCATATGCAAACTCTGAGGCCTTTAACAATACCAAATAGATAAGAAAAAAAAAAACTTAGTAATCATCTTATCTGACTCCCTCATTTTATACATGAGAAAATGGAAGCTCAAGAGAAGTGATTTGGCCAGAATTTTACAGCTAGTTAGTTAATGGCACCTTCATTAGGGGTTTGCAAACCCCATGTCCTTTGTCTTCCCACCCAGTTTTCTTTAAAACTATACCGCCTCACTGTTCTTTAATAAGAAACAAAAATAACATCAATACATGTTAGGTAACATATACTTACTTCTCTATTGTTTTAATGCATGGACATATGTGATCCTAAATATGAGAAGATTAGGAAGCAATGAAGTATCCCGTATTTACTTGGAAACTCCTATTGCAACAACTCAAGTTTCATGTGTTTCTCTCATCCAATTTCTCTCACCTTGTTAGGGTCTCCGTTCATGTGTCTGAAAACTAAAAGGGTATTTTGTTGGTTCTGTGACTACATCCCTTTATCAGTGGACTCTCACATGTTTCAAATGTGATGTCAAATGTGTGTAGTTGCTTTACATAAGTGATTGAGAAAAGCTTTCTCTAATTCACCAGGCGCAATAGAGTTACTGTATAAATTATTGGAGTAATACTTATAAAAGGTCAAAGGTAAAACTGTCTATTTTCACTCCTGATTTCTCTGGAGCATAATATAAGCAGTAGATAGGTGAGGTATGAAAATAAGTTATAAAGTCCCAAGAAGAATTTTCACGTGGATGATCATAGATGAAGTATAAGCACTGACTCTCTTGAACTGTGGTGGATCTAACAGTCTATAGTCTATGTGACCAGAATTTCTATCAAGTCAATATCCAGTCCTCACTCTTAGGGGTATTTGACTCATACCATTTATATTTTGGTCTGGTTCATTAAACATATAATTTATTGGTTATTAAAATGCCCTGCAGTATTTTTCCATTATAGAAAAATATAAAAAGTGATTTATGCAGCTTGTGTGTAAATTGATACATGTCATAAAGACAAGAGTAGTAATTTGTTTCCAAACAGTATTTCTTTACTATCGGAACCGGCTACAGCTTTCAAAGCCTAATCACATAGAAAACTTGATTAAATCTGCCAGTTGTATTGGTTTGTATGCAAAATGCTCCCTTCATAAAATCTATTGCTCTAGACAGTATGTACTACTCTTTTAGCCTTTGGTCACAGGATGCACCTGTACAAATTGATATATAAAAATGGACCTATCAAGGAAAAGAAAAATTCTTGGCCCACATGAGGTTACCTATTTCATGCTTTATTTCCCCAGCAGTCATTTCTAGCAGCAGGGCAGACAAAACTGAAGACAAATGGTGAATCAAAGGAAGGACAAAATGAAATGAAAATGAAGGACAAAAATGATAAGATATTTGCAATGAACATCTCTTTGATGTTATATCTATTGATCATAAACAAAAATCCAAGCCCACGGGTTATGGTTCTGGGTCATCAAACCTCATCTTGACTCAAAGTGGCTACCCGAAATATTCTTCCCCAAACACCAATGTTTGCTTTTTCTAAACAGAATATTTCTCACCATAAAATAAAGCATTCTCATTTCAGGAAAAGGTCAACTATGGCTGAAAATTCCTTATGGTACTAATGACTTTTTCAATCATATTTCTCCTTTGAATACATATGGTTTCTTTCCCTCTAGAATGCCACTTATTTGCTTTTAGCTTCTCCCTTGCCTGCAATGCTAGAGCTATGCATACCATGATTCTAAGACTAAATCACATGCTTGTCATTTCAGAGCCATTAATTTCAGTAAATAAGCATGTGTTGGGTTTTAAGTATTCTATTATCAAATTCACCATGTATTTGGTGCTCTTTTACTCCAAATAATATTTTGTAGGGGAATTTTAATGCCACTTAGACACCATTATCATAAATGAATGGTAGCAATGTTCTTAAGAGCTGCAAATTCTGCTACTTCACCTTCTACAGCCATAAACTCATTCACCCTACCCATCCTAATGGGGCTAGATTAATGAAGCTTTCAAAAGTGCAACATTTGGTGAAAATTAGAGAAGTACCTGAAAGACTGGTTATTTGCAAATTCACTAGCAAATGAGATTGTGATTTTGGCTGCTGACTAGCGTGTATGTAATATCCTCCTGTATTACTTCTAATATGCACCACATCCAAGTGTCTAGCATCCACACTAATGGAAGGGAGCAATAAAACAGATAATATGAAGTGGCAGGTGATTTGCTGATTTCCTTGTTAAGGAGTAGAGAGAAAGGGGTGTAGGAGCTGCCACAAGAGAAAAGTGCAACTTATTTTTTCCTTTTAAGGGTAGCCATAAGAAAAAAATCAAGTACAAATAATTTGTCTTTGAAAATTACCTACCTTGCCCATTACCTACTTTCCCCATGATCTAGTATCTTTGTTAATCTCCTAGCTGTTGAGGATGCCCACAAGGCTATTCCTCTTATTCTCCCCAAAGGGCTTACTACTCTGCACATATCTTTGCTCTCTTACCCATCCAAAATCAAGCCATGCTTTCTCTGTGTTACATTTCATTTTGTCACTTATGCTTTCCAAGGTGACATGGCACACATGCTGCCATTCTGTCCCCCAAATGCCCATGGCAGGCCACAATAGTCAGATATTCCACTTTTTCTAACTAGGCCCAGAGTCAGCCTCAGAGCCTTTCTCAACAGTCCATGCAGTCATTACTATTTCAATGAAGCAAAAAAAGTATGTGATAAAAATTAGGTTATTTGAATACAAAGATACTTTTATAGTTTGATAAAGGGTATCACAAGTTTTAGCAGAAAATCACTAGACACATTTCCAATAAAGTAAGAAAGAAAATACAAGTGTTTTTACTATTGCTGCAGTTATGTAGCATTGGAAGGGTGACAATGACAAGTGAAGCATTCTGAAGTCTTCGTGTAGTTTAGGTGGAGGGTAACAATGCTGACAATTTTACAATTTGCTTGGCTGAAATAAACATGTTAAAATAACTAAGTAGCCACTAATTTTTTAAATGAATCAATCCAAAATGTTACAAGTAGAAACAAAGGAAATAGAAAAAATAGTACAAATAGAGAATACATAAGATAATTTATATACATTCAATTACTCAGTAGGTACTATAAATGTAAATGGACTAAACTCTCAAGCTAAAAGACAAAGATTGTTACATGGACTCTTAAAAATATCCATTTATACACCTTTTAATAGAGTATACAGAAATATTAATGTTAATAGATGAAAACGTTATACTATGCAATTGTAACTCAAATAAAGTGGCTATAGATACATTAGTACCAGATAAAACAGACTTTAATTAAAAAGAACAAAAAAAACAAAAAAAAACCTTGTACCAAAGATAAAGATGGTCTTTACATAATAAGAAAGGTTCAATTTTCCAGAAAAATAAAGCAATTCTAAACTTCTTTTAATGAAGTAAGATAGCTCCCAAAACATAAAACAATAACAGATTTACAGAGAGAAGTTGAATAATATATCATCATTATGAGGGCTTTCAAAATGAGCCTTTCAGTAATTGACAATTTGAATATATTAAAAATTAATGGGATGTGGAAGATTTGAATCATACAATTCACAAGCTTGATCTAATGGACATAAATAGGATATTGTACCCAACAGGTGTACACTATACATTTTTTGTAAGCATACAAGTCACATTTAAGAAAACTAACCACAAGCTAGGCTGTGAGGATAGCTTCAACAAATTTGAAAGGAATGTTATCATATGAACAACATTCTTTGACTATTCCATAAGTAAGTGAAAAATCACAAACATTTTGATATATAACAAGAAAAACTCATTTATCAGCAACTAAAGACAAACAAATTCTAAACAGCTCATAGGTCAACGAAGACTTTATAATGGAAATGAGAAAATACAACTAAATGATCACAACAACATTAAGCATTCAAACAGACAGGATTCACTTAAAGTGGTATTTGGAAGACATGTTATAGTCTTAAAGTGGTATATTATGAAAGAATAAAGGTTGAAAATAACAATTAAATTATTCATATCGAAAACTTCAAAAAAATAACTAAATCAAAGGAAAATGAAGAGTAGTATTTAATAAATTAGAAAACAAATGTACAATAAAGACCAACAAAGATATAAGTTGTTTCTTTGAAAATTTTTTTAAATGAAAAATTTCTAATGGAATTAATCAAGGAAAAAAGAGAGAGAGAAAGGGCAACAATATTAGGAGTGAAAAGAGGATAACTATAGATGTTGATATTAAACAGTGCACAATTTTTTATAATAAATTTGAAAACTTAAATGAATGAGTAAATTTCTAGAAAAATATAATTTATCAGAAGTGACTCAAGGAGAAATCAAAAACCTGAATAACCCTCTATCTATTAAATAAATTTGGCTTATAGTAAAACAAAACAAAAACATTAAAAAAAAACTTCCAATGAAGAAAACACCAGGACCAGGCTCTAACAAGTTTCCAGATAAATGCCAAGAAACAGATTATTTCAGTCTTACTCAAAGTCTTCCATAAAATACCAAAGGCAAAACCCTCCTAATTTATTTTGCAAGGCCAATGTAGCCTTTATATTAGAACCAGACAAGAAAATTCAAACAAAAGCTTGTATGCTTTTGATGAGAATGTACTTTGTTCCCACCACTTTGCAAAACAAAGAATGCTGACCCTATGGATGAATAATGATATCAATTATCTCATTTAAGATTTATGATAACTTTAATTTCAAAAATAGAAAAAAAATAAAGTAGGGGTATCATATGATGGTGAAGAAAAAAAAATGCTTTGTAATTTTATTAGGTAATGGTGATCCGTTCCCTCTTTCATTCCCCACAGTGGTTAATTCAAACTTTTAATGCTGTGCTTTTCAAGTTCACTTCCTCTTCTTTGCCTCCTGCTTTCACTTCCTTTTTTCAGAGATAATGCAGAAGTCATTGAGTCTAAAATCTCTCAATATTATTTCCTCCCCAACGCTCATTTATATCTGTACATAATCTTAGCCTCTCTCCTCCCATTACAGAAAAAGCAACTGATGTAACCCATCCACCTGTACCGTTTCCCATCTCCTCCATCACTTCATTCCATCAATTATTCCCATTTTGTCCTGTATCTCCAACATTGCTATTTCCATTTGTTCTTTTTCAATTTAAGTTAATAACATCATCATCCACCCACTCATTTAGGCAAGCTAAAACATGAAAGAAGTTCCTGACACCTCACTCTTCCTTGCTCTCCCCCTTCCAAATCTGCACAATAACCAAGTCTTCTTGCCAATTATATCCCTTCAATATTTCTCACATTTTCCCTTTCCTTTCATTCCACTGCCACTATCTTGGTTCAGGCCTTCATCATCATTCATTTCTAGACTGATACAGTGCTTCCTAATTAATAGCATAGCTCAGAAGAAAAGCATGGACCTTGAAGTCAGTTCATATTCAGATACCAACAATATATTTTACTGCAGTTGTGACTGTAGGGAAATTAACCTCTTTAAACCTTATCTTCCTCAGCTGTAAAATGGAGATAATAATGCTTGTCAGTAAGTATTATTGTAGTGATAAGGGGAAATTATGAATATAAAACATTTAATACTATACCTTGCACATAGTGAGCACTCAAGAAATGTGAACTCCTTGTCTTCTTTTTTTTTTTTTTTTTTTTTTTTTTTGAGACGGAGTCTCGCTCTGTCGCCCAGGCTGGAGTGCAGTGGCGGGATCTCGGCTCACTGCAAGCTCCGCCTCCCGGGTTCACGCCATTCTCCTGCCTCAGCCTCCCAAGTAGCTGGGACTACAGGCGCCCGCCACTACGCCCGGCTAATTTTTTGTATTTTTAGTAGAGACGGGGTTTCACCGTTTTAGCCGGGATGGTCTCGATCTCCTGACCTCGTGATCCGCCCGCCTCGGCCTCCCAAAGTGCTGGGATTACAGGCGTGAGCCACCGCGCCCGGCCTCCTTGTCTTCTTATAACTTATTCTCCTCTAGCCCCTTTGCTACCCTGCCATGTGACTTTAACAGAAATCTGACATGTCACTTCCCTAATGAAAATCATTTGGTGGTTTTGGTTTGACCACATGTTCAAATTCAAACTCCATTAACTTAGGACATAAAACTCTTCATATGTTGACTCTCTACTCCTGTCTTCATTCATGCTTCAAATTCATGAGCTCCTTGAAGACATAAAGGGAATTTGTCTTATCCATCTTTAAATCTCTAGGGTCTAACAACAGTGTTAGGTTCAAAATAAAGACGGTCAACAGATGATAATCTTTTAAAGAGTGCAGCCATGTGGTCTGGTTTGTCAAAGCTGGTCCACATTTGTGTTAACACATCAACATTCTCCACAAATTTCTTAAGTTTAGCAACTTGTGATGAAATATGCCACATAAGGCTTTCACTTAAGAACTTCATACCATATGGGCCTAGCAGTTCTAATAATGACCTCATTTCAGATATGTCAGAATATTTCTCTGCATTGAATGTTAATTCATTTTCTGTAGGTAGTGTCACAAATGCTTTAATTGCAGGGAAATAAGCTATATGAGCATAGCTGACTTATCTTAACAAAGTTTCCAAATACCAATTTGTGTAAAGACTCGTAATGATTGGCTCTCCATAGCTGCCCAAATGTTGTGTTTGTTGAAGAAGAACATCATTGAATACTCTTATAATATCAATCTACATGTAGTTTTATATTGGCTGGAGTATGGTCATGTGTGCTCTTACACCTGTTAGAATCTCTGATGGTTTTGCATTTTGTGTGTGGCTCAATTATACATAATCATCCCAACAATTGACTTAGTAAAGAGGATTTCCAGATGGGAAGTCAAATATTCTCATGGAGTAAAGGTATGTTTCCATACCATCGTGTTTGAGACACAATTTAGAAAGTGCAGTGTGCAATTTGTCAAGTTTGGTCACAACCAGCCTGTTTTTCTTCATGTTCTTAATGCCTGGTTTCTCCCTTTCAGGTTACCCTTTCTTACTAGTCTATTTTGTTTTGTTTTGTTGATTTCTTATTCACTGCTTGACTGGTGGTTTTGGCATAATACTTGGGCGGCAACTGGTCACTAAGAGTACACTGTTCTGTGCAAATATCTGTGATGATATTTCAAGCTTGTTTTGCCTTTTCATCTAGAAATATATTACATAAGGGAAGACTACATTCTCCAATATGATGTAACTCTGCTGCACACAGTTCATGAATGCAACTGATAAAATGAGTGCAATGTAGTGAAAATGCAGTTCAGTATCTTGACTGAGAAAGTAACTCCAAACACTATTAAAGCAACTTCTCAAGAGCATGACTATAAAAACAAAATATGTAGAGCTTTGATGTTTTAAGCAACATTTCCACCAAATAATCTATTTTTGGTATGAAAAAATTATTGTATTCATCATGTTTCCAAGTTCTCTGTGATCTGAAAGGCCAAGTGAAGTCTTAGAGACACTAGTATAAGTCTGTAACCTAAACCAATCTAATCTCATTTCTCTGAAATCAAATACTCCCCCATCTTTAACTTATTTTACACTTACAAAGGTCATAGTGTTAACAATAGAGGACATGATGATTGAGTCATCTTCCCAGCAAACAGAAAGGTTCTGCATGAGTTCATTGAGGACAACAGAATCAAACCCAGAAGGGTACTGCATGTAATACCTTTGCATTATAGGTCCATATTTTAAAACATTTCCCAAACTAAATACCATAAAAATGCACAACATTAAAAATAGTAAAAGACTGCTTAGTATTAGAAGCAGACCATGTCCTGAAATTCTAAAACCAGCAGTATACGTTGTTGCTTGTATAAAGCCTAGTGATATTTTTAGACTAAATTTCATGGTGCCCTGTTGGCATTAGCACAACCATTGTACTCTGCTGTATAATAAAAAATCTTAGAGATTTATCAACTATTGATACAAATGTTAGTTCTTAACCACTTTTTATATGTTTTAAATTTTGAAAATGCAAGTGTACCTGCCATAACATAAAAATAAACATTAGACTGTATCACAAAAAAGGTACTTTTAAAATACAGAATACATTTTCATTCAAATACACATTTAACTTTCAAATGAAATCCACTTCCTAACTATAAACTAGTTGATATTTGGAAATTCCTTGAGTGGATTTTGATGGAAGATACAAGTTGCTATTAAATTTTTTTAAAACGACACTTCTATTTTGACATGTTTGTTATTTTGTGATCACAGGCATCATCGGGTTTTGATTTACTCTGAAGTTTCTTAAACTGACAGGATAATATCATGCCTTAGGAAAATCGTACCTAAGTTAATCATGAGGAGATGGATCAAAGGGAAATCAATGGCATGTAATGCAAGAGTCAAACAAAAAACAACATAAAAAACATCTCAAATAGCTTAATTTTATGTGATAATCATGGTAGTATCACTCTGTATTTAATAAGGACATTCCTTCCAAAGATCTTAAAGTTCTTTTAATGTATTACCTTGTTTTTACTCACAAAATCCTTGGGAGATAAAGGGAAATTATAACTTAGGTAAATAAAACTTGATTTGGACCCTCGACATTTTTTGTTTTTAAATGTCAAATATTTCTGTTTTTACCATACTCATACCGCTAAGCACTAATGATGAAAATTTTACAACTAAACATGTTGCTAACACTATATATTCATGGTCACCACTGATCTCTAAACAATCTTGATTGTATCTCTGTGGTGTATTGATCTTGTTTTCTGTCTTCCTGCGTTTCCTATAAATTCATAGTTAGATCTAGAGGTTTGATCTAATTTAGATTCAATATTTATATTAAGATAAATATGTCATAGACAGTGCTGTGTACATAATACCCACTGCCATTGATGATCATTTCTCAGATTCATTATTTTATCAAGGGTTTGAAAATTTATAATATTCTAATTATATCAACAGAATGCTTTGTTGAAAAATATACATATAAAAATGCCATTCCCCTGCATAAACTTCTTCAATGTCCATTATTGTTCGGATAAAATCTAAATTCATTAACATAGATTCTTACAAGTGTATCAACTGGCAGTTGTTTATCACTTCAGTCTTGTATTGTGTCACTCTCTGCCTCACACTTTAGGCTTCAGACATGCTGCTGACCTTTTCGCAGGTTTCTGAATGAACCTTACTCTGGACCACTTTAGGACATTCACATGTGCTGTATCCTTTGTCCAAAATTCTTTCCTCTCACTTCCAACTTCACCTGGCTAACTTCACATCATTTTTTTCTGCCTCCGTTTAAGTATAACTTCTTCAGGAAGACCTTCCCAGAAGTCCAAAACTATGTTAGCTCAACTTGTTATATGCTATTTTATATATATATATAGCAACCTGTATTTATTAACCTGTATTTACTACACTTTTGACACTTGTTTGAGCTGTGTCCTCCACCCTCCGTTTTGTTCATCACCGTATCTCCAACACCTGAAGAGTTCCCAATACATAGTAGGTGCTCAGTACTTGTTAAATCATCTTATGTCACTAAGATATCAGCTTTTGTTTTTGAATTGATAATAAAATGTTTTAATATTATGATCTTATAAAGCACTTTTTATACGTCAGCACATTAAACACCACAACATCCCAATGAAGACAAAAAAATACTTCATTGCGTGTCTTCTCTTTTGCTTCTGTGAATTAGGGTTGTAAACATAGCTACTGTGACATTCTGTCATCTTGAATTAATACGGTCTGAAATAGCTACTTATTTATCTCTGTTTTGTGTCTGGGATTCTAACATCTAAAAGAGCCCTAAGACCAAAATCAGAAGTGTGAAAGATTTATATTGTATAAACTAACTTAAGTATATATTTTTTATCTAAATAGGAAGATACCACCCCTGCTTTCCTATTTCAGTATCAATGCCTTCAGGAAGACTTCCATGAAGAGAGTTGATAATACCTTCCTCTAAGCTATCTTTGAACTTTGTTATTACTTACTTCTGATATTATGCATAGCATTTTTTATCTACATCACTGTTAAAACTGCTAAACTGTGATCCCTATGCAGATATGTACTAAACATTATTAATATTTCTATATATTTAATGTTTTTAAATTGTGTATTAATATTTGATATTAATATTCTAGCATATTTAATATTAAATGCCTAACACAGTGCCTGACACACAATAGATTCTCAATTCATCACTGTTGAATCATTGACATGAAATAATGTGCCCTCTTTTCTGTAATTAATTCCCACATGATGAAAGATGGGTAGCTAAATTTGTTGTGGTGGTGGCGGAGGTGGTGTGGTGGTTACCCTGAAAAGGAAATGGAATCAGGACTCCCGGTCAAAATATAACAGTAAGGCAACTAAGTATTAAAATGTTGCATCTCAAGGAGGTCTGGAATAGATGATGGATTGAATATAGGAAACTGATTTTAATGCCCCTCAAAACCCCACTAAAAATGGAGGGAAAAAATTGTTTACGACAAAAGTCCTGAAGACCGAGAAGAACATTAGAAGAGATAACAGCAACACAATTTTTTGAAATAGAAAGCAGAGGGATTAGTGTTAGTTGACTTGGGTAGACTTAGTTAATTGACCTAGGTAGAGAACTCAGCCAGCAGTGGAGAAAGCTGAGAAATGATTCAATTTACAATCCAGTATACCCATAAAGCCTGGAAATTAGCAAAACAAGATACCTTTGGAACTGAGAGAGTTCAGGAAAAGAGAGCTAAAATTAGGAGGTTTGGATGAAACTCAGTTTAATCTAGAAAGATCCTTTCCCTCATTCCAGAGCTAGGTAACTGTCTTTTCCCTACCCTGCAGATGTTTGAAAGATTATTCTCCAGCTTTCAGGAAAAAATAGAGAGTCACTGAACTGGAAGACTAGATATAGTGGACCTAGACACTTTACCTAAAACAATGAGATTAAGCAACCATATGCATAATAAACTGGATGCTTCCCTCACTTAGTGTGCAAAACACTGCAACCCAGTCTTCCATTCTCCAGGCAAGAGACTGGAAAAGTTTTCTCTGGAGAAACTGATGAGCCCAAGAAGAAAAACCTGAATATAGAGACACCAGGGAGCTCCCAGCGAACAGTCCACTCACACACCAAGTAAACCAACCATAGCCACAGACTCTGAGTTACTCTCAGCACTTTCAAACATGAACAGATGTTGAAGAAAAATTTTCAATTACATTGTTAAAGTATGGTAAGGAAGACCTTATTCAGGACCATCATGATAGGTATAAGGATCACTACAACGGGATTTTGCAGTGTGGGAGAGAAGTTGGGCTCACTTTCAAATACAGCATGGGAATTTACAGCCAGGGAGCCCAGTGGAGGCCAGTAGATGGAAAATTACTAAGACAGAATATCAGGGGTAAGGGAGATTCTGGCTAAACTGACCTAATAGTATCCTTGCTGAAGACAGGCCAAGGTGATCAGACATCACCTGGGAGATGGTGGACAATGACGAACCCGGTTAGATACTGAGGACTATCAAATATCAAGGCTGGGTGATTCTTGCTAAACTGACTTAGCAGGGTTCTTTGCTAAAACTGGATTTTACAAGGAAGTGCACAGATAGGCCTAGAAGAAGTTTCAGGAGCCTGACTAAAGTTCAGCCAAGCAAAGGATCCTTGTCAACAAGCAAGGATTGCCATATCCTGAGGAAAGTACACAACATAGAAGTTAGAGACAAAAATAAAAAATTAAACAATAAACAGAAGAAGAAAGAAACTTGAAGGAAATGGAGACTATGCAAGGAGAAGAAAACTTTATAAAACACTCAGTGATATACTCAGGTAAAGTATTATAGAGGTGAGACACAAGAACAGAAAGAATATCCCTTTAATGAGGAATATTCAGAGAAAAAATAAAATAACTTTTAGAAATTAAACAAATAAGCAATAAAGTGTTTTATGTAAAAATCTAAAGATTGTTATTTTTCTAAACTTTATGATATTCATGGTGTCTGTAAGCTTTTTAGTACTTGTGAATTTTGTCATTTATTCTCTCATTCTAAACAAATATCCCCATTTTTATCAGACATCTTATTTTGTTTTTGTAATTTTATATTCATTTTCCTGAGGAAGGTCCCCAAAATTGTATATAACCTTCAGGCCCCTCAGAACTTGTGCCCATTCCTGATGGCAACCTCATCTTTTCAGCTGCTCACATCTAACCATTGGCTTTATTCTTGACTCTCCTCTTTCTCTTACCCTACATTCAATCTGTCAGAAAAACTTGTTGGCTCTGCCTTCAAAACGTATGCATATTCTGACCACTGCTACCACCCTGGTCCAAACCACCAACACCACTTGCCTGGATTCTTGCAATAGCCACTTAATCTGTCTTCTTGCTCTCACCTTTGCCTCCCTACTGCATATTCTCAACACAACAACACAACAGCCAGAGAATTATCTTCTTAAAACTTAAGTCAGATAATGTAATTTCTCTGCTCAGAATCCTCCAATGGCTCTCCATTCATTTGAACTGACTCCACATTTCTTCTCTGACCTCCTATGGAATTATTTACTCTTTAGCTCTCTCTTATCTGGTCAGACTGACCCCTTTATTATTCCTAAAAGATAACAGGATTGGCCGGGTGCGGTGGCTCATGCCTGTAATCCCAGCACTTTGGGAGGCCAAGGCGGGCAGATCACAAGGTCAACGGATCGAGACCATCCTGGCCAAGATGGTGAAACCCTGTCTCTACTAAAAATACGAACATTAGCTGGGCGTGGTGGCACGTGCCTGTAGTCCCAGCTACTCGGGAGGCTGAGGCAGGAGAATCGCTTGAACCTGGGAGGCAGAGGTTGCAGTGAGCCGAGATCATGCCACTGCACTCCATCCTGGTGACAAAGCGAGACTCCGTCAAAAAAAAAAAAGAAGAAGAAGAAGATAAGAGGCTTGATGTGCCCACGTTACAGACTTTACACAGCTGTTTCCTTTTGCTGGTGTTATCCAAATATCTGCAAGACGATCTCTCTATCCTCTTTCATGTCTCTGCTTTAATGTTCCTTTCTCAAGGAAGACTATCCTATCCATCCTATTTAGAATTCTAACCCAATCCACCCCTGCTCCATGGCCTGGCACTCTTAAACTCATGTTCTGTGTCCTCTGTTTAATGGCACTTTTCACCTTCTTCACCTTCTTGTTTATTGTACATCTACTCCCATCGAATGATGACTACTTACAAGCAGGGATTTGGTTTTGTTCATTGTTATATCACTAGCACCTAAAATAGTGTCTGGCGCATAGATGGGGTTCAATAAATCTGTGATTAATTTGAATATTACACAGATACAGTCATGCACCACATATAGACATTTTGGTCAACAACAGACCACATATCATGCCGATCGCCTAAGATTATAATGGAGCCGAAAAATTTCTATCACCTAATGACATCATAGCTATTGTAACATTGTAGCACAACACATTACTTTTCCTATGTTTAGATACATAAATACTTACCATTGTGTTACAATCACCTACAGTATTCAGTATAGTCACATGCTGTAGAGGTTTGTAACCTAGGAGCAACAGGCTTTTCCATATAGCCTAGGTGTGTAGTAGGCTGTACCTTCTAGGTTTATGTAAGTATACTCTTTGGTCTTCACACAACAAAATCACGTAAGAATGCATTTCTCAGACTCTATTCCTGTTATTAAGCAACACATGACTGTATATTAATATGCATACATATATATATGCTGTGAAGATATAATGGTGCAAACACACATAATGTAAATGCATGCAATATCTCTGGATGAATGCATAAGTAAGCAATAGCATTGGCTGCTTCAGAAAAGAAGGGCTGGGTATCAGCAGAAGAAGGTGGAAAGAATGCTTTTCACTGTATGCTTTTTTTGTGCAGTTTGGAATTTGAACCATATGAATGAACTACCTTTTCCATAAGTGAATCAAGGAACAATTGAAGTTGAATTTCATAATGTGGCTTTCTTCTCCATAGTAAGACCCTAGAAATATTATGGATTTCTCAAATTCCCAATCTTTGTACTATTATGTAAATGTTGACAAAGTTATTTTAAACACATGTATAGGAGTCAGTGGGTCATTGAGAAGCACAGACTACTTGGTCCTCAAAAAAAAAAAAAAAAAACTTGGCAACTTGGCTACAATAAGATGAACACGTACTTTGAAATCAAGTGCCTGAAACATTAACACAATTCAATACATGTTGATAAGTAAAAAAGAAAAAATCATGAAATTAAATATATAGCATTATTCTATTTATATTTTAAAACATCTCAGTGTGTGATGTTTATGCAAAAAAAAAAATCCAGAAGGAAGGAGCTTTCATATTTTAATTTTTTTTAGTTTTCTTGAAAGTGATTTCAAACTTCAAAGTTGCAAAAATTAAAATGTACAAAATACTCACATATCCTTTACATAGATTCACCTCTTAGCATTTTACCCTATTTGCTTTATTGTTGGCTTTTTCCCTGCCATATTCATATACATCTACATATATTCACACATGCACACACAGACATCTGTACACACACGTATACACATAACATTTTTTCTGCACTGTTTGAGTGTAAGTTGCATGAGGCTCTTCACTTTTAAATACTGCAGTGAGTATCTCCTCTATATTGTAATATTTTTCTTATATTACCACAGTACAGTTGTCAAATTCAGGAAATTTAACATCAAAACAGTACACTTCCCTAATCTACCAGCCATATTCCACTTTTTCAGTTGACCTAATACTTTCCTATGTAGCATTGTATCATTCTGTGTTTTACAAGGAACGTAGATTGCTTCTATAATTTTTAAAGCAATGTAAATTGTTTTAATTATCTAGTGAATTGAGATTAGCAAAATACCTCTCAAAATTTGACTTTTTGGGCCTCAGGTTTTGAAATCATTTCTTTTCGTAGAGTCACTATACATATATAGTTCTGATGCAGAACTGCTTTCTTTTTCTACAAAGCTACTAGTTATTCTCAGCTACTTCATATTTCTGACTAGATATCAGAATGATGAGTGGTACTGAATGCTGATACAGCCTCACACTTAAAGAGCCTTAGTCAAAAAAGGTAGGGTTCTTTATCAGCACCCTCTGAAATCTCTGAAAGAGTACAGAACCTTCTAGTCAGATCAGAAAGATCCTTGAACAGTTTTCTTTTTCACTTTTTGTTTTCAAATTAATTCTAAGAAGCTAGTTCTGTTGTCTTGACATATTAATTGTGTTGTTTCTCCTTTCAGAGAAAAAAAACACGAGCCCTTAAAAGAGTACCAGAATCCATTCCTCTGAGTCTTTCTTTCAAGTATTTGCAAATCAATTTCCCTTCATTCTCCTCTAATTCCTGTGGTGCGCAGGCACCAGCACTTCCACAACAATATCTGAGTAATACACTAGATCACAGCCTCCTCAACATAATCACTGGAGGGCCTGGGCAGTCTACTGGAACCAGATAGAGGCAAAACATTAACAGAGATTAAGAAATGCAGTTTTCCTTGAAAAATGACTTTTGAAAATTTTATAAGCATGCATAAGCATTGTGTAGAATTAAAGAAAGTCTTGGTTTTTACATCTCTTTTAGATTGAAAAAGAGCTGTTATGTTTTTTCTAAAATAAATAAAGCAAATTATTGACTGCAACATTTAAAGATTAATTGAATTTATTTTGAGTAAATTGTGCAGGGCTTAAAACTCCTACCACATAGACATTTTATTGAGCAAAATTATTTTGAAAATATATTCATAGAATCATTAAGACTGTGTTTATTGGGCCATTTGAGGATAATCAGTAAAATCACTAGCCATTTTTACAAAACCTTACATCAGAAAGTGAAGACTACAGTCACCAAAAAGACATTATTATCACAATTTAAAACTCCATATATATAGCATATATTAGCTATTTTCATTAGGAAAAGTATTCTGTTATCTATACAGCATATAATACAGATTAAAGACATTAGGGCAAGTTTTATAACATTATATTGATAGAAAAAATAAATTTGAATTTAACCACCTACAAAGTACTCTACTGAACCATAGCACAGTGGGTACTGAAAGTGGAAAATAATGTTGAAAGCAACTGAGTGCTTATTTCTGTCTTCAGTGGGGAATGACAATATGTAATCCGGAGATTTCCCAGCATTAGCAAGACACTCCACAGTAGGGGGGTTGGAAATGGGAGCAATAAACAGTTAACTGGAGTATGCTATAAGGCACTTTTAAAGACCAAGAACATAAGACTTGGCATGTTAATAACTCTTATATTATAGCAACCCTGCAGGTGAAAATGGAGCCTGCAGATGACTGCTGTTTCTCTTCCAATCCTACCCCAACTTTTTGCCAGTGCTCCTTGTCTTAACCTCTATCATGGAGCAGAAAGAGAGTCTAGGATGAAGGAAAAGTGAACTGGTGGAAAGATAAGGGTAAAATATTGAGTGATATTTCAAAAGGCTTGCTTTGGATTTAAGGAAATTTATTTTTTCCCCAACAGTGACTACAATGATGCACATTAAATTCATAGATGATAGTACACTTAAAGGTAAGTGTCCAAGTCCTGCTCAGAGACAGAGAAAGAGAAATCAAGAATACCTAGATGAACATAAAAATTATGGAAAAACTTTTTACTTGTATAATCCTGCTCCTGTCACCCTATCCCACCACCACTTCCCCATAAAATATTTTACCACTGAAAAAGGTGAAGAGCTACCTGCAGTACATATTTCTCACCATAACTTTGGAAAGTATTCACAGCAAACGTTTCAAAGGCCGATGATAGAATTTGAAGAGGGACACATGGAGGAAGTAGAATGTAAAGTGGTTTTAGAGGGGGACAGTTTAAATAAGTGCTGGGTGACATAGGTGAGGTAGAAGGTGCATTCTAACATTTTTCTCATTAAGGAATTTTATTCCTTAAATTCAAGAAGTTATATGGCAAGCCTCTCTCTTTTTTGAGCTACAATATGAGTATTTTTCATTGTGTTTCATCCATGGGCTGATTCTGTTAGCAAGGGTGGCAGAGAGATAAGTTTCTCATTCAGCCTCCCGCTTGGTTTCTATTTCTGGTTCAGAGGCTGTATGGGGGAACTAGGCAAAAGAAGAATGAAGTAATTGGTAACTTGTATTTATCTATTTTTTTTAACTTATATTGTTTTCTATTTTCAGTTCCTCCAACATTTTATTTTCCATCTAGGGAAATATTCTCAGACTGAGATGATAATCTCATAAATCTCTTTTATCAAACTTCATAGGAGAATTATTCTTTGTTTCTCTGGTATCATTTTTTCTGCTTTAATCTTCAAATATGGAAAGAACTTTTCAGTGAAACAATTTTGAAAAGAGCTACTTTTGGAATACAATATGACAACTATGTTTTCTATGTTTACCAAAATTTCAAATAAACAGCCCCCTCTTTCACCAGAATCCTCAAATTACATAAACATTAAAACAGGCTTTTTTTGGAATCTAACTTTTTAGATAAAAGGGGCAAGTTGTAAACTAAACTACATATTAGATAATTACAAATCCAACTTCCAGGTTATATCCTGAGTGAACACGGACTAAAGACTTCCTCCAATGTCCTCTATAGGAATCACTGATGTGCAGTATGAACAGTCTGAGGCCCTGAAAGATCATTAGTCTTCAAATGAAGATTCAATTATGTTGAGAATATAAGGCAGAGAAATGGGCTCATATGTTTTAAAAATATTGTCCAGTAAGTGTGTTGAAACTGAAAACTTTTATTGCTTAAATATCAGATAAAAGTTCTTTTAATCAAAGTGTTCTTTTTCTTGGACATTCCAGCTAATTGATCTTTAATGCTTATACATTTTGAAACAATATAACCATACAATATTCTTAGGAAAAATATAAATACAATAGACAAAGCAATCTGGTCTGAAAGATTTCTGGTCTTGAAACCTTTTCCTCCTCTGAACTACTGGAGGATTTATTGGCTCTTTGAGTCATTTATTAATTATTCATTCATTGCCTTCCAATATCTTTTTAAATCAATTTTATTATTTTTATGATAATAAAATTAAATGTGTTCTTAAAAATATAACTTATAGCAAGTTCTAAAGAACAAAATAAAAATTAGCCCTAATCCAACCAGCAAGAAAAAATCCTTACTAAGACTTAAACAAATTTTCTTTGCATTTATACATTATAAATGCATAACTGCTTTTATTGTTTATAAAATTGGAATACATTCTGTTCATTGTCATAGTTTTTTTTACTTATCATTACTGCAGAAACACTTCCCCATGCTTTAAATATTTTTGAAAAACTGATTAATAGAAATTCCACTTCCAGTATGAATGAGTAAGCTACTAAAAATTATCCTATGACAAATAGAAAACTATAAATTAAAAACGTGTATTTCAGAGAGAAGCCAAAGTTTGGAGGAAGCAACTGGCATAGAATAAATTCCATGTTTTCAGACAAAAGAAAACTAAGAGAATGAATCACCAACAGATTTGAATCATAAGAAATGCCAAAGAAAGTTCTTCAGCTGGAAAGAAATGACACCAGAGAGAATCTCAGATTTTTAGGAATGAATGAAAAGAATCAAAAACTTTTAAGTATTTGGGTGAAAATGAAAGAACTTCTTCTCGCTTAATTTCTTTAAAATGCCTACAGCTATTTAAAACAAACATTATGTCAATCCCTTGCAGGGTTAGAATGTAATTAATTATAATGTACATAACAAACATTACATTTAAAAGATGGGGAGGTGGAGAATATAGACCCATATGGTTGTAAGGTTACTATATTTTGTGTAAATGGTACACTATTAATACTTAGAAGAGTAACAACTTCAGAAAGCACACTCTAATCCCTAGAGCAACCACTAAATATATGTATATATTAAAAGATTATAGGGAAAAGTTAATAGATAAATTGAAATCAAATTCTAAAATATAGTTATGCATCACTTAATGATGAGGACACATTCTGAGAAATGTGACACTAGGCAATTTCACAGTTGTGTGAACATCATGGAGTGTGCCTACAAACATCTAGATGGTATAGCCTACTACACTACTAGGCTACATGGTATAGCCTATTGCTCCTAGGCTACAAACCTGTTATGTTACTATACTGAATACCTTAGGCAATTCCACGGTAGTAAATATTGTGTATCTAAACATATCTAAATCTAGAAAAGGGATAGCAAAAACATGATATTATAATCTTATGGAAACACCATCATATATGTGCTCCATCATTAACAGAAATGTCTTTATACAGCATATAACTGTATATTCAAATAACAGAGGGCCATGTCAGGAAAACAGAAAGATAAAAATAAGAAGTAGCAAACAAAAACCAAATAGTAAAATGATACATCTAAAGACAGCCATATGCATACCGTTTACAATAGCTAAGATTTGAGTGCAACCTAAGTATCCATCAACAGATGAATAGATAAAGAAAATGTACCATGTGTACACAATGGAGTACTATTTGGCTATAAAAACAATGCGATCCAGTCATTTGCAACAATATGGATGAAACTGGAGATAATTTGTTAAGTGAAATAAGCAAGGCACAGAAAGATAAGCAGTGCATGTTCTCACTTATTTGTGGGATCTAAGAATAAAAACAATTGAACTCATGGGCATAGAGAATAGAAGGATGGTTACCAGAGTCTGGGAAGGGTAGTGAGGAGCTGGCAGGGAGGTGTTGGTGGTTAATGGGTACAAAAATATATATATAGAAAGAATAAATAAGCCCTACTATTTGCTAGCACAATAGGGTGACTGTAGTCAATAATAACTGTACATTTGAAAATAACTTAAAGAGTGTAATTGGGTTGCTTGCAACTCAATGGATAAATGCTTGAGGGGAAGGATGTGCTTCATGATGTGCTTGTTTCACATTGCAAGCCTGTACCAAAACATGTCATGTACCCCATAAATATATACACCTACTATGTACCCACATATTTTTTTAAAAAAATAAAGACAACCATATGCCTGGATATAGAGAGTAGAAGGATGGTTACCAGAGGATGGGAAGGGTAGTGGGAAGCTTGGGGGAAGTGGGAATGGTTAATGGGTCCAAAAAATAGGAAGAATGAATAAGACCTACTATTTGACAGCACAATAGGGTGACTATAGTCAATAATAACTTAATTGTACATTTATAATAAAGAGTGTAATTGGATTGTTTGTAACTCAAGGGATAAATGCTTGAGGGCATGGATACTCCATTCTCCATGATGTGCTTATTTCACATTGCATGTCTGTATCAAAACATCTCATGTACCGAAATAGCAACTCTTAGACAGAGGGCAGCGTGTTCAGACTCACATTGTGACTTTTTGCTCCAAGAAGTACTGCAGGAACATACCAGGACAGCCAAGAGAATGGAAATAACCTCAATTAAAATGAAAATGGGAGATATTAAGCCAACACCACAGAAATACAAAATATCATTCAAGGCCACTATGAGCACCTTTAAGTGCATAAACTGGAAAACCTAGAGAGATGGATAAATTCCTGGAAATATACAACCCTCCTAGCTTAAACCAGGAAGAATTAGAAACTCTGGACAGACCAATAACAAGCAGCAAGATTGAAATGGTAATTTTAAAAACTGCCAAAAAAATGTCCAGGACCAGAGGGATTCACAGCTTAATTCTATCAGACATTCCAAGAAGACCTGATACCAATCCTACTGACACTATTCCACAAGATAGAGAAAAAGGGAATCCTCCCTAAATCATTCTATGAATCCAGCATCACCCTAATTCCGAAATCAGAAAAGGGCATAACAAAAAAAAAAGAGAAAAATGTAGACCAATATCCCTAATGAATATAGATGCAAAAATCCTTAACAAAATACAAACTAATTGAATCCAACAGCATATCAAAAAGATAATACACCATGATAAAGTGGGTTTCATACCAGAGATGTAGGGATGGTTTAAAATCTGCAAGTCAATAAATGTGATACACCACATAAACAGAATTAAAAACAAAAATCACATGATCATCTCAATAGACGCAGAAAGGGCATTTGACAAAATCCAGCATCCCTTTATGATTAAAACTCTTAGCAACCTCAGCCTAGAAGAGACATACCTTAATGTGATAAAAGCCATCTATGACAAACCACAGCCAACATAATACTGAATGAGGAAAAGTTGAAAGCATTCCCTCTGAGAACTGGAAAAAGACAAGAATGCCCACTCTCAACACTTCTATTCAACGCAGTACTAGAAGTCCTAGCCAGAACAATCAGACAAGAGAAAGAAATGAAAGGCATGGAAATTAGTAAAGAGGAAGTCAAATTGTCACTATTTGCTGATGATTTGATAGTATACCTAGAAAACCCTAAAGACTCCTCCAAAAAAGCTCCTAGAACTGATAAATGAATTCAGCAAAGTTTCCAGATACAAAATTAATGTACACAAATCAGTAGCTCTGCAACCAGGCTGAGAATCATATCAAGAACTCAACCCCTTTTACAATAGTGGCAAAAAAATAAAATACTTAGGAATATATCTAGCAAAGGAGGTGTAAGACCTCTACAAGTAAAACTACAAAGCACTGCTGACAGAAATCATAGATGACACAAACAAATGGAAACACATTTCATGCTAATGAATGGATAGAATCAATGTTGTGAAAATGACCATACTGCCAAAAGCAATCTACAAATTCAATGCAATTCACATCAAAATACCACCATCATTCCTCACAGAACTAGAAAAGACAATCCTAAAATTCATATGGAACCAAAAAAGAGCCTGCATAGCCAAAGAAAGACTAAGCAAAAAGAACAAATCTGGAGGCATGACATTACCTGACTTCCAACTATACTATAAGGCCATAGTCACCAAAACAGCATGGTACAGATATAAAAATAGGCACATAGACCAATGGAGCAGAATAGAGAACTCAGAAACAAACCCAAATACGTAATTACAGCCAACTGACCTTCGACAAAGCAAACAAAAACATGAAGTACGGAAAGGACACCCTATTCAACAAATGATGCTGGGATAATTGGCAAGCCAAAAAGAATGAAGCTAGATCTTCATCTCTTACCTTATACAAAAATCAACTCAAGATGGATCAAGGACTTAAATCTAAGATCTGAAACCATAAAAACTCTAGAAGATAACATTGGAAGAACCCTTCTAGAACGTGGCTTAGGCAAAGACTTCATGACCAAGAACCCAAAAGCAAATGCAACAAAAACAATGATAAACAGGTGGGACTTAATTAAACTAAAGAGCTTCTGCACAGCAAAAGAAACAATCAGCAGAGTAAACAGACAACCCATAGAGTGGAAGAAAATCTTCATAATCTATACATCTGACAAAGGACTAATATCCGGAATCTACAAGGAACTCAAATTAGCAAGAAAAAAACAATCCCATCAAAAAATGGGCTAAGGACATAAATAGACAATTCTCAAAAGAAGATATACAAATGGCCAACAAATATACGAAAAAATGCTCAACATCACTAACGATCAGGGAAATGCAAATCAAAACCACAATGCAATACCACCTTACTCCTGCAAGAATGTCCATAATCAAAAAATCAAAACTAATACATGTAGGCTGGGATGCAATAAAAAGGGAACACTTTTACACTGCTGGTGGGAATGTAAACTAGTACAACCACTATGGAAAACAGTGTGGAGATTCCTTAAGGAACTAAAAGTGGAACTACCATTCGATCCAGCAATCCCACTACTGGGTATCTACCCGGAGGAAAAGAAGTCATTATACGGAAAAGATACTTGCACATGCATGCTTATAGCAGCACAATTCACAATGGCAAAAATATGGAACCAGCCCAAACGCCCATCAATCAATGAGTAGATAAAGAAATTGTGGTATATATATATATATATATATATATATATATATATATATATATATATATATATGTATACACACCATGGAATACTATTCAGCCATAAAAAGGAATGAAATAATGGCATTCACAGCAACCTGGATGGAATTGGAGATCATTATTCTAAGTAAAGTAACTCAGGAATGAAAAACCAAACATCACATGTGCTCACTCATAAGTGGGAGAGCTAAGCTATGAGGATGCAAAGGCATAAGAATGATACTATAAACTTTGGGGACTTGGGGAAAAGGGTGGGAGTGAGGTGAGAGATAAAAGATTGAAAATTGGGTACAGTGTACACTGCTCGGGTGATGGGTGGGTACACCAAAATCTCACAAATCACCATTAAAGAAGTTACTCATGTAAACAAACACCACCTTTTCCCCAAAAACCTATGGAAATAAAAAAAAAATTTTAAATCTCATGTACCTCATAAATATATACAACTACTATGTACCCACAAAAATTAGAAATAAAGGCAACCATATTAATAATTACATTAAATAATAATAGACTATATATGCCAATCAAAAGGCAGATATTATCAGAAATGCTAAAAAGTCAAGACCCAACTATATGCCCTCTATAACATACATACTTTAATATGACACAGATATGTGCGAAAAGTGTAAAAGTATAATATGTAAGCAGTAAGTATGAGGTCACAGTAGCTACATTAACACCAGCTAAAAGAAACTTTAAGATGAAGAGTATTACCAAAGGTAAAGAGTAACATTCTATAATGATAATTGGATCATTTTCCAGGAAAATATTCTAAACATACATGTGCTTAATAGCAGAACTTTAAAATTCATGAAGTAACAATTGACAGAATTAAAGAGAGAAATAGACAATTCCAAAATCATAGTAGGAGATTTTAGCATCTCTCTTTCATTAATTCATAGAATAGCTGGACAAAAGTCAGGTTAAACATAGAGGATCTGAACAATACTATCAACAAGTTTGACCTAATTGATATTTATAGACTGTGTCACTCAATAACTGCAGAATGAACATTTCTTTCATGTACACATGGTACAGTCACCAAAATTGACTACATGTATGACCATAAAACAGACATCAATGAATCTAAAAAGGTTTGAAATCATACAGAGTATATTTTCCGGCCACAATAGAATTAAATTAGAAACCAATAACACAATAAGAGTCTAGGAAATTCCCAGATATTTGGAACTTAAACAAGACACTTCTGAATAATTCATGAGCCAAAGAAAAATCACAAAGAAAATAATAAAATTAAAAAATGTTTCTAACTAAATGATAATGAAAATAAAGCATGTGAAAATATAGTGCTTAGGAGGAAATTGATAGTTTAAGATGCCTATACCAAAAAAAGAAAGAACTAATATTAATAACCCAAATTCCCACCTCAGGAAGTTAATATACAGAAAAGTAAAACAAAAGTTAGTAGAAGGAAGGAAATATGACAGCAGAAATAAACACAACAAAAAACAGGTAATACAGAAAATTAGCAAAGCCAAAAGCTGGTTCTATGAAAAGATGAACATAATTGATAAAACCCCTAGCTAGACTAAATAAGAAAAAGAGAAAATGCAAATCAATATCAAGAATGAGAAAGAGGTTAGCAAGACAAGTCCTAGATACATTAAACATATAATTTAAAATTTTAAAAAAATTATGAAGAGCTTCATGTTAACAAGTTTAATAACTTACTTGAAATGGACAAATTCTTGAGATATACAACTATCAAATTTGACACAGGATAAACTAGAAAGTTTTCAGAACATATGGGAGGAGAAAGAACCTCCCAAATGGTTTTATGAAGCCAAAATATACTTAATATAAAATTCTGAAAAAGACATTACCAAAAAAAAAAGACCAATATTTTTCACAAATATAACTGCAAAAAATTTTAATAAAATATTGATGAATCAATTTAACCATCTTTTTTTTAAATAACACAATGGCTAAATTTGTTTTATCACTGGGATGCCAGGTTACTTTGGCATTCAAAAATAAAACAATATAATTCACCAGATTAACAGAATAAAGGAGAAAACATATGATTACTTCAATAGAGATAGAAAAAAGGGTTTGAGAACATTGAACAGCTATTATGATTAAAAATATAAACAAACTGACATGAAACTAGGAAAAAAAATCTCTTAATCTGACCAAAGGCATCTATTTTTTTTAAAAAAAAAGAACTAAAATAACAGCATATTTAATAATGAGACATTTAACACTTTCCCATAAGTGTTTGCTAGTACTCCTAGCTATTGCAATAAGGCAAGAAAAAGAAATAAAAAACATAAAGACTGGAAAGAGGAAAGTATTGTGTGTATTTCCAGATGACACAATTATTTATGAGAAAATCCTAGATAATCTACAAAACAACTCATAGAGCTAACCAACAAATTTAGCAAGGTCACAGGATATAAAGTTAATATCCAAAAAATCAGTTATATTTTGCTATACTAGCAAATGATAGAAAAATGGATTTTTAAAAAAAATTATTTGACAGTAGCCCCCTCTCCTCAAATATAAAAAAATTTAGGAATAAATCTAACAAAACACATGACACATCTCCTCACTAAAAATTATGAAACATTAGTGCAAAATATTAAAGACATAAAATGGAGAGAGCCATAATCATGGATTGGAAAATTCAATGCTGTTAACGTGTCAATTATCCCCAAATTAATCTGTAGATTCAACACAATCCTAATCCAAATTCCAGCAGGGCTTTCTTAAGTAGAAATTGAAAAGTTGATTTTTAAATGTATATGGAAATGCAAGTGACCTTAGAATTGCCAAAGCAATTTTTAAAAAGAAAAACAAAGCTGGAGAAAGTACAGTACCTGATTTCAAGGCAGTATAAAGCTTTAGTACTTGAGTGTGGTATGAATGAAGACATATCAATCAAGGGAACAAAAAAGAGTCCAGAAATATTATATCCATAGTCAAAATATTTTTCAACAACAATGTCAATGCAATTCAATGACGAGAGAAAATGAATGTTGATTGTTACCTCATTCTGTATGCAAAAATTCACCCCAAATGGGTCATAGATTAAATATGAAAGATTAAAGCTATAAAACTTTTAGAGTAAGGTGAAGGAAGAAATCTTTATGACTTTGGGGTTGTCAAAATTTTTTAGACAAATCACAGAAATCAATAAACATATAAGAAAAAATGATTAGATTAGAATCATTGAAATGAAAGACTTCTGCTCTTTAACGGACACTTTTAAGAAAGTAAAAATACAAGCCACAGACTAAGAGGAAATATCCTACAGAGCTTACATCTGACAAAGGACTTGTATCCAGATTATATAAAGTGCTATTACAATTCAATAAAAAAAAGACTTCCCCACAAAAAAAAAAAAAAAAATGAAAAATGGAAAGAATATTTGAACAGACTCTTAACAAAAGAATATACAAATGGCCAATAAGCACAGGAAGAGATGCTCAAGATATTAGTTATCAGAGAAATGCAAATTAAAACCATAATGATACACCACTAGAAACATACTAAAGTGGCTAAAACTAAAACAACCAACCAAACAAATGAAAAACCCAAGTGTCGATGAGGATGTGGGGCAATTAGCATTTTCATACATTACTGGTAGGAATGTAAAATAGTACAACCTCTTTGAAAAACTGTTTGGCAGTTTTTTAAAAATATATACCTATTATATAACTCGGCATTTTTGTCCTTAAGTATTTATGCAAGAAAAAACGTTAGTAGAAGCTTTTTTTTTTTTTTTTTTTTTTTTTTCTGAGACAGTCTTGCTTTGCCGCCCAGGCTGATCTCGGCTCACTGCAACCTCCATCTCCAAGGTCCAAGCGATTCTCCTGCCTCAGCCTCCCAAGTAGCTGGGACTACAGGCACATGACACCACGCTGGGCTAATTTTTTGTATTTTTAGTAGAAACGGGGTTTTGCCATGTTGCCCAGGCTGGTCTCAAACTCCTGAGCTCAGGGCAATCTGCCCGCCTTAGCCTCTGAAAATGCTGAGATTATAGGTGTGAGCCACCACACCCAGCCAGAAGCTTTATTCGTATTAGTAATACCTCAAAATTTGAAACAACCCAAATGTCCTTCAACAAGTCAGTAGATGGACAAATGTCATATATTTGTATAATAGAATACTATTCAGCAATACAAAGGAATGAATTATTGCTACATCCAACAAAATTAATATTTCAGAAAACAATCATGTTGAATGAAAGAAGCTGGCCAAGAAGAGTGCATACTGCATGATTTCATTTATTTGAAACACTAAAAAATACAAACTAATCTAGAGGGAGAGAAAGTAGATCATTGGTTGCCTGGGGCATACAGGGGCAGGGCTGGATTACAAAGCATCATGAACAAACTTTTGATGTTCTTTGCTGGCTGGAAAAAAGCAGGTGATGGAAATGGTATGTATCTTATTTGTGGTAGTGTTTTCATGTGTGCATTTAACCGTCAAAACTCATAAAATTATATAATTTTAATAAACTCAGTTGCTCAAGTGCATATTGTGCCTCAATACAATTGGTTAGAAAAAAACAGGATACTTGCTACATAATATTTATCCTTTGTATGTATAAAAATTTATTCAGTCAAGATTCTATTATTATTTAGAGAAATACTTTTAGTGTAAATAAATGATGGCAAATATGCAAATTCAAATAAAAAAGCCCAAACGTTATTGAATATAATCCAGGAATGCACAGAAAGAAGAGCTAGACAACTGAGAGACAAATATACCTACTGGGGAAACAAATGGGGTGAGGAAACAATGTTTTAGCCACGATGGTGACTGCTTACATAAATAGCAAAGCTCCCCTTTTCCCCTGCAGTAATGAAGAAGATTTTGACAAGTATTTTACTCTGCCATTTGTATGCCTCAGGTGTAGAATAGCTTAGATAGGTTGTTTGTTTTGTGGTTCATATAGGTAGAGTGGCAAATATATACTTGACAGTAGTCCATGAAACACACTCCCTTGGGGAGAATTTATGAAAGATATCAGGGATTGTAGTACTGAGCAAATCCTATTGTGAGGCAGAAAGCTGACATCGTACTTTATAAAAACTGAGACTTAACAAACCTCATTAGCTCTGTCCCTGACGCCACCTAAACTTCTTGTTAAAGGTGCTCCACTATTTGAGATGAATTGGGTGGCAAGATATCTTCCTCCTGAGCACTTTGGAAAAGGAGAACTATAAATCCAAACATTACTGTTCGTTGTTGGCTGGAAAAAAGCAGGTCTATTTGCTCTTTCCTGACACTGGTGGAAGACTTGGTTACCTATAAATTATTCAGTTACATCACAGAGGAACAAATGGACAGAAGAAGAACATCAAGGCTGTGAATCAATGCTCCAAAAGTTAATTTCTAATGGCAAAGTTTGGCACCAATGAGAGTCTTGAATTATCCTGGCCCTTTTCCCCTCTATTTCTCCTTCTTTTTGTCCCTGGATAGACCCCTGATACTTTTTAAACCCTCCTCCATTGTTTTCTTTTAAAATAATAAAATATTTCAAAATATAGCCCACTCAGTTTCTAATTTCAATTAACTTTTAATAGCACTCAATATATATGGATAAATATGCATCATTTGAGAATGTCTACTCATCCTTCATTGCAATCCTACATTGACAACGGAAAGTTATCTGGATGAAGAAAGAAAAATTTCTGATCTACTTTTTTTTTTATTTGCTCCATGTAGAGATGTTTTCTATGGTCATGGCAGTGAAAATATTCAAGAAAGGCCCACCTATTATTGTATGATCAAATGAAATTTCCAATTTCTAAATGTTTATATTTTGAGTAACCAAAAGTTGCCTAAATGTGGACACTATTTCTTTAAGTGCTTTACTTCAAGTGTTGTTTTGGAATAATCAGTTGTTTAACTTTTAAAATTAAAGAGGAACAATTCTCTTAAGGGATGATAACCATCCTAGTGTGCTGAATTTCCACTCCACTATTTGCTATTATGACGGTGTTAGTATTTAGTTTTCAAATTCGTGTTGGAGATATTGAATAGCAATCAAATGCTTGAAGCTCTCATAGAGCTTTAGAACTTGATTAAAATAGAGAATTTATATTTTTTGTTTCCACTTAGATACAGAAGCATGAGTTTTAAAAGTAAAGTCTAATAGTGTTAGCAAAATCCTTTTGATTTCCCTGCTGATATTATCAGTCTACCCTTGCAGAATGTCAACTGCTAAACATATTCCAACCCTGGACTGGCACAGTACTAAGAAATTGACTTTACCATCTGGCTTTCTAGCATTTTTATCAGGTCTTTTTAATTAGGTTCAAATCGGTGATCTCCACCTTTCCCTGCTTCCACCTTTTTCAGTGCCATTAAGGCTGAACTCATTTCCAGTGCACTGCCGTGTGCTCAAGTGGAACTTAAATTGAATAGTATTTTCCCCCAGGTTTTCACACCTTACATATGCTAGCAAAAGTCATGTCATGCTTGCCCAGTAGTGCATATAATTCAATTTTTGTTTTATTAAGATATGAAGATGACCATTACATTAAAAAACCAGGCAGCCTTAAGAGACCTAAATGAAAAATGGGACCATAGTTAGAGAAATTAAATATCTCTGCAAGGTAAGGAAAAAGGGAGAGCACTGCAATTTTGCTCTTGAACTTAAACCACTAAAACAATGTGTATAATAGAAATAAAAAAATAAAACATTTTCAAGTTAAACCTAGTGATGCCGTCTTTAACAAACATATTTCCACAGGGTTTGGAAGAGAAAAAAAAAACTGGTCAAATTTGGTTATGTCAAATATCTCCTGCTAATTTTAAATGATCCCAATACAATAAAAATCTGACTTCAGCAACAGAAAGCTGGTTGGGCAATGGTTGGGCAATGGAAGTTCATTTTTTATTCTGTCAGTGACAGCAGAGCTAACTAGAGGTTGCATTAGAGGTAGTTTGAAATCTTTGTTTTCTTGAAGAGGAAGAGTAGAGCAGTCATTCCAATATAATAAGCTTGCTACCTTTATAATATTCACCTCATTATGGCCCTTATTCAAATAAAATTTATTTCCAAGAAAGAAAAGAGTGCTTTTCAAGGGTGGAGGAAGAAAGGAAATTTCTGAAAACTCTGTTATATTTCTAAAAAGCATACAAAGCATTAAGGGCCCTTATGCACTCTTTGTTCAATCAAATGCATCTTTTTTTCCTATGGCTATATTGAGATTTGCGCTATAAACTCAAACAGGACCAAAAAGACTGACTCTTCCTAATTCATTAAGACAGTCCTGGGAAGAGTGAGTTACAGATCTCTGAGTCCCTGCCACATCAACATGTCATACAGGCAGCCCGGTGCAAATCGAGCAGACCAGGTCTTTCATTTCCATATAATGTGGAACGCATAAATAGATTAAATTGTAATGTTAAATTCAAAATGACAATTCTGGATTCCAAAAGTAGAACGCTGAATGGGTTTGTACCTGTGGTGATTTTCTACAGTACACTGAGGTTTGGACTGAAAAACAATCTGACCAACAAAGCTACAACACAGGAATTCTATGCACTTTTTTTTCTGAGTGGTTCTAATTAGTGCCTAGGTTTCTTCCACATGAACCTTCAAGGTTGAATTTCCCATTCTTCTTTTGAATAGCCTACCCACTCCTACCCACTCCGTAGCACAAAAGATACTTACTGATTTGAGAACCTGTGTGTGCAGCACCTGTTCACATTGACTTCAGAAGTTTGGGGATGGGGGCATCCACACTCAGGTTAAAATAGTACAAAGGGGGAATCCTATAGCCCAAGAAAATAATTTTTCACTGAGTTTTGCTCACCAGAGTGTAACTGCCCACAATTTCTGGATATTCTGCTCTCTGAGCACTTTATGAATAAATGTATGTTGCAGAAGCTGCAAACTTTCATTTTCATTTTTTTTTCTAGGTGGGGTATGGGGTATCATTTGGAGGCTGGCTTCAACCTTCATTACACTAACCAATAGCTACAGTCTTTGCTAGCAGTTTAAGTGACCCTGAAATAATTTATATATTTTTAGAATCCTCTTCTAAGGCAGTCAAGCCAACTATGGATTATTAAATTCATTGAGTCCTTTTTACACATTTTCTAACTGCAGATGTGCTAAACCATTCAACAAAAATGTAGGATACTGCAGAACAAGTAGAGACCTGTAGAGCTGTAATAATTACAGGATAATGTAGAACTCAAATAATTCTTTTGAATGTTGAGGTTTAATATCATCTGTTCTTTCCCTCCACATTCCCAGTGGAACAAATGACTCAATTTCTCCAGGCACAAATCTTTCATAACCTCTTCCTAACTTTCTGAGTTCTTCTCCTAGCAGGATTCTATGCAGGAGCACGTGTCTCCCTCTCCACTGAAAGAGTCCATCACATTTGAACTCACCAGGCCTTATTCATCCATCTCTATCCTCCAGCACTCTTTTTAAGAATCACTCTTAGCCAGAGCAATAACTTAACAATCAAAGTAACAGATTTTGACAAACCTTTCCCTTCATGAGTAACAAGTTTGAATTCCCTTAAGATTGATTTCTTAGGATGAACTTAGTAGCACAACGAGTTCAAAGAGGAAAATCTTCCAAAGGGAACACAGTATTTCCGAGCCTCTAGAGATCTATATCACCTGCCTAACAGCAAAGCCTCTGCACAGCATTTTTAGGGCTGGTAAACTATCAAAGGTCTTAATCTTTTCTTTCAGACACTATATATGACAAGATAGCCTTAATGAGAAAGGCAAACACTTTTCCATGAGTTTGCTGTTTGTCTCACTTGGCACAAACTGTTACTGATCCTTGGCGAGTAGATAATTACAAGGCTTTTTGTTTCCCAGACCGGCTATGGCTTAATAATATTTCAGTACGAGTTTCTGAGTGAACAAGTCACCTTGTGATTTGCAGTCATGCTAGCCATAAATCTTGGTCATAGGTCAGGAATAGACTTAAAAATTTGTCAGTAACTCATGTTATGCTATGATATCTCATTTGGCTATAATATGATAAAGTGTGACAGCTACAACCTGTGACTAATCACAGCCTCATACTGAAGCCTTCCTATGTGGAAAGCAAGATTTTAGAGAGTTGAGTCTACCATATGAAAAGAAGCTGCTTTACCCATCAAGCAAAGTTTAGTTGCACATTCAGCTTCTGCTTTTTGAAGGAGGACAGAAGTTAGAGAAATGGCTCTGTGGTATTTGAGCTTTTTCTAGTTTCAGATTTCAAATGATTGATCATTGTAGCATTTCTGGATCAATATTCACATTTCCATTTTTCGGGCAGTAGAAAACTGAGGTAAAGATACTTTTCAGTGTTCCCGTGGAAAATGCATGGAAGAGGTAAAATGAGGATGGATAGATAAATTGTTTGATTGATAGTTCAGATATAATTCTGACTAGATTATCCACATTTTGATCATTGGATGTAACAGACAGAAAGAATAGTTCTCATGTCAGAAATATGAGGTGTGTAAGAATTTGACATCTAGCCTATCTTTATTGGCTTTCCTCTTTTCAAAGCCTAATGGATTGCTTCCTGCTATAGAGTCTGCCAAAATGCATAAAAATATTTCAAATTTCCAGAGGAGCTTCACATCCATTGATCACGGTTTATATATTGATTTGTGGCTAAGAGAAGACCATACTTTCCACTTTTCTCTGTTGTAATGAAAATGGAATGTATACTAATTTGAACTGAAAGTAGATATGTAATGGCTGAGGGTTGTTTCGGTTTTTTTTGTTTGTTTGTTTTTTTCCATTTAGGTCTCAGAATGTTGGTTACATTAAATCATGCTATTTGTTAATGATTACAATAATAGTTCAAGCCAATCTTGATATTCCCTGAAGTCATCCTAAAATTAAAAGGTATGCTTGAGGATCTTTGGCACATGACTGTTAATTGTAGAAGTGTGAATCTGGATCTCCACCTGACAGGAAAGATGAATATTTTCAAGCTTTTAAAATTACATACACACACCCACACACATTATATACATCACTCATCTGTTGCCTTGATAAGAATGTTTATCAGGCTCAACCCAAGGTGAAACAAATTTATATAGCTTCTGCTCCATAGAGATATTTAATCTAAAACAGAATGATACAAATATTAAGGTATTAGGGACTTATAGAAAAATAGAAAGAAAAAAATAAGTCGGAAAGTGAAATACATGAAACTTAGGTTGTGATGAATTCCTGGGAGAGCTGAAATTTGCAGAATTTTTTGACCAATAGTAGGGTAACAGCTTGGGGCTGGAGCAATATTTTAGACATTCGGTTTTTTAAAAAAGTTTAAAAGTCAAAAGAGAGACTTTAGAAGGTAGAGACAGATGACTGGCAGAAATGGACATTTAAAAAAGGTGGCCTATTAAAAGGGTAGGGAGCACTCAAGAGGGTAAGAAGACAAACTAAATGAAGATAAAAGGTAGCTTAAGAAGGCACTTGGTCAACCTCTTTATCTCTGGACAAGATAAAACCTAAGCTACCCCTTAAAATTTGGCAAAAACCCAAGTTCTTAAAGTTTTCTAAACTTTTTTTTCTTTTAGCAGGTAATTTCAATCGTCTCACAGGTTTCGATTTTTCCTGATACGGTTTTTATCAACTGAAATTCTCTTACTATTATCATCTGAGCTTATTTTTTAAAGGAAGAATGGAAATCAACAAATTTTCAAGGCTAATCCTCTAAATTCCTAGTTTTGAGAAAAGCTACACTTCCAACTCTTAAAATATGAACTATAAATCTGAATTTTATTTGGTTTCAATTAACATGGAAGTCTTCTTTAGACCAAAAATAGAGTGTTCAGATATTACATCCTCCTTTCTTGTTTATCATTGCCCTGCTAATCTTACTCTTCATTTTCTAAGATAATGTTATTTGCATAAATTGTTTTCTTTTTATTTGGATGTGACCAAAATTATTACTGTGAGATTCAAAATCCTTCTTCATTTTACCCATCTGAAATGTAATCTTGATATAGCTGTTGGCATCATGTAAATCTTGAAAGATGCTGTTTCTTTTTTGTAGCCCTGCTTTTACTTTTGTCATCCAAATGAAGAATATATTGGCCTTCAGATTTCCGCTCAAATTGTTTCACCTCAAATATTTGTTGAGCACCTGTTATGTGCTGGGTACTGTAGTAGGCCTTAGAGATATGAGAACTCTCATCCGAGCCACTGTCATCTTTCATCTAGACAACCGCAACAGCCTTCTCCGTGGTTTCTCTGCCTTCAGAATGGCTTTCCTCCAACCTTGTCTCCATTCTGCAATCAAAGTGAGCTATCCAAAGCAAAGCTTTAATTATGCCACTCTACTTTTTTCAAATGGCTTCATTTTGGAGGGTCCAAAATGAAGTCTCAATACCTTACCTTGGTTTCCGTAAGTCCTGCACAATTTCCATTCTCATCCTGTACCATTTTTTACTTAGGCTTCAGACATACTAAATTATTTATTTATTTATTTATTTATTTATTTATTTATTTATTTATTTATTTTTTGAGACGGAGTCTCGCTCTGTCGCCAGGCTGGAGTGCAGTGGTGCGATCTCGGCTCACTGCAACCTCAGCCTCCCAGGTTCAAGTGATTCTCTTGCCTCAGCCTCCAGAGTAGCTGGGACTACAGGCTTGCCACCATGCCCAGCTAATTTTTGTATTTTTCATAGAGATGGGGTTTCCCCATGTTGCCCAGGATGGTCTTGATCTCTTGTCTTCATGATCTGCCTGCCTCGGCCTCCCAAAGTGCTGGGATTACAGGCATGAGCCACCGTGCCCAGCCCAGACATACTAAATTATTTTACTTCCTCAAAATCTCCACGTGGTGTAACTCACTTGAGATATGCTTGTTCCTTGGTTACTCAATTCTCCTTCATTAGCCTAACTCCTAGTCATCTTCAAGTCTCAGCATAAAGATGACTTTAGAGTAGCAGCTCTCCAGGGTTCACAATGTGGGTTGTGTAACGTCCTGTTGAGTTTCCCTGCTTTATGCCTCCAAAAGACTCTAATATACCCCAGTCGTAGTGTAATAGTCTACAGGCTGCCATAACAAAATACTACAGACTGAGTGGCTTAACCAACAGAAAATTACACTGTAAGTTCTGACATAGTAAGAACTTAATAAGTACTTTTGAATGAATAAAGAAGAATAAGACATAGTCCCTGCCCTCAAAAATCAACAAATCTAGCTTACTAATTAGACATAAGTAAAACTGGTTAGAATATAGCATAGCATCGTTGGAAAGAATAATTCATTTATTAATTCTGATCTAGATGGGGTAAAAGTGGAGTGGGGATCAGAGTCAAGACAGGTTTCCCAAAGGAGGTGATACTTGAACTAGACCATAAGAGAAGAAGACATGTCTATTGCTTTCACTATCATTATAAATTGGGGTTGTTTCAAAAAAATCTGTGATGGCATTTAAATTGTGTATTTCCAATGACATCCTTGTATTGTGTAGTATAAGCTGCTTATTTATGCTTACAAACCCAAACTACACAGCAGAGTAGCCACTAGCCAATTTGGCTATTTAAATGTAAATTAATAATAGTTAAATAAAAATAAGCATTCAGTTAGTCTAGCAACATTTCAAGTGCCTAACAGCCACATGTGACTACCATACTGGACAGTACAAATTATAATATGAAAAATTTCTGTCACTGCAGAAAGCATGTTATAAGCAATGCAGTCATTTTACTATTTATTAATCTTGTATTGAACATCTAGTATTCGCTTGATACTGTGTTAGATGGTAGTGTGTGCAAAGGTAAATGTGACAAAGTTCCTGGCTTCACAAAGCTCACGCTAGCGAACTGGCCTAGCCCTATTTCTGTAAATTGGCTCAAGATGAATTACGTTTCTTTACTTTTGTAAACTTCAAAATTACTATCTTTAGGAGTTTGTTACTTATAGCTTATTGAATTAGAAGTTTTTCAGATGCTCAGGAATCGGAAGCATAGCTGTGAATGGAAGTTTGACTAAACCTGCTCTTTATTAAGTACTCATTATGTGACCACCCTTTGCTGAGTACTGTGAAAAATACAAAAGAAATGTAAGACAAATTATCTTTTCTCTATGAGTTTATAAGTTAAATGAAATTTTGAATGTAAAACTGATTCATAAACCATGAACATATTTCTACTATTAAAGTATAATGGGAAAGACTGGATTCAGATAAATTTAGTGAGTAGGTAACAATAAAACAGTATATAATCAAGTGCTAGAGTACATACTAAAACTTATAAATCCTATGGAAATTCAGAGTTGAGAAAGAATAACATGAAGTAAAATGGTTAAGGAAGACTTTGGAAAGAAAGTGATGTTAGTCATGAATTATTGTGTTACATGTGACAGAAAACCAACACAAACTGACTTCAGTTACTTATGTAACTGGAAAGCTCAGTTGTGGACTTTAGACACAGATGCATTCAGGGAATCAAATAAAGTCATCACCTTTTTCTCTTCTCTCCATCTGTCAGCTCCACTTTCCTCCGTAATGGCTCTAAGGAAGGTTCTCTCCTCTTGGTAGCAAGATGGCTACCAGAAACTCTAGGCTTATATCCCATTCTCTCAGCAACCCCAGTGAGAGGAAAGCACCTATGCCTAATTTGTTCTGCTTGGGTCATGTTATTATCTGTGAACCAGTCACTGTGACCAAGAGAAGGCAATGCTCAGTTGGTCAGGCCTAGGTCACAAACTCATCACAGGAGGTGGGGAAGGAAGTTCTTAGAATTGGGCAGGTGTAATCCCATAAAGAAATTCCTGGAAATGTATTAAAATTAAAAACAGGCTGGGCGTGGTGGCTCACGCCTGTAATCCCAGCACTTTGGGAGACCAAGGCAGGCGGATCCCTTGAGGTCAGCAGTTCGAGACCAGCCTGGCCAACATGTTGAAACCCATCTCTACTAAAAATACGAAAATTAGCTGGGCGTGGTGGTGCATGCCTATAACCCCAGCTACTTGGGAGGCTGAGGCAGAAGAATCACTTGAACCTGGGAACTGGAGGTTGTAGTGAGCCAAGATCGTGCACTCCAGCCTGGGCAACACAGTGGGATCCTACCTCAAAAAAATAAATAAATAATAAAATTAAATTAAAAAACAAGGACATACAAGAAAAACTGCAAAAGTCTAATTCAAACAAGGCTTTGAGGGAAATATCAAATTTGCTTCTTTCTCTGGTGGAGAGGTGAGCTGGGTCTTCAAAGAAAGGGAAAGAGAATAAATAAAGACACAGAGACAGGAATGAGTGTGCCATTGGCAGAGAATGAATTCTGTTTCATTACTTAAGAATTTATTAGATAGATCATCCATCTGGCTTTGATTTACCATCCTAACCTCACCCTGGGGCAAAATATTTTGCAGTCATTTAATACAAAACAAAACAAAAGCAGGACAATAAGAAAACCAATTGGTGAAATTCATATCTGCCCCCTTTTGTCTAACCGACTGCTTTTATTTTCGATCTTTCTATTTCCTGATTTATATGTGCTCTCTGGACTTCATATAACCAATTAGTGTGAATGTTTCTTACCAATACTGCCACTCATCTTCTGTCTTCCTAGATCTCAAAGCAAGATTAATTCCTAAATGTAAGTCCTTCTTACCATTTGGGACCAGCCAAAGCCCATAGCTCTAAAACATGACTCATGTCATCACAGATTAACCACAGCATATTGGGAAAATTGTCAGAGCTGCCAATTTTTCTCAGGCACTTCAAAAGCCCAGTTCTGTTAATGACATTGAACACTTTAGTGAGGACTATGAATACCACATACATATCTCTTTGCTTTGATATTTGTTACATTTGGCATCTTCCTCAGGGAAGGGAAATTAGAGTGGTCTGTTCCAAGCCTAGAAGATAAGGGGATGCATTGTCTGTAGAAAATTTACAAACAATAATAAAACAAACTAAAAATAAATCTGCTTTTTATTATCACCATGCACCTGCATTGGAAACTAAGTCAAGGATAAAATACTCCTCTGGAGGGGGGTGGGAATCATTGGTCAGTCTAAGTCAGAGTTTCTCAATGTCGACACCACTGACATTTTGCACTGGATCATTCTTTGTTGTGTTGTCCTGTGCATTGCAGAATGCTTACCAGTATTCATGGCCACTACCCATTAGATGCCAGTAGCACCCCTTCCCAGTCGTGACAACCGACAATGTCTCTAAACATGACTAAATGTCCCCCGCAGAGCAAAATTGCCCCTGGATGAGAACCACTAGTCTAAGTTCAAAACAATTGCAATTATTACTATTAAGATTTAATAATATATTTTTATTAATTTTAATAATGATACTTATTCATATTGCTTACCACATAATGGACATTACATTTGACATGGAAGTTAAAGAACTCTCAGTTATATACTTGGCTTCTGTCACACGCAGATCCTTCTACATGCATTTATTTCCAAAGGAAGTTGCTAACATTTCAGACTCGTTTGAACTCACCCTATGTAGAGTTCACATCTGCAACCCTTGTGTTTCTGCATATTCCTGCATTTAAATATTAGATTCAAAGTAGACAATGATAAGACATTTTAGCAGCAAAGGACCTGAACCTGACTTGCTTCAATATCATCATTCTATGTGACTACTTGCATATTTTTAAAAGAATGAATGAATGAAGCAGAGGACAAACTGTAATGTATTGTTCCTTAGGTGTTTTGATTTGGTGTTTTGGCAGACTAGGTTTAGTATCCTGGTTTGGTTAGTGAAAATTTTAGTTAATAGATGAACTATATTACTGAATTTGAATAGTATAGTTAAAATTGAAACTTAGTCTTCTAATTTTTACTCTTCTTATCAAGTTGTTTTTTGTTATTAAACTGTGACATTATTTAATTATTTATTATTATATATAGGTATAAGATTTTCCCTTAAAAATACATTAGTATAACTAAAAGGTATTAATTTATTATATCTATTACTTTTTTCTTTTTAATTTTGTGGGTACATAGTAGGTGATATGTTTATGGGGTACATAAGATGTTTTGATAGAAGCAAGCAGTGTGAAATAATCTATTACTTTATTTGTTTTGTATTATAAAATTTATTTCACGTTTAATTTTCTTATATTTTACTGGCATGATTACATATAAAAAAATTAAAGACTCTCAATAATAACAAACTTCTCACTCTCTTGGATATTAATTTCACTTCATTATCACTGAAAATGATTTTTACCTATACAAGAGGGAGAGTCAAACATCTTTTCCAGGTGTCAATTATGTTAGATGTGCCACTCTGGCACAAAACAAATTTGTCTACTGAATGGTCTTTCACCCAAAAACAGGAGTTCTGTAGTGGAATAATTTTATCCCCCTCCCCAGGGGACTTTCTGCAATGTCTGGAGACATTTTGGGCTATACCAACTGGGGACAGAAGTGCTATAGGCATTTAGTGGGTAAAGGCCAGGGAAGCTACTAATGCTACAATACGCAGGCCAGCCCCCAGAACAGAAAATGATCAGCCCAAATGCAAACAGGGCTGAACTTGAGAAAATCTGGCTAAAGCCATGATTTCCAGATTTGCACAGTCACCCAGAGCCCAATACATATTATTAAGAATGTAGAGCTCAGCTCAATTAAATGCTGAAAGAGCCAGACACTTGTGTTACAAAACACTTCACCATCACACATTCCTGCCCACCCTGCTAGGGTTGTGCCATTGCCTACAGTCTCATCTAATAGATGTTGAATTGCCCCCATAATGGATTTATGTTTTCGGGTAGAGTTGGGAAAGGAAGTATATTCAATTATCATCATCTCTCAGATCTTCTCTAAGGACAAAAGGTAAAGAGTTAAATTTGGGAAACTGAAGGACATTTCAAATCCAAAAAATTTTGCCTGCATTTGCAGAGAAAACCTAAAACCACAGGAAATCCATGTGACAGTCTGAATCCAGAGTAAGAGAAACTTGGAAGTTTTAACAACCCAAGCTAAAAACTGTAATTAGGATTCCAAAAATGCCCGTATTGCAGCGCTCTTACAATCCTCCAGTCTTCTATGCAGATGAAAAATAAAATTCAAATTATCCACTCAGTGAGTCCATAGATAATTCAGTGACATCCGTAACCCAAAACAAACTGTCTGCTAAAAAAAAAAAAGAAAAAGAAAGAAGTAAATGAAATTAAAAAGACAAGGAAGATAAAGACAAGAAATAAAAGTTGTATTTTCTTCTTGGAAAGAGAAGATACTCTATTTGAATAGGAACTAACTAGATATAAAATTTCCTTGATCTAAAACTAGGAACCCTGTTGCCTTGATAAACTCTCTTAGGAGCCACTAGTAAAAGCTATTTCATTTTCATTTTAATTACAATGAATTACTCATTAAATGAAAAAGTCTCCAATAGATATAAGTCTTACATACCAGTTTTCTTTCTGTCAGGGACCAGTTTATAGCCAATTCTATTTTACACCATCCAAGCCTATTTTATTAGCATATTATCAGTGCAGGTTATTCAGTCAGTCAACAGTGCTTCTTCAATAAATAGAATGACATCATTTCTCTTGTTGTGGATGCTATATTGCTTCCCATTTTTGTGCAGATGAAAGCAGGTGAGGAGGAAGGGAGATCATGAAGTTGTATTTTCATCTTATGAGTATATTAATGTCATGAGCTCAGATTCTTGATCTTATATGGGATTTTCTGACAAAGTCCGTCTGGAATAAGTTAAATATAAAGACATGAAATAGAGTTACAAAAATGTATGAGAATTTGAAAAGATTTGGATACATGAATAAACTGAGCCTGGAACTGCCAAGTATTTTATTACTTCTTATGAAGCAAAGTTATGTTTACAATAATGACTTTCTTTAATAGCTACAGTGAACTTTTTAATAGGAATTTCTAATTTAAAGTTAGTCAGCCCCAAATAATTTGTTGCCACAAATTTGATTAACCCTTTCCTGCGCTTAGAATCTACTTTACAGCAAGAGGAGAAAGGACAAACCACTGAAAGATAATGTCTTGGCTGAAATGTGGCTTCCCTCCAGCTCACCTCTATGAACAAAGGAGATTTAAATTTAAGTTCTAGCTAGATGCAATCGGTTCCTCATACATCATTTTGGGTGTCCAACATATACCACTAATTCTACGTGCAATGGAATGCAGTTTTGATTTGTGCTTCAACTTCACTTACTGTCTGAATTTATAAACAAGTAGAGATGCCATCATTCACTGCTAGATGAGCTTGACTTCCAATTTCAGAATTGTTTAGAATCATGTGACACAGTAGAAAAACGGCAAGTAAAATAATAATAGCTGTAAAACCGAAGATCAGTTTCATGCTTTGCTGTGTATTATGATCTTCCCTCAAAGTTAGCATCTTGGCCTTTAGGGTGTGGTGGTACCTTTTAAAATAAATAAACTTTGAAATAAATAAGCTTTGAAAGCTTCACCCGGCATTTGCAAAAGTACATATTTTGAATGCCATTTCCAATCATCTAGACTGATAATACGGAGAATTGGCCCAGTCTTTGGATAATTTAAAACACCTCTGTATTAGTCAGAATAAGCTTGGCTATGCCACCAGTTTACTTCTTATTCATATACAGCATGATATAGTTCAAAACACTCTACTCCATCCTGTAGCTATGCCATATGAAACATGTGGCCTCCAATATCAATGCAGCAGAAGAGGAATAGAGGAGGCATAAAGGTCTTTGCTGACTCAACCCAGAAATGTCACATATTACATCAGCTCCATCCCTATTATCCAAAACTAGCCACATGGCTCCAACCTCACTACAAAGGAAAGTAGGAAGTCAAAAGAAACACATAGATGTTTGTTGAATACTATCTCTGCCACAGTCATTTTATTCAATATTCTACTCATAGTCATTTTGTCATTCTACTCATTTATCTGGGATTCAAATGTCTGCTACTGAAATTTAACTTCATTTTGTCTAGGTTCGACAAGCATGAAGAAACTTCCATGTCTTCATCAGTATATGCACTAATATAAAAAATGAGGAAGGAATAAGTAAAGTTACTTTAGAAATGAGCCCATTGTGATCAGTCGAGATCGAGTTTAATTTTACTGTCTACAATATATGAATAGCTTAGGGCACACCTTGAAATTGCTTTGATTCGAATCCAGGAAGCCAACACACCTGGCCTGCTGATGTGCTGCAACCATTTTGCAATTGGCTAAGAGTATTAATCCTTAGGCTGTCACGAATGCCTACAGGCTGCCTTCAATAACATTGATTTGGCTGTCAAGTTGGGGTAAAATGTCAACATTTCATACTAGCCAATTAAGGCTTTAGAGACATACTTCTTGCAGAGAAACAAAAGGTCTCTCTCTCCTGATGTCTTACATAACTCAATGTATGCAGTGAACAACATCATGTTATAGAGATACAAATAACCGTGGCACATGACACAGCTGGGACACAGATTCCACCGAAGTAAAGCATCCATGCCACTGACGTGGCAGAAGCTGCCCTCATTAGCAATGATGTACAAGGACAGTAGTGGCACATTGTTTTTCCCTTGCATCTTGGGTTGTCAGAAAGTAGTATCTCTGAAATTTTGCACATGTGGTTAAAAAAAAAATAGCCTACCCAAATCCCTTAAATCTCCTGTTATTCTTTGAATTATAATGAAATGTAAGCCCCGACGACAGACATGAAGAATAATGGCCAAATGGAAAATGGCGTGGTCCTCTGTTGAGGAGAGGAACTTTCTTCTCAGCCCATTCTGCATGGTTCAACAGCTCTTAATAAGACCAATTGTAATAGGAGAATTGTCCTACACTGTTCTCAATTAAGACCAACCAAGGAATTTTTTTTTTTTTTTTGAGACAGAGTCTCACCCTATCACCCAGGCTGGAGTGTAGCGGCATGATCTCAGCTCACTGCAACCTCTGCCTCCCGGGTTCAAGCAATTCTCCTGCCTCAGCCACCCAAGTACCTGGGACTACAGGCGTGCACCAACACTCCTGGCTAATTTTTGTATTTTTAGTAGAGATGAGGTTTCACCATGTTGGCCAGGCTGGTCTCGAACTCCTGACCTCAAGTGATCCGCCTGCCTCAGCCTCCCAACGTGCTGGGATTACAGGCATGAGCCACTGCACCCGGCACCAAGGAATTCTTTAGCTGCTTGCAGTAAGTAATGGTTATGGCATGGCTTTGGCTGTGTTTGAACCTGTTGGGTTTTGTTGCAACTTCAGGACTGATTTGAATTTGAATTTGAAAACATAAAACAGACTGGTTTTACGATACAGAAAATTCAGTATGAGGGAGGTTATATAGTTGCTAGGAATCCCCCCAAATTTCTTTCTCCCCTTCTTACTACACACATAGCTTGTCAGCTGGAAACATTTCAAAGCTTCCCTAGCAGCCAGCGTCGACACGCTATTAAGTTCTCATCAATGGAATAAGAGCATAAAGGATGTGTCCAATTTCTGTCTCACTTGGTTAAAAGGAAATTGTTTGCACTGGACTCCCTCTTTTCTCCTCTTTCTGCAAGACAGAACACAGACATGCTAGCAACTCAGTTTTGACCGTACAGTCTAGGAAATGCCCCAGGAAAAGGCAGAGCAACAAGATAGAAGAAACCTGTGTCCCTGAATGACCTTGTTGAGCAGAGAAGGCCCACCATCCTAGACTAGCCAGACCTTACTTAAGAAATACATTTCTGTCTTGTTTAGGCCACTGTGTTTTCGGATCTCTTTGTTACAACAGCTTAACCTTTACCTTTACTGTAGCATTTGCCTCTCATGCCCCAGGTCACACCCCCTTGATCCACCTCTGATTTCAGCTGCAGCCTGCAGTGGACAGTTCCATGTGAGCTCAGACCCATCTTATGTTGACTGCACCCACCTCAAATGCATGCTGTGAAACTTTCTAATCTTTGCATCAGAGCTTTCGCCAATGCCTCAGAAGCCCTCACAGCCCTCAAATAATTAATGGAAGACAAGAGGTAGTGGTTAAATACCCCTGACTTCCTTCAGGCAAGCAATTCTGTGAGAATCAATGGTCAAGATAACTAAAAATGTTTAACCCAGAGAAGACCCATTAGAATCCAATCACAATTGTTCAATGTTTCTATTTAACATGTGTAGAAGAATGCAATTATATTTATTCTGTGAGAACCCCATAAAAGAATGGAGACTATGAGGTTGAAGGTGTAGTGAGAAAGATTTTAGGTCTCTCTAAGTAAGAACTTTAGAAATCCAAAGTTTTCAAAGTTAAGTTCAAAAACACACTTTTGATATATAGTGACAGATTACTTAAAATCTTCTAATGACTCCCCACCACCTTCAGAATGATGTTTGGTCTTCTGATCAGGCAGACAAGGCCCTTTGGGATCTAGCTTCTCTTGTTCCCTACCTTTCTCCAACTACAACGAACTGTGACAAACTACTTGGGATTGTTCTAACATGCCAGGTTCTTTAATCTCTCTACCTTTACACTAGGCTATTCTTTCTTCTCTTTCTACCTTATCATCCATTTGTTCTCCTAGCAAACCTCACCCATCAAGACCCAGATCTGGCATTTCTTCCTCTGGAAAATGTCTAAACCCTGCCCAACCCCGACTACATCCACACGCAGTTAATTATTCTCTCCTCTATACTATCTGTTCCTTTTCTGTTCTTATTTTTTTCTTCTATTGCTCACGTTGTAGAAAATTTTCTGCTTGCATATCTGTCAACTCTACTCAACTGTGAGTTTCTTAAAATTAATGACGGTATCTTATTACTTTTTCTATCTGCATCATGTAGGAAGAAAACTGGCACATAATAGGCATTCAATTGTTTGAATAAATGAATTTAGGAAAGAAAAGAAGAGGGGAGGGACAGAGAGAGAGATGGTCTGAGAGTTTTTGGTGGGCTGTTGTAGAGAAAACGGAATCATCAAAAGGGAGGTTATACTGACCTAGCCTTAGGTTTTCTTCCAACTCTCAGTATCTATGATTCTACTTAAAAAACTGCCAACTGCTTCAGGCTTATGAGACTTATTTAAATGAAAATCAGTTTAAAACATCAGTCATCCCATAGTGAAGAAACTTTACCTCAAAGTAAAAAGAAATTTTATGACCTGTTAATATCTTAAATTGTTGAGTTATATCAGTCAAAAGTCAGCAAGTGAAAATTCTTTATTATGCCACTTATTACCAGCTTGGAAATAAGTTGTAACTATTTTAGAGTCTCTGAATGCTGTGGAATAGAAGTAGAGATGTGTGTGTTCTCATGTATGTACATATATGTATGTACGCATGTGCAAATATGTTTGTGTGCATATATATCTGTGTGTGGTATACCATTGCATCCTGTGAAGCAATAATATATATTAATATTAACCCTAGGAAACTAATACAAAAGTAAAATTGATTGCTATGTCTTAAATAAAACCTCACAGTAGCAGCATTGGGAAGCCCTCATTTATTAATATCATTACATCACAATTCTCTAGCTCAAATCCAGCAGGACATTACAATAGTTCCAGTGTAATAGATTAAGCTAGGTGTTGGCCCCTGCTTCTCACTGGTGTCTTGGTTAAGGTGTACCAGAGCTACGGAAGATTATAGTTTGAGGGGCAGCTTACCCGAATCTTGCTTCAGCTACTTGTTGGCATGATGGTCACACCTAAGCCAGGGAGCCACAATAACAAGAAGCAATCCTATATTTTGGCCACATGCTGAAATTATTTTAACATCTCCACTATCCCCTCTGGCATAAGAGAATCCAAAGAGGGGGTGCAATTTTCTTTTGCAACCAGCTTTGCTGGAGTGTACCTATTCTGAATTTTAAGGCATATCTGGATTTCAATACTGATGGTAATTCTTAGAACTGGACCTTGGAAAAATTTGTGAAGATACCTTTAAAAACTCCTTTGAGTGTCCCCTTTCTTCCCTTTTGTGTCTCAGTTCTTAGTATTCTTATAATTCCCCTTGGTTGTCCCTAGTCCTCCACATTAACACTCTTCATTCTCTGTAGCATTCCATAATCCCTGTCTCACTCACTCACCTTACAACTTACCGATACTGAGAACTAGTCTTTTACAGCCTTTCAAATAAACTAGCTAGACAATCTAATTCCTGACTATTATGTTAATGAATAATACCAACTACAGTTGGACTACAGCTCCACCACATCCTTTCAATATGTCCTTGAGCAAGTTATTTAACTCTTTTTGCATGACTTTCCTCATCTGTACAATGGGCATAAAAGAGTACATATCCTATAGGGCTATCATGAGAATTAAACAAACTAGTATGGTGTGTAGAAAGTTGTCAACACAATGCTGGTGCATAGTAAGTGCTCAAAAAAAATTAGCTATCAATAATCATATTTCGGAGGCACTTGAGTGTTTGTCAAAACTTCAGAACTTGTGGAAAATCCTTTGGGATTTATTTTGGTGGACTGTACCTTAATATAAATTCTGCCTACTCTGTGAGGAGACCCTGAGTGTCTACTCTCTGCGGAGTTGCGCAGTACAGAAAGACCAACGAGAGACTACAAGTCCTTCCTCACTTCTCAGAGGTAAAGCTCTTTAACATAAAACTAAATAATCCCTTTAAGATAGACAAGTACTCTAACCTAGGATGCCCCTAGGAACTAACTCACTCATCGGTTTTCTAAAACTCTAGTGTCTTGTGAGAGGTTGTTAAAAATGCCTTTGCCTTTTCTCCCCAGCTTCTCTCAAGTGACAGCTATTCTCTTTCATTGGCTGGGCTTGTGCATTTTGACACACCTTATCAGACAAAACCATATTCCTGGATTTGGCCTTATGCATCTTAATGACTAGTATCAAAAAAATTCCAGGAAAGTGTATTATGGCACAATGCAATGTGCTGAAAGTCATTTTTCCTTTTCGTAGGGATCATCTCAGTTATAGAAAGTGTGTTTTTTAAATATATTAAAAGAAATTTAGACAAGTTTTTAAATCCTGTTATCTCTGTAATGGCAGTTTCTAGACAAAATTGGCATCCTTTTAAAAGCTTGATTTTTTTCTTTGTCTTCAGTTCCTTTCCTTTTTCATAAATGTGGCCTAGAAGATAAACCCGTTGTATGAAGCCACAGACTGAAGGCAAAAACACAAGACAGGAAAGAGGTTACATAGTTTCATATAATAAAGCCAAGATAAGAGAGAGATCAAATCACTCTCATCTCTTCCCAGCTGATGTTTGAACTTGCCACTGTAGAAAAGATAATAATGCACACTTCTATCTTCCTGTTTAATGTGACTTTCTGTGTTCTCGTGTGCTAGTGCTATTCTATTCTTTTGTTTTTAAACACCCAGGTTTTGCTTTTCCTCCTCCATTTACAGTGAATTTCACACATTAGTTATTTTATATTTTAAAAGTTTTAATTGAAATGTCATCTTAGCTTTATAGTTCTTCTCCTCCCTTCCCAAACTCAGACACCAGCACCTTTGAACTTTCTTGAGTGACCACATTTGCTAGAGCTATTTCTGTTGTGAGCTTGAAAGCACCATGCATAAGTCATTCCCTATTTTCTTCTCACTCCCTTTCAATTCAAAGTGCATGCTCTCCTGGCAGCACAGAATGATACATTTCAACAGAGCACACTTTATAAAATGTCTGTTAGACCATTTTTATTTTATAGGGAATCAAATGCTCATGTCTTAAATATTGGCCAACACTAGGCACTTCAGAATTGAGGCTATATAAAGCATGGTCCAAATAATGGCAATGTAGTATGTCATGGAGTTACCTTAATGGTATTATTATCTTCAAATAAATGTTTCCATCCATCCTGCTTCTCATACCATTTTCAATTATAAATTATAAAATAAAATATAAATTGTCAAGTTCCTTCAACAAGTGTTGATTAAGCACATCTCAGCTCTTTGAACTTTCTATCGACTGTAATACTGAGAACATGTATTTTGTTCCTTGATTTCTTTTCCTGTTATTGCCTTCCCATGTATTTTTGTAATTTATAATCTCTTAGCTACTGAGCTCCTGAATAGGGCCACTGAAATAACTACAATTGTTAGACTAACTTTGGAGAAAATCAAACCTTATTTTCAAGTTAATTTACTGAAATAAATGTTCAAGGGCAAAATTTGAAACTTAAGTACTAAGTCAAAATCGTATGTATTTCTAATTTATTCTTTGCAAGTAAAGAATACATTTTTAATCAGTTTTAAATAAGAAGTATAAAAAATCATTACTGCATAATAGGTACAGTCAGTCTTCAATATTTGCAGATTCCAAACTTATGAATTATGCCTGCTTGCTGAAATTTTATTTGTAACCCCACAATCAACATCTGTGTTGTCTTCATGGTCATTCGTGAACATGCACGGAATGGCAAAAAATTGAAGTTGTCCAACGTGCATATTCCCTGCTGAAATTAAACAAGGGAACACTCTGCCTTCTTGTTTCAGGTCTCATATTGTAAACCAATGTCCCTTTTGTGGTCTGTTTGGTGCCACATTTTTCGTTTTTCTGGGGGGATGATTTTAACAGTTTAAAACGGCCCCCAAGCGTAGTGCTGAAGTACCATCAAGTGTTCCTAAGCACAAGAAGTCTGTGTGTGATGTTTTTTTACAAAAAAAAAAAAAAAAAAGACAACATGTTAACAAGCATCATTCAGGCATAAATAGTAGTGCTGTGGGCCATGAGTCCAGGGTTAATGAAACAACAGAATATGGTTTCTTTTTTGTTTTTTGTTTTGTTGTGTTTTGTTTTGTTTTGGAGATGGACTCTCACTCTGTCACCCAGCCTGGAGTGCAATGGCACAATCTCAGCTCACTGCAACCTCTGCCTCCTGGGTTCAAGCGATTCTCCTGCCTCAGCCTCCTGAGTAGCTGGGATTACAGGCGCGTGCCACCATGCCCAGCTAATTTTGTATTTTTAGTAGAGACAGGGTTTCACCATGTTAGCCAGGTTGGTCTTGAACTCCCGACCTCAGGACATCCACCCACCTCAGCCTCCCAAAGTGCTGAGATTGCAGGCATGAGCCACCACGCCTAGCCAGAATCTGTTAAATAGAATGTGCTAAACAGAAACACACATAAAACAAAGTTACATATTGATTAGTTAACAACAATGTGACCAGAAGCTTATAGGAACCTAACCTTACGTTTCTTCTAAAAGCAATGGTTCAGTACTTTATAAAACATAACTACCACAAATAACAAGAATTAACTGCATTTTAAACTCAGGTTTTATTAGAACTGCCAAGAAGTCAGCTACACAAATAAAGTATCTTTCTATGCCAACATTGCTGGGTCATAGACCCTTGGACTTCTCCACAAAAGAAGTACCAGAATTAGGTTTGATGTATTTTGACGAAGCTAATTCCCTGTTTTCAGACAACAAACATGTTCTGTGATCGGCAAGTAGATTTCTAACAGTGCTTAAAGACAGTATTTAAAGATTCTTAAAGTTACCTTATAAAGACTAACATTAAAAAAAAATGAACATTTGTGATTAGGTTACCAAAATAATTGTTGCCTGTTGTATACAACCCCACAGAGTGAAATGATTTTTAAAAAGTCAGGCATCAAAGAGATTTTTCTCTTCATCTAATTTCCTGAATGCGTATAAGATATTGCATGAAGTAAATGAAGCCAAATTAAAATATAGCTAGATACGGTTTTGTTGTGGTAGTAGTCAGGTGTTTGGCTGTTGGTGGTTATCCTTTGAGGTCAATTCTTTTACTTCGGGTAGAAAATGTCTTAGGTATAATGCATTGATATATAATAAAACTATAATTCCTTTGGTTTGAAATAAGCTACTCTTTGATTTGCATCTCAATCCTTACAGCACCTTTCTTACAGATCTCCAATGTATGGAAGTCTACAATAGGTTTGACAAGTGACTTGGGTCATAAGCAAACAAAATAGTGTTCCTTCCATTTGCAGGTGAAGTGCAGTGATACACTTTAAGTAAGAAGGGCTGTGAAAAGAATAACACAGCTGCTTCGATCGTTCTATAGGCAAAGCACGATAAGTGTCGATTAATGTGAGATTTATTGACAGGTTATGAACCAAGGGGCCAAAAGGGTGGCCAGATGGTCACTGCCTAATGTTTAAATTGCAGCACCCTAATGATTTTCACTTTGCTCCAGCACATTTCCTGTATTCCCATTTTAAGTCACTGCAGTAATAGATTTTCTACCAGTAGCCTTCACCTACTCTTTAGCCATCAAAAAAGCTGCTTATTAGGCACTAATTCTAGATATTTTCCCTAAAATTTTCTTGGTTTTATTTCTTCCCATTATGCCTTTTAAATAATAAATGTAATTAGTGGTTCCATAAGGCTTAATATTGAAAGTACTTTCATAGCTGTTAAAAGTCAGTCCTTACCACATCCATGAGAGTTAGGCCAGCTCTGTTCTATTGTCTACCCTAGGCGCCTTCCTGTCAAAAATTAAAACTTCATAAACTCCTTTTAATGAAGAATCATATTCTGTATATCCACGTTTACCAGTGACTGGGACATGTGCTAAGATACAGCTGAACATATGCTACTTAGAAAAAGGGATTGGGTCTTATTTTATTAAGCTTGTATATAATACATAACACATGTTCATGCACACCTGGGCAATCGAAAGAAAACTGATGACTATGAGTAAGGTAAGTAAAATATACTCCCTCCTGGATTCAAAGTGATCATCTAATTCAGGCAAATTAGCTTCTCCAGGATTTGCTTATAATAGAAAATGTAGCTCCTCAAAGCCTTAATGATGCTGAATTTGTACCCTTTTGAACTAAATTATTCCTTCAGAGAGCAAAATGGTCTTCTTGGAAGAGGTAAATTACCTTAAACATATGAGCACTTTACCTCCAAAAGAGAGTACCAATTTGCTCTGCGAGCTCCATTTTTAAGCTGCCCACACCCTCCTGCACAAAGAATTGGCCATTGTAAGCTATTTATCTACTACTCTCCATGGACTTCAAAATACAGCTGAAGTGTTTTCCTCCTTAAAGTTCCCATATTGGAATGTTAACTCTCTGAGGACACGGATGAAAATTTAGATTGTGGTAATTAAAATAGCATGTTTGTGAAAGGCTTGAGATTTTATGAGGGGACATTTTTTCACTGCTGTGACTCTGGCACGAATGAGGTGAAAATGATTGATAATTCCTTTATTGGTAAGGCCTATTTCGGAGAATGGGCCACTCTTGCTAGTTGAATTCACTCTCTAATCTCTTGTAAAACAGCAATGCAGATCCAGACAATCCCCTTTGTTAATCTTCTCTAAAACAGTTCTTGGAAATGCTAAGGAAAAGCCTCCCTGATTTCACATATTTTGTATCGTAGACCGGCCCTCTGATCCAAGCACTGTTTTGGGAGCGGTGCCTTTTGTACAGACACTCTCAAATACTCCTATATTGTGGGTTTACTACTTGGACTTTATTTTTCTTACGCTTTAATGCTGCCTTTCTGCATATTTGAGGAAACCATCCTTAAATTTTTTTTATTGCTGGCATTGTTTTTGCTGCTGTTGTGGTTGTTACTGCTGCTGCTGCTGCTGCTGCTGCTGCTGCTGTTCAGAAAAGGAATTGGCAGGGGCCAGATAGAGGAAGATATGACTTATATTTCATTGTTTACCACTCAGTGTCTACAAGCATTCTATTTCCATCCATGGTATTTATTCTAAACCTACCCAGGTGAGGCCATGCTTTTTGTCTTTCTACCATGTTTCTAACCTGGCAATTCTTTGTTCTCTGTGGTGTTTGTAAAAAATAAAACTTAATTCACTGTCAGCTATAAATGTAATGAATGTCCCTTGATCATTGATAAGGATGTTAAAGTAAAAGGGTTTTTTTAACCAGGCTATGTGGAACCTCACTGAAATCCCTTCCTTAGTAGTATGTAATATCTGAAGCTATTCTGACATTATGTCGTATTTTCAAGCCACCTGATATTGTTCAAATGAACTCTCCTGATTTTCTTGGTCATCAGCAGATGATTCACTGACAATCATTTCTTGGCCAGACCTTTACAACCCAGTGTTTCTCATAAATCTGGTTTCTTTGGCCTGTTGATGTCAAGACTCCTCTCCTTGTCCACTTCAGAACACACTCAACAGAAACCAATCTTCCTCACACACAACCCTCTACCTGCACAATGGGATTCAGTTCAAAGAGTTGCATTTAATGTATAGATCAGTGTGTTTCTGTTTGTTTCACCCATGCACTGGTAGCCATAATTTTGCCTTAGTTAAGTGTGTATTTTACTTTGAAGACAACTATTTTTTAATTGTGTAACTGCAGCTTACCTTTACACCTAGAAAACAGCTCACTTTTCTCTCCTTTTAAGCTGTACAAATTGTCGACAAAACCTGATTTCATTGTACATCAAGCACATTGCCTTCTCCACTGGATTGTATCTTTGAAATGGTAGAGCAATGCAAAAATCTACCACACACATGTTTAATTCATTGGCTGACCTTTTAAAACATAGACTTTGTCATTAAACTAAAAGTGATCCAAACCTTTAGATATACAGTAGAGCAATATTAGACTTATAATAACTCTACACAGGGGTCCGTAGTTTAAAAGCATGGTTTTGGTCTTAAATAAGTTGATTTCTCTCTCTCTTTCTCCTTCCGAGTCACGCTCTACTTTTTGTCCACCTCTCACTCCTGAGAGATGAAGAAATTAACCCCTTATAGTTAAAGGGAGCAAGAGACTCTAGAAGAAAGAAGCCATTTTTCCAAAATAACATTTATTCATTGTGGACCCCAGTCACCAAACTGACTTTGCTGAGGTGGGAAATGTCGCAAGTTTCTCCTATCCCCCTGCCCTCCTTTACCCACTTCACTGCTAGTCTGCAACTTTACTATTCTGTATTGTGCAGAGACTTCCGGATTTGTGACCTCCTTGAGAGTTGACATGAGGTCAATTAATCTCAGTATCTCCGTGGCCTAGCGCAGTATCTGGGACATATGTGGGCTCACTGAGCAAATGTCTGTAGAAGGATCAGTTAAATAATTAATTGCATATTAAATTTTTCTGATGCTCTTATACTTTTCTCCAATCCTAAAACTACAGTTAAGGGTGAATAGAGGGCAAAGCCTGGCAATCACATTGGCCTGAATTACCTCAACTTTCATTCTGTGAAAACAGGGAAGGACATAATTATTAGAATGCTAAGAGGCGCTGGCCCAGTTTAATCTAATCTTTACTACAGCATTACTGTCTAAATAGAATATGTCGGCATTAACATTTCAATTTAATTATTTTTAAAATTCCAGACTTCCACTCAATGTGCTATGGTCAATAGGTTACTGAAAAACATTCACAATTGTTTATTGATGCTGGCAGAAAAACAAAGACAAGTAGACATACTAAAATTTATAATCATGCCTTCCTTTATGGGCTCTACATTTATCTGACAGTATGAATAAATATCTCTCTACAGGTACAATAATATCCAGGGCTCATCTGAAAAAGATTTTTAAAGCATTCGCACACTCACAGGAAATGACAGACACATGTAAGTGAAAACTAACTTTATTAGAAAAATAATTGCACTGAATTCCTGTAATTGGATGGTTCTACAAATCACCACAGTTTCAATTACTCAAGAATTGTAATGGAATTTTGCTTCGTGAAAATGCAGGGAGTTGACCAAATTATTTATTTCTTTTAAATGGTGGATAACATGAATAAAAGTATTACTATGTTATTTAAATCTAATTTAAAAACATAATTTACATGATGAAAATTGCTCTACTTCTTAATCAGAGTCACTCTGATGGAACTGCTTTAATAAAAGTTTCTTTTTTACATATAATTTAGCTTCCCTATTAGAAAATGAATTCTTCTATCTCCAAGTTATAAATTGCCACACACTTTCAACCTTTTCTTCGATGCTGAAGCTTGCCTGAGATGGAGTGAAGAGGGAACTGCCTGATAACCCCGTCGCCTTTAGTTTGCATTTCTTTCCTGCTCAATTGTCAAACTTGTATTATGCCAGTCCCTGATTTAACACCAGGGACTGGGATAATGCAGCTTGCCAGAAAAGAAAATGGTGGAACTGAATGTTTTCCAGGCTGCTGCCCTTTCCATGGCTTCCCATTCATCAGAAGGCACCCAGCCTCCCTCAGCTTCTTCCTGAAAATGGAATTCCTTTCTCATCACCAAGGCGAAACCAGGGCAGCATGAACATAATATGCAACCTCAGGGAAAAGAAAGGAGACATACAAGCTAAACAGTCTTTTTATAGGTATCATGAGTCACATCAATTGTTGATACTAACCCTTGACAGGAAGAAATTGCATGGATTAGCAGAATTGAGAATCACAGTTCTATGAATCATGTTAGGTCATAGGATCAAATTGCTGAAAGGCACCTTAGAGACCCTTTTGTCCAACCATCTCATTTTGTCAGTGAGGAAACTGGGGCTCAAGGAATACAAGTAAGTTGCCCAAAGTCACACAGCCCGTAAACACTGCATTATGAGCTAGAACCCGGATCCCTTAACTTCTAGCCCAGGACTTTTTCCACATCACTAACCTGGTTAAGATGAATAAAGCGGAGTGCCTCAGTGCAACCACTTCATCCTCACCCCCACACTCTGCCAAAAAGTCTCATTTGCATATCTGCCCTCTTCTCAATACATATTTACATTTGAATGTATTTTATAATGTAAAGCTATTTTCCCTAATTTTTAAAAATTATTTGTTCTATTAACTCCTACCAATCTAGCTTTTGCCAGCCTCACAGCCCCTCTGTAACCACAGGTCACAGCCACCTAACCCATTAGGCCAGATAGTTTAACTGTTCCGTAAGACTGACAGAGCTAGTAAAATTCAACACCTAGTGACAAAACTCATAGAGGATATTGTTTAAAAAAAAAAAAGATGCAACAATTCGGTTAATTTAAAATACACTTCTAATGAATCTGAAGGAAAAGTTAGCACTTTCAAATACAAGCATAGTAAAATATAGATGCTACAGAACTATATGCAAAACTATTTTATCTTACAAATATGCCTTTTTAATTCCAGCTAATAGATATGAACATTTCTTTTTTAATGTAAGGAAACTGCATGTTAATTGATAAACTCTGCCTCACCGAAGTAGGGCACTGCATACAGGATTCTAGGCACCATCTTGATTTTTACATACTCTGTTAATGAGTATATAAAACACCTATTTAAGTTTTCATTTAGATGTTTTATTTAGAATGGAAAATTAGATTACGTGTAAAATAAACTGCCAGTGAATTATAATTATGCATAAATTATTAGCGTATGAGGTTTTAAAAAGTTTATCAGATAATGTAAGCAGAATAGTAACAATAAATAATAAAACAATAAGAAATAGCAATTGCCCTGGATTGTGTATTAAATATATCAAAAATAAATGACTGTATAACAGTAAGATGGTTAAATGTCTCCCTCTTCCTTCTTTTCTATCTCTCCTCCCTCTTTACTATCCCCTGTCACTGGCCATTATATTCATTTTTTTAGGGTGTCTGCCAATCCCATGACTCCATTTCCCACAATCCTTCAACAGGGATGAACTTCAGGTGCTGTGTATGTACCATTTATATGATACCATCTCTGCCTCTGAGCCAAAGATGATTGGACATGTGGTAACATTTGACCTAAGCTGTGCTGATTTTTCTTTTGGGCCCTCCCCTAAACCATAGCTGATCAGGTTAAGGTAAACATTTACTTCAAAGTGTACCAATCACATCCTTCTCTTAGGAATTTGGACTTGTAATTCAGAGATTGTGACTCAGCCTCTGCTGTTCAGTTGAACTGAGAACATAGAAATTCAGAGGCTGTAAAGAAGTCTAGGTTTTTGTATTTGCTGATATCATGAAAGTCAATCTGGAGAGAGAGGGGTAAAAGAGAGAGAAGTTGCCCAGTTTCTTGACAGCTTTCCAGCCATTGTTTCCAGTTTCTCATGAAGACCAAACTACTCTTTCAATCCGGTTTCCTTGAGATTCTCTGTTTCTTACAACAAATTCCACTTTTTTATTTATACTAATTTTAGTGGATTTATATTATTTACAACCAAATGCACAATGACTAAGATCTTTTTGCTGTTTTACCTTTTCTTTCTCTCTTTTTCTTGTAAGCATGAAAACAAATTACACACACACAGACACACTCACATATTCACACACATACGCACCTATTTAAATTATAAACTAAGAATTCTAGAATTTCATATGATGGGCGCACATTTGAGTCCTTAAACTTTGCCACATTGTACCTTTATTACTGTTCTTTGCATCAGCTGAAATGTTTCTTAGATATTTATAAAAATAACAGGAAATGAGTATTAAGGATCACCTATTCTAAAAAGTTTGCAATACATTGTCTTACTTTCCCTTTCCTCACTAGACTCTCCCTTAATAATGAATCATACTTAGTCTTACTGATATTTCTAATTGTTTACAGGGCATATGTACTCATTGAAATTAATAACATCTATTTTCAAAGTGAAGATTAAATGGATACCTTGAAGCTGTGTGTCCTTAGCTATATATGAGCAGGGGAGTTGCCATCCCTCTTGATGTATCCAAAATCTACACAAAGCATTTTAGGCATTAACTATAGTTTCACTTTTTATTCAGATACATAATTACAAAGATTGGACGTGTTCTGCTGTTTTACAATTTGCATGGCAGATAAGATTGGTAGGGTTGATTTGTTTCATTTTTACCGTCTTGACGATTTGTAAATGATCAAACTGATACATTGTTTAGTCATCAAAGGTCACTGAAGTACAAGGTCAACTATGCTGTAGTCCATTAGTGTTGTTGTTGCTGTTGTTGTTGTTTCTTCCAGTAGTGTAAGTTTAACTTTTGCTGTATTTCATCATATATAATCTAAAGATATTCATATAATATCATCTCAGAAGTCTATTACCTTAAAAGCCTGGGAAAATTAAAGGCTGCAGCAAAACATTGTTAAATACTATCAATTTTGACTTTAAAAATATAAAGGCTCTGAAGGAGAGGAGTAAATCAATTAACAGGAGACAAGAAGACTAAAAAGTTTCAGTCAGTATTACTATCCCTACTTCCATATTTGATTTGACAACAACAATTTGTTGAGCACCTGTGAGTAATCTACACAGGTGCTATAGTTTGGATGTTTGTCCTCTCCAAATCTCATGTTGAAATTTGATCCCCAATGTTGGAGGTGGGGCCTAGTGGGAGATATGTGGGTCATGGGGTTAGATCATGAATAGATTAATGCTCTCCCTGTTTGTGAGGGCAGGGAGCAATGAGTTAGTTCCCACTCTATTCCTTCCCAGAAGACCTGGTTGTTAAACAGAGCCTAGCCCCTCTCTCTTGTTTCTTCTTTTGCCATTTGATCTCTGCACATGCTGGATCCCTTCCCCTTTCTTCATGAGTGGGAGAAGCCTAAGGCTCTCACCTGATGCCAAATCTTGAACTTTCTAGCCAGCAGAAACATGAGCTAAATAAGCTACTTTTCTTTATAAATGACCCAGCCTCAGGTATTCCTTTTTAGCAACACCAAACAGACTAAGAGAACATGTATATTGTCAGCTGACTACACATGAGATTCTGCAACTGGCTAAGTGAGAGGTATAAAATGTAAAAGATAGAATACTTAACCAAAAGGAGTTTAGTATACAGTTGGCTAGAAAGACATATTCAAATTAAACAATAGGAGGGAAATTTGCCAAGTGCCAAATTATTAGTGGAGATAATCATGTAACATAAACCCTAAAAGGAAAAAAAAAAATCATTATGGGCTCAAGTGAGTAGGAATGATTTCTAGATGAAGTGGGACTTGAGTCTACACATTCATTCAGTAGATCATTATTGTGCCAAGGATTGTGTTTAACTCTGGAGTTGCATCTAAAAGAACAGATAATTATATTGGCAGAGGAAGATGAATAACATTCCTAACAGAATAAACAACAGAAACAAAAGTATAATCAAGGGAATATGCAGAGCATATTTTAGAACATTAATTAGATTCATTTGGTTCTTACCAGGGAATCATGAGATATATTTAGAAATATTGGGCTGGGCGCAGTGGCTCACACCTGTAATCCCAGCACTTTGGGAGGACAAGGCAGGTGGATCACCTGAGGTCAGGAGTTCGAGACCAGCCTAGCCATCGTGGCGAAATCCTGTCTCTACCAAAAAACATGAAAATTAGCTGGGCATGGTGGCATGCGCCTGGGGTCCCAGCTACTCAGGAGGCTGAGGTGGGAAGATCCCTTGAGCTCTGGGAGGTGGAGGTTGCAGTGAGCTGGGATCACGCCATTGCACTCCAGCCTGGGCAACAAAGTGAGACTTTGTGGTTAAAAAAAAAAAAAAAAAGGAAAAGAAAGAAAGAGAGAGAGAGGAAGGAAGGAAGGAAGGAAGGAAGGAAGGAAGGAAGGAAGGAAGGAAGGAAGGAAGGAGAAAGAGACAGGAAGAAAAGAAAAAAAAGAAAAGAAAAGAAAAGTTGTTTGTTTCAGGCTATATGTAGAATATCCTTGAAGCCAAGCCAAGGAGTTTGGCCTTCAACTTTGAAGGTAGTGACAAGCCACTTGAGGAACAATTACAAGCAAAATTCTGAGCAAGAAAAATATATTCTTGCAGAGTTTTAGGAAAATAAATCTAGTGGCGAAGAGGTGATTTCAGGGTGTAAAGTTGAGACTTAAGATTAGATTACTGCAGTAGTCTAAGTGTGAGATGATAAAGGATGGATTAGGGAGTTGGCAGCAGGTAGAAATGGGAAGAAAAAAATTGAGAGGCAAGCATTCTAGAGATATGATTAGATGTGAAGAAAAAGGAAGGGGGAGGAGAGTCAAAGGTTACAGTGATGTTTAAGGCCTAGGTGGCTCAAAGAAACTAAGGAATTGAGAAGCTAGTTTTAAGGAAATGTATGAGTTCATTGTAAGTATGTTGGATTGGAAATAATGTGAGGTCATCCAAATGGAACTATCAGGAGGACTAGTGCATGATAGAGATGGTAGGCTGAGAATAATAGATTCCAGAGTCGTATGCATGAAGTATTGGCTACTATAGAATCTATCCCCATGTTAGGAGATGTTGAGGGAATGAAAAAAGTAGACAGCTCTGCCCTCAAGAGCTTGCAATATTGGTAGTCTATTAAATTCCAAAGTATGCTGTACAGTGCTATAAATGGTTACAGAAGAGACAAATAAACACAGGCCAGAACAATCACAGAAGGCTTCTTCAAAGAGGTGACACCTGAATCTGGGCTAAAGAAAAGCCTGTATGGCTCATGGAGGTTCTCTGCATAATGGTGATGTTCACAAAAGTGATAAATATTTTACTTAATTTTGACAAGTGAAATAATAGTAGTGATAATTTCTCTTCCCAAACAAGAAAATGGGTCTTTCCTCAGAAGCCCAGACCTTAAAGTTGTCAAGAGAATGTGGCAATGAACTTAATGAAAATTAGGCACCAGCCTGAACCACCTGATAGCACTTTTTCTATCCCTTCTCTATCTGATTTACAGGACTCTGTTTCTGAGATATCGCTTTGGGCTGCACTACAGAAAACCACCTAACTCTCTTAGCTTGTGATGCGAGATTAAAAAATAAAAAAACATCAAGTTGCCGTACAGGGTGACATAAGTGACTAGAATAAAATGTTGCCTATATTTGGCAAACATTTTAAAGTATTTACTCTGCAAAGCACTAGGCTGGGTTGGGAGGAGGGAGAGTAGAGAGATACAAAAATGACTAAGGCACAGCCCCTGCCCTCAAAGGAGCTTATTGTCTGGTAGAGATGATCATCCAGACATAATACAAAGTACACAGGATCAAAAGGGAGGCGAAGGCAGTTCTGCAAGTTGTGAATTAAAACCCTTATGGTATGGTATGAAAGGGTCACTTGTAAACCCTGTTCCAGTGACAGGGCTCAGCTAGTACCAGTTGGCAAGCCATATAAAATTATGATGAGCTTATCAGTTAAAAAAATCATTTACAAGCTGTACTCTGCATTTCCAGCACAGGCATTTATTTCTAAATCAACTGCAGTTTGAAGGAAAATGTAAATTAAGAGCTTCCTTTATTTTAAGACTTAATTTCTGGTGATGTCATGATTCAAGGCATCAGAAATAGTCTTTAAAATGAAAAGAAGCTTCTTTTTTAAAACTCACATTTTACAACTCTAATATTTCAAAGGAAGACTTGGATGAAAGTAAGAAAGAAAGAGAATTCAGGAGCTTTTTGGCTGGAAAGTTTGGCACTCTTCCATGACTTGCCTGCTGCAAGAGCCAGAATTTGATTCAGGGGGAGCTGAAAGCTTCTCCATGCTGCTCCAATGGCCCAGAGATTCTGGTTTTGGACAGCACCATCTGGACCAGTGTGAACGACAAAGTCAAACCTCCCACGTGCATTTGCCTGGCTGGGCAAATCAACTTAAGAGCAAGGGCACAGGCTGCCTCTTGGGCTCCATCAGCTTTCTCCCCTGGTGGAGTGAGTAGCTCCAAGGTGCCACTGCCATCAGGAAGAGAATAAGGCAGCTTTTCCTGTTGCTGTATGTTGCAAAGAGTCCAATTGTGACTTGCTATTTATCCTGTTTTTTGGCAGCTATAGTTACTCAGCCTCCTGTATCATCTTCTCCTCTGTGAATCGAGGAGCTTTCCTTGCATAGAAATCCCAACAAGTGTCTTCTTTGGCAGTCCCTCATTTACAGGAGGTTTTTCCTGATTGTTTTATAAACGGGGGGTGAATGTGCCTAGTGAGCCTGAGCTGAACTCCATGGACTGTACTGCATCTCAAATCTCACTTATCACTTCAGTGTGTTAGTTATTTTAGTCATGCCTACTTTTCTGTTTCCTTACCCTTGACAACATTTAAAGTTCTGGGATCACATCAATAGATTTTGAAACCAAATGAAGTGGTCACAAGCCTTTACGGTAATTTATGCTTCCATGTTTAATGTCTCCAAGAAAATTGGAAGACCATCTCTAATGCCACTTTTTGTTTGTTTGTTTGTTTGCCTAAGTGTTTCCACCTAAAATCGAGGTGAAAGAGGAAGACACACTGTTGCTTGTTCAGTGCAATGAATAGCTGATGACGATGTTATCTTGCACAATAAAAACAACATTGTCTCTTTTTTAATTCCTTTCTTAACAGACAAATACAGATCTATTCCCAAATAAGGCAAAGGCAGTGCTAATGATTTAAAGCGATATCAACATGTAACCTGCCAATTTGAATCAATTTCCAGAATACCTGTGTAAACTTCTCAGACCTTGATAATTTCATCAGAATAAACTAGTCCAGCTAGTTTGCAAGTTCCCCCCAAATGAGCTATACATAAGCATTTTGATGCCCCTGACTTCTCAGCATGTAGGTCAGAGGACAGCTCTAAGAGGCTTTCTGCCTTCAGTTTATAAAACTGAATTTAAAAAAATAAAATAAAATAAAAATACTGCCAGTTTGGTCTCAGTTGAGTGGATTTTCCAAAAAGTTGAGATTTAATTTTTAACCCCATCAAGCTCTTTGTCCTAGATTGGGCAAGAATACTCTAGTCAGTACATATGTGGCTTTAGTAAATAGCCACAAAAAATTATTTCAGGGTAATGTCAGATATAATCACTTTATAAGAATGAAGATAATAGAAACCAACAGTCAGACTAAAATAGCCCACTCTGAGTACAGACTTTTAGATGAGTTACACACCTGGGAAATGCCCGGTCCCTCAGGGTTAGAAAAGATCTAAATAAAGGTATAATCTCATCAATTGCATTGTTAACTTATCTGAAGAATGTGCCTATACTCTGTGGTAGTTGCCTGCATGAAGTCTATAAAAAGGAGAATTGGCTAGAAAGAAATTGCTTGTGTTATCTAACTCTGTCCAGAAAGACAGGCACTATATATTGCAATAATGATAATGATAATTATGGAATCATAAACATTATCATTTATTGATGTCTAAGTGACTTAATATATGTGCAGCATGTAAAACAGTGCCTGGCACAAGTACATGTTCAGTAAGTATAAGCTATAATTATTATGACGCTGTAATAGTATAATAAAGCATTCTACTAAGCACTTTACAAACTTTAGTTTAAAACTAAAATCTAGAGCCAGCCCACAGCATTACCACTGTCCTCTCCAACTTCCCACCCTACCCCCACCACACACGGTCACATACCTTTAAGAGCTACTCTTCTACCATCCATCTAACTGCCCAACCCAGGACAGGGTATCATCTTGGACACCACCTTCTCCTTCACTCTCCAAATCTAATCCATTAAGATTTATTAATTTACTTTGTGAATATGTCTGGCATTTACTAACTTCACCCTACCTCCATGGTCACCACCCTGGTCCAAGTCTCCATTTTCTCCTCCCTAGACTACCGCAAATGGCCTCCTAACTGGTTTCCTTTTGTACCCCCCATTTCCCATATTTAAGCAGATTCTCCATAGAGTAGACACAGTGACCTTTTCAAAACACAAATATGATCACTCTCTTGAATGGCTTTCCACTGTTCCTACACTATTACTAACTAAAGTGTCACCTAGTTCTACAAGGCCCTGCTTGGTCTGTCTCCTGCCTATCTCTCTGATATGGTTTGTCTCTGTGTCCCCACCCATTTTCACCTTTAACTGTAATAATCCCCACGTGTCAAGTGCAGGACCAGGTGGAGATAATTGAATCAAGGAGGCAGTTTCCCCCAAACTGTTCTCATGATACTGAGTGAGTTCTCATGATAGTGAGTGAGTTGTCATGAGATCTGATGGTTTTATAAAAGGTTTCCCCCTTCACTCAATTCTCATTCTCTCTCCTGCCACCCCGTGAAGAGGTGCCTTCCACCATGATTGTAAGCTTCCTGATGCCTCCCCAGCCATGCTGAACTGTGAGTCAGTTAAGCCTCTTTTCTTTATAAATCACCCAGTGTCAGGTATTTGCACCACTGCCACTCTTGTATCATATGCTGAAGCTACACTGGCTTTCTTCCAGTTCATAAAAATGTAAGAGGAGAACTTGATCTGGAAAGTCAGGAAAGTCCTTCCAGAGAAAATGACGTTTGGGCTAAGAGCTGTAGGATAAGTAGGTGTTAAATTGATAATGGGGCATAGGGGGTAATTTGAGGAAGAAGAGGAGACCATTCCAGGAAAAGGGAACAAGTGTAATGAGCAAAGGCCCTGGAGAGGAAATGAGCTTGGTGTGTTCCAGAAACAGAAAGACAGTGTGACTTAAGCGTAATGGGCAAGCGAGAGAGTAATCCAAGTTAAGGACAGTCAGGGAGGTGGAAGTCACAGTATGTTGGACCTGTTGGCCACCATATGGAATTATGAATACATGAACTAAAATATTAGACTTTTATTTTTGTAAACTACAATTTGGACCTTACTTAAAATTTTAAAAGATGAATTTCACCCCTGTTTTTAGCCAAATATATGTTTATGTTCTTCACTGAGTCATCAATGAAGTCTGTTGGACCTGGCTCAGTGGAGGGTAGCCAAGAGATGCCAGAGTATGGAGAAAGGAATGTGTTGCTGGTGGGTTGTCAGGTGCACTGGCACAACCATGTGAAACGAGAATCTTGCCCATGTTATTTGAAATAAGCCAACTCTCTCCCTTTTGAATAATCCAATAACTATTACTCAACAGTTGAGAGAACAGAACCAACAAACAGATTGCCTAGATTAACCCACTGAAAGATGCACCTTTAAATTGCTTTTGAAAAATAAACTGGATTGGGGAGCAATTTGGGAGCAAAGAGAAATAAACAAACTACACATTTGCAATTCCACAATGATGTATTTAAATATACACATGAGGGCTAAAGATGAACAGACTGTAAAATGAAAAAATAAAGAGAAGAAAAAACCCTTCAAATGAAGATTAACCGATTTAAAAATTGGAGCATTTGTTGTTGTTGTTGTTGTTGTTGTTGTTGTTGTTGCTGTTGTTGGTAATTTCTAAGACTTCTCAAGGAAGAAACAAGGATAAAGGAAAATACTGCATTTTCTTATAATATTGCCTGGAAAAAAAATCTCAGTATTTTCCAAAAAAAGCTTTTTCCAGCAAAAGCTTGAAACAATTTCAAATTCTTCATATATTTAGTCCTCAAGAAAAGCAATATAGTTTTCCATATTTTAAAAATTGAGAAACCAAGGCACTGCGTTGTTGTGTGACATATGCAAGTCACTCTTAAACAGAACATTAAATGGAACTGAGGTTTCTTGATAGCTAATCTACTTTAATTCACCTTTCTCATGTGAAATTCCTTGAGGGCAGGGGTCCTAATCCCATTGCCATTAGTGCCTACCAGAGCATTCCAAATATTTACATGCTCTATAAATATTTGTTAAATGACTAAGGAAACCACTCTGCTCTAGTTCAGAAGTGCCATTTGCTCTTCATTCATTATCTGGAGTTTCTTCCATCTACCAATAGAGAGCAATATAGAACTTGCCAATATCAGTGTCTTGGCAACTGAATATATAGCAATTTGGCTGGTTACATTGTCCCAGTTACACTTTAGAAAATAAGTTTCTTTTTAAACATCTGTTTGCTCAAAACTCTTGGGTTTTGTTAATGGTAGTATTTAAAGAAAATTATTTTTAGTTGACATTTTCCATTTTAACAAGGAATGAGCAAACCATGTGTTGTTGTACTACTCTGTCTTTGCACTCATATGAGGGAGGTCGTGGGCTCTGGTGTCTGCTGGTGAAGTAGGTGCTTGGATTAATCTTAGCTTGTCTGGCCACGCCCTTCCAAATCTTCACATTCCACAAAGTCTCAAGACACAGAGTAAGAGTAGCCTCGCTATACCCCATGTTGGAACCTACCTTGTTTATGTTTGAAGAACAGATTTCCCTCACTATCTAAATAATAGAATATACAAATCTTCTAGTTTATTGATGCTCATGTGAAATACAGATTATTGACCTATTATTCAGTTGTAGACTCGGTGTTTACTGAACTCATCAATATGCTGAGCATTGTGCCAGCCACTTTGACGCACTTGGTCTTATCGAATCCTCTCAGCAACCTTGTAAAATAGGTGCTTTTATTCCATATCACAAATGAGTAAACTGAGGCTCAACGGAGGTATGTACTTGCACATAATCATACAAAGGGGCATTCTGAGTTTCTGGAACTAGTGTTGCCTTGGCAACTAAACCATTCGAAAACAAATTTTGTTTTATTCATTTTTGTCCGGCTTGGGAAGACAGGTATCCAATGAGAAGTGCCGCACAGAATTTAGGTAACTAATGGTCAGAGGCGACCTGCTTTATTAATGGAGCTCTCGGGCGAGGTTCACTGGTCCTAACAAGGAGGGCCAGGGAAGTCGCACCCGACTGGGGCAGTAGAGGGTTTTTATAGAGCGTGTGGGGAGGGGCTTAGTAAGTTTCGGTTTTCTGGGATAGGTTTCGACTTCTCGGGGCTGCTGTCATCGGAAAGTGCCCGTCGGGCGGGAAAATCTGGTGGGAGACTCCAAGCGGTGGGGGGGGCGGGGAAGAAGGGGTTCGTGCCGCCATCTTGGGTCCTGGGGGAACAGCCATCTTGGGTGACCTGCCTAACATTCCGACCTCATACTGTAAGAAAAAGGGGCGACGTAATCATCTGGCTGCTTCCTGCTGAGTGAGGGCGTCGTCATAGTGGTCTTCGGAGGTCGGAAGACGGGAGTAAGGGTGTAGTAACATTTGGTTGACCGTCACCCGGGAGACTTCGCTGATGCGGTTTTTGATGAACTTGAGGACACAGGGGGCTATGAGAAGTAAAAGGCAAATGATTAGGATGGGGCTTATGAAAGGGATAATCCAAGTGGTTAAAGGGGATTGCCACCACCCTCCTCCATAGTTGGGAGTTGAGGAGGGTCGATGGAGACCGTCCCGGATTTTATCAAGGGTGAGGAGGCTGGTTTCTACTAAGCCTGATTCATTGATGTAATAACAGCACTCTTCCCCGAGAAACATGCAGGTTCCGCCTTTGTCGGCTGTGAGGAGATCTAGGGCTCTCCGGTTCTGCATGGCCACCTTGGCCACAGACGTAATCTGTCTCTGTAGAGAGGCTAAGGATTCGGCTGAGGCTTCGATGGCCATCTGGAGCTTAATAGAGAGATCTTGGGAAGAGCTTATGAAATGTACAATAGCACCTGTGCCCAGCCCGGAGGCAACAAGTGAGGAGGTCAAGGAGACACCTATTACCAGCGGTGGGAAAACGGCCCGCTTCTGACGCATAGGCGGGTTGACAAGGGAAGAGAGTTCAGCCTCGCTGTACAGAGTGAGTCGAGGCACCAGAGAGATGGGGAGGCATAAGTTTCTAGAAAGGGTATTGTTAGAGGAAATATTAAGATGTTTTGTAAGGGTGAAGTTACACCAGAAGTAGCCACCTGCCGGTGCAGAGAGGTTAGATAGGGAGCCAGAATAGGTCTGGTTGCACCAGGATGAGTTAGGAGTGGTGTAGCAGAAGGGGAACTGGGGCTGGAGGGGGTCTCGGAAAAGAGGGACCTGCTCAGAGAAGACGCCGGAAGGGTGGGCAGTGTGGTTACCAGAGGTGTTAAAAGCCTGGGGTAGGGGTACAGCTACTAGTGGTGGTTGGCTGAGGGCGGTGCAAAGGAAACAGTGGGAGAGATTAACTAGGCCTGCCATATTAACAAGGCGAGCCCCGTGGCGGACTAGGGTTATCCATGAAAACGGTCCTGCCTCAGCCTTGTCATCATAGGTGACCATGTCAGCCTTCGGATGGGACTGCACCAAAGTATTGATGACCTCTTCCTGATGCTTAATGTTGTCTGCTTGGTCCTTTAAATTAGACAAAACCTGGGGGATAACTCGTATATAAGTCAGGAATATCCGGAGTTTGCCAACTGGGTAGGAGTCGGTGGGCCACCGGTACAGTCGACCAGTGACTCCACTGACCCACCGAGAATCCCATGGGTCTGGGATGGTCAGGAAGTAAGTTGTCCTTCCATCAGATGTCAGGCGATAGGTGTGTTGGAGTTTCTTGGCGGTATGGAGCTGGGTCACATGCATACGACAATAGGCATAGGGGCATCCTCCGTTTGTGTCCACCCAATAGTCGCGGCAGTTGCTGTGTGTTTGATCATAGACAAAGCAGATGGTGGGATTGGACCAGCCCCGCAGAACACTTTTAAAGGAAGTGAAGTTAAAAGTTACTTGGGCCTGACAACCGTGAGGTTGGCAGTCCACCGTTGCCAGTGTGACAGTGGAGAGCCGGTTGCCTTGGGTCCAAGTCTCATGCAGGTAGAACCTCCATCGGAACGGGGGTTCAGTTAGGAGGGAGTTACTGGGCACTATGGGGGTTAGGAGGGTCAGGAGGAGTAGGAGGCATAGTGGGGAAGGTCTGGCCATGGGTGATACGAAGCCGGGTTGGGGTGAGTTTTGAGGACCAGTCGTGCTGAGTCGGTGCTTTCTTCAACTGTGACAAATGATACCAGGATGGTAGACCTAGTAACTTAGTGGCCCTCGGAGTGGTGAGGATCACGGTGTAAGGGCCTGACCACCGCGGGGTCAAGGTCTTGGACTGTAGTTCCTTAAGGAGGACACTATCACCTGGAGAGAGCACAACAGGGGCGTCCGGGGAGGAGGGGGTAGGTTCGGGGAGGCAGGCGTCCGCGTGCTTGCGGAGAAGGTCGCGAAGGAGGGTCAGATAAGGAAGATAGGACGCGAGGGGAGGGGGCGAAACAGTGGGGGGAAGACCAGGAAGTAGGAAGGGGCGTCCGTAGAGAAGTTCGAAGGGGCTGAGCCCTGTGGGGCCCCTGGGAGCTGCCCGGAGGCGGGTCAGGGCCAATGGTAGGAGGGTGACCCACGACAGCTTTGTTTCAAGAGTAAGTTTTGTAAGGTGTTCTTTGAGGAGGCTGTTAGCCCTTTCTACTTTACCAGAGGATTGAGGGCGGTAAGGGATATGGAGCTTCCATGTGACGCGGAGCGACTCGGATACTTGCTGAGTGATTTTTGAGACGAACGCGGGGCCGTTGTCTGATTGCAGGGATCGGGGAAGTCCAAAGCGAGGGATGATATGTTCTAGCAGGACAGAGACTGCGACTTCTCCTGTCTCACGTGCAGTGGGAAAGGCCTCAATCCAGCCTGTGAAGGTATCTACAAGAGTAAGAAGGTAGCGGTAATGCTTGTGCCGCGGCATGTGGGTGAAATCTAGCTGCCAGTCCTCTCCTGGCTGATGCCCGCGGAGCTGGTGATGGGGCCCTGGGCGCCTAAGTCCTCCTTGTGTGTTGACTGTTGAACAGACAGCACAGGTTTGGTGTACCTGGTGAATGAGGGACTGTAGGCCGGGGCATAGAAAAATTGGTTCTAAGAACTGATGTAAGAGTTTTGGGCCTATGAGTAGGGTCTTGTGCACATCGGTAATAATAGCCTGAGCCTGGGATTCGGGGAGGGCAATCCGGTTATCGACCCAGATTCAACCGTCTTGGTCGGTCATTCCTTTTAAGTTGGAAATGAGGTGGAAGGTCTCCTGTGGAGAATAGGCAGGGGTGCGTGAACCGGACAGGAACATTGCGGGAGCTGGGGCAGGGGCAGAAGTAAGAGCAAGAGACTTAGCAGTAGAGTCGGCTAGATTATTTCCTTGAGCAACAGGGTCTTTTGAGTGCTGGTGACTTTTGCAGTGTATGATCGCCACCTCTCGGGGCGCCTGTAAGGCATTTAAGGGTTTATGGATAAGAGGCCCGTTGACGATTGAAGTCCCTTTCATAGTAAGGAAACCTCGCTCCTGCCAGAGAACAGAATGCGTGTGTGCAATGAGAATACGCATACTTGGAGTCAGTGTAAATGTTGACCCGCTGTCCCTGAGAGAGGAGTAGAGCCCTGGTAAGAGCAAGGAGTTCAGCCTTCTGCGAAGTGGTCCCAAGGGGTAGGGCTGCCGCCTCCACTGTTTTGTCGTGGGTGACTACGGCGTAAGCTGCCTGTCGCCTACCGCAAGGGGTGAGGACTGAGCTGCCATCGACAAACAGAGTGCTGTCAGGATTAGAAAGCGGTCGATCGAAGAGGCCAAGTCGGGAGTTGGGGTTAGAGGTAAGGAGTTCGGGACAAGAATGCGACAGGACAGGAGGGGGCTCAGAGGCTTCTATGGGAAGAAGTGTAGCAGGGTTAAGAGGTGGTGAGGCGGTCAGGGTGATATCTGGGTTTTCGACAAAGAGCACATGAAACAGCTGTATTCTGGAGGGCGCCAGATGGGCCAGACATTTGTGAGAGAGTACATCTGTCAAGCGGTGCGGGGAGTATACTGTGAGTGGGTGACTGAGAGTAAGTTTGAGGGCCTCTTTGGTAAGCTCTGCCGCCGCTGCTAAGGCCCGCAGGCAGGGCTGCCAGCCCCGAGTGCTGGGATCAAGCTGCCTGGAAAGGTAAGCCACCACCTGATAGGTGGGTCCTACCGGTTGCCCTAGTAGGCCAGTAGCAACTCCCTGCAGTTCATCTGTGTAGAGATGAAAAGGCCGCAGGGGGTTCGGCAGGGATACAACTGGAGCTGTGAGTAAGCACTGCTGCAGCCGGTGGAAATGGCGGGCCACTAGGGCGGGATCAGACAGAGGGCTGGTGGGTGTTTCTTTCGCCGCCTGGTACAGGGGCTTAGCTAAGACCCCGAAGTTTGGGATCCAGTGCCGGAAGAACCCTACTAGCCCTACGAAGGAGAGGATCTTATCTGCGTCCTGGGGAAGTTGGAGGTCTTTAATGAGGCTAACTCGGTCTGTGGTGAGGCTTTTGGTGGTGGCGGTGAGAGAAATGCCTAGGTATGTGACTGTCGGGGTGCAGAGCTGAACTTTGTGAGGGGTAACTCGATACCCTTGTTTTCCTAAGAAATTAAGGATTGTGGCTGTATCTTGCTGCGAGACAGACAGGGAAGGACTGCAAAGGAGAAGGTCATCAACATACAGGAGAAGGGTGCTGTCGGCCAAAGTGCATGTACTGAGGTCTTTAGCTAGAGCCTGTCCAAAGAGGTGAGGGCTGTCTCGGAAGCCTTGCGGGAGAACGGTCCAGGCAAATTGCGAGGAGACATGGGTGTCAGGGTCTTCCCAGGTGAAAGCGAACAGGAAGTAACAGTCAGGGTGGAGGGGGATAGTGAAGAAATCATCTTTGAGGTCAAGGACCGTGAAATGGGTGGTGGTCGGAGGAATGCGGGATAGGAGAGTGTATGGGTTAGGCACTACAGGAAAAATGGGGACGACAGCCTCGTTGATGATGCGAAGATCTTGCACTAAACGGTACGCACCAGAGGCCTTACGGATGGGCAGAATGGGCGTGTTGCAACGGGAGTTTACCGGGATAAGGATGTGTTGTTGCAAGAGCCTGGTGATGATAGGTTTTAACCCTTGGCGGTGTTCAACTGAGATGGGGAATTGTGGCCGCGAGGGAAATTTGGTAGGGTCCTTGAGTTTGATCATTATTGGGGCATGGTGTCGGGCGATGGAGGGGGTTGAGATGTCCCATACTATTGGATCAACGGGCACAGGGAGCAATGGGATCGGCGAAGGAGTGTCATCGCTAAGTGCCAGCAGAGGAAGCAAAGAGATTGCACTGGAGGGGAGGCTGGGGTGCAACCGAATGGAGGCCCCTAACTTAGACAGCAAGTCCCTTCCGAAGAGCAGGACGGGACAGGAAGGGATAATGAGGAAGGAATGGGAGATGAGAGTGTCGTCCAGCCGGCAAGACAATGGGGGGGGGGTCTGACGATGGGTGGAAGGGGTACCGTCAATCCCCACTACCGTGACCGGGGACGGGAAACTGGACACGCCGAAGGAAGGCAAAACAGAATAGGTAGCCCCCATATGCACGAGAAAAGATATGGACTTACCTGCTACCTGGAGCGTTACCCTGGGCTCGGCAAGAGTGAGGGGGGTTCCCGAGTCTGGGCCTCTTCAGTCGTCGTCCATGCTGAGTAATTGGAAGGCGCCACCGGTCGTCTCGGAGTTTTCACAGCGTAGAGGCACTGTGGACGCTCCGACGCTGGGGCACTCAGACTTCCAATGTCCCATCTGGTGGCAGTTAGGGCATGGTCGGGTCGGTTCCTTAGGGTACGGGCATTGTCAGGCCCAGTGGCCTTCGTTCCCACACTTGAAGCAGGCACCAGGTGGCGCTCGGTGGCCGGAACCCCCTTTCGGTTGGCTCCCGGAGCCGGCCAGCCGCGGGGCAGCTACCAAGGCCTGGGTCTGGAACTGTACCTTCTGCTTTAGCCTTGCCTGTCTTTGGGCCTCAGCCGTCTCCTCCCTGGAATTATAGACCCTGAAGGCCATTTTAACTAGGTCCTGTATTGGGGTTTGAGGGCCTTCCTCCACCTTTTTTAGTTTTTTCCGAATATCTCCCGCTGATTGGGAAATGACATGAGTAGCCAAGACAGTGGCCCCTGCCGGGGAGGTGGGATCAAGGCGGGTATACTGGATGAGGGCCTCAGTAAGGCAGTTAAGGAAAACTGCTGGGTTCTCGTCAGACCCTTGAATAATCTCCCGTAATTTGTCAAAGTTGACCGTCTTATTGGAAGCCGCCTGCATGCTTGCCAGAAGGCACTGAACCATTTGGTCACGGCGTCGACGGCCAGTCTGACCAGCTTGGTAATCCCAGTCCGGCTCGGCTGCCGGTACTGCTAGGGTTCCGACAGGCATGGCGGGGTCAGTTAAATGAATTTGGTCGGCATGTTGCCTAGCCACCGCCTGGACTCGCTCCCTCTCCTCTGGGGACAGAGTGGATGTTAGGATAATATGTAGGTCACGCCAGGTGAGGTCATAAGCCTGGCATAGGTACCTAAATTGTTTGATATACAGGGTTGGGTTGGCAGAGAAGGACCCAGGCCGCTTCTCTATTTTAGATAAGTCAGTAAGAGAAAAGGGAACATGGACCCTGACCACGCCTTCCGCACCGGCAACTTCACGGAGCAGACACAAGAGGTCCGTCTTCGACCGAGTGTGCGCAGATACAGGGGAAGGCGGTGGCAGAGCAGAAGCGGGAGGGTTAGCGGGAGAGGAAGGTGGTGTAGGAGGTAGCGGAGGAGCCGTTGGGGTGGGGCCAGAGGATCCTGGATAGGGAGGAGGGAGCGCCGCTGGCAATGGTGGTAAAGCGAGGGCTTCAGGAGGCTCGGAGAGAGGGGAGGAATCAGGTTCTTTGTTAGAGGGGGATGCCTTAGCCAGTAACACCTGTCCAAGGGAACACTTGGCACATAGGTCAGGACGAGAGCGTAGGTCCCAAAAGGCTTGTACATAAGGGACCTCTGACCATTTGCCTTGTCTTCTGCAAAGGTTGTCTAGGTCCTGTAAAATTTGGAAATCGAAAGTTCCTTCCGGCGGCCACCGAGATTGGTTGTCCAATTTGTATTGCGGCCAAGCGACCAAGCAAAAGAAAATGAGTCGCTTCCGCTTAAGGTCCATACTGAGGCCTAGAGCTTCAAAGTTGGCTAGGAGACACCCCAGGGGTGTCTTAGGATCAATTTTGGATTGGGCACCTCCCATTGTCCTGAGGCGGGCGATTCAAGGTCAGGGAGGGGCATCCCCCAACCTTCCTTGAAGCGCGGATGGCGGAGGCCGAGGAGGACGGACGTCTCCGCGTCCTCGGTCCCGTAGTCGGAAACTGATGGGGGGAAGACTCTGAGTGGCCGCGATTACAGACAGAGGTTCCCGGGGCCTACAGGACGGAGGGGAGACTTACCCAATAGCAAAGGCCGAATGCGCTGGCCCGAGTCTGGTTCCTGGCAGGTAGGGAGAGGAGATGCTCCCCGACCCTGGGTCAGAGAGGGGTCTCCTCCCGGGTTTTGGCACCAATGTCCGGCTTGGGAAGACAGGTATCCAATGAGAACTACCGCACAGAATTTAGGTGACTAATGGTCAGAGGCGACCTGCTTTATTAATGGAGCTCTCGGGCGAGGTTCACTGGTCCTAACAAGGAGGGCCAGGGAAGTCGCGCCCGACTGGGGCAGTAGAGGGTTTTTATAGAGCACGCGGGGAGGGGCTTAGTAAGTTTCGGTTTTCTGGGATAGGTTTCGACTTCTCGGGGCTGCAGTCATCTGAAAGTGCCCGTCCAGCAGGAAAATCTGGTGGGAGATTCCAAGCGGGCGGGGGGCGGGGGTGGGGGGAGAAGGGGTTGGTGCTGCCATCTTGGGTCCTGGAGGAACGGCCATCTTGGGTGACCTGCCTAACAATTTTATGTTAATAAAACCAATGTATATTCATGGCAGAAATATCTTAGCATAGAAACAAGAAAAAAGAATGAAAACAAGAAAAAGGAAAAGGAGAAAAAAAAAAGATAAAAAGCACCCATAATAAAAACCATTTAGAGGCAATTACTGGTAATGCTGTATGTTCTTCAGGCATCTTTCTATGTATACTTTTAAGGGATCATACTGTGGGTCGTTTTATAATCCTTTTTCTCAACAATAATGATCATATTCTATGCCAATAAAAATAGAAATCATAATTTTAGTGGCAGCAAAATATTCCATCTTATAGACATGCCATAATTTAATAAATCCTTTTGTATATACTTTTAAGTTGTTTCCAATGTTTTGCTATAACAAATCATGCTGCAACGAACTTCATTACAACTCTGTTTTGGACCACATCTTTATTAATTTACCTGAGGTATTCCTAAAGTAGAATTTCTGGATCAAAGGTCATGTACATTTTAAAGCCTTTTTGATATATATTCATTGTATCTATTAATTTAAACCTAGGAATAAAGTCCAGGTTGGTGGAGACATTTTTAAGAGTGGAAAATGTTGCCATGTTTTCTCTTCTCTTTTCTTATGATTATCTTATCCTCATCTGACTTGTTATCATTCCCCACTCACCTCTTCTTCCAGTCATTTGTAGTCTCTGCATTCATACTTTGCCAGTAATTTGCTTAAGACAGCCAAGAGAGCAAAGTAGAATCTGACTTCTGTCTGTATATGAATGATGACTGGTCACAGGTAGCCACAGAACCATGAGCAGGCAGACATATACTGTAATTATTAGCATTTTGTGCTGAATGGATCTTTCTGAAATAGCAACTTCTAAGCCCAATAATTCAGCTATTTGAGATTTAATTCTATCTTCTTTCCATCTTTTTAGATTTCTCTTTCTGGTTATGATTCCTGCTTTCAGTATTCATCCCTAATACATTTAAAAATTCGTTAGACATATTTTTCTTTTTACATTTTTTCTTGAGAGGAAATGTGTTTTAAAATTGTCTACAAATACAGTTCAGGTTAAATGATTTCGTCCCCAATATTTAAATGCAATTAGTGTTCAAAATGGCCTGTAAGAAATGCCCTATTTCAGTACCTTTGAATAGAGTGAAGTGGTATATATTTGAAAATGAATTTATCTCTGACAAATGAAAGGAGGATATTTGATGCTTTCCCATCTCCATTAAAGGCCTGCTTGCCCAATGTCACAACCCTTTTTTGCCATTTTCTTCTGTTAATGGCAAAGTATTCCCCTTTTAGCACATTAATAAATGAATGATCATAATGAAGGCATAGACCATAAAGCACAATCCCAGGAACACTAGATACATTTTGATTGCTTCAGGACAATTCTTATTATAACAAATACTATTAAAATACCATCTCTTTAGAGAGACAAACACAAAGATGGCTAATCCACAGCTGAGGGCCCCTATCAAACTAGACTCACTTCTGCCAGTATCTAACATAAGATGGTTAATATCATCTGTTGCAGCAGGATTTCACATGCATCTATATTTCTCTGTCAATAGTCTGAATAGCAACTATTCTCAATTAAGAGCATCTTAATTTTTTTTTGCATGTTTTTAAATTGTGATTGTGATAGCATATGAAACATAAGCAACATAGAATATGGAAACAAGATTTCCAAAAAAGGCCTTTGCTGCACTTTCTCAGTCTCCTTTTTCAGAATCAAATCTTTGTTTAGAATTCTGGTCACCTTTCTCCTGGGTGACTACAATTGTTTCACATTCTCCCCTACATCCAAATGCATTCTACTACAATAAATCCTGTAGCCCAAGTGACAGCATAAATACCTAATCTCTGGTATATTACTGGCATGTGAAAGTGAGAAATTATAAAGGAAAGTGGAAAATTAAAACAGTCAAGGAAGATAGGAGTTGAATATGAAGGACGAGGCATGGGTAAGAAGAATTAAAATATGTGCCCACCCTCACACTCAACAGTATCGCTGAAGAGATGGTCCATGCTGAGAATCTTCTTAAGAAAATTCGGGGAGGGGGGATTGAAAGAGAGAGAGAGATTGAGATTTGACTGCAGTGTCCCTGCCAGGCCAAGGCTTATTTAAGGTGCAGGTAGGAGAGCACTCACTTTGAAAGAACAGCTTAATACTCTAAGTTTCTCTTGCTACCCCTGCTCCTCTCATCCACATCTGGGGCTCAGTCCCCAGGAGGACTCAGGCAAGTTCCTCCATCCCTGTGGCCAGTGTTCCCCCTCCATATTGCTACAAAAGCCTGCAGCTGATGTTAGCAAAAAATAGAAAAAACAACCTAAATGGAAACTGTCCAGTAAATTTTCAGAGTCTCAAATGTTAGAAAAGCAATGGTACATTGACCTCTCCAGTTTATCTCCTTAGAGGCTTCTTTCATTCAGATTTAAAGGAAGTGGCAGGAAGGAGACAAGTTGAGGAACTTATGCTCTGGATTTTCCTTACAGGCATCCTCAGCAGTGTTGTGTTTGTGCATGACCGTCTTTCTGTTTTTGTGTTTTAAAGTTTAACTCTTTTCTGGACAATACAGGGCAGCAGTTAAGTGCCTGGGGTTTTAAGCCAGACAGAAATGGTATTGAACCAAAGCTCTACCATTTACTAGTTGTGCGGTCCATGGGAAACATATCGAACCACCCTGAGCATTAAAGTTCTCATCTGCAAAAAATTAATAGTACCTACCTCATAGAATCACTGTGAATTTTAAATGAGATAATCTACATAGGGTATGTACTATAGTGCCTGAGCCCAAAGTAAGCAGTTAATAAATGATTGTTATTGCTGCTGTGGCTATTTTTATTTTTATTTTTTACCACTAGGAACATAAAATGTGTGGTCTTTTTCCTGTCTCCTGACTCCACTGTGTTGGGAGGGCAAGTAATAAAAGTTTTTGACTTATTAGATGGTGCCTAGTTTGGTTGCTTATTTATTGTCCAAGGACCTCACATTTGGATATGTTCTATTCCAATATTCTGGGAACTGCCCATCCCTTGCCTAGAGCACTAGCACCCTAAAGCATTCATTCATCAAATGTGTCTTGAGCACCTGGTATATACTGGGCATTATACTATGTCCTGGAGACGCAATTGTAAGCAGGACAGATGTGGTCCCTACCATTTAAGAGTTCATGGTTTAGTTTTGTCTGTTAGAAGGAGTGAGGACGTGAACAGAAAGATGGACGAATATGGTAAGTTCTGTGATAGAAGTTAGCAGCAGATGCTAAGAAAGTGAGACGAGAAGGCAGCCTGGGTGACGTGAGGCAGGGTCAAGGAAGGCTTTCCAGAATTGTCTCTAGAACTGTGTCTTAAAGTATGTTTGGAAATTATGTAGGGGCGGGGGGGTGCAGGGTTGTTCCAGGTGGATCCAGTGGAATGTGCAATAATGTGGGTTATTAAAGACCAGAGCACAGAAGAGACAGCAAGTAGACCCAGTGTGACTGAAGGATAGGAACAGGGGCAGGGGAGAGAGACAAGGACTTGAGAGGTCAGCAGGGGCCAGATCATCAAGGTCCTTGGAAGCATTTTAATGAATGTGTTTGTTATGCTGAGGTAAATAGAAACTTGTTGAAGTGTTTTAAGGACACTGACCTTGAGGAGGAAAATGTAGCATTAGAGGGACTGTGTACCAGTAAGATGCTGTTGCAGTAATCCAGAGAGAATCATCAAAGTCTGGCAGCAGTGGCAATAGTGTTAGAAAAGGAAGAACACATGCGATAGAGAGGTAGGAAATAGAATCAACATGGTTAGATCTGTCATTTCATTATTTCATGTGTTTTACTACAGTTAACAAATACTCATCGAGCACCTACACATTCTATTTACACAGAAATGTAGAAGGCTCATGTATCTGCTTGTTAATAGAGGAGATGAGATGTATGCAATGTTTTGAGGTATGGAAGAAGGGCAGGCATAGTATGAGCTAAATGACATAAAAGTGGTGAGGGAGGGAACATCATTTCCAGTTGTGATTTATACAGTTAGGGAGAGACAAGGTGAAGGTGTTTTTTCTAAATCAGCTTACCCAGAATGATGCATAAATCAGAATATCGGGGTTTAAAATTTTCTTTTTTGTTATAAGATGTAAATAATGTCATAGTCTCTCTGATAAAGAAAAATATAATCAGGCAAGCCTGTTATTGTTACAAAGAGGTTCCTAGGTAAGTTTGGAGCCAGAATCAGGAGAATGAGATGGATTATCTTATTAACTACTGCTATGGTCCGAATGTTTGTGTCCCCAAGCCCCAAAATTCATTTATTGAAATCCTAACCACAGGTGATACGGTTAGGACTGGGGGGTCTTCCAGGGATGTGGAGCCCTCATTGATGGGATTAGTGTCCTTTTAAAGGAGATCCCAAAGAGCTGCCTTGCCCCTTCCATCATGTCCTGTTCCATCATGACACAGCAAGAATGTGCTGTCTATGAGGAATGAACCTTCACTAGACACCAAATCTACCAGCACCTTGATCTTGGACTTCCCAGCTTCCAGAACTGTTAGAAATACATTTCTGTTCTTTATAAGCTGCCTAGTCTGTGGTACTTTGTTATAAGCCCCAACAGATTAAGACCATGGCTATCTTTAATTTATTAGGAAAGCCTCCCTGAAGCAGTGAGATCTAGAGGAGAAATAAGAATCAGCCGCATAAAAATTCAAGAAAAGAGTGTCCCAGGCAGAGGAAACAGCATGGTTGAAGGCTATGATGTGAGAAATTGTTCAGTGTGAACTGAAAGAAGTCTAATACATGAGTAATGAGGAGAGTGGTAGAGAGAAGGGGGAGAGATGAGTCTAAATATGAGAAGCCTTGTAAGCCATTGTCTGATTTTGCACTTCTCCCTAAAGGCTATTACAATTTGCTGAAGTGTTTTGAAGATGGGCCTGACTTGTTCAATTTTTCATTTTTTGATCACTCTGGCTGCAGATTGGAGTGGCATTTGGAAGTAAACAAGATTGGAGGCAGGGAGACCAGACAGAAAGCTCTTGCAGTATTCCAGGCAAGAAGTGATAGTGGGCAGTAACAGTGAACATGGAGAGAAATATTTAGGGGGTAGAATCAATAAAACTTGGCGACTGATCGAATACCAAGTGTGGAGTGATTCAAAGATGACACCCACAGATCTAGCTTGAGCAACTGGATGGATTGCAATGGTAGAGAAAACATTGGAACAGAAACAGACAAATAGAATGAAAAAGATAATGAGTTCTGTTTGGGACCTGTTGTGTTTCAATTGCTTGTGTGACATTCAAATGGAAATGCCAAGTTAACAGTTGAATATGCAGATGTAGGGCTCAGGGTGGAGGTCTAGGCTAGAGAACTCTATTTGAAAGTCAGGGGCACACTAAAGATGGTCTTTTCAGCTACTTCTGGGGATGGCCAGTAACCATTTCCAACTAATTACAGTTATTTTCTCTCATAGAGGATAATCTGATTTCATGCTTATTTACTGGTTTCAGTAATCAGGAAAGCCATCATGGAGCAGGTGGCATTTGAACTGAACTTCTGAAAGGCAAAAATAGTCGTGAAAAAAAAAAATAGGGTATTCTAGGCAAAGAGGAGAGGGATAGAAAAACAGCAGACTGGGGAAGATGAGTCTTCCAAATTGACTATATTGTAAGGATTACGTATTTATTCAAGTTACTATGTGCCAAGAATTGTGCTAGACACTGGGAACATCAAGTTGAATAAGGTGTGGGGCCTGCACCCCTTTAAGAAGACTTCCTTCAACAACTGGTCTGAATTATGAGCACTTCCTCTGTACTTCCTGAGTATCCTGTGCTCGGTTTTGTTATTGCCCTTAACCGCATTATATTGAGAGTATTTGTTTCTCATGTCAGGCTCTTCCACTATAACAAGAATTCTTCCTGTCTTATTCACCATGTTATCCCCATGCTTAGCACAGTCACTGGTCATGATAAATATTCAAAAAAATTTTCATTGAAATGAACTAACTGCAACCAAAGAGCTTACACTCTAGTGAGGAAAATGTGCAAGCTAATGTTGGAGAGAAACATATTACTCAGAGATCTAAATGTAATATAAAGTGTTGGGATTATATTGGCAGGCAGTGGTATGTCAACAAATGTTTTTGAGCCTGGTTTATGAAACAATCAAAGTGTGTTTTTACAATATTGATCTAGTAGCCATGTCTAGAATGCATTGGAAGAGGTAAGATGTTAGTGAAAGGGTGTTGTCCAACAAGTAGTGCAACCAGTTGTCACATAGTAGGTGCTCAGTAGACATTTACTGAATAAATGAATTAAAGTAGAAGCAGAAAGTAGAGGATCCATGCAACTCCTAGCTAAGGAATTTGATGCATGCTCAGATACTTGTTAGCTTCCTGGAGTACTTCTACCACCAACAGCATTGGTGTATATTCTATACTACTGTAGTGTTAACCTGTTATAATAGGGTCTCACTGCAGCAGCATAAACTACTTTGTTCTCCACACTTCTTTTTAAAGTTTCTTTCAATGAATTAATTTTAAAGAGATGATGTTATTTTACATGATGTGGTTGGGGACTCAGGTCATTTAGTTGCATGATTAATACTTTATCAGGAGCCTGCATGCCATCAGGCAACATACCCACACACTGAATGTTTCAATTTGACAAAAAGGAAACAGCTTTAACAGTGATTATTGTGTGTGAAAATTTTCAGGGGCGGGAGACTGTTATTATTGATCAAAATGAGCATCATTCTGCTGTCTTTGTTATTTTGTTGTGGAGACTCCTAGGTATTTGCATTTGATTATAGTCATTGCACAGCTGTTCTTCTTTCTCATACTTGCTGTCTGGTACAAAATACCATAGACAATCAATCAGAGCCTCAAAGCACCCTATTTCTAGATTCCTTCAGCCTGGAAGCCCAGTGACAATAAGCCAAGATGTATCTCTGGATCTAATTAATGTGTGGATCCAATTATTGTGCTATATGGGCTTGGTTTTCCTAAGTCAAGCCTGTGGATCTATATTGTACCTAGCTGAGTTTTAGTACACTGCAATCAAATTGGCCAGTCAAACGGAATGGACAAATTGTATTTAACAAAAACCAATGAAAGCAAGGGAATGCAATTTTCCTTTTTCTTGGAAAGCCACTGGCTTATGTAACTACTATATTCTAGTGAATGTTGTAAGTTTTCATTATGAAGACATTGGATTTATTTTAAATCCATTTTAAAAAAATCAATGCATCTATTCCACCTGAGGGTTATTTTACGCTGAAAACAATAGCATTATTTTTCTAATATTGAAATAAGTGCCTCCACTGCTAAAATAAATGATTTATTTCAATACAAGAGAATTGACGTATGTCTAAAGTAGTTTCATTTCTTATGATTTATTTTATTTGCCTTTTATCATTTTATCTCTTTCTTTATGAATGAAGTTAAAGTTGGATTTTTATTTTTTATTCTGCTTAGCTCTTGTAATTTGGCCAATTTCTGCCTCAAACCAGTCTTTGCCGGCTTGTGTACATCTGTACTGAAAACATTAGCCCTAAGTGAGGCTAAGATGGAAAGCCGCAGGGCTGCCTACGCTCTCTGTAATAAGCAGATTAGAACATGACCATGTGTTCAGGCCCTAAAGGTAATGAGGGAGAGAGGGACTACTGAATATCAGGCAGAGAATTTACTTGAGTGCATCTAAGTCTTTTAAATTAGAGAATGAGCAGTAAGTTTTCTTCTTTTAACATCATATGTGATTAATGTTAATAATGTGGAAGTTGGGGGAGATGTGGGAGCACAGTTTAAGGGGATTTATCTCAATCTTGACATAAAGACAAGGCCTAATTTAGGCATCCCTGTAGAAGGAAGTGAAGTTTAAAATGAGGTGTGAAGTGAACTTGAGAACAGGAGGGGGACCATTTAGTTATACTTCTTTAAAGTCTCCATTTTTCTGGCAAAAATGAAAAGTATATTTTCACCCTTTTTTCTATGCCCATGGAATAAGAAAATATACATGAATATGCTAACTTGTACAAAAAGAAACAGGAAGGATAAAACATAAAATAATGTGACTGATTACCTACAGGGGATGTGTGGGAATAAGGTGGTAAGGATGGGGAGAAGAGAACAGAGTAGAAATATGGCTGGGGTTCGAAGTCACTTCTCTATCCTTTTTGCAGGGTTCTGACTTTGGAAACATGATAGTGTTTCACATAGCCAAAACTAAATAAATAACATAATAAATAAAATAAACAAGAGTGGGGGAGAAAACCCAAAATCGAACACAAACAGAAATAAACAAACCTGTCTTTATTGCAAATAAATAACACATAATCACTCTGAATAGAAAAAGAAACAAAACAAACCCAAGTAATTTTAAACACAGTGTTTTAAGTATATATATTCAGGTAAAAGGTAAAAAGAAGTATATACAAATATTAACCCTAGTTAAGTAGGTTTGCTTCTTCACAGTGCTATAATTAGCAATTCTGAAATCACTTTATGCATATTCTAGAATTGACAAATGAATAAATATATTGTGGATAATGAGAACCAGGTTCTCACTGTAGAAGAAGGGAGATACAGATATGGAAAGGAGGGAGAGTAGAATGAACCCTGTGGTATTGGATTAGAAATAGAATTATCAGTATATACCTACGGTTTTTAATAGACAGCATAACAAATAGGCATATAGATAAATTTAGATAGATAGATGGATGGATAGATAGATAGATAGATAGATAGATAGATAGATAGATAGATAGCAATGAACTGATTGTTCATATCCCTCCAAGATGTTAATGGTGAAATCCTAACCCCAAAGTAATAGTATTAGGAGATTGGGTCTTTGGGAGGTGATTAGGTCATGAAGGCAGAGACGTCCTGAATAGAATTAGTTCTCTTATAAAAGAGACCCCACAGAGATAAAAGGTCCTTATAAAAAGACCCTTAGTCCTTCTGCCATGTGAAGTCACAGTGAGATAAAGGTTCTCTACGAGAAAGTGGGCCCTCTCACCAGACACCAAGTCTGCCAACTCATTGATCTTGGACTTCATAGTCTCCAGAACTATAAGAAATAAATTTCAGTTATTTGTAAGCCATTCAGTCTAGAGTAGTTTGTTTGTTATAGAAGTCTGAATAATCTAAGATAAATAGATAGATAGATAGATAGATAGATCTAAGTAAACAAACATATATGCATACACACCTACACATATATTTTTTCTAGCTTGTCTGCTGAGAGGGCTTAGAAGCAATAATACCCCAGTAGCAAAGAGCAAAACTAGTGTCCAATCTCAGTTTTTAATTATCATTCTCTACTAAAAAGAACCGGTGCCCCTTGGAGCTGATTTCAGAACAAGAGCAGAGGAAGTAGAAAATGATTCTTGAAACAACTTGTGCCAGAAAGTAAGAGAATACTCAAAGAATGGCAAGGTCATGTGAGGAGCATTCAGGATCCAGCCTGAGGGGGCTTGCATTGGCCAACTCTGGGACAATTTGACCATCAAAATACATGATGGCAATGGATTCACCCACAACATAAAATGACAATGCATGAGTCAATGTTAATATAAATAAATGTTTAAATAGATGGATAGGTGGATGAATAGATACATAGATGAGAACAGAAAGCTCTTCTGTGTGTAGAATTCAAACTAATAACTGCAAAAGAAATAATCTGGTGTACTGAGAATAGCACATCCTCACTTCTGTGGTATTCTGGAAAAAAAAAAACATAAACTAAGTGTGCTAGTCCATTTGTATTGATATAAAGGAATACCTGAGACTGGGTAATTTATAAAGAAAAGAGGTTCATTTGGTTCATGGTTCTGCAGGCTACATATGAAGCATAGTGCCAGCATCTGCTTCTTGTGAGTCCTCAGGAAACTTACAATCATGGCGGAATGCAAAGGAGAGCCAGCATGTCACACAGCAAGAGAGAGAGCAAGAGAGAGAAGAGGAGGTGCCAGGCTCTTTTAAACAACCAGATATCACATGAACTCATTGCTACAGGGAAGGCACTAAGCAACTGATGAAGAATCCGCCCCCATGACCCAAACACCTCCCACCAGGCCTCACCTCCAACATTGGAGGTCACATTTCAACATGAGATTTGGAGGGGACACACATTCAAACAACATCACTGAGTTTAATTAAGAAAAAACAATAAAGAAACACAAATTAATGAACATTCTATATAACAAATGGTCTGTTCTTATAAAAACTGTCAAGGTCATGAAAGTCAAAGAATGGTTGAGAACTGTTCCAGATAAAAGGAGACTAAAGAGACATAATAAGTAAATTCAATGTGTGATTCTAGATCAGATTCTAAGAAACAAATTTCTTTTTCTTTGGCTATAAAAGTCAGTGAAACAACTGACAAAATTTGAATAAGGATTGTAGATTAGATAATAGTATTTTATTAGTGTTTTTTTCTCTGATTTTGATGATTATACTATGGATATGTAAGGAATTATTCTTATTTTTAAGAAATATAGACTGAAGTACTTAGGGGTAAAGGAACAACATATCTGTAAATTACTCTTAAGCCATGCAAAAAAATTAAAATGATATATTGATAGACACACATACATATTATGAATATATATAATATCCATACATACTTATATAGACATGGACTACAAAGGTGGTAAAATGTAAACAATTGGGGATATGGGCATCTGGGTAAAAAAGATGGGGGATTGTTTGTACTATTTTTACAACTTCTCTGCTAAGTCCAAAATGATGTAAAAATAACAAGTTGAAAAATGTGAAAATACATTTTTTAATGGATCTATCTTACAGCCAAGATGCTTTGCATCTGGATTAATAAATTCTCTTGCAAATATAAGGAAGTGAGCCATAAAGAAGTAATTCTCACTGTCAAGGTAGTTTGGATTAAATCATTCTGGGGCTTATTTTTCCTTTTATTTTTCATTTATTGTCATTACTATAAGGAGCTAAAAGCACACAAGAGGGAGTTGCTAGATTGGCTCCAAAAAGAAGAACCAGGCGCAGTCTTTGCCCTCTCTGCTCTGTCTCGGTGTTAGTTTTACTTTAGCACATATCATGTATTCATCTAGGTGGAAACCTAACTTTCAAAGTGAAAATTGAAATATAAATCTAGGCCAGGCGTGGTGGTTCACGCCTGTAATCCCAGCACTTTTGGGAGGCCCAGGCGGGTGGATTACCTGAGGTCAGGAGTTTGAGACCAGCCTGGCCAACATGGTGAAAGCCTGTCTCTACTAAAAATACAAAATTAGCTGGGCATGGTGGCAGGCACCTATAATCCCAGCTACTCAGGAGGCTGAGGCAGGAGAATTGCTTGAACCCAGGAGGTGGAGGTTGTGGTGAGCCAAGATCACGCCATTGCACTCCAACCTGGGCGACAAGAGTGAAACTCCATCTCGAAAAAAAAAAAAAATCTAATTATGTCTCCTTCAAGGAGTTTTCCTTCTATTGCTATAAACTTTTAGGATTTCCCAGTGTTCAGTGCAACCTAATCAATACCTTTGGATCTTTTGCAAAGGTGTTTTCCTCAAGGAGTTTTCCTTCTGTTGCTATAAACTTTTAGGATTTCCCAGTGTTCAGTGCAACCTAGTCAATACCTTTGGATCTTTTGCACCCTTAAAATAAATCAGTGTGTTGGAAGAGTAATAGAACTGAATGGTTTTCTTAGACTGAGTGTTAGCACAACTACAGGCCTGGACTGAACATTTTCTCTCATTAAACAAAAGTGTATTTGAAAAGGCAAAATAATTTAAAAGACTTTTTAAAGTGAAAAATAAAATCTGAAAACAGAGCTCATTCACCTCCTAATTTGGAAATAGCTGGGGCGTGGGAGGGGAAATGAAGGGGAGAGTAGAGAATAGAGGCTTAGATGGAACCATGTTGCTCTGTTTTGCTTCTGGAGCAAGGCGGGTCCTAGGATAAATTGTGAACTATACAAAATTTTCTTTCACTCTCCCCATTATTCCCCCCTCTCCAGGCATTTAGTGTCCTCTTTCTCTTTCCTCCTATTCCAACTTTCACAGTCTTCCTCACTCCCACTAAGGGGTAAATGACTGACAGAAACTCAATGTCTTACCTTTGCCAGGGGCATTACAAGTTAACAGATACTGATACCATAAGCCAAAAAGCTAAAATTCGAATCTTTCAGATTTCAGGCATCTAAAAGTAGATGAAAGAGATCAGGGAGAAGGAGGAAGGTAGTGATTCTGGGTCTTTCCGACACATTTGATAACACACACTTCTGTGGAGGACCAGCCCAAACCTAGTCAACCAAAATGTCACAGGTACTTTCTACCTTAAAGCAAGCAAAAAGCTCACCCTGAGATTTGATTACCCAACTCGGCAGACTGGCTGGCTTCTAGTCCAAAGACACTTTGTCTGCAGATATATAAGGACTTTCATTTTTGGGAAACACTCATGGAAGATTGAAACATGGTGTTTCCTTTTCACAGATGGGCAAATTGATTCAAAGTAGAGCACCATTGTCAGCTAGCAAGCAAAGTTAGCAACAGGAATGACAAGTGAGGCTTCTGCCTTTGCTTTCTATATCTAGAAAGAAACAGTTTTACAACTTGGACTCTTCCTGGTGTTTTGTCTTCTGTGGAGCCGGTTTAAAACCAAACCACCCAGAGCCTAGGTATCCACATTTTGTTTGAAATGCCATTTGGTTTTACATCATTTGCCAGTCTCTTTCCCAACTGGCCTGATATTCTCTCTTACAGAGGCTGTAGGGAGTATTCCAATGCTGAGTTGAAGGTTCGACCAGATGGCCTTAAAGGGCTCTTCCAAATACAAGATTCTCTAATTCTCTGATTTAATTTGGATGATTCAATTTTGTGACTTTGGCTATCACCAGATGAAATTATGTAGACATTCTGTCTTCCATCTGCCCTCAGATATGTGTCAACTTATCTCTATCCAAATTCATCACATCAGTCAATCATTAAGTATTCATTTACATGCAGTATTCTACAAAGCATTCCTAAGGGCTCTGACCCATAAGTATAAGTAACAGGAGCAGCAGGCATAGTAGAGATGGACACATCAGGTTATCATAGCTTGAGGACACCAGCGAGTCTAATAGTCCAACTAACTCTCCATGTCTTGGTTTCAAGCCACTTAGCAAGCTTTTGACTCTAATTTAGCATCCCTCCTAGACTAGACAGTAGAATAAGAATCAGTTGATCAGCAAAAAATAATAACTAACAATTACTGAGCTGTTCAGTTCTTACTATGTGCAAGGCTAACAACATTACACATATTAACTAACTTTAATTCTCACAGCAACCCTATGAGGTTAGGACTAATAATATTATTGCCCTTATTTTACAGATGATGAAATCAAGGCATATAGAGTTCAAGTAACTTTTCCAAGGTCAGATAGGTAGTGAGTGGTAGTGCTGAGATTCAAACCCAAGCAATCTGGCTCTAGGCCCACAATGTCTGTTACACCATAGTGCCACTGCAAATATGCAAGCCACTTGATAGTTGTATTTTTTTTTTTGTAAAGTAATCAATAGTCCAGCTGCTTCTAAAACTAAAGCCAAACAACAATGTGTCTCCTAATAACATACATAGTAAAACACCTTTATTGTGGTCTGAGAGGTTATTACATCTCAGTCTCTACTCACAACTATTCCAAACCTTCTTTATTCTTCTTCAGCCTCCAACACATACTCCTCTCCTCTCACAGATGATGATATCACCTCCTACTTTTCAGAGAAAAAAAGAAGCTATCATATGTCAACTCCCACATCTTCCTGACAGCAAGTATATTAACCTACCACTGTACACATCCTGTCATCTTTCAGAGCTAATCTTTCTCCTGTGCTGTGTATCCTATGTCTTTCCATCTTCACAAGATTCTTACACTATCAACTACAGCTTTTCCAGCCTATATGTGTAACCTCATCCTTTCGACTGGATCCTTCCTACTGACTTTCATGTATTCTCAGACTGTCTGATTAAAATAACTGAAATCTTCACTGACCCCATATCCCTTTCCAGCTATTAACCTATCTCTCTTCTCCCCTTCTTTACAATTTCTCAAGAGTTGTCTATCTTCCCTGTTTCTAGTTTCTCTCCCCTACCACTTACTCAACTCACTCCAACTTGATTTGTACCCAACTCACTCTACCAAATCAGCTTTTACCAATTACCTCCCTAAATGTAACTAAACGCGCCACCACTTTTATTCCTTTTATTTGACTTTTAAGTAACTTTGGACACTGTTTACCACCCCCTTCTTTTCAAAACCTTCTCCTACCCTGGCTTCCCTTAGACTATACTGTCCTGGTTTTCCTCTTACACTTCTGGCTGCTTTTTCTCAGCTCCCTTCACCAGCTCCTCCTCTACGAGCCATTGTATGTTCCTCAAGGCTGGTATACATCTAGGTAAATATAAACAACCATATTTTTCTCATTTTATTTAAAATACATGTGGGTACTTTAAGTCTTGTGAGGTTTATCATGTATATAAATGTAATACTTACGATAACTATAACAAAAAGGATGGTGGAGGAGAGGTTAATGGACCTCTGTGGTTTCAAGATTCTACATTTTTCATGAAGTAGTCCAGTATTGAGTCTAAGTAGACTGGAAAGTTAAGGGTGTTTATTGTTATCTCTGGGAAACAATTAAAAAGTAACACAAAGAGATAAAGTTAAAAACCAATAGTTAAATTAAAATGGAGTTTGGAAATATTCAAGTGACCCAAAAGAAGGCTAGAAAGAGAGAGAATAGAGGCACCAACAAGAATACCAATGGAAATCAAATAATAAAATGGTAGACCTAAATGCAGCCATAGCCATAACTATATTAAATATTCATTTTAATGATGTCCAATTTATAAACCTTTGCCATTATGAATCAGTCTATTTTGTGTACTTCTTTAAGAGGTATAGCTGAGACTCGTATTCACGACTAACTCCAAAGCCCATTTTTTACAGCCAGTAGTTTGTAGTACCTCCCAGTATCTGTGTTTCAGGAGATCTGCACTCTCAGTCTTGGGCATAAAGGACTGCACAAGAAGTCTGGAAAAGAGAAAATCCAGGCTTCCTCATAAGAGAAGAAATCCCAAGATCCTGAAGGGCCTAAAGAATCTAATAACAAAAGAGACAGCTTCTGCCTTTGAATGACTTACTGCTCCATCGCCCAAGGAGTGATATAAAGGTCTATATACAGGACACAGATGCTTACAGTGTAGGGTTTCTGTCTATGACAATTCAAACAAGAACTAGATGGAGCCACCATTAGCCCTGCAGCCACACCAGTGTCACTAATCATGGCTTCTGAATATACCCAGAGAGTTCAGCAGAAGTTAATTTAGGACAGTGAGATTCTTTCAGAGCACTGAGTTATACACTGATTGATTTTTGCTCTAAATCCAATTTAATCGATGAACCACATGTATATTGAGATTCCCTGCAAATTCTTGACCTTTTTTCTCCATCCACATATTACCTCTTGCTACATCCTTATGCCATCTACTCCTAAGTTCCATTCTGTTAAACTAATTAACAGTTATCCTAGGACTTCTGATTTCTCTTTTCACCCCAAATCCTTCAGTGTCCCTGAATCTTGTTTCCATGGGAACAACTAGAATTTGGTTCTGTAACGTTTTATTTGATTTCTTTTCCTGTAAATTACCCTGTAACACACTGAAATATGACTTTTTCCTCCTCTCACATACTGCCACACACCCCTTCATAATGAAACCCATCTTTCCAAGGTCATCAAAGGCCTCCATGTTGCTAAACACATTGGAAGATTTTCTCAGCAGTATTTAACATTGTTGATCATTTTATTCTTCCTGGGAAATTTTTTTCCCTCTGCTTTCTTTATAGTCATCCTTCTGGCTTTCCTCCTACTCCTTTAGCTGCACCATCACAATCTCCTTTAAAGGCTCTTTTTCCTCTATCTGTCAGTTAGATGTTTGTGTTTATTTAGGCTCTGTCTCAGATTTTCTGCTTTTATCAGTGTACACAATTTTCCAGCATGGTTATAATTGCCTACATTAGCTGCAAATGCCAGCTATATATTGGTGACTCCCACATCTCTGTGTCCATACTGAATCTCCTCTCTAAGCATCAGACAAGTCTGTTGAAAATGTCTGTTGGGCATGTCCACTTGAATGCCCCCCAAATAAGCTTAAACTCATCATGCTCAAAATTAAATTGTGATCTCCTCACCAACTGCCTCAGACCTGCTCCTTTTCCTCATGTTGTCTGTGTTGGTGAGTTGCACTGACCAAATACCCAATCGCAATGGTTGGAAACCTGAAAGTCTTCCGTTATTCCTTTGTCTCTCTCATATACACCCCCACTCAATCAACTACTAGGTCTTATTGAATATAACTCTCTTTCCCTCTCTCACATCTGACTATTTCTCTCCATCTGTACTGTCAACATCATAGTTCAATCCACAATCACCAGTTGCGTGAATTATCACAAAACCTTCATAGTTCATCGCCTTACCTCTAGTCTTGCTCCCACTTAAATCCATTCTTCACATTGCTGCCAGACTCATATTGGCAATATTCAACTTATTGAGCCTTTCAGTGATTGCCCGTAGCATTAGGGGAAATTTAAAACTCTTCACAGCAAAATCTAGATCCTTAGAATCAGGAGAGTCTGTGATTATCTGGGTTTAAATCTTGAATCTGCCGATCACTACCTAGGCTGTCTGGGCTATTGAGTTAACCTCACTGAGCCTCTGTTTCCTCATATGTAAAAAGAGGATAATAATAATAAAAATAATAGCAAGAAGAAAAGAAGAAGAGCCTCATAGTGTGCTGTGAGGATTTAATCAATTTACACATTACCAAAGCACTTAGAATGCTTTCTGTCTCATAATTAAATGACTGTTATCTTTATTGTCATTGTTATTTTTGTTATTCAACAAATATGTTTTGAATTTGTACTATGTGACAGGAATTGTGGTAGATAATAGCAATGCTATTTTGAACAAAATAGACAAGGTTATAGCTCTCAGGGGAACTGATTTATAATCTAGCCACATTTCTTACGTCTCACAAACTTACATTCTAAATTGTACTATTGTAGTCCCATTATATGCTGCTTTTCTCTTGCTGTTGTTCTCTGCTCTGGGCATTTTCTTGTATTCTTCCTGTCTTGGAAAACATTCTCTCCCCAACCTCCCTCACCTGTATAACTCGTTGTTCTTCAGATACCAGTTTAAATGTCACATCCAAGAGTTCTATAACTGGATTAGTTTCCCCTTAGTTTCTTAGATCTCCCCCTACCTTAACCCATTTGTATTTTACCTGTTTATGTATGTATATCCCAATGCACTCTAAACACCAAAACAGTGAGGGAGTCTGTAGGTCTTGTTTACCAGTGTTTCTCCAATATCAAGCATAGTGCCTGTTACATATAGGCATTAAGTAAATATTTGTGGAACGAAATAAGAGAGTTATTAAAGGCCAGGAGGACACTTTTGCCATGATGGCATTTTTTAAGGGGATGGGGGAGGGTACTTACCAATGAACTGATGGTCACCTTTATATACTGCATTCTATAAGCTAAAATGTCTTCATCATTCTCAAATCATCATCTGAAACATTTGTAGACTTGGAAGGCAGAGAGTAGGTAATATGTGCAGAAGATGTCTAGCAGCTATTACTTGAACTTGTAATTGTGCACACTTCCTGTCATTTTGCTTCATAATAATGGAAACACTATTTTGAATAAAGATTCACAAGAGTAATTAGTGTTAGTCAAATTGTTAAAAAAAAAAAAAACAGCTATGATGTAGTCTGAGATATTGGCATTCTACCCTAAAGTAGAACCATAGCTGTACTCCATCATGTTGAAAAAGTGTGTGCATGGCTCTCTCCTAAGAACAATTAGTGTCATAGCTCTACACACCATTGTTAGACAGAGTAATAGGTTGTGCTGCTCAGAAGAATTTCAGAAGTGATTAGAAACATTAGTTGGCTGTCTGACCAAAAAGTTACTTGGCTATAGAAAGAAGCATACTAAGGCCAGCTGTGACAAGGCTGACAAAACTTGACAAACATTCTCAGCCAAGTTCTGGCATTCATCAGATTTCCTAGCTGCTAAGATACTTTGATGTTTTGAAAGATGTACTCACATATGGCAAGCACTTCTGACTGTAATATAGTCCTGGACAGCATTACAATTGAATCATGTTATGATTCCCAAATCTCTTTCTTCAAGAAATATCTTTCTAGGAAAATCAATATTTAAAATAGTTAACTTCTCTCCCTTCCAATCCCCTCAGTGGCCCCTGAGGGTAGAGTAGAAAGATCATTGTACTGGCAAACACAAAACAGACTCAGAATCTCAGGGTAGAAATGGAACATCAGATAACTCAGTCCAACCATCCACCTTGTGCTTGAATTCTCTTCTACAACATGGTTCTTTCCCCTACAGCCTTTATGCTCTTGGACAAGTCATTTCCCCTCTGTAGACTTCAGTTTCTCCATCTATAAGAAAAGGAATTGGAGTAAATACATTCAAAATTCCTTCTATGCCATAAAAATATATGATTCAATAGCACTTAGAACACATAGGAATCCTGACCCACATAGAAAGCAGACCATGAAGCCTGTTAAGTTTTATATTCTATACAACTTGTAGTACAAAGAAATTTGACCTGAGGAATCTTACAAGACTCTAGGCAAGTTTAGGGATTCGAAAACCACTCTGAATTTTTATGCAAAACTGGAGCACTCTTCCAGTAATGGAGTCCACAGGTTGATTGATTGGCTTGTTTTACTTTACATTTATTGCAACATTTTGCATTTAAAAGATTGAGCCCAGAGTGTTCTTATAAGATTGTGTTTTGAGGGAGTGGTATTCCTTTTTCAGTTTTGCCTGTTTCTAGAGCACCCTGGACCTCCTTGGTGTATTTGAATTTGGGATAAATTTTTGTCTTTTTTCATTTCTTAAACCTTAATCTTCTCTGGCTCTTCTTAGTAGAAGGTATGAATGTCCAGTACACAGACATCCAAATGGTGTGTGAGAGTTTCCAGTACGATACCTCCCAAAGTTTCTTTTTATGTAAGAATTTTAAAATGTGTTATTTAAAATTACCAGTGCGACTTTTATTAATGAAAAGACTGGCTTGAAATGCTACCAAGCAGCACACTGGCAGTTACTTTTCTAATGAGCCTGCCACTTTAACAAGGCAAAGATGGAAAGCTGAAAGATGACATAGACTCTACTCTTTTCTTCCAACCATTTTCAGAGTTCTTGTGATAATACCCATGCATGAAATGTGGAGTAAATATTTGCCTGAAACTCTTTTTAGTATGTTTATTTATTATACTGAAAATTCTGAAATCGTGTATAGGTACTGCAGGTTTGAACAAGTGAGTACATATGTTGCTGTTGTAGGGAATCAGGTCTCCCACTGTGAAAGAAAGGGAGTTAAAATAAAGAAAGGGAGAAGACAAGATTGGGATTGGAGGTATCAATATGACACCCCAGCAATAATACTGAATTAGCAATGAGCTTATTTTGTGTGTAAATCTTGGTTTCCAAATACCACTCCCATTAAAAGGAATTATGACTCCTTAGAGAAATGGCTGATGCCAGGGCCAGGGGAGGAAAGGTACAAGATCAGCCTGGAGTAACTTGTCTTACCAGAAATTAAGAACAATGAAAGAGAGCATTTTGAAATAACCAGCTTGAAAATAACCCCACCCGACCCCCAACAAATCTGGCACAATTTGAGCATCAAAATAAATAAGGCAGGTAATGGACAATAACCCATTGAATAAAATAGAAATTCATTCCTCCATCATTATGAGAGAAAGACAGAGAGAGAGGGAGAGATGGAAAGAGAGAGACAGAATGGGAAATAGATAAAATGTCTGCTGTTAAGTATGGATGGAGTGGTAGATTTAGAAGACACCATTTTGTAATCACCATTGTAAAGATTGGTTCAGACAAGAATCATCTATTGATGTTAAATGCTAGGTAGGAGGATAGATGTGAAACAGGATATTTACATGGTATTGAAATGTCTCCCTACATTTTCCTTATCAGTTGCAAGGGGAAAATAGTAACTATACATGGAGAAAACACATGACGCTTTGATCAGTTGATCAAAATTAACCTCATCTCTCATCAGTGAGGGGTAGACCAACAATGTATGCCCCTGAATGTGCTTTCCTAAAACAGACTCAGCACCATTTTTGTAGCATAGAGGGAGGGAGTCTCACTTGAATCTAATTATGAGAAACCTAAATTGAAGCACATTCTATAAAAAAAGAACTGTATTTAAAAAAATGCCAATATCATGAAAACAAAGTAAGGCTAAGAAACTGTTTCAAATTAAAGAAGGCTAAAAGAGACATGAAAACTAAATGCAATATGTGTGATTGGACTGAATTCTATACAGCAGGGTGAAAATGCTGTAAGTGGACATCAATGAGTCAATTGACAAAAGTAGAATATGGACTGTAGATTAAAGTGTTTTATCAATATTAAATTTCCTGAATGTGATAACCACACTGTGGTTATGTAAGAGTTTCCTGTTCTTAGGCGAGAACACACTAAATAGTTAAGGGGTAATGGGGCATAGTCTCAAGTAGTTCGGAAAGAAAGATATATATATATATTTTTATATATATATATATGAGACAGAGAATGAAAATAACAAACATGGCAAAATATTAAATATTGATGAGGGGTGAAGCTGAGTAAAGGGCAGTTGGAAGTTTTCTATATTATCCTTGCAACTTTCTCAAAAGTTTGCAATTATGTCAAAATTAAAAGTTTGAAATCAACTGATGCTTATATTCATCCCAATTTTTAATGATAAATAGAATTTCTTTTTAAACTTTTCTGCCCATGAAAATAAGTTATTGAGAAATTCTTTTTACTCAAATGCATTCGTCTTCTTGGCAGCGAAAAGAAGGATGATATGAGATATGTGGAGCAACCAACTTAGAAACCACCCTTTAAAGCTAACGGGAAAATTCCTACTCAGTAGAAGGATGGAAAACACAGCATTGTGCTACTGCACACACACACACAATCTATTTTTATATCATTTTTGTTAACCTTGTTTCCCTCAGTGAAAGTCTCCATGCCACCACTTGGCTGAGCTCTATTAACATTTTCCTTGTATGTCCCTGTAGAACAGCAGGCAGAGCCATGGACTGGGAGCCAAGAAGACCTGGGCTTAAGTTCAAACTCTGTCATCTACTAGTTACGTAGGTGTAAGACTCTAACTTCAGCTTCCCTATCTACACAATGGGGACAATGATAGATTTGGGAGCACAAACTGTCTGTACCTTCCTGCAAGCCCATCAGCAGTTGCCTTGGTCATGAGGGGTTTTGTGAGGTTGGTAGTAAGTGTTGGTCTTGGTCATGTACTTGTCTTTCTGTTTACTCTGATCATCCTTTAGGATGGAGCTTGTCTGCAGAAGACATATATTCCTAATAGGAATTTGACAAGCTGCTTCCAAAAGTAGTAACTGTTAGACAATGACGTGCATTGAATTCACTGTCTTGTGCATATTAGGGCTATTTTGCTTTGTGTGTTTGAAATCTTCCAAGTAATTGTTGTATTGGCCCAGGGAGTGACAACACAAGAAACACATCTAATTTTCCCTCCAGATTTTTTTTATGTACCATTGAGGCCTATCTTTTTCATTTACTGACAAATACATTTTTTTCTTCCTGTTAGGTTTGCTGAGCCGGTCTTCCGATGAGAGAGTGGGAACTAAACTGTATTCTGCCTTCAGCCGCAAAGCTTTTGTCAGTTAGACTGTGACTGCTGAGACTTATTCCCGAGGATGTAGCGAGATAGGGCGACAGCTTCCAGATTGCTGACTAGCTATTTTGGGACTTGTAAACTTGTGGCACAACTGACTTGTAAATCAATGCTTATTTAAATGCATCTGATACCCAAACGTATAAACCAACCATTTAACCTAGTGAGCCTTGTTCACATTCAAATCCTAATTTTCTCTAATTCTTTTTCATCTTCTCTTCATATTTTATGCCATTTATGAAACAAGTAGGATTAAATACCAAAGAGAAAATAAAATGTGGTTGGTAAACATAGGACATACACAGTGGTTTACATACTTGTAATCCTTGGCTTTTTAAAAATTTTCATCTTCAGTTCTCTTAGATAATTTTCTCCACCAAAATCTTTGACCACAGCAGTTTTCCTTAGCTGTACTTAAAGAGTTTTATGAAAGGAAGGAGTATGATTTGGAATATTAAGTAGCAAGCTGGGGAAATGAGTGCTGTGTTTCTAATTCCTGACATTAGTGCTTCATGACTAATGACTCAGCAGTCTTCTGTAAGATGGGACTAAGGATACAGATGATATATAAGTAAAAACCTATAAAAGTGTGCAATGTGATATAAATTCAAAATTCTAACAAATATTCCCTCTAAGATTCTTGACTAGAACAAAAAAAGGCTAGATTCCGAAAGCCCAAAGTCCATCCTGAACTAATTAGTAGATATCAAAGGAATACTCCTCAAATGCTCCAAAGCTGTTCAAGCCTGCAGGCAATATGTGATATGATACTTTAACTCCCTGGTGTGAGAATTAAATGGTGTACTGGTTTTCTATTGCTGCTGTAACAAATTACCACAAATTTCATGGCTTTAATCATACAAAGGTATTGCAGTTCTGTAGGTCAGAAGTTTGACACTTGTCTCACTAGGCTAAAAACAAGATGTCAACAAAGCTGTGTTACTTTCTGGAGATTATCCTGGATTACCCAGGTGGGCCCAATGTAGTCAAAAGATGCTTACAATGGAAGCAGAGGTCAGAGAGAGAAATGTGGCAACAGAAGGAGAGGTTGGAGTGATACACATTAAAGATCGAGAAAGGGAGTCACAAGCCAAGGCATGCAAGGGGTTCCTAAAAGTTTGAAAAGGCAAAGAAATAGATCCATGCCGACAGCCTCCAGAAGGGATGCAGATCTACTGCCACCTTGATTTTAGCCTATAAGACCCTTTTGGACTTCTGACTTCCAGGATGCTAAGACAATACATTTGTGTTGCTTTAAACCGTTAAGCTTATGGTAATTCTTTAATGCAGAATGGGAAATATATACAGGGAGAATTCATTTCCTTGTCTTTTCTATCTTCTAAAGGTCACCTGCATTCATTGGTTCCTGACTCTGTCCTCTATCATTAAAGCCAGTAAAACTGATTCTCTCTCTGACTCTTCTTCCATCATCATGTCTTTCTACCCTTAGCTGGGAATGGTTCTCTGATTTTAAGAATTCATGTGATTAGATTTAGCCCACTCAGATAATCCAAAATAACCTCCCCACATCAAGATCCTTGATCATTTTCATGGAAAAGTCTCTTTTGCAAAGTCTCTTTTGACATGTAAGGTAACTTACTCATGGGTTTCAGAGATTAGGACATGGACATCTTTGGGGGGCTTTTATTCTGCCTACTTCAGAAGGTTTGAGTTCTACATGTAGTTTGTCAACTCTCTAGAGATGTTACTTTGAAAAAAATATTTTCAACTCTCCAGACCATAGATTTCTTTATTCATCTGTATAATGATTATAATACCCTGTTACTGTTGGAGCTCAGGATATGCCACTCCAAAAATTCTGGACTTTAGGAGACCAGAATATGCCATCCCAAAATATACTTATTTGACATATTGATTATGTATAGCTGGTTATTTTGAGGAATTGCAGACATAGGCAGAGCTCTGAAAAGCTCCCCTTTTGTAAAGGAATTTATATCTACAAAAGAAATTTTCATTAATAAAGGTAACTGTACTAGGAAGAGAACTGCTAAGAAACAACTTTTATCACCTGAGAAACTCTTACTTGCATAACAAGGCAAACTTTATTCACCGTAAATTTTCTCCCCTCATCCTCCTATAATTTGTCTTCACCACTGCCTAGAAATGCCAAGTTTCTATTCCTTTCTGTAGATCAGAATCTTATATAAGCTTCAATCATCTGACCTTTCTTTAAGTTTCCTATTTTTGTGAGACTTCCATATATACATATGTAATTAAAATTGCCCTTTTTTGCTGTTAATCTGTTTTAGGTCAATTTAATTTGTATACCAGACAAAGAACCTAGGGGGAGAGAGAGAAGCAATTTTTTTTCTCTTCTGTACTACTGATACAGACAGAAGACAGGAAAATACTGGGCAAAAGAGTGTGGTTCACTAGCAAAGGCTCCACCCTCAAGCCTGGATACCTGCAGCTCTAAATGAAGACAGGCATTCCTGTTTTCTTGCCCAAAGAGTTGTGTTTTGGCCCGCCATGTCCACTATCCTGGACCCATATAAACCCAGAACCTCAGGCTCCAGAATCAGACAAGGAGACAAGGACACAAGATGAGACAAGCAGATGAACAGCAGAACAGTGCAGCAGAGAAAGAAGACAAGAAATGTCTGAACATCAAGAGGAGTTCGGCTGGGGGCAGTTGGAGAGGAGTTCCACCACTGGATGGCCAAACTCCAGGGGAAGATCATCTTCCCACTCCATCCCCCTTCCAGCTCCCCATCCACCCCTCTGAGACCCACCTCCACCACCATAAAACCCTGACATTGATCCTTCAAATCCGTGTGTGACCCAATTCTTCTGGGACACTCGACAAGAGCTCGGGATGCAGAAAGTTCTCACACTGGCCCTCTGCCCTTGCAGAAAGGGAGAGGGGCACTGAGCTGGTTAACACTTAAGCCATCTGTAGATGGCAGAGCTAAAGGAGCATTGTAACACTGGGGTTGCAGGCACCCACCCCTAGACCCTACTGTGGGGCCTGAGCCCAAAGCGCTCACCCTGGCTCCTGCACCTGCCTGTCTGTGTGCTTCCCTTCCCTTAAGGGATTTCAGCTTATGGCAGTTGAACAGAGAACAGCACACCTGTCACACACCCTGTGAGGGGATTCAGGAAATTCTACAGTCTCACTAGTTCACAGGGTTGCTTTCAGTATTAAATCAGTGAATGCAGGTGAAAGCACTCTGTAAACTGTAAAGGCTACATAAATATATGGGATTATTATTTCTGTAAGTGTCGAGGAGCAACGATAACAGTAAGTTAAATAACAGATAATGAAGGAAGTATGGGTATCCTACCTCTTCTCCATATCAAGCCTTATAAAGCTAGTTGTGGATATCCTTAAGGGGTGGCTCATGTGAACTTACAAAGAGTGGTCTTATATTTTCTTTTCTGGATACCTTCATTAATCTCATTAATTTAAGCTGCCATCTAGCTACATGAGCATGGCATCTCACTGTGGCCTACCTGCTTCTTGGCATGGTGCCCTCCATGTCCATGCCATGTTCTCCTCATGTTTCTGAAGCTGCACAGCATAGTGATGTCAAAGACATATTAGAATTCCTTCAATCTTCTTTGAGCTGAGCTCACACTGTGTCCACATAGGATGTCCTTTTCCTCCATTTTGTGTCACGTTTGGCCACCTGACCACAATGCTGGACCATTAAAGACTGAAGACTTCTTGATGACTTAGACTTCACTCAAGATTACTTTCACTTTGTGTTGTTGCCAAACCAGAAAACAAGACTAGAAGGGATATATACCAGTTATGATTATAAATGATGCAGCTCCCAACTGCTACCCGGGTTTCTTGTGGAAGTGCCAGAAAATCAGTGGTGAATGCATTCTATGCAGAAGGAGGGATTAGCAAGTTTAGAGGAGTCAGATACCATGAACTTGCTACCCATTGTATGATTTTAGCCTGGAGGAAGACCCACATTAGCACTCTCTACCTTCATTATTCATTAAATTCTCACCATGCCACAGTTACATACTTCTGTGTTCCATTGCTTACTGAATCATTAAGGCTATGGCATACTCCACCTGTGTCTGACCATGACATACTATACCACCTGACCGTGGCATACTAGACCATGTGTTTCTCAAGTCCTTTGTAAATACAGATCTTTCTGTTTTTGCCTACAATGCCTCTATTTAAAAAGTTTAGATGCAAGACTTTGGGGATAGAACAGAAGACAGACACTGAGCTATCCTCCCCATCCTTTCTCTGCTATTTCATCTTTGCCAACAAGGTACCCACTTACAAGACTCTTCCTGACATTTCTTTCCCTTCTTCTCCTTATCTCCCTCCTTCCCCTTCTCTTTTCCTTCTCCCATGCCTCTTCTCCCCAAGGGACCAAACCAATGTAAATCGAGCCTGTAGGTGTTCCTGTCAGCTAACCAGATGCACTCAGATGTGACTGAATGTCAGTTAGGTTCAATGGGGACAAATGCTAAAATTATATTTGATGTGAAATACCATCAACAGCAGGTACAGCTATAATCATATAACAGGTACAGTTCATGATTAAAATAAAAGATGAATTTCTTAAAGCCTAGAAACTTGCAACCTAATAGGCAACACAGAGAAACTAGATATAGGCCATTTCTATACACATAAAGACAAAATCATTATAGAACCACATCAGCCGTAACTTTGGGCCGAACTAATTAACTGAGATCCTATTCCACAGCAGCATAGACATGGAAAAATCTGTTCCTGTCACTAACTAGAACAATAGCTGATCAGTTTGACTGAAAGTTGAGGTCAGAATGGTTTAGAAAGAATGCTGCAGCCACATGGGAAGAAAAAGCTCTATCAACGAACCATCCATTTCCACAATCTCAATTTTATGCTTAGTGGGAAGAACTTGGGGTACACACACATATATTAATACCTTCCCCACCCATTATGAGATATCTGATATACTTATAGCTTGCACACACTTCTGATCCTGTAGATTAGAATGATAGAGTCAGACCAGAAATTGTTAGTAAATGAGTACTTAAGGAAAAGGGAAAACAAACAATCTCAGATGTCCCCTCCCTGAACCACCCATATGGCTGGACTGGCCATTCAGTTCTTAAACTTCCTGTTGAGATGCTGTCTAAACTGTTCTTGCCTAGGGGCCCAGGGTTTGTAGAAGCCATTGAATCAGCTCTGGCACTACAGTGAGCTAATTTTTCCCCACAAGCCAGGGAGTAGAAGGGGATTGCTTGCCATTGTAATCCAGTACTCAGGAAAGAACTTCATGTCTGAGTTAAAACCAATGTGCTACGGCTGAAGCCTGGTTCTTGTCCAAGTTTGTACTTTAATGCTGAGATCATTTCACTTGGGGAAGAAGATAAAAATTCCAAATATTTTGTTTCATGCAATTTTATGCCCTGGAAGTACCTGATTCCACAGATTCTATTCAGCCAGGTTGAAGTCCTTACCTGCACCACAGTGATTAATTAACACTATATCTTCAATATAGCAAAAAATTTTTACGTTGGGAGCAGGGCACAATTTGGTGACTCTTCTAGTTTTAGAAAGAACATACAGAGAAGCTCATCCTAACTTGGTAGAAAAACCAGGTGTCAGTTTAACTAAAATGATGGAAATAACTGGCCATGTCAGTCCAACAACTGGTCTGTGGCTATTCAATTCCACCAAACCATCATTTGGGTAAAGGCCTGGTTCTTTCTAACAAGCTGTGTTATTACCTCTTTGTGAAGAACAATCTTTCTTCCTGAAATATATTTCTATCTTTGTTCTAATATATAGTGTTTTTAATATGCTCTGTATATTCCTGATAGTTATTGATAGTTTATGCTTTATAAAATTCTTCACCAAAATACGTTAAGTTTTTCCTTAGACTCCTAGATGACAGAAGTATTATAGGACCATCAGGTCCGTGCCCATTCTGAGATAACAGATCAATACACCAAGACAGTGGGAGTTGCAGCAAAGGAAATATTTAATAATCAAATGACAGTCAAACAAGGAAGTGGGAGGAAACCTCAAACCTCAAATTCACCTCCCCATGGAGTTTGGACTGGAGTTTTTCAGGGAATTTTGATGGGTAGGCAGCTCAGGAGCTGGGGTTGCTGATTGGTCAAGAAGTGAGGAGTGAAGTTATGGGACACGGAGATAAAGAAACCACATTCCTGTGCTGGGTCTGTTTCTCGGAAGAGGTCTTCAGACTGGCTAACATCCTTGGACCCATTGGAACACAGGATCTGGAATGGAAAACTTGAGGTTTCTTAATGTTAAAGATGTTATCTATAGAAGTCAGGCCCTTGTGACAGGGATTATGAGACTTCTAAGCAGTAAGCAGCTATAAGGAAGTGGGCTGTAAGGCAAGATGGCTAATACTTAGCTATGCTTCAATTCAAGGCTTATGCCTTTGTTAAAAGCCTAGCAATTTAGTTTTATTAATTTTATGAGGACAATTTCAGAAACAGAAAAAGTCACTTATTTCTTTATTCTGCTGTTTTCTACACTGTCAATTCTATTGTCTACAGTGTAATAGAAGCTGGAAACAATGAAATAATTTTGAAGTTATGGGTAACTCTCTAGCCCTCTCAAAACACATTGAAGTATTTAATAACTGAAGCAATCATGTGAGTCAAAATGTTATAAATGTAACCTATAGCACATCCATACAGGTCCCAAATGTCACCATTCCCTAGAGAATTAGTAGGCTGCAATCTCTTACTAACAAATACAAATATATATGGCAAATAAACCAGTGTACTCCTCATTCGAAACTCCCATCTTGAAAAGTGAAAGGAGACTGGGGTCAGAACAGCAGCAGACAGTGAAACATTATTTATTAGCTGTTTTCTATTGTAAGAAAAAAACCATGACAGCAAAGAAATGTGTAAGAAAACTGTTCAAGGCAAGACAGCAATACCTGAATGAGAAGTCTGAACTACTTTTCCCTTGGTAGAGTTGCTTCAGCAGCCAGTTGGAAAGATGAACACTTTTTCCAGAATATGAGTAGCACTGAGTTTAGCCATATAGTCTTCTGATGTTGTGTAATAAAATAATCAAATATGTACTATTAGAGAAGATATAAGAGAGCATGGAAGTTACATCAAAGGTTTAGTTATTTTTTTTTAATGGTGTGAGAAAAGACAACTTATGTAAAAACAAGGAAATGCCTTAGGAATAGAAACATCAATTTGAATGTCATAGAAGCCAAAAGTGTTATCCCTGGGGATGAAGATACTATTTATGATAAAACTTATTGTTTTGATTTTTCTCAGGACTCAGAAAGTAAAACATTTGTATGTAAAACCTCAAAGAAAAGAATGCATACATCTGACTGACTGTTCCAAACCTCTCCTTCAGTTGTATCATTAACACTATAGATTTATGAGGATGGAAATTAGACTGAGGAAAGCTACAGTGAATAGATCTGTGGGGAAGCCCTGTACTATGTGAGTGAGGTAGAGTTGAGGATTAGTTGGCTTTGTAATGCCTAATGGAAACTAGAAATTGCTCATATGGAATTCTCTAGAAGTTGCCTTCATTTTGTGGCAGAGATTTTTTTCTGTTTTAAATTTATTTAATTTTTTGTGTTGTTGTTCTTGTTTGAGACAGAGTCCCGCTCTGTGGCCAGGCTGGAGTACAGTGGCACAATCTCGGCTCACTGCAACCTCCGCCTCCTGGTTTCAAGCAATTCTCCTGCCTCAGCCTCCTGAGTAGCTAGGAATAAAGGCACATGGCACCACGCCCAGCTAATTTTCTTTTTTTTTTGTATTTTTAGTAGAGACGGGGTTTCGCCATGTTGGCCAGGATAGTCTCGATCTCTTGACCTCATGATCCACCAGCCTTGGCCTCCCTAAGTGCTGGGATTACGGGTGTGAGCCACTGCACCCGACCTATTTAATGTTTTTGAATGAGTGACAGCCTTAGATATTGAGCAGACTATTTTCCAAAGATTTTTTTTTAAAGGGGAATGATAGTTCTCTGTCATACTCTAAAAACAAAGACATTTTGGTCATTCATTAAAGACCATACAATGCTCATAAAATTGCAAAGGGAAAACAACAATCCTGCCAAGAGCAAACAGAAAGGTAAAGTGCCAAGTCTCTCTGCAATTAGTTTTTTACCAAGTGCTAGAAGTGTTGGTAGATATGTGTATGCAGGGCCCTGAAAATAAGCAAATGAACATGTTTAACCTCTGGGCCAGATGAGCTGGATGGAAGTGTCATGTTAGATTGCATAATGTCTTGGGGAAGCCACACAAGGTGTCAGTACAAACTAGGCTGGTACCCATCAAATATTAGATTCACCAGCTAAGAAAGGCATTGCCATCCAATTAAGTGACTTTCTAAAAGGAAAAAAGAACATGATAATTCTATTTCAGTGAGCTGTTGCTTTTGGAAAGTATATTGTATGAGATGTAAAATTATCCACTGAGGAGAGACTTACAGAGTGAATCTACATCATGTTGCTCAATTTGCAAATGCATAAACTGAGATCCAGGTAAGGCAAGTGATTTCCTCTAGGAGAGTGCATAGAAAAGCAAAGGTGGGGCTGGGAGTGGTGGCTCATGCTTATAATCCCAGCACTTTGGGAGGCCGAGGTGGGTGGATCACCTGAGGTCAGGAGTTTGAGACCAGCCTGGCCAACATGGTGAAACCCCGTCTCTACTAAAAGTACAATAATTAGCTGGGTGTGGCAGCAGGCGCCTGTAATACCAGCTACTCGGGGGGCTGAGACAGGAGAACCGCTTGAACCTGAGAAGCGGAGGTTGCAGTGAGCCGAGATGGCACCATTGCACTCCAGCCTGGGTGACAAGAGTGAAACTCAGTATCAAAAAGAAAAGAAAAATGAAAAAAATAAAAGAAAAAGTGGGCCTGACTAGTGCTAGACTTGGACAGAGCTATTTGCAAAACAAAAGTTCTAACCATACTCCCTGAATACCCTTCCAAGTTTTCCTCAAACTGGAGATTTTGAAATTCTTACAGACTGTTATTTGTAAGATAATACAAAATATTATTTTTATATATTAAGGAAGTACATGTGCAGTTTTGTTACATGGATACATTGCATAGTGGTGACATCTGGGCTTCTAGTGTAACCATCACCTGAATAGTGTACATCGTACCCATTAAATAATTTCTCATCCCTCACCCCCGTGCGGCTATCCCACTTTTCTGAGTCTCTGATGTCTCTTATTCCACACTCTATGTCCATGTGTACACATTATTTAGCTCCCACCTAAATGCAAAATATTCCCTGACATTTCACTCAGGGTATTTCATGAGGAGAGCAGAGTGGATATTGTAGGTAATACTGATAAATAGAAAAGAGGCTAAGGTCAAATCAGGGGTGATTCAAATTTGCTTATGATCTGAACCCAAATTAAACCCAAGTGGGCCAAGGTATGTTCTTACAATTTGAGCATAGGGCTTTGATCATCTCCCTTCTGTCCTGCTTGAAGCAAATTTTGCTCAATAGCAATATACCCATTTAACAGCCCAAGTGATGAATTAACAGAGTGTTAATTAAAGGAATTTTATCTGTAATACTACCAATTACTTATTCATTAAGGAATAAATAAATTCATTTATTCATTAATTCATTTATTCATTAAGGCTGAGGCAGGTGGATCACCTGAGGTCAGGAGTTCGAGACCATCCTGACCAACATGGTGAAACCCCATCTCTACAAAAAACACAAAATTAGCCAGGCATGGTGGCGCATACCTGTAATCCCAGCTACTTGGAAGTCTGAGGCAGGAGAATCATTTGAACCCAGGAGGTGGATGGTGCAGTGAGCCAAGATGGCGCCGTTGCACTCCAGCCTGGGCAACAAGAGCAAAACTCCATCTCCAAAATAAATAAATAAATAAACAAAATGTATGGGAAATCATTATCTTCTGGCACTGACCTGGAATAAGTTCATGGAGAATGAAACAAAATAAAAACCCCAAATCCTGTTTTTCAGGCTGAAACAACTTTGAAATAATGGAGGAGCATAGCAGTAAAAATGTGAACAAAATATGAAATCCTGCCCTATTCCCTAGGCCTGGGTTTGCCAGTAGATAATCCTTTCTTCCTGTATGAGATAACATGTGAATGAAGTACCTTAAACTGGCACGGCCCTGAATGCTTTCTAAATAGCATAGGTATTGGTTGATATTAAATAGTCATACATACACACCCATACACATGAGTGTATGTACACATATACACACATACATAGAAAACCTAGCTAGTGCTACATTTGGTTTAAACTATGAGGTGATTTATTGTCTCTGCCTTTTGATTCTCTACTTGTACCCGGCTGTAGTTTGAGTGTGCCCCCCAAAGTTCATGTGTTGGAAACTTAATCCTAATGCAACAGTATTGGGAGGTGGGGCCTAATAAGAGGTAATCAGGTCATGAGGGCTTTGTCCTCATCAATGGATTAATGCCGTAATCAAGGGAGTGGACTAGTTATTACGAAGTGGCTTTGTTATAAAAGTGAGTTTGGGGCTGGGCGTGGTGGCTCACGCCTGTAATACCAGCACTTTGGGAGGCCGAGGTGGTGGATCATGAGGTCAAGAGTTTGAGACCAGCCTAGCCAACATGATGAAACCCCGTCTCTACTAAGAATACAAAAGTTAGCCAGGCGTGGTGGTGGGTGCCTGTAATCCCAGCTACTTGGGAGGCTGAGACAGGAGAGTCGTTTGAACCCAGGAAGCGGAGGTTGCAGTGAGCCAAGATCGTGCCACTGCACTCCAGCCTGGGCGACAGTGCTAGACTTCATCTCAAAAAAAAAAAAAAAAAAAAAGCGAAAAAGCCTCTCTCCTCTCTGCATCTCTGTCTCTGTGTCCTCTCTCTTCATCTTACCTCCTCTGCTTTCATATGGCCTAAGTTGGCTGAAGCAACCATTCAGGTCAATCACCCTCCCATTTTCTAACTAGATTTATGTATCTTACTTCAAATTCTTGAGGAAGAGCAATTGGCTGACATCAGTATCCCTAGTCCAGTCAGATATGTCTGGGGGTTGAGACGTGGGGCACAGAATCATTAAAGTATGCCACCATTGTGAACTGGAGTGGCTATGCTAAAAGAAGGAGTTGAATTTGGACAAAGAACTGAATTAACATGATAACTTTGCTACTATCAAAGCCATGATTTCTCAAAAGAAACAAACCTTAGGCTGGGCGTAGTGGCTCACGCCTGTAATCCCAGCACTTTGGGAGGCCGAGGTGGGTAGATCACCTGAGGTCGGGAGTTGGAGACCAGACTGACCAACGTGGAGAAACCCCGTCTCTATTAAAAATACAAAATTAGCCTGGTGTGGTAGCACGTGACCGTAATCCCAGCTACTCGGGAGGCTGAGGCAGGAGAATCGCTTGAATCCGGGAGGCAGAGGTTGCGGTTAACTGAGAAGCCATGATTTCTTTTTATTCAAATGAAATAAGCTTTGAAAATATGCCATTACCCAGTTAATGGTTTATCTTAACCATGACATGCAATCATCCTCAGTATGTCAGCTATATTACATCTTTATCGTTACCACCTAGTTTTATGCCAGAAACTTTGTAATCAGTAAGTAGGACTCAGTACAATAGTTCACTGTTTAGCCAAATAAAGCAACTGAAGTAAATAATCATTAAAATATGTCGTACATTTTAAATATTTTAACAAATACTTTTTGAAAAACAGGTTGATTAATGGATACCTCCTCCCTTCTAGGGTCCAATACAGATATGTCATGGAAAATCACTTTTCCATGATTTTTTTCCTACCCTCTAGCCTCTTCCTTAGGTATGGGTTGACACTTGGAGTTTTGTGCTATCTTGCTATTATACAAGCCACATCTATAATATTTTCCCATTTGGGTTCCTTTAAAGTGGAATGAGAACTTTAAAAGATCCACAAGAGGAAGTGATATGATAGCTGAGATTTGCTTTAAAATAATTTGGCAGGAGAGTGGGTGAGGTATAGATAAAACCAGATTGTACCTGTAGAGATAATTGTTGAAGCTGGGTGATGAGTATATCATGTTAATTACAGTCAACTTTCTAATTTTAGATATGTTTGCAATTTTCCATAAAATAAACTAAAAAACAAAACGTGTGAAGCAATCTGAATGTAGAATCTTCCTAAACTATTGTAATTTTCCTATCTTCTGCTTTTTTCTCACCCACGCCAAATTTGACGGATTTTTTTCAGCATCCTGTTTTAACTAAGGCTTACAAAGACATTCAGCCGAGATTTCATTGAAGCAACAACTCACTTTGCATTCATATTTCATCAGTTTATATAATAGTTAATTAAATCACATAATTATATTATTATGCACAACTGGCATAAATAGATTTGGAACAAGCTCAACTAATGTTTGGTAAGCGTACAACTTAAATGATTGAAGCAGAAATGTCTGGGCGAACTAGATATTTCCAGCCACACTACTTCTAACCACTCTATTAGCCACAAGCAGTTAGTATACCATGGCCATTCCTTGCTGGGTCTTACTGTTAATTAATTCAGTGGCTGATTAAGCAGAAGTTCACAAAGAGAGAGAGTGTAGTATATACTGCTTACTATTACTGCTACTATTATGATTGTATGTTCTTCTACATTTTTCGAACTGTAACTCTCACTTCATATAAGCCTCTTTCACAATCTCAAACTTGGAAAAGTTGAAGACTTTCATGCTTGCCTTAATTGATCTTCTGGAGTGTAATGGAGGCAGTGGGAGCAATTTTTTCAGTTATTTGTATTTGGCAAGCACAGAGGGTGGGGGTGTTTCATTTCCATATTCTTCTTATTGTATTTTTCTGCTTTCTCACAACCCTCTGATTCAGCTTGTTCCCTTAAAAATAATAGAAGTAGGTTGTTTTATGGACATTGGCTTTGGCAAGAAGCCTGTTTACACTTGCTAAGCCCCCTAGTAGCAATATCAAGAAATTAATTAAAATGCTGAGACCACAGTACCTACCCAGAGAGGCAAAGAATGAGTGTGCTAGTAGTCCCCTGCTCTAAATCTTTGCAATCATTTGTTGAAATACCTTGAGGAAGTAAGTTTCTATTTCACCATGCAGGGTGATATAAGGTGATATGACATGCCAATTTTTTTAAATGATAAAACTATAGGGACTAAAATTTCCTCTTTCTCCTCCTCCCTCCATGACACCTAATAAAGCTGCTTCCAGAATGAAATAGTCATACTGCCCACTGAGTTTCTTTTATCAAACTCATAACTGTGGATGTTGGAAAGGACTGCTTTCCCTTTGTTTAACCACTTTAGTATGACTAACTCATGAACACACAGGAGCAAGGCAATTTGCTCCTCCATTTTCCATCTCCAGTATGCAGCAGCAGCGTGCGTTCTGAGTCACGTAGAGAACACTCTTCAGAATGCATGCTGTAAGCTCAGAGGGGCTAATAATCAAATTAGGCTGCTAACAAATGGCAATTTATAATGCTGAAACTAATGAGAGGTCAAAGAACTAAACTCTGCAAGGAGTTTTAATTATCCTGTCCTTTGTGACTCCACAAGAGCATTTTTAAAGGAACTCTTTCACACAGTATTCAACTGGTACTTTCAGTTTCATTAAGAAGATTTACATAACCTATTACATAAATGGGAAATATGTACTTTATTTCCAAGTAGAGCAGGAACCTAAAACCTTCTTTTCAGGGTTGAAAAGCAAGCACCATCTTGGTTTGATATTCAATTACAATACCACTCATGGAATACCTTCCTTCCTACAGCACTCCTGAATGGAGTAACACAGAGCCTCTGTCTTCAAGGGAATCTCTAGATGAGATAGCATATATAAAGAGAAGAACTCTAACAAACCGACTATAATTGGATTTTTTTTTCTGTCCTTGTTTCCTACGCCATTTTGCTTTTTTCTTTTTATTTCCATTTCCCTCTGCCACATGTTCATCTATACACCACCATCACCACAATCATCACTTCTGCAGGTCAAAGTGCTCTTCATCTTTCATGGCCTAACTTCTTCCTGGGCTTTATTTGGAACAGGTTTGTTTATTTACTTGTTTGTTTGTTTGTTTGTTTGAAAGGGAGTGACAAAATTGATTTAACTGGAGAAAGCCATGATATCAACAGAATGTAGAACCTCTCAGGCAAAAATAAAAACAAAAAGCTGCTATATTCAAAAGCTGCTGTATTCAAAAGCTGGAGAAAAGATTAATTTCGAGGCATTTGAGATTTAAACATCAATAGACTATGAGCACTGCTGATCTGAAAAGACTTTTGCTGCTAAAGCGGTTAATTGTCCAAAGGTAGTGTCCACCCGTCAAGCCAATTTAAGGCCAAAGAATGCATCTGGGCAAAGAGCTTTCTTTTATCCATAACTGTATCGATAAAACAGCAAATAGAACACAAGAAAATGGAGCATATCTGTATCATCAGAGCAGCAAGACAATTGGCCCAAAGCATTGAGGAGTCTGGGTGTTGAACTAGTTGCCCTTTAATTTTGACAAAAAAACAAACCTCAAAACAAAGTATAAAAGCAAATACACTGTACAAGGAAATTGAAAACAATACACATTTTACAAGCTTTCTCCTGGAAAAAAAGACAATGTCTGGAAATTCTTCTGCTAAACTTATCATTGCCACACTCTGCCATATGACATTGCTCTATTGTTCTTTTACATTGTTAGCGCATTGTTTTGTGAGACAGTATACCTTAAGGGTTAAGGACATGTGCCCTAGAGTCAAACTAAATCCCAGTTCTGTCACTTACCAGTCATGTGGTCTGGAGCAAGTTACTTTTTCCTTTTTAAACCTCGGTTTCCTCATTTGTAAAACTGGGATTACAGCAAGGCAGAAAGAGTTTTGGCTTTGGAGCCAAAATTATCCCCTCATTAAAATGGGACTGATCATTATCATGACTTTACAGGGTCATTGTGAGAATTTTAGAACATACATGAAGCACCTGGTAAGAGTTCAATAAATATGTATTTAATACCTACTTCAGAAGGTCATTGTGAGGATAAAATGAGATAATGAATGAAGAGCTTTTAGCTCTGTATAGTAAGTGCTAACTAAGAAGTGCTCAATAAATACTAATAGATGGAAGAAAAAAATTTTCTTGAGCCTGGGGGGCTGTGAATTAAACTAACAAAAGACAAATTAACAGAAGGAGAGGAGTACTATTTTCATTAATATTTATGTACAAGGGAGTTCACAGAAAAGACGTGAAACTCAAAGAAGTAGACTCAGGGGCTTATATATAATTTTAACAAAGGAAATGGGGGTTGGGCTTTGATATAGTTTGGATATTTGTCCCAACCAAAATCTCATACTGAAATGTAACACCCAATGTTGGAGGTGAGGTCTAGTGAGAGGTGTTTGGGTCATGGGGGTGGATCCCTCATGACTTGGTGCTGTCCTCATAGTAGTGAGTGAGTTCTTGGGAGATCCGGTTTTTTTAAAGTGTGTGGCACCTCCCCAATACTTTCTCTTGCTCTTGTTCTCACCATGTAATGTGCCTACTCTCCCTTCACATTCCACCATAAGTAAAAGCTCCCTGAGAACTCCCCAGAAGCTGAGCAGATGCCAGTGCATGCTTGTACAGCCTGCAGAATGGTGAGCCAATTAAATCTCTTTTCTTTATAAATTACCCAGTCTCAGGTATTTCTTTAGCACAATGCAAGAACAGCCTAATACAGGCCTCAAGGGAAGGTAAATCATGAGAAAGTGACTACAAAACAAATGGGAGAGGTTCCAAGATGGCCAAATAGGAACAGCTCCAGTCTACAGCTCCCAGCATGAGCAACACAGAAGACAGGTGATTTCTGCATTTCCAACTGAGGTACCAGGTTCACCTCACTGGGGCTTGTCAGACAGTGGGTGCAGCCCATGGAGCAGGGTGGGGCATCACCTCACCCAGGAAGACAAGGGGTGGGGGAATTCCCTTTCCTAGCCAAGGGAAACCATGACAGACGGTACCTGGAAAATCGGGACACTCCCACCCTAATACTGCACTTTTCCAATGGTCTTAGCAAACCACACACCAGTGGATTATATCCTGTGCCTGGCTCCGAGGGTCCCACACCCACGGAGCCTCACTCACTGCTAGCACAGCAGTCTGAGATCAAACTGCAAGGCGGCAGTGAGGCTGGGGGAGGGGCATGCACCATTTGCTGAGGCTTGAGTAGGTAAACAAAGTGGCCAGGAAGCTTGAACTGGGTGGAGCCCACCGCAGCTCAAGGAGGCCTGCCTGCCTCTATAGACTCCACCTCTGGGGGCAGAGCATAGCTGAACAAAAGGCAGCAGAAACTTCTGCAGACTTAAACGTCCCTGTCTGACAGCTTTGAAGAGAGTAGTGGGTCTCCCAGCATGGAGTTTGAGATCTGAGAATGGACAGACTGCCTCCTCAAGTGGGGCCCTGACCACCGAGTAGCCTAACTGGGAGACACCTCCCAATAGGGGCCGACTGACACCTCATACAGCCAGGTGCCCCTCTGAGACAAAGCTTCCAGAGGAAGGATCAGGCAGCAACATTTGCCGTTCTGCAATATTTGCTCTTCTGCAGCCTCTGCTGGTGATACCCAGGCAAACAGGGTCTGGAGTGGACCTCCAACAAACTCCAACAGACCTGCAGCTGAGGGTCCTGACTGTTAGAAGGAAAACTAACAAACGGAAAGGACATCCACACCAAAACCACATCTGTAAGTCACCATAATCAAAGACCAAAGGTAGATAAAACCACAGAGATGGGGAGAAACCAGAGCAGAAAAGGTGAAAATTCTAACAATCAGAGCACCTCTTCTCCAAAGGAATGCAGCTCCTCGCCAGCAACAGAACAAAGCTAGACAGAGAAAGACTTTGACGAGTTGAGAGAAGAAGTCTTCAGACGATCGGTAATAACAAACTTCTCCGAGCTAAAGGAGGATGTTCGAACCCATCGCAAAGAAGCTAAAAATCTTGAAAAAAGATTGGACAATGGCTAACTAGAATAAACAGTGTAGAGAAGACCTCAAATGACCTGATGGAGCTAAAAACCATGGCACGAGAACTACGTGAAGCATGCACAAGCTTCAGTAGCCAATTTGATCAAGTGGAAGAAAGGGTATCAGTGATTGAAGATCAAATGAATGAAATGAAGTGAGAAGTTTAGAGAAAAAAGAGTAAAAAGAAATGAACAAATCCTCCAAGAAATATGGGACTATGTGAAAAGACCAAATCCATGTCAGATTGGTGTACCTGAAAGTAATGGGGAGAATGGAGCCAAGTTGGAAAACACTCTTCAGGATATTATCCAGGAGAACTTCCCCAAATTAGCAAGGCAGGCCAACATTCAAATTCAGGAAATACAGAGAATGCCACAGAGATACTCCTCGAGAAGATCAACTCCAAGACACATAATTGTCAGATTCACCAAAGTTGAAATGAAAGAAAAAATGTTAAGGGCAGCCAGAGAGAAAGGTCGGGTTACCCACAAAGGGAAGCCCATCAGACTAACAGTGCATCTCTCAGCAGAAACTCTACAAGCCAGAAGAGAGTGGGGGCCAATATTCAACATTCTTAAAGAAAAGAATTTTCAACCCAGAATTTCATATCCAGCCAAACTAAGCTTCATAAGTGAAGGAGAAATAAAATACTTTACAGGCAAACAAATGCTGAGAGATTGTGTCACCACCAGGCCTGCCTTACAAGAGCTCCTGAAGGAAGCACTAAACGTGGAAAGGAACAACCAGTACCAGCTACTGCAAAAACATGCCAAATTGTAAAGACCATCGATGCTAGGAAGAAATTGCATCAACTAACGAGCAAAATAACCAGCTAACATCATAATGACAGGATCAAATTCACACATAACAATATTAACCTTAAATGTAAATGGGTTAAATGCTCCAATTAAAAGATACAGACTGGCAAATTGGATAAAGAGTCAAGACCCATCAGTGTGCTGTATTCAGGAGAACAATCTCACATGCAGAGACACACATAGGCTCAAAATAAAGGGATGGAAGAAGATCTACCAAGCAAATGGAAAACAACAAAAAGCAGGGGTTGCAATCCTAGTGTCTGATAAAACAGACTTTAAACCAACAAAAATCAAAAGAGACAAAGAAGGCCATGACATACTGGTAAAGGGATCAATTCAGCAAGAAGAGCTAACTATCTTAAATATATATGCACCCAATACAGGAGCACCCAGATTCATAAAGCAAGCCCTTGGAGACCTGCAAAGAGATTTAGACTCCCACATAATAATAATGGGAGACTTTAACACCCCACTGTCAACATTAGACAGATCAACAAGACAGAAAGTTAACAAGGATAGCCAGGACTTGAACTCAGCTCTGCACCAAGCAGACCTAATAGACATCTACAGAACTCTCCACCCCAAATCAACAGAATATACATTCTTCTCAGCACCACATCGCACTGATTCCAAAATTGACCACACAGTTGGAAGTAAAGCTCTCCTCAGCAAATGTGAAAGAATGGAAATTATAACAAACAGTCTCTCAGACCACAGTGCAATCAAACTAGAACTCAGGATTAAGAAACTCATTCAAAACTGCTCAACTACGTGTAAACGGAACAACCTGCTCCTGAATGACTACTGGGTACATAACGAAATGAAGGCAGAAATAAAGATGTTCTTTGAAACCAATGAGAACAAAGACACAACATGCCAGAATCTCTGGGACACATTTAAAGTAGTGTGTAGAGGGAAATTTATAGCACTAAATGCCCACAAGAGAAAGCAGGAAAGATCTAAAATTGACACCCTAACATCACAATTAAAAGAACTAGAGAAGCAAGAGCAAACACATTTAAAAGCTAGCAGAAGGCAAGAAATAACTAAGATCAGAGCAGAACTGAAGGAGATAGAGACACAAAAAACCCTTCAAAAAATGAATGAATCCAGGAGCTGGTTTTTTGAAAAGATCAGCAAAATTGATAGACCACTAGCAAGACTAATAAGAAAAGAGAGAAGAATCAAATAGATGCAATAAAAAATGATAAAGGGAATATTACCAATGATCCCACAGAAATACAAACTACCATCAGAGAATACTATAAACTCCTCTGCGCAAATAAATTAAAAAATCTAGAAGAAATGGATAAATTCCTGGACACATACACCCTCCCAAGACTAAACCAGGAAAAAGTTGAATCCCTGAATAGACCAATAACAGGCTCTGAGATTGAGGCAATAATTAATAGCCTACCAACCAAAAAAAGTCCAGGACCAGACAGATTCACAGCTGAATTCTACCAGAGGTACAAAGAGGAGCTGGTACCATTCCTTCTGAAACTATTCCAATCAATAGAAAAAGAGGGAATCCTCCCTAACTCATTTTATGATGCCAGTATCATTTTGATACCAAACCCTGGCAGAGACACAACAAAAAAAGAGAATTTTAGACCAATATCCCTGATGAACATCGATGCAAAAATCCTCCATAAAATACTGGCAAACTGAATCCAGCAGCACATCAAAAAGCTTATCCACCATGATCAAGTTGGCTTCATCCGTGGGATGCAAGGCTGGTTCAACATACGCAAATCAATAAATGTAATCCAGCATATGAACAGAACTAAAGACAAAAAACACATGATTAACTTAACAGATGCAGAAAAGGCCTTTGACAAAATTCAACAGCCCTTCATGCTAAAAACTCTCAATAAACTAGGTATTGATGGGATGTATCTAAAAATAATAAGAGCTATTTATGACAAACCCACAGCCAATATCATACTGAATGTGCAAAAACTGGAAGCATTCCTTTTGAAAACTGGCACAAGACAGGGATGCCCTCTCTCACCACTCCTATTCAACATAGTGTTGGAACTTCTGGCCGGGGCAATCAGGCAGGAGAAGGAAATAAAGGGTATTCAATTAGGAAAAGAGGAAGTCAAATTGTCCCTGTTTGCAGATGACGTGATTGTATATTTAGAAAACCCCATCATCTCAGCCCCAAATCTCCTTAAGCTGATAAGCAACTTCAGCAAAGTCTCAGGATACAAAATCAACGTGCAAAAATCACAAGCATTCCTATGCACCAATAACAGACAAACAGAGAGCCAAATCATGAGTGAACTCCCATTCACAATTGCTTCAAAGAGAATAAAATACCTAGGAATCCAATTTACAAGGGATGTGAAGGACCTCTTCAAGGAGAACTACAAACCACTGCTCAACGAAATAAAAGAGGACACAAACAAATGGAAGAACATTCCATGCTCATGGATAGGAAGAATCAATATCATGAAAATGGCCATACTGCCCAAGGTAATTTATAGATTCAATGCCATCCCCATCAAGCTACCAATAACTTTCTTTTCTTCACAGAATTGGAAAAAACTACTTTAAAATTCATATGGAACCAAAAAAGAGCCTGCATTGCCAAGAGAATCCTAAGCCAAAAGAACAAAGCTGGAGGCATCACACTACCTGACTTCAAACTATACTACAAGGCTACAGTAACCAAAACAGCATGGTACTGGTACCAAAACAGAGATATAGATCAATGGAACAGAACAGAGCCCTCAGAAATAACGCCGCATATCTACAACTATCCGATCTTTGACAAACCTGAGAAAAACAAGCAATGGGGAAAGGATTCCCTATTTAATAAATGGTGCTGGGAAAACTGGCTAGCCATATGTAGAAAGCTGAAACTGGATCCCTTCCTTACACCTTATACAAAAATTAATTCAAGATGGATTAAAGACTTAAATGTTAGACCTAAAACCATAAAAACCCTAGAAGGAAACCTAGGCAATACCATTCAGGACATAGGCATGGGCAAGGACTTCATGACTAAAACACCAAAAGCAATGGCAACAAAAGCCAAAATTGACAAATGGGATCTAATTAAACTAAAGAGCTTCTGCACAGCAAAAGAAACTACCATCAGAGTGAACAGGCAACCTACAGAATGGGAGAAAATTTTTACAATCTACCCATCTGACAAAGGGCTAATATCCACAATCTACAAATAATTTAAACAAATTTACAAGAAAAAATAAAACAACCCCATCAAAAAGTGAGCAAAGGATATGAGCACACACTTCTCAAAAGAAGACATTTATGCAGCCAATAGACATGAAAAAATGGTCACCATCACTGGTCATCAGAGAAATGCAAATCAAAACCACAATGAGATACCATCTCACACCAGTTAGAATGGCAATCATTAAAAAGTCAGGAAACAACAGGTGCTGGAGAGAATGTGGAGAAATAGGAACACTTTCACACTGTTGGTGGGACTGTAAACTAGTTCAACCATTATGGAAGTCAGTGTGGCGATTCATCAAGGATCTAGAACTAGAAATACCATTTGACCCAGCCATCCCATTACTGGGTATATACCAAAAGATTATAAATCATGCTGCTATAAAGACACATGCACACGTATGTTTATTGTGGCACTATTCCCAATAGCAAAGACTTGGAACCAACCCAAATGTCCATCAACGATAGACTGGATTAAGAAAATGTGGCACATATACACCATGGAATACCATGCAGCCGTAAAAAACGATGAGTTCATGTCCTTTGTAGGGACATGGATGAAGCTGGAAACCATGATTCTGAGCAAACTATCGCAAGGACAGAAAACCAAACCCTGCATGTTCTTACTCATAGGTGGGAATTGAACAATGAGAACACTTGGACACAGGGTGGGGAACATCACACACGGGGGCCTGTCGTGGAGTGGGGGGAGTGGGGAGGGATAGCATTAGGAGATATACCTAATGTAAATGACGAGTTAACGGGTGCAGCACACCAACATGGCACATGTATACATATGTAACAAACCTGCACATTGTGCACATGTACCCTAGAACTTAAAGTATAATAAAAAAAATGGGAATGTAATAAAAGATAAGGATTATTTTAGTAAGGTCTGTTTATGCAAACTCATCTTGGTATGGACTCTCCATCTCCAATGATAAAAGTTACTCTTCTTTCCCTTCCTGGAATAGGGAGAAAACACCATCACAAAGGGAAATTTATGCCCTGCTTTTATGCAGATAAAGGGAGAGCAAAGAATTCTTCCTGCATTTGTTGTTTCAACTGAAGAATGATGAGGTTCACAGATTTAGAAATGAGAGCTTTATTTCTCATAAAGGGTTGCAGCCTGCAAGGTGGCTATTTTGACAGGCGGGGAAGCATAGCCTCTGGCCAGAAACAGACACTTTGAGAGAGGGGCAAAGGGAGCAAGAATTTACACTGAGCAGGGTGGCTAAATATCCATATTTAATAAGCTATAGGAGGAGTCATGAATATTTATGAAAGGAAAAACGTGCACATGCACAATTGAGCCTTATGCCCCTTTATGAGTCCCATGTACAAAAAGTGGCAGCATTAGCATGATCTGAGGGTGGAGTATTTGGCCCTCTGACATCAAAAGGTGAAGCAATGATGAAAACTGTCACTGCACATTCTCCACAGATAGGCCAGAACCACTCCGTGGACAGTGGTCTTTTATCAGGGAGGAATGCTGGTTGATTGTTGTGGCAAAACCAGAAAAGGGTGAGGCAACATAGACCGTTGATTGACATAAGCAGTAGAGCCTTTCAAAGGGTCTGGCTTTGTTTAGCCCTTAGGGAAGAAAGCCTAATGGCCATTAGTGAGGATTGGAATATAACAAGGTGTGTCCAACCTCCCATCTCATCATGACTGGGAATAGCTTCCAAGGTTTCTCTGGGGTCTCCTCAGTCAGTTGGGGGGCTTTGGATTTCATTTTTATTCCTCAGTCGATTTTCAATTGCTTTCAGCTCTAAATAAGCCTCATGCAAAAGTGGCATATTTTGGGATGGCGTATTCTAATCCCCTTCACTAGCTTTTGTTATGTGTTTTCCTTTTGACTCTCCAACTAGATTTTAAAGTCCTAGAGGATGGTTCTTACATTTCTTTCTCCATACTACAGTGTCTAGCACTGTGTTCTATGCAAATAGGAGTGACTCACAGATAGCCAAAAGAAGAAGGAAAGAAATGAGTCCTCATTCAATAGTAGAAACTCAAATATCAAAATTGTGAACTCACAGCCATGAAAAGATTGGATTTATTAAAAATTGATAGTGTAAGTCAAACAGCGCAAGTGATTTTTGGTGAATTATAAATATTACCAAGAGACAACAATACAACAATTGATCTCCTACTCGAAAATATTGGTAATGACAACAGATGATTCAGCAAAATAAAAAAAAAAAGGTCAAACTAATGGCTTTACCTGGGCACAGCTTTGGTTCTCACACTTGAGATTTCTGTGAATCACCTTCCCAAGTTTATTATCTCTCTTTACCACCAAAAAGCTTCCTTCACAATTTTTGCTTTATACACATGCTAATTTTACTATTATTTATTTAATACATTATTTCTTTAAATTACTTAAATTGTTTTTATTTATTTGAAAAGGAGAGTTTACCTCATTACAGTAAATGCAAACCAGTATCATTTGCCATAAATGGAAGGCAAGAGTAAAAGTAAATGCAATGAAAACAAAACAATATTCTTAAAATCTAGCTAAATTTTGCTGCCTGTGGCTTTGAGATCTGTTTTTCCTTTGTGAAAAGTTTAATTAGAAAGTGTCAGGTAAATGTTCAAAACAAACTTGTACTAAAGTGAGAATGGAAAAAGAATGTAAAAGGCAAAGCTTTCTCATTATGTAATCCTGTATAATTTAATATCAATAGCATTTGTGGACCACCTGAAATTATTTTGTGCACCACCACCACCTTTGGCAAAGCACTAGCATAGGTGATTAATGGAGAATGGTTTCTGGTTCCTCTAAGGTCTATAGCAGTGTTTCTCAGGGTGTAGCCTCTGGATCACTTGCATCACAATTACCTATGGGTACTTCTTTTAAAACTGGGGAAGTAATTAATGAATTGCTACTTCATCAGGAAAATGGAACAAAATAAATTATATTTTAAAGGAACACTCCCAGGCGATTTTGATGTACAATAAAATTTGAGAAACAGGGCTGTATTGTAGCAATTATTGAAGAATATGGAATCCACTCCTATAGCAGTTCTGTAGATAAAGAAAAGGTGCTGAAAAGTGGAAGGAGAATTCGACCAAAGCAGGTAATCGCCCAGGACCAATTAACAAGGCTGGAATGTTTTAATTCCAGAATAAGATTTAAGAAAAAAGAATAAGAAAAGGAAAATGAAAAAGGAAGGAAAGGAGAAAGGAAGGAAGGAGGGAGAGAGGGAGGGAGGGAGGAAGAGAAAAGAGAGAAAGAGAGAAGAAAGAAAGAAAGAGAAAGAAAGAAAAGAAAAGGAAAGAAAGAAAAGGAAGGAAGGGAGGAAGGAAGGAAGGAAGGAAGGAAGGAAGGAAGGAAGGAAGGAAGGAAGGAAGGAAGGAAGGAAAGAGAAAAGAGAAAAGGCTTACCAGCAATGAGAGAACAAAAAGATCCATTGAAGAAAGGGGTTGATTTACAGTAAAAGATGAAAGGGATTTAAAATGCGGCTTTGCTAAGTGGTCATTAAGCAAGGGTGTGATAACAGTTTACAAACGTTTAAATCGTATGTTAAAAAGAAGAGGAGGAATTTGTTAAGCAAGACCAAGGAGGGATAATTAGACATTAAGAGAATGTAATTGACCAAATTCTCATTCCTTATAACTCAACCTAAGCATTCCTGCTCTGCATACTGTATCCAACTTCTGTCCTAAGGGATATGCTCTACTGATCTTCCCCGGAAACAAAACCGGCCGAGTCTTGCTCTAGGGTCTATCCTTTTGTTGGACCACACTCCCCCTAACTCCCTGGCCAGTGTGGCTGTTTAACCTTTACGCCTTTTCCAGAGTTGCAGCCTCTACTCCTATAGGGAAAAGCCTGTAGGTCTAGTAGCCCTAACACATCAGGAGCTTCCTAGAAGAGTCTGTAGTGGAGCTAAAGAGACCTCCTCCACTTGAGGGGCTATGAAACTGATGGGCAATAGGGCCAGACTCTGGCAAGCTGGCCAGTTTTAAATTTTGCTCTTGACACTCTTTTTGTGCCACCCCCAGCTCCAAGTTCCAAGAGGTCTCTGAATATGTAAGTGTTCCTTCTGCAAGATGAAAACAGAATAGAATAGACACCATTTATATACAGAATGACTTAATATGTTACCTCTGGAATGGGGAGAGTGATCACTTTAAAAGAGGACTGTGGAAAAAGAAAGATGCATAAACCAAACACACAAATTCTAAAATTAGAGTTTTCAACACTGAGGCACCTGAGTGCTAAGCTTTTGAGGGGAAGAGGAGCACCATCAATAGCTCTCAGTTGACCACATTAGTGATTCTAAACTGCTACCCCAAAATCCCAAACTGGTCAATGGCACCAGAGAATACCAGATGTCGTAGCAGTGCCTCATACTAGCCTCTTCTGCTCCTTGTCAATTCAAAGACATCATCCTGGCTTACAGAGAGCACTTCCTGAAGGCCTGGCATCATAGCGTAGCAGTACACAACTTTAAATGCTCAAAATTGTATTCAGATTTATGTAAGAATCCACATGTACCACTTATACTTTCCCTCCCAGTCCTTTAACGGTTTTTTGAGATCTCACTTTGCTGTGGACTCACATGAGCTTAGAATGATGTTCAATCAGCCCAAAATGTCCTGACTGAGAGGATTATTAAGTTAAGAAATGTGGCATAAGTGGCATAATTTGACACTCCGGCTAGACTGGCCTGGGAAGGAGAAAGGCTTAAAATACACCACTTGATGGATGGCCTGCATCGTTGCTGGGTCTCTTCCATCTCTGTGTTTTATATAATGAAGTAGCACTGTACTTTCCAAGGAATTTCACATTACTGTAGAAGATTCTCTTTTATTGTGTTTTAATTAGATTTAATATAGAACTTATTTGAATGTGTCCTCTTCATCAGCAGAATAGTGTTTCTATCTGTAGTAGATAAAGCAAAGGATTAATTCCAAAGGTTGTAAATTGTTTTTTTTTTTTCTTATGTGGATATACGTTATTTTTTTTTCCTGCTTTTCTTTATTTATTTATTTATTTATTTTTTTATTATACTTTAAGTTTTAGGGTACATGTGCACATTGTGCAGGTTAGTTACATATGTATACATGTGCCATGCTGGTGCGCTGCACCCACTAACTCGTCATCTAGCATTAGGTATATCTCCCAATGCTATCCCTCCCCCCTCCCCCCGGTTGTAAATTGTTATAGTGGATTTGTGTTGCTTTTGTCTGTCCACAAACTTTACCTCTTTCTCTTGGGAGTAGAACCCTTCTTTCCTATGGGGAAACACAGTTTATATTATTTTAATCTTAGGGTGGTCTTATGAGACAAGGGTGGTCTTATGGCCCAGATCTAGCCAAAGTACCCCTTTTCCTTGTCCCCAATGATTGGTCCAGGGATGAGCATATGATTAAAGTCAGGCTAGCCACAGTATTTCTGTTGAAATTGCTGCAAAACACCTCTGGGGTGGCTGACGGTCACATTCTCTCACTCCTGTGCCTCTATGGGGAGTGGGGGTGGGGCTCTGTGAGAATGAAAACAAGTAGAAGTGGCAGGTAGAGAAAGAATTGGAGCTTCTAGATCTAGCTGTGTCTACAGCTAATGAAATGCCCCTCTGACTTCAGAGGTACATTCCCCATTACATCCACTTTATTTTGCTTAAGTTAGTTTGCATTTGACTTCTGATACTTGCAACCAAAATATTCCCAAATTACACATTTCCATGTCTACTTAGGAAAAAGAAATTAAATCTAGAAGTATACCTTGTTTTATATAATTGGTGCCTTTTTCAGAAGTTCAGAGTAAATCTACATTTTATGAATCAAATCATACTGTAGCAAAAATAACACATTGCTAAGAGGAGACATGTTGGGGGGTCTTTCATAGTACAGTTTATTTGTTTGAAGGAAAGGTGTTACAACCTGGATAGAAAGGTGCAAGTGACTCACAGTGAATCAGGGAGGGATATTGGGCTGGCTTTCATGATCCATGAAAGATGGTAAAGGCTTTAGTAATTTCATTACTTCCTGGGTTTGATTCTCATCCTGGTAGGTTTAGAAATTTGATTTGGTTGGTGCACTAAGAAAGGATTTGTCCCTCAGGGAAGGATTCCCATTAAGCAAGCTCACAGAGACTAAAACAGAAAACTAAAATGCCAATTGATTAATGGACAATGAGAAAGACAATCATTCATTGGACCAGAATCCTTGCAACAGCAGGTCATTGCATTCTGTTCTTTAGGACATACGTTGCATCCTGATAGTCTGGATTCAATCTGCAGATGCTTTTTGTAGGCCTGTGGTATAGTATATAAGGAGTTTGAAATTAAATAAAGAATTCTAAAACTTCACATAAAAATCTGGATTTCCAACTTCCCTTGAAAAGCCACAATACCCACCAACACTGATTCTTCTTTCTGTGGCATCAGTTGCAAGGGTCTGAGTAGGATCTGAGTCTTTTCTATGGGACACAGACTCTCTAATATATTAGTGTACACATCAGGCCCATTTTCTTTAATTATATCTTTGTTCTGGCTTATATAGGCATTTGAGTTTGATACATTTAGAAAGGAAAACTACATGTGAAACCATTAAGCTCGTTCCTTCCCCCAACCCATGTAGATTGGTTCGATGGGTGATGTGAGTGAAGCCAGTGCAGTTAGTGAATCTGAGGAGTTTTGCTGGAAATGCTAAGGCAAAAATGCTTACTTTTTTCTGCTGCATATGAAAAAGGAAACATGTATGCTGGGGTGCTGCTGACAGCCATCATGGGGCTATGAGGGAAATAAGTCTTATGATGACAAGTTAATCAAGGAAGACAGAAGAAACATCAAAAGAAATACTGTCTTCTGGGACTTGATAGAACTGCAGGATCAAGCCTTACCTAAAACTACTTTGGAATTTTCAGCTATATAGGATTATAAATTATCTTCATTATTTAAATTGCTTTGAGTTGGATGAATTGCTACAAAAAGTATTCTGACATAAGAAAGATACTTTTTTCCCCAGTAGAATCTCTAGCAAACTATGGTTACTCATGATAGTGTGGAAAATCCTGAGGCAAAAAGAGGTTGAGAATTGCTATTCTCAGCTACAAGATAATAAAATTAGGGTTCAGTTCACTTGCTGAATCCCAGTGTTCGTCCTACCTTTATGAGATTGTACCTAGTTCACCTGGATTAGACTTTCGGATCTTCCCAAACTCTTTAGAACTCATAAACAACTTTTTACTTTGTCCACATACAGCTAATCAAATACCGTCTTACAAAGATTTGATATTTGAAGTCAATTGTATTTTCCTAATCTCCAAGGTTTGTGTGAGATGATTTATAGCCTTACTCATGTACTGTGAATAAGAAGAGCATATATGACTGCACTGGCATGTAATCTACTTAACACATAGAATATTTTCAATTTCAGGAATATATTTCTTATCTAAAGAATTATTATTTGGCAACTCAATCCAAAGTATAGATAAAAATCAGGAAGAAACTAAAATATTTTCTATGAAGCCCAATTATATATAATGAAATTCTTGCAAGAATATACATTGATTTAGTCAGAGGACCTCCCTCCCCCTAGGTCCTTAGAGCTGTTTACTCCTATTTTACACAGAATTCAAACAAAAGGATGTTCTGATTTCTTAGGTCATAAGAGTTTAGAAGTAGTACACTGGAAGTGTGTGTGAAGGCGGTATTGTTAGAATGAGGCAGTGCTGACCACAAAAGGAAGTTATAGTTGACAGTGGTGGATGGCACTAATGAAGGAGAGAGAGAGACAGAGAGAGAGATAGAGAGAAGAGAAAGGAACTCAGAAACCACAGCATTATCATAGGGCCAGAGAGTCTGAAATACATGAACTGGCTCTGAAAGCAGTGTAACATGTACAAGTTAGCACCATAGTTGATATTCACTTTGATGAGCCTGATTAATCAGAAACCTAAATTATGTTCAGTGGCTTTTACTTAAGAAGACGTCTCTCCATGCCATATATTTTAGAAATATTTCTTCCCCCAAAATTAAGCTTGTGGCTTTCAAAGGAATAAACTTCAGTTATAAGAAATAACTCAGCTCCTGGCATATGGTAAAAACTATATTTACCAGAAGCTTGCAAATTTATTTTGCCTTCTTGTGGATAACATGCCTACTGATTTGCAATTTGAGAGAGAGTGTGTGTGTGTGTGTGTTTGTGTGTGTGTGTTTGTATCTGTTGAACAGATCATTTATGTGGAGCATTATTTACCCACAAAAATGTGGTGTTAAGATATCATATTTTTCAACTATACGTTAAGCCATATAGTGTGTTAAAAGATTTTTCTCCAATTCATCATTGTATTTATGTGAAAAGTCTTACAAAAGCATGAAAATAAAATAATTTCCCTTTATTTTAAAAATAAAATAGGTTAAATTAGAGCTGTTTAAAAATAGAGAGAGAGGGGCCAGTCACGGTGACTCACACCTGTAATCCCAGCACTTTGGGAGGCTGAAGCAGGCGGATGACTTGAGGTCAGGAGTTCAAAAGACCAGCCTGGCCAACACGGTGAAACCCCATATCTACTAAAAGTACAAAAATTAGCCGGGTGTGGTGGCACACGCCTGTAATCCCAGCTACTCAGAAGGCTGAGGTAAGAGAATTGCTTGAACCCAGGAGGCAGAGGTTGCAGTGAGCCGAAATCGCACCATTGCACTCCAGCCTGGGTGGCAGAGCGAGACTCTGTCTCAACAACAACAACAACAATAACAACTATATATATATATATATATATATATATATATATATAGAGAGAGAGAGAGAGAGAGAGAGAGAGAGAGAGAGAGAGAGAGAGAGAGAGAGATAATACAGACCTTCACCAACCACAAACTTTCCTTAAGTGAAATTCTACCATGCAAGAATTTACTTTGGCATAATTTCTACAGCCACAAGAATTTGGTTTTAGTTATATGGGTTACTTCTGTTGGAGGTAGTTTAAAAAGAAGGGAATTTGATAAGAGAAAAAAAAGGCAAATGGTTGAGGAAAGATTGGCAAATAGGTGAGGAAGAGTAATGGTTTTACAATACAGCCATAAAAGAAAGAACATGAACCCTGACCTTGGAGTTGCATCCATTAGCAAGAAAAGGACTGAGACACATGAAATGTTTTCTGGAATCATGATGCTATCTGAAAATAGAAAGGCACTACACTGATATTTAGAGTCTTAAAATCAGAAAAGTACTTTTCAGTATGGAGGGAAACACATACACACACACACACATCAAATTGTCACTTAGTAGGCATATTATCCACAACAGAGCAAAATGAATTTGCCATTGTCTGATAATTTTGAGAGAAGACCAGGGATGGATCAAATTTTATTGGCCTGAAGTTTGGAAGGCTCTCTTTTAAGAAAAGAACACAAAATTATAAATATAAAACTAGACACAAAATGCACGGTAGCCTGAACCAAATGAGGTTAAATATCCTACTTTTGCAAGTTTTACAAATTTTACAAAAACATATGACCATGTGAACACGTTGTCATGTAAACACTCAAGCCTTAGAAGGTGCTCCTGCAAATGAGGGGCCTTGAAGCATAAGCTACATTAGCTTCATGGTAAATTCACCTCTGAGGAAGGTAATCCTTCATGTCCAGGAAGTAAGTAATAATAAATTTAAATTAACTGTACAGAACCATTTACTATTAAGTGTGTATACCCAGAGTTAGACAAACCATGAGGTTTGAGGGCCCAAGCCTTCAGACTGCCTATTCTGCCCAAGATTTCTGACACCAACTTCAAGGATTTAGTGTATAACTACAAAGTTAGAGGGCACGGTCCCCAAGACTGTCGTTACTTCTGACATCAGCTGCATGTTCAGGGGTTTCCCAAAACCATCTTTAGGTTTGATAATTCACAATAAGGACTCTTAGAACTCACTGAAAGCTATTATACTCACAGTTACAGTTTTTAAGGGAAAAGAGTACAGACACAAAGGAAGAAACACATAGTGCAGAGTATGAGACCGTCCTAAACACAAAGCTTCCATTGTAGTCAGTAGGCATTACCCTCCCAGTGTAGATGTGTGATAATACACACCAAGTGTTTCCAACCAGGAAAGCTCACCTGAGCATTGGTGTCCAGAATTTTTTTTTTTTCTTTGAGACAGAGTCTTGCTCTTGTTGCCCAGCTGGAGTGCAGTGGCGCGATCTCAGCTCACTGCAACCTCCACCTCCCGGGTTCAAGCAATTCTCCTGCCTCAGCCTCCTGAGTAGATGGGATTACAGGCACCTGCTACCACGCCCAGCTAATTTTTGTACTTTTTTAGTAGAGACAGGGTTTCACCATGTTGGCCAGGCTGGTCTTGAACTCCTGGTCTCAGGTGATCCACCCCCGCCTTGGCCTCCCAAAGTGCTGGGATTACAGGCGTGAGCCACCGCACCCGGCCTATTTTGTTTTTTAGAGACGGAGTCTTGCTCTGTCACCCAGGCTGGAGTGCAGTGGCCCTAACTTGGCTCACTGCAACCTCCCACTCCTGGGTTCAAGCGATTCTGCTGCCTCAGCCTCCCAAGTAGCTGGGATTACAGACATGTGCCACCATGCCTGGCAAATTTTGGTGTCCAGAGTTTTTATTAGGATTTCGTTATATAGGCATAATTCATTGGTTGGTTGCCCATGTGGTTGAACTCAATTTCCAGCAACTTCCTGGAGATCAGACTGATACCACATGGTCTAATGGACCCATGATGAGTCACCTCATTTGCATAAACTATCAAGTGTGATCTGAGGGCCCCACCATGAATAACAAACATACTCATATCACTTTAAGGAACTGCAAGGGTTTAAAGGTTACCTCCCCAGGAGACAGGAACGAAGGCCAGACCTCTTCAGGCAAGGGAAAATTCTTTACTACACAGTATAAATTACCACTAATATAGTCATTAGTATACTGATAAATTTATTTTTATACATTTAAAAATATTCATAATTGCTTTTATAGATCACCATGGTTCCCCAACCCTATTTTTCTTGTAGGCTTATAAATTCCTCATGTACATCATAGCTGCCAGGTTGCGGGAGCAGAGATTATTTTGTCAATACAATTTAGGTCATCTCTACAAAATCTGACAATTTACAACTGTAACAAATGTCAAAACTCATAGAACTGATTTCATTTTTGTATTAACTATTGAAAATGACAGCAACACATTTAAAAATAAATTTAAGCAAAGAAATAAATTGATTGGCCCAAATAACTAGAGTATCTTGCAACAGGTGTGTTACTTCAAGCATAGCTAGATTCAGGGCTTCCGAAAATATCATCAGAACTCAATTTCTTCTAATGACTCAGATGTGCTTTCACAGTCTACCAGGAGGAAAAAGAATTACCTGTTCCCAACAGCCCCAGCAAAATTTTGGTAGTTATCGCATCCTTGGGTCACAGGCACATGCTGACCTAATTACCTTGACTCTGATTTACCAGGCCCACAGGATCACATTTCCCAAATCTGTAATCTGGAAGATGGAATCTGTCCAATTAAAATGACAAAGATTGAAAGTGTTGCTGGAGGGTAGTTACCTAAAGGAATATGAAGCTGTTGTTATTAAAAGAAGAGCAAAAGGATGTTGGGCACATGAAAACAACTACCCTAATAATATGCTCATTATCAGTTGATCAGATAAAAATAGCTATTTCAATCATACAGTATTTTTTCATTTTTGAGCAATTTTATTGAGATATAATGTGCATATAATAAACTTACTCATTTTAAGTGTACAGTTTTAGGAGGTACTCACAAATATATACACCTGTGCAACCACTACTATGATCAAGATAAAAAAACATTTCTTTGACCCCTAAAAAAAAGTTCCCTCATACTCCCTTATAGTTCATTACCATTTCCACCCCAAACCCGGGCAACCACCCTATATGCTTTCTATCAATAGGGATCAGTTTGTATTTTCCAGAATTTAATATAAATAAAAACATAATATATGCACTGTTTTATGTATGGCTTCTTTTACTTAGCATGTGTTGAAGATTCACCCATATTGTTGCAGGTGTTAATAGCTCATTCTCTCTTGTTGGTCATTATGTATAGCATTGTGTGGATATACCTAAGATTGTTTATCCGTTTCCAAGTTCAGGTATATCTGGGTTGCTTCTTGTTTTTACAATTAATAAAGCTACTATAAACATTTATATAGAAGTCTTAATGTGAATAAACATTTTTGTTTCTTTGAATAAATATCTAGGAATGGACTAGATAGGAGGTATGAAAGGTGACTGCTTAACTTTAAAACAAACTGTCAAACTACCAAATATTTGTACAATTTTATATTCTCACCAGCAGTACATGAGAATTTCAGGTACTCTGGCATTCTCTCCAATATTTAGTATTGCAATTTTATTTTTAGCCTTTTTGCTGGGGATATAGTAATATCTCATTGTCATTTTAATTTGCATGTTCCTCCTGATAACTAAAGATGTTGGGCATCTCTTTATGTGTTTTGGGCCACTGGTATATATTCTTTTGTGAAGTGTCTATTCAGACATTTTTCTCATTTTATATTAAAATTTCCTCTTATCATTGAGTTATAAGAGTTATTTATATTTTCTGGATGAAAGCCATTTGTCTGACATGTTTTGTGATTATTGTTTTCTACTCTGTGGCTTACCTTTTCATTTCTAAATGATAGCTTTCAAAGAGTAAAGCTTTTGACATTTTCCAAGGTCTCTGTTTTTGTGTGGTTTATGCTTCTTTTCTAAGAAAATTTTGCCTACTCTGATGTCTTCTACATTTTCTTCTAGAATTTGTATACTTTTAACTCTTACATTTAATTGTATGGTTTGTTTAGATTTTTCAGTATGGTTTTAGGTAGCAGTAAATATTCGGGTTTTTTCCATACAGATAAGCAGTTGTTTCAGCACAGTTTGTTGAAATGACTTTTCTTTCCACCATTGAATTACCTTGCCACCTCTGTTACAAATCAATAGGCTATATATGACTGACTCTATTTCTGGGCTGTTTCTGTTTACTAATATACATGTCAATCCATTCACAAAAACAATATTATCTTCTTTACTGTAGCTTTATAAGTTCTGAAATCAGGTGGCATAAGTCGCCCAACTTTATTCTTTTTAAAATTGTTTGATCCTTTTAAGCCATTGTATTTTCTTATAAATTTTAGAATTAACTTGTATGAATTTGTATAAAGCATCTTGCTAAAAGTTAGATTGGAATTGGGTTGAATCTATACATCAACTTGGGGAAAATTAGCATCTTAGTAATATTGAACTTACCCATATTTGAATGTTAAGTCATTTAGGTACTTTTTCATTTCATTTAGGTATTTTTTAATTTCTTTAAAATTGTTTTAAAGTTTTCAGTAGCCATATAATCTTTTGTTAAATTTATCCCAAAGTATTTCATGGTTTTGATGCTATTTTAAAATAAACTATATTTTTATTTTATTATCCAACCATTTGTTGCAACCATATAGAAACACAATTGATTTTTATATATTAACTTTATATCATGCTGTTGTGAGAGCCCTCAGCTAAATTGGGATTCCAGTACCAGAGCAGCTAGCAGTCCTGTGCTAACAGAAAAGAAAGGGGAGCAGACCATGAGTGTTTACAGTGTGCCTTGCAGAGAATACTTCTTCTTTTTTTTTTTTTTTTTTTTTTTTGAGATGGAGTCTTGCTCTGTTATCCAGGCTGGAGTACAGTGGTGCGATCTTGGCTCACTGCAACCTCTGCCTCCTGGGTTCAAGCGATTCTCCTGTCTCAGCCTCCCGAGTAGCTGGGATTACAGGTGCGCACCACCATGCCTGGCTAATTTTTGTATTTTTAGTAGAGACAGGGTTTCTCCATGTTGGCCAGGCTGGTCTCGAACTTTTGACCTCAGGTAATCCACTGGCTTCGGCCTCCCAAAGTGCTAGGATTACAGGCATGAGCCATTGCGCCTGGCCCAAGGATACTTCTTTTACCTGGTGAAAGGCCTAGTGCCTAGATGTCCATCCCAAGACTAGGAGTTCCTCATATAGGAAATTTGTTTATACTGGCAAATGTCCCTGTGGCCCTTATAGTCTATTAAGTGTGCAATAGCATTATATCTAAAGAAAATTACATATTTTAATTTGAAAGTATTTTATTGTCTGAAAAATGCTAACGATCATCCACGCGTTCAGCAATTCATAATCTTTTTGCTGGTGTAGGGTCTTGCCTTGATGTTGATGGATGCTAACTGATCATGATGGTGGTTGCTGAAGGTTGGGGTGCTGTGACAGTTTTTTAAATTAGACAACAATGATGTTTGTGGCATTGATTGACTCTTCCTTTTACAAAAGACTTTTCCGAAGCATGCAATGCCATTTGATAGCATTTTACCCACAGGAGAACTTCTTTCAAAATTGGAGTCAGTCCTCTCAATCCCTGACACTACTTTATGAGCTAAGTTTACATTACATAATGTTCTATATCTTTTTTTTTTTTTGAGACGGAGTCTGGCTCTGTCGCCCAGGCTGGAGTACAGTGGCACCAATTCGGCTCACTGCAAGCTCCGCCTCCCGGGTTCATGCCATTCTCCTGCCTCAGCCTCCCGAGTAGCTGGGACTGCAGGCACCCTCCACCAAGCCTGGCTAATTTTTTGTATTTTCAGTAGAGACGGGGTTTCACCATGTTAGCCAGGATGGTCTCAATCTCCTGACCTCGTGATCCGCCTACCTCGGCCTCCCAAAATGCTGGGATTACAGGCGTGAGCCACTGTGCCTGGCTTAATATTCTAAATCTTTTACTGTCATTTCAACAACGTTCACAGCATCTTCACCAGAAGTAAATTCCGTCTCAAGAAATCACTTCCTTTGCTCATTCATAAGAAGCAATTCCTCATCTCTTTCAAATTTATCATGAGATTGCAGCAATTCGGTCACATCTTTAGGTTCCACTCATTATTCTACTCCTCTTGTTATTTCTATGACATCAGCAGTTATTACCTCTGCCGAAGTCTTGAATCCCTCCAAAGTTATTCATGAAGGTTGGAATCCACGTCTTGAATTCCTGTAAATGTTGCTATTTTGACCTCCTCCCCTGAATCACAAATGCTCTTAATGGCATCTAGAATGGTGAATTCTTTCCAGAAGGTTTTCAATTTACTTTGCCCAGATGCATCAGAGGAATCACTATCAATGGCAGCTACAACCTCTTGAAACGTATTTCTTAAATAATAAGACTCGAACATTGAAATCACTTATTGATCAGTGGGCTACAGGATGGATATTTAGTTGGCAAGCATGAAAACAGCATTAATCTCCTTGTACATCTCCATCAGAGGCCCTGAGTAACCAGTTATATTGTCAATGAGTAGTAATATTTTGAAGGGAATCTTTTTTTCTGAGCAGTAGGTCTCAACAGCACACTTTCAATATTTGGTAAATCATGCTGTAAACAGATGTGCTGTCATTCAAGCTTTGTGGTTTCATTTCAAGAGCACAGGCAGAGTAGACTTAGCATATTTCTTGAGAGCCCTAGGATTTTCAGATTGGCAAGTGGACATTGGCTTCAACTTAAAGTCACCAGCTACATTAGCCCCTAACAAGAGAGTCAGCCTGTCCTTTGAAGCTTTGGAGCCAGGCATTTACTTCTGTCTAGCGATGAAAGTCCTAGATAGCATGTTCTTCCAAAATAAGGCTGTTTTGTCTATAACAGAAACGTGTTGCTTAGTGTAGTCACCATCAATGATCTTATCTAGATCTTCTGGATAACTTGGTGCAGCTTCTGCACTGGCACTTGTTGCTTCATTTTGCAATTTTATGCTGTGAAGAGGGCTGATTTCCTTAAACCTCTGCTAGCTTCAAATTTTCTTCTGCAGCTTCTTTGCCTCTCTCAGCCTTCATAAAATTGAAGAGCGCTAGGGCCTTTCTCTGGAATCAGCTTTGGCTTAAGGGTATTGTAGCTGGTTTGATCTTCTATCTAGACCACTAAAACCTTCATATCATCAATAAGATTGTTTTCACTTTCTTATCATACATGTTTCAGCTGGAGTAGCACTTTTAATTTCCTTCAAGAACTTTTCCTTTGCATTCACAACTTGCCTAACTGGTGTAAGAAGCCTAGCTTTCAGTCTTTATGGGCTTTGTGTGCCTTTGTCACTAAGCTTAATCATTTCTAGCTTTTGATTTAAAGTGAGAGATGTGCAACTCGTCCTTTCACTTGGACACTTGGAGGTCATTTTATGGTAATTAATTGGTCTAATTTCAATATCGTTGTGTCTCAGGGAATAGGAAGGACCAAAGAGAGGAAGAGAGAAAGAGAAACAGCTGGTCAGTGGAGCAGAACACCCACATTTATCGATTAAGTTTTTTGTCTTAGATGGGAGGAGTTTGTGGTGCCTCAAAACAATTACCATAGTAACATCAAAGATTACTGATCACAGATCACCATAACAGATATAATAATAATGAAATAGTTTGAAATATTTTGAGAATTACCAAAATGTTAAACAGAGACACACACCTTCAAGTTGTTAAAAAAAAAAAAGCAGTATCTGTAAAACACAATAAAATGAAATGTAATAAAATAAGATGTGCCTGTATTTTATTTTCATTCATTTTAAAATATTTTCTAATTTCCTTTGTGATGTATTCTTTGACCCATTGGTGATTAAGGCATGTGTTTTTTAACTTCACATATTTGTAAATTTTCCAAATTTCCTTTGCTATTGATTTCTAATTTCATTCTATTGTGGGAGAGAACACACTTTGTATAATTTCAATCTCTCAAAATTGATTAAGGCTTGTTTTGTGGCCTATTATGTGGTCTGTCCTGGAGACTGTTCCATGTGAGCTGAAAAAGAATATATATTCCACTGTTACTATATTCCGCTCCACAGAGTCTAGTTGGTTTACAGTGTTGTTTAAGTCTCTAGTTCGTTACTATTCTTTAGTTGCTCTATCCATTATGGAAAGTTGAGCATTGAAGTCTCCAATAATTATTGCTGAATTGCCTATATGTCTCTTCAACTTAATCTGTTTTTTTTTTTTGCTCAAATAATAAGACTTGAATGTTGAAGTCAATGTATTTTTGGGCTCCGTTGTTAGGCACCTGCATTTCAATAATTATGTTGTTTTCTGGATGGATTGACATTTTAGTAACTAAAATCATGAACTAAAATCTTCATGATCTCTAATAACAATTTTGTCTTAAAGTCTATTTTGTCTGATATTAATATACCTGCTCCTGTTTGCTCTTGTTTACTGTTTCCATGATATATATTTTTTCATCCTTTTACTTTCAGCCTATATATGTCTGAATATGAAGTGTACCCCCTATAGACAGAATATAGTTGCATCGTTTTTTATCCATTCTGCCTATCTCTGTATATTTTAGTTGGAGTTATTAATCCATTTACATTTAATATGGCTACTGATAAGATAGTATTTACATCTGCTATTTTGCTGTTTGTTTTCTATATGTCCTGTCATTTTGTTCCTTAATTCCTCCATTATTATGTTTTTTAGTGCGAAGTAAACACTTTACTGTGTATCATATTTACTCCTTTATTGTTTCTTTTACTATATTTTTTGAGTCATTTTCTTTGTGGTTGCCATAGGTATTACAATTAACATCTTTTTTTTTTTTTTTTTTTTTGAGACGGAGTTTCACTCTTGTTGCCCAGGCTGGAGTGCAATGGCGTGATCTCGGCTCACTGCAACCTCGCCTCCCGGGTTCAAGCGATTCTCCTGCCTCAGCCTCCTGAGTAGCTGGGATTACAGGCATGTGTCACCACACCCGGCTAATTTTGTAGTTTTAGTGGACATGGGGTTTCTCCATGTTGGTCAGGCTGGTCTCAAACCCCTGACCTCAGGTGATCCGCCCACCTCGGCCTCCCAAAGTGCTGGGATTACAGGCGTGAGCCACCACGCCCACCCACAATTAACATCTTAACATACAGCAATCTAGCTCAGATTAATACCAACTTAATTTCAATAGTATACAAAAAACTCTGCTCTTACATAGATCCTATCCTTCCCCCAACCTTTGTGCTGCTATTGTCATAGAAATTATATTTTATTCATTGTGTGCCCATTAATACAGATTTCGAATTACTGCATTATATTGTTTTTATAATCAGAAAGGTGAAAAGAAAGAGATCCAAGCAAAATATATATTTATACTCTTCAATATTTACCTCTGTATTTATCTTTACCAGTCCTCTTCATTTCTTCATGTGAATACAAGTTACTCTCTAGTTTTATTTTATTTCAGCATGAAGAGTTCTCATTTTAGCTCTTGTAGGGCAAGTTTGCTAGTGATGACTTCTCTCAGTTTGTGCTTATCTAGGACTGTCTTACTTTCTCCTTCATTTTTGAAAGATAGTTTTGCTGAACATAGAGTTCTTGGTTGGCATATTTTTTTTTTTCTATTAGCACTTTGAATATTTCATCCCAAGGCCTCTGGCCTCCATGGTTTCTGATCTATCAATCTTATTGAAGATACCTTGATTAGTTGCCTTCTCTCTTGCTGCTTTCGTGGGCTCTGTCTTTGGCTTTTGACAGTTTGATTATGATGTGTGGATTGCTTTCAGTTTATCTTAATTGGAATTCATTGAGCTTCTTGCATGTGAGATTAAAGTTTTCCATCAATTACAAAAAAAAAATTTAGCCATTATTTATTCAGAAGTTCTTTCTAACTGTTCTCTTTTTCTCCTCTTTTTCTGGGACTTCCATTTTGCATCTGTTGTTACATTTGATGTCTCACAGGTCTCTGAGGTTTTGGTCTTTTTTCTTCATTTGTTTTTCTTTCTGTTCCTTAGACTGGATAATCTCAGCTGACCTACCTTAAAGGATTGATGTTATTTATTCCTTACTTGTTTGAGAGAATTCATCCATGTAACCATCTAGGTTTGGAGTTTTCTTTGTAGGAAGACTTTTGCTTGCAAATTCAATTTTTTCAGTAGATGTGGCTACTTGGATTTTTATATTTCTTCTTACATCAATTTTGATCATTTGTGCCTTTTAATATGTTTTTCCATATCTCCTAAGTTGTCAAATGTATTGGCATTAATTTATTATAACATTCTCATATTATTATTTTACAGTCTGAAAGGTCTATGGTGATGCCCCTTTTCATTCCAAAGAAAATATACTTTGTATCTTTTCTTTTTTTTCTTAAATCAGTCTAACTAGACATGTACCAATTTTTTGGACCTTGTCAACAAACCAAACTTTGGTTTTATTGATTTTTCTCTATTGCTTATCCATTTTCCATTTCATTAAAACATCTATCATCTTTAATATTTGTGCACTTTTACTTACTTTGGTTTAAATTTTTCTGCATATTTTAGCTTTAGAAAGTAGAATAAAATTGTATTGATATTAGGGTTTCCTTATTTTCTAATGCAAACATTTTAAGCTTTCCTCTGAGCACTATATTAGCTGTATCCCATAAATTTTGCAATGATATGTTTTCATTATTATTCAGCATACAACATTTTCAAATTTCTAATTGATCTGTGGGTTATTTAGAAGTCAATTTTTAGTATCCAAATATTTGAGAATTTGTAAGATGTCATATTGTTGATTTCTAATTTAATTTTTTCATGGTGGGAAAGACACTGTATATGATTTCAATTTTTAAAAATTTGTTAAGACTAATGTATGTCATAGTATATGGCTTAGCTTGGTGAATGTTCCATAGGCACTTGAAAAATATGGGAATTGCACTATTGTTGAGGGAAATGTTCCATGAGTCCTAATTAAGTTAAGGTAATTAAAATGGACACTTAGATCTTCCTTATATTTACTTATTTTTAGTCCAGTTGTTCTACCAATTATTGAAAGAGGTATGTTGAAACTTCTAAATGTTTGTGCATTTATTTCTCTTTTTGCCTCTACCAGTTTTCATTTACTGTATTTTGAAGCTTTAATACAAGGTGCCTATATGTTTATAATTGTTATATCTTCATGATATACTAACACTTTTATAATTATGAAGTTTTCTTTTTTGAAGCTAATAATGCATCTTGTCTAGAAATCTACTTCATTAAATTAACCACACCAGTTTTCTTATACTTACAGTTTGATTTATATATAATTTTCCATCCTTTATCTTTCAACCTACTTATATCCTTCTATTTAAAGTGTGTCTCCTCTGAACAGTACATAGTTCTTTCTTGTATCCAGTCTCACAATATGTCTGCCTTTTAATAGAAATATTTAGTCCACTTACATTTAAAACAATTACATTAAAATTAATTAAATTAATTTAAATTAATTCTTACTAAATTACATTTTAAAGTATCTCTTCTCTTCTTGATTTTGTCTCAAAAGTCAGTCTCCACCTACTTTTCTTCTATGATTTTCTCTCTCTTCTTTGAGTTGTATAATTTTAATTGATCTGTCTTCAAGTTCACTATTATTTTTCTTCATCTCCAACCTGCTCTTGAGCCTATCTGGTGAATTTTCATTTCCAGTATTGTACTTTTGAATTCTTGAATTTTCATTTTTAAAATGTTTTTCATTTCTCTCAGAGATTCTTTCTCTGTTCACCCACTAATTTCATTTCTCTTTTTAACTCTATGCATACATTTATAGTGCCACCTTTGAAACCTTGTCAGCTATACCCAACATTTAGAACCATTCTGATGCATTTGTTTTCTATTGAATAGCTTTTTCCTGAATGTGGGTAAGACTTTCATGTTTCTTTGCATATCTATAATTTTGTGCTAAAATTGGACATTATAGATACATTCTGGTGATTCTGGATTATATTGTGTTCTGAGGATGGTTTTTTTGTTGCTCTATAGGTAAATTGTATGAATTCAAATGGCAAACTCTGTCTCTCCTGTGGTGTACAGCAGCTGATATATTTGCTCAGTTCTTACAGTTTCTTGATGCTACTATTTTTACCCTGGCTTCCTGGGAGTTCACCTGCACCTGAATATCTTGTTGGTCAGCCAAGGACTTCGGCATAGCTTACGCTCAGATATTGGGGTTCGCCCTCTGTTTAGTTCTGTTGCTTATGGAATTTTTTCCCTAAATTTCTCTGCTGTCCTCTGACACATCAAGCCAGTAAAACTTCAGTATTCAGCCACCTGCATAGGTTGGGAAACACACTTGGATTTTTTTTTTTAAAACAGAAAACACAGATCTCACCTAGTGCAGCTGCTTTTCTGGGGTAAATTCCTCTCTGTGCCTTGCCTGTTTTTTCCAACAGATGCCCTGGTATCTCCCCTACATATGCATAGTTTAACAATCAGCCAGCTTTAGGGTAGAGTTAGTGCTCAGATTTTGTGTTTCACTCCTTTGCTTCCAAAATTTCCCTCCTTAAATCTATACCTGCATTTCCAGCTTTGGATTTTTTCCTGCTGTCATAATGCTGTGAATTTTTTTTTTTCTGCTGTAGCCATGGAGAGAGGGGAAATCCTCAGAAAAGAAAGTCACAAATTTGCAGTTCTTCCCCCTCTAATTGCAGCTTTTCAAGAGTAAGCTTTTCTCTTTCTTCTGTTCTGTCTGCTCTTAGATACCTTCCAGTAAATTAAACTGTTGGGATTTTTTTTTCCTGGATTTTATAATTATTAACTGTACAAAGTTTCACACAACCACTTCACTTTGTCGTCATTACTGGAAGTTCTGTATTTGAAAAGAGTCTAAAAGGAACTTATGGGCTCAATGTAGTCACTAGGTAGTTTGATAGCAAGTTGACTATTGGACTTTTTTCATGTTCACTTATTGGCATACCATCACAGAACATCAAGTCCATCTTTGATTTTTTTTCTCCAATAGCCACAGAAACAGCCAACTGCTAAAATACTGATTAGATCATCCCAGAGATAATTTCATATGGGCATTTGGAAAGTAGATTACAATATATGATAAAGCATACTGATAAGAAAATGGGGCCGGGCACGGTGGTTCACGCCTGTAATCCCAACACTTTGGGAGGCCGAGGCAGGCAGATCTCCTGAGGTCAGGAGCTCGAGACCAACCTGGCCAACATGGTGCAACCCCGTTTCTACTAAAAAAATACAAAAATTAGCCAGGCATGCTGGTGGGGTGTCTGTAATCCCAGCTACTCGGGAGGCTGAGGCAGGAGAATCGCTTGAACCTGGGAGGCGGAGGTTGCAGTAAGCTGAGATTACGCCACTGCACTCCAGCCTGGGCGACAGAGCAAGGCTCCGTCTCAAAAAAAAAAGAAAAAAGAAAAGAAAATGATACTATTCATCAGCATTTTATATTTTCCTGTCTTTCTTGTAAAACTTTGGATTAATTTAAAAGGATAATTGAGTAAAAATTTCGATTAAGGAGAACAAATCTCCTTAATTGCTCCAGATATATCCATCAAAGTGAGGAACTCCTAGAACAGACATTAATTTTAATGCTCTTGTCTTTCAAAACATGCACACACACACACACACACACACACACACACACACATCACACAGGGCATCTCTTGATGTTCAACAACCTTATTTTTCTTTTCTTTTTTTTTTTTTTTTTTAAGACGGAGTCTCGCTCTGTCACCCAGGCTGGAGTGCAGTGACGCGATCTCGGCTCACTGCAAGCTCTACCTCCCGGGTTCACGCCATTCTCTTGCCTCAGCCTCCTGAGTAGCTGGGACTACAGGCACCCACCACCACGCCCGGCTTTTTTGTATTTTTAGTAGAGAAGGGGCTTCACTGTGTTAGCCAGGATGGTCTCGATCTCCTGATCTCGTGATCCGCCCGCCTCGGCCTCCCATAGTGCTGGGATTACAGGCGTGAGCCACCGCGCCCGGCCAACAACCTCATTTTTCAAAAGTTATCACTTCCACTTGTGCCCTAAGAGTACCAAGAAATAATGACTTTATAATAGGCAACTTTAAATTAGCATGTACCACCTCTCTAGGTGGGTAGCAATTTGCACAACATATCTTAACATTTCAGAAACATGATGCTGAGCACCTGTTTATAAAGAAATTTCCCCACTAGTGAAATTTGAGTGCAAATGACAAATAGATCAACAGTGAAAAAGTATACAGTTCAGTGGCTTTACTGTTAATAAGAAAGGCAGCTGGTATGACAAATTCAACTTTGTGTGATAACCTGAATTGCCACTTGTGACTAGGCTATGGGCACTCAAAAGATAAGACCATATAAGCTTGACCAGATCCTAGTGTTTCCTCAGAACTTCCCCAAGAGGAGCTTTCCCTTTTTGTGCTGATACTTTTCCTTTTCCCGATTTGTATGCACACAGCCAACGAAGTTTGATGTTGAACACATGTAAAAAAAAAAACTTAGAAGGGAAAAAGAAACAGATAACATTTTATAATAGGAAAATAATCTATATTCTATTTTGCTTTGTTTTTTAATAAAGCTCAGTAAAATACCTTCCCAGGTCTTCTCACAGTTTGTACAGAAACAACAAGGTCATGTCCATATGGCATAATTTTTTAAAAGTAAACTCAAATAATAAATCAGAGTTCAATTATATTTTACAAAGTGAACCTACATGTACCTACCACCCATGTAAATAAATAGAACATTACCAGCACCACAGAAGCCCCCTAATATTCTCTCCAAATTCCCTCTTCCCTAAAGGTAACAACTGTCATGAGTTCTATAACCATAGGTAAGTTTTGCCTGTTTTTTAGCTTTACATAAATGAAGTAATGAAATTTGTGTTCTTTTTATCTGTGCTTGATCAATGTTTTAAGATACATTCATGTTGTTGCATATATAAGTAATACATTTATTGTTATTTTTCTTAGCTTGTTTCCTGTTGCTGTAACAGAATCCTACAGACTGGGTAATTTATAAAGAAAATAAATTTATTTCTCACAGTTCTGGAGGTTAGGACAGTTCATATCAAGATGCTGGCATCTGGCAAAGGTCTTTGTGCTGTGTCATCCTATGGCGGAAGGTGGAAGGGCAAATGAGCACATAAAACAGAGAAAAGATGGGGGTTGAACTTCATCGTTTTACCAAAAGCCCACCCTCTCAATAACTAACCCACTCCTGCAATAATAGTATTAATCCATTTATGAAGGTAGGCACCTTATGGCCTAATTACCTCTTAATAGTCTCACCTCGTAATACTGTCACCATGGAAACTAAATTTCAAACATGAGTTTTGGAGAGGACATCCAAACCATAGTATCATTTCTGTCTAGTGTCACATTTTGTGAATATGTCAAAATGTATCAATTTTTCTGTTGATGAGCATTCTGGATGCATCCAGTTTTGTCTTTTATAGGTGGTGTTGTTTTGAACATTCTTGTATTTGTGTCTTGGTGAACATACATACGAATCTGTAGGGTATATACCCGGGAATGAAACTGATGAGTCATAGAGTAAGCTCATGTTTGTCTTTAGTAGATATTTCCATTTGGGGCAATTTTGAATAGTTCTTGTTAAGTTATCAGGCAATAATTTGAATCATTAAATACAATAAAGGTCCTCCAGCAGGGCAGCTACAAGCGTTTTTTGAGATTCGAAGAGCATAAATGGAATAATGAATGAGATCCACATTCATTCACTCATTCATTCAACAAGCTTTTGGTGAGGATTTTTGTATACCAAGCATTGTGCTAGGCATTCGCAGTACAGCATTCAGCAAATCAGTCTCTGTCCTCACCAATAACTTTACAATTTCTCTACTAAAATAATTTACATTTAGCAGAAAACATAAAAGAAAATCTTTGACCTGTGTCATGAGTTAAATTGTGACAACCCTTCAATTCATACATTGAAGTCTTAACCCCCAGTACCTCAGAATGTGACTTTATTTGGAGATAGGGTCTTTAAAGAGCAAATTAAGGTAAAATGATGTCATATGCATGGGGCCTAATCCAATATGACTGGTACCCTTTTAAGAAGAGTGTGAAGAGAAAATTAGGACTGTGATGGTTAATTGTATGTATCAACTGGATCACGGGGTACTCAGATATTTAGCTAAATATTATTTCTGGGTGTGTCTGTGAGGGTGTCTCTGGATGAGATTAGCATTTGAATTGGTGGGCTCGGTAAAGAAGATTACTTTCTTCAATATGGGTGGGCATCATCCAATCTTTTAAGAACAAAAGTTGAAGGAAGGGAGAATTTGCTCCTTCTGCCTATTTAGTTGGAACATCAGTCTTCTTCCACCCTTCGACTGAGACTTACACCATCAGTTTCCCTGGTTTTCAGATCTTCGGACTTGGACTGAACTACACCAATGGCTTTCCAGTTTGCAGACTGCAGGTTGTGGGACTTAGCCTCCATAATTGCATGAGCCAACTCCTCATAATAAATCATACATTATATATATATATATATATATATATATATATATATATATATATATTATACATTATATATAAATATTTATCCTATTAGTTGTGTTTCTCTAAGAAACACTGACTAATACACAAACACGAAGATGCACTAACAAAAGGAAGACCATGTGGGACACAGTGAGAAGAGAAGCCAAGAAGAGAGACCTGAGGAGAAACCAAACCTGCTGACATCTTGATCTTGGACTTCTAGCCTCCAGACTGTGAGAAAATAAATTTCTGTTGTTTAAGCACCCCCGTCTGTGGTATATAACACCCCTAGCAAACTAATACCCCTTGGGTTAGACAGACAACTTTTATATATGACAGCAAAAGCCTGATGCTTAAAAGAAACAATTCATAAACTTAATCAAAATTGAAAATGTTTGCTCTACAAAAGACACTGTTAAGAGAATAGAAAAGAAGCCGCAGAATGGGAAAAAATATATGCAAATCATATTTCTGACAAAATAATTTCATTAAAAATATATAAAGAATTCTCAAAACTTAACAATGAGAACACTAAAAATCCAATAAAGACATGGGTAAAATATTTGATCAGACACTTCAAAGAAGATAAACAGACAGCATAAAAGCATATGAAAAGATGCTCTGTGTAATTAGTCATTATAAAAACGCAAATGAAAACCGCAATGAAATTATACTACACACACCTAATAGGATGGCTTACATTAAAATTACTGGCCATATCAAATTTTGTTGAGGATGTGGAGGAACAGAAACCCTCATATATTGGTTGTGGGAATGCAAAACAGTACAGCCACTTTGGAAAATAGTTTGGCAGTTTTCTTATAAACATACGCTTACCATACAACCCAGTCATCCCACTCCTGGGCTTCTGTCTAAGCAGAATAAAAACCTGTGTTCACAGGAAAATCTGTTTGAAAATGTTCATAGCAGCTTTATTCATAGTTACCCATAACTGGAAACAACCCAAATGTTCCTTAACAGAGGAATGGATAAACAGAATATGGTACATCCATCCAATGGAACATTTACTCAACAATAAAAAGGAATGAAATACTGATACATGCAACAACAAGGATGAGTCTCCATTATGCTGAGTAATACATATATATTGCATCATTCCATTTACATGATATTCTATAAAAGGCAAAATTATAAGGGTACAGAACAGATTGGTGATTGCCAGGGAATAAAGGCTTGATTACAAAGGTAACAAACAAGATCATTTTGCGGGAAGAGAGGAGAGTGATGAAACTGGAACTTGATTGTAGTGGTTGTGGTTACATAACTGTGTATATTTGCCAAAACTTATAGAATAGTCACCAAAAGCAGTGAATTTTGCTGTATGTAAATAAAAGATAAATGACAAGTGATGAATTCAGATATTCTCAGAGTCAAACACTATCCTTCCTCCTGTGGGGGAAGACTCCCTTTGCACAGTTTTCTACATGTGAAGATAAGTTCAAAAATGAATAAAAGTAAAAGATAGCATGGTGTGTATGGAGAAATTGAAACAATTTATTGTTGCTAAAGAGTGATGCTGAAGAATTAGACAGGAATAAATTTATGGGGGGTCTTGTGTGCCCTGCAAAGTGATTTTGATCTTGTACTGTAGGGAACAGGAGCTGCTGGAAAATGTTGAAATAGAGAGTGATATGGTCAGCTTTACATTTTAGATAAACCAATCTGCCTATGATATGGAGAAAGGATTTGACATGTAGAAAGACTATAGGCAGGGAGATCAGTAAGAAGATTTTTGCTATAGCCCAGGTGAGATATGAGAAAAATCTGGGCTCAGGCAACATTTGTAACAGGAATATAGAGTAGCGAAAGCTTTCTGAGCCCTGTGGAATGCAGGTACATAAGCTCAGGGAAGTAATGACCTAGAAAAAGGATCATCTAACTTTGGAAGCCTTCTTCTCACTCTCTTGTTTCAGTCATAAGGGAGAGAATTACTATTTCTTGACCCTATTCTAATTTCCACGATAGGAACATATGCGAATCCCAGGCAATTTTGTAAAAACTGCATGGCTTCATGTTTTTCAGATGTTTCAATGAAATCCCATGGCATTTATTCTGTTGGAGCTTAAGAAAAAAAAAACAGAAATCCAATGGCAACCAAATGGCAGTGATTAAACGACCCACAGTTAGGATGGCCATACATTCCAGTTTGCTAATTGACAGTCTGTTTATTCCTAATCTACCAGAATAATTATTATAGTATATTAATAACAGCACCTCCTTTCATTCTCAAGAATGTCCTGGTTTGAATGGTAAATTTGTTGGTCATCCTAACTTGTAGTAGCTTCCCCATTTGACTATTACTCGGCAGAAAAAAAAAAGCCAACATTAAAATGTCAATAAATTCCTCTTTTGGGTAACAGTCCAGAGAGACTTGTTCATCTACAAAGGCCTATAGAAAAGTAAAACCAAATGAAAAGCTATGTAAAATAAACATAAAAGTAAATCATTTAATAATATAGAAATATATCCAATTAATGAACTTGATCATCAATTATTGAGTTTTCCCATTTACCTTTTTTCCCCTTCATACTAACTCGGTAAAATGTAAACCTTTACAGCCGTTTTGTATTTAAAAATTTCAGCACAGCATCCCCAAGGCCTTGCAGGGAATTAGGAGGTTGTGACTGGTTCCTAGGTCCCTCACTGTTCTCTTTTCAAAGCATCATTCTTTATTCTGTCTTCCTTAATCCTGTGAGAAACCAAAGCAAGCTTGCTTAGTAGGGTTCCTCGCGAAATATCAAGAATTCTGCACTAAATAATCACATCACTCATGCTAGGTCCACATAGGACAGATAGAAGAGAAAGAAGCATAACAACCTTGTTTTCTGGCACACCATTCTGGCACATCAAGATTGGTTTTTGATATACCCCAAACCCTGTTTTCACACTCCGATCACAATGCTAAAATATAATTCTGGCCTGTGTAAGCCAGTAGAAAAGTGACAGACAAATAGAGTACTGAGGCAAAGAAGCTTGGAAGCAAAATAAAATAGTATTTTATTATTTTGGCCCATCCTACTTCCATAAGGACTTCAGGCAATAAAATAAATAAGCAGTCAGTGGTTGTAATAAATTACATTAATTGTTAGCAACAATCAAATAAGAAGTAGCCATCAAGTCACCATTTCTTAAAACTTTTTTTGCTTGATCTTTAGTTTTAAAAGAATTAGAGTTCTGCAAACTCTTCTCAGGTTCAACATCTTGAATAAGATACTAACTCAAAAGATTAATACTTGGCTTTTTATCTCTGTAATAGTCCAATGCCTTCAAGCTTTCTAAAATGAAATTGAATTTGAATAAGGATAGTACTCCTGAGGTCTGCAAATTGTCACTTCTCAAAAGGTTTCTTCTCTGTATTCCATATTCTCTTTCAGAAGCCTATATGACAGATAATTTAGACCCAATTCCAAGACGTAACATGCATGTCAAAAATTTTCTTTTTAAAGAAACTGATATGCTCTTCAATTCCCTTAGATATAAAGAATATCTACATAAAATGTATTCACAAAAGATATTTTGACATGGTAAGCATGGGCTTTTGCAAGAAGGTAAAGAAAATGGCCTCTCTTCCACTTCCCTTACCCCCAGCAGGGACCAAAATGGGTACTAAATCAGTTACCTTCACCATCTGTCCCATTATTTATTATGTTGCACTGTAATTTATTTATGTATCTGTCTCTCCCACTAGACTCCATGAATAGGTTGAGGGCAGAGGTTGATTCCCATTCATCTTTATTTCTCTGGCACCTACCATGAAGGAAATTCTGTGACTTGTTGAATGAATAAATAGGGTCTCATTTTAATTTTGTTAGAGGCCAGATGTACAATGTGTAACATATTGCCTCTTACATAGTAAGTGCTCTATAATTGTTAACTGTTATTTACTATGAGGGGTCAGATGGAGCTGTGCTGGAGATTCTTACTGGCTATTAAATTTTTAGGAATTTTAGTTAGAAATAAGCGATGGTAGGGGTATTTACACCATGGAAATTGGCAAGCATTTAACTTTAATAGTAATGTGTTACCATTCCACACCCTCACCCCCAAAAACAGTTGTTAATCATTTACCAGCACACCACTGAGGTCAGATGGCATACTATCCTGGGGCTTGAATACCTCCAATTGGTATTGATGTGTGTACATATGATAAACTGTACGTATGATGTGTGTTCAGTTCAGAAGACTGGAGAGAAGGAGAAAGAAAAGGAAGCATATAGGGAAAGCGAAGTAGTCAGCCAGCAACTAAGTGAAGCTCCAAATCCAATCTCTCATCACTAGTTACTTCCCTTGGACAACAACCCACTTATAATACAGAGTCTCCTAGAGGGCTTAAATTTGGCCAAGAAGAAAGAATTGGCTGATAATCTCAAAAGTGGCAATTCAATAGCAACCATTATTAAATTTACAAGAAATTGAACTCATCGTAAAAAACTTCACGGTCGGGCATGGTGGCTCATGCCTGTAATCCCAGCACTTTGGGAGGCCGAGGCAGGCAGATCACCTGAGGTCAGGAGTTTGAGACCAGCCTGGCCAATGTGGGGAAACCCTGTCTCTACTAAAAATATAAAAATTAGCCAGGCATGGTGGTGCACACTTGTAATTCCAACTACTCGGAAGGCTGAGGCAGGAGAATTGCTTGAACCTGGGAGGCTGAAGTTGCAGTGGGCCGAGATTGCACCATTGCACTCCAGCCTGGGTGACAAGAGCAAAACTCCATCTCAAAACAAACAAACAAAAAAAAAAAACTTCGCAAGGTATAATATTGACGACATAAAGATATTCTAAGCATTAAAATTCTCCATGATGAACCAGGTTGCCTTGAAGGTTGTGAGTTCTTTGTGTACCTTAACAGTATTCACAATGAAGCTAGTGAAAATCTTCAGAGATATTGCAGAACAAATTCTTACCAGCTGATCCTCTAGCACCTTGCTCTTCAAAGTCTCATCTGCAGACTTCTCAGGATCCACTCCAGACCTATTGAATTAGAATCTGCATTTTAATAAGATCCCCAGGTTATCCAGATGAAAATTAATGTTTGAGAAAGCTTTGCTGTAGATCGCCTCTAAGGTCACAGCTACCTCTAGGATTCTTGTGCCTCTATCACTTGGATGAAGACAAACAAGTCACGCATATATTTTTCAGGAAATGTCAGAATAAAATGTCTTTACATTCAACTTCAGATACAAGTTCCAAAATAATCTCAATATACTTATCAATGGGCAAAAATCAGCAAGATGAAAGTCAAAAGCCAAAGTATGAAATCTATGTTTAAACAAATTCCTGAACAACCAAAAGAATCAGGGCAAATCCACAGGATGAAGGCCTGAAGAAGCATCTAGGTGACTGACATACAGGGAATTCATCCCTTATCTTTCTGTCCTAGATTCTGAGCTCTTTTCATTTGCTTTCATGGGTTTATATTACTTTATGAGTTTTCTGGAATCACTGCAGGAATATACAACAGCTTCTTAATTAGACCATTTAGTAGGATCCTCAGTTATAACAGCATCTGTTTCTTTTGGGCTCTTCCCTTCTTCCTCCTGGGCCTGGAATAGAGTTCTGTACCACATGAGTGCCTAATCAATGCTATTGACTGATATGAATTATTACTATCATTTTAGATAGCGCCTTCGTTTCTATACCTTTCCAGTGACTACAAAGTCTGAATAATACAATAAAACAAGTCCATAATGTAAATTATTTATATTGATAAACAGTATATATATTAATTTTATCAAATCAATTAACTGATATACTGCTATAATTTCTAAATAATTGTCTGCAACTAACATTTTTAAACTTTAAACTATAAATGTTTCCCAAAAAGTGATCATATCTATTGACCACCTCTCAGGACCATGGCATCTCTTCCTGATCTGTGTTGGGTAGAACAGGGTTGGAAAACTTTTTCTGTCAAGGGCCAGACAGTAATTATGTTAAGCTTTGTGAGTCATACAACTGCTGTCACAACTACTTAGAAGCAGCTATAAACAACATATAAATGAATGAATGTGGCTGTGTTCCAATGAAACTTTATTTACCAGAACAGGCAGACCCCAGTATGCTGACCCTCAAGGTAGAAGATTCTGTATCATAAGTAGCCAAGGTCTCCTTTTGCACTTATTCCATGTAAAGATTGCTCCAGTTCACATGAATTTGCCCTCTTTTCAACACAGGAACTGATAGGGTTATTCTTTGTCCAATATAAACCAATGATGAGTACAATCCAAACACATGTGTCGACAAATTGTTGAAAGAAAGACACAATTGCACAGGGTGTCTTTTCTTTCTATTTGTCTTTTTTTTTTTTCTTTTTCTTTTTCTGAGACAAAGTCTTGCTCTGTTACTCAGGCTGGAGTGCAATGGCATGATCTCGGCTCACAGCAATTTCTGCCTCCCCGGTTCAAGTGACTCTCCTGCCTCAGCCTCCTGAGTAGCTGGAATTACAGGTGTGTGCCACCACACTCAGTTAATTTTTGTATGTTTAGTGGAGACGGGTTTTCATTAGGTTGGCCAGGTTGGTCTCGAACCCCTGACCTCAGGTGATCCACCAGCCTTGGCCTCCCAAAGTGCTGGGATTATAGGCATGAGTCACCATGTCTGGCGCCATTTGTCTTTTGCTCTTCTGTTGTCATGTAAATGCAAAGCTCTATTCATCTGCTTATCTTTCTCTATCTGATTCCAGAGGAAAATTCACACACCAAAAACCCTTCTTTGACTCTAATAATGGAGATGGGCAGGCACATGAGCCAAGGCTGAGTTAAGCTGCAAAAATAAATCTAGATTGAGAAGTTCAGAGACATTTTTTTCATCCTCTATCAGTCATGTAAAAGGAGTGACCAGTTAGATAAAGCAACCCTGCCTTATCTCAAGAGGACCTAACTAATTCCCCCTAAATCTTTTTAGTTCCAAGTCTGTGGGATTCCTTCTCATGACACAACTTCCCGCACTAACTTATTTAACCAACTTGAAGAGGATTAAGGGCTCAGTTGACACTTACGGAATGAAAAACATGTTCTGGCAGCTTTGAGCAGTACCCCTATGAGTTAGAATGTCAGATAAAGGAATCTGGGAGCTGTATCCCATTTCAAATTCAAACAGAAATCAGAGAGGCCTTAAAGATTCTATTTTAATTTGCAAATTGATATATATCAGAAGACAAGAAAGACAAACAGTCCTCATCAAGAAAGCATTTTTGCAAGTTTAATCCACAAGTTCACAGTTTCTTTGACCCTTATGAAATCGCCTTTGCAAAATTATGACTGAGACAGTGAAAGTGTTCTAACTTAACTGACTCCATCTTGCTTCTAGCCTCCAAGCTGGCCTTGTTCATTCCTGGGCGTAGTCTGAACTAACTTTGGGAGAAACTTAGTTTAAACAAAGACGGTAACAGCCCTTTCCCAAAGCAGACCTCCTTCCTGCCTGGGACTAGGTTGCCTTTGTAGGACTAACAGTAACCACAAGATTAGAAATGATGGTTTAGAAGTCATGCAGCTGGAGGCTACAAGATTCTGACCCTCCCTAAACTGCTCCTAAGATCACTGCTTGAGAAATTGTGCAGACCCTGCACTTGATGGATCAGCTGGCACCACCCAGATCAATGAACTGGCTCATCTGATCTTATGGCCCCACCCAGGAACTGACTCAGAGGCAAGAAGACAGCTCCGACTCCCTATGATTTCATCTCTGACCAATCAGCACTCCTGACTCACTGGCTTCCCCCCACCCACCAAGTTATCCTTAAAAACTCTGCTCCCCCAATACTCGGGGAGACTGATTTGAGTAATAATAAAACTCCGATCTCCCACACAGCTGGCTCTGCGTGAATTACTCTTTCTTGACTGCAATTCCCTTGTCTTGATGAATTGGCTCTGTCTAGGCAGCGGGCAAGGTGAACCCCTTGGGTGGTTACACTTATGGTGCTCAAGATTACTTTGCTTCTCCCAGAACACTATGTAATAAAAGGAAACCAATCAATGAAGAGAGACCTACCCTGCATGTGAAAAGATAGCTATGGGGAAATATAAAACAGTTTTATTTCATGGTTGAGTCTATCTAATATTTTTCCAATATTTTAAATTCAGTATTTTTACCCTGCTTAAAACAATACAGGAGAAAAACCCCTGTATTTTAACTTTGGAAAGTTTACAGGAACACTGATTTTGGCTTTGCTCTAGAAGAGATTTAGGGGTTAATTTATTTATTTGACAAGAGCGACAGTACAGAGTCAGATAATCCAGCTGTTATAATTTTGAAGTAAGCATAAATGTGATTTAGAAGCATATTCATGTTGCTGTGTACCTGCTGGTGAAAGACAGTAGTGAAATCCTCAGCAGAGGCACCAATTGCAGTAATCTTAATGAACTGGAGCCTGAAAACCATCAAGAAATAGCCACAACATCTGCAGTAAAGAGAGCAAGCAAGAGAGAAAACAATGATACACAGGAAAAATGTTAATATTGTTTATTCTTTGCAAGACATGCATCAGATACCTCCTCCAGCTTCCCTCCTTAAACATACAAATAAGCATGGGCACCTCTTTCGTCTACAGTGAATGTTGAAGAGAAACTTCAATCTCATTGACTAATTCTGCTGCTCCTTTAAATTGAATTTTTATACATATGGGTACACAAACCAATCTATATGCAGAACAATTCTTTGAACAGCATGCAAATGGTTTGGCATTACATGCTAGGTATCACACAAGTGAGTTTTCACAGTACAAAAGAATGAATTCCTTATTGTGGCACTTGAGATAACAATACTAAAGAATTTCAGCTCAACTTTAAATTGCTCCCTCCAACTGTTGTAGTTTTCTTAGTAGAAGTATTCTTAGTAGAAGTATAACATCCTTCTTAGTTTCTGCTTTCTTTTACCAAGTAATAATTGCTCATCTCTACTAAAGAATGGTACATCCATCCTTTCATTCATTGAGTCAGTCAACAAATATTTATTGAATAACTATTATATCTCTAGCACTATCTTAAACATGGCAAATAGATAAATATGGCCTGGTCCTCTAAAAATTACATTCTTCATAGGTGTGACAACTATATATAGAAACTATTCATATCAAAAAAGAGAAAGTGAAACACATCTCTAACTTGGGATTGTTTTCTTTCAATCCAACAAATCTCCTTTTTGTCACTGTAATATATTGACCTTGGGTTTTGGTTTATTTAGGTGTGTCCCTGAGAAATTCTTACCAGTCACCTTTCTTGAAAAGATATTATTACTAACCCAGAGCCTACCATTGTATGTAAGGCACTGATTACCAGGGTGGAGCAGGCAGAAATATAGAAGTGGTCTGAAGGAATCCCTTAGCAATGACGCATGAGGATGGAAAAAGTTAAGCCTCAAGGTTTCTAATGACATTTTTATTGGTACACAATGAAAGTTTCAGCTGCTGATTCTGCCCCAGCTCAGTTGCCCAGGGTTTTGCTGATAAGTGGAACCAATGAGGGAAAGAGGAGACAGGAAAGGAGAGAGACTCTTTAAATATTACAGTATTTTATTGCCTGAGCAGGTTTGATGCACAACCAGCATGCACTGGTATCTGATTGCTCAATATTTTAATATCACCCTGGGTCTAGGTACCAAATATAAAGTGCCTAGAGAATTTGAGTTTTAAAAACTAAGTCACCTCTGAGATTTCATCAGGGAGGAGATGCCTCCTGAGAGGAGTCTTTAAAGGATAAATAGGAGCTAGGCTTGCAAAGAGGGCTGAGGGCATTCCAGACAGAGAGGACATGCTCATAAATAAGAAACATCATGATGAGTGTGGGGGAAGGTACTAGCATCTCAGTGTAGATGAAGCATAGATTTTGAAATAGAGAGAGGTAGGAACTGAGCCCAGAAACAAATGCACACAGGGCAAAAATTATTGCTGATTTTATATGGCATACTGTGGAATTGGGACTTTATCCTAAGAACTATGGGGAGCCATTTAAAGGATTAAGCAAGGCAATTTGGAGGGGTGGGGGAAGTTCCTGTGGTTAAATTTGCATTTAAAAAGGTTACTCAGCCTGCAATGTAGAGAATAAATGAGACTGGGCAAAGGCAGAGAGTAAAGATAATTTTGTATACCTGAGGGTTGGAGTTATGCTGGACTGGTACAGCAGAAGGGAAAATTACATGATCTTTGAGAAGCCAGTAAGGGACAAAAAGTCTACAAGAACTGGAGCTGTTCAAGGTAGTGGATATCTCACTACAGTGAAGACTAGCTATAGTAGAATTGAGGAGAGTGAGTTGGAAAACTTGAGGTCATAACCAGAGAATGGATTCTTGGAGTTTAAGATTTCATAGGTGGTGAGGTTTCAAGAAATGAAACTGCCTTTGCAAAAATTATAACAATGAGAGAACTGTTGACAGTAAAAGAGATCTTTTACTGTCTAACCAACTCCATCTTGCCTTTAACCTCCAAACTGCCCTTGGTCACTCCTTGTCATGAGACTAGCTAACTTTAGGAGAAATGTAGTTTATAGTTTAAATGATAGTAGCCCTTCCCAAAGAGCTAACCTGCCTTTGTAAAACTAATGAAAGGCCACCAGGTTAGGAGAATGAGAGGGCCCTGGATTCTGATAAGATGTAGGCATAGTTAAACAATTACCAGCCATTATTCCAGAGGTCAGAAGATTTGCAGCTTCCCCAGTTACTCCTGTAAATAACATCACTATTGTAGAACAAAAAATTGGCCTTTTGAGATGTCTTTTCAGACTTTTGCATTTCTGGTAACTGGATGGTTCCACCCAGACCATTTTCCACACCACTATGATTGCATCCCCAATTGATCAGCAACACGCATTCCCTAGCCACCTGCCCACTGAACTATTTTTTAAAAACCCTAGGCTCTGAATATTCGGGGAAACGATTTGAGTAATAATAAAACTTTAGTCTCCCATTTAGCTGGCTCTATATGTATTAAACTCTTTATTGCAATTCCTCTCTCTTGATAAATCGACTCTATCTGAGCAGCTGGAAGGAAGAACCTGTTGGGCAGCTACGGTAATGAAAATGTCTACTACGTAGCCAGAAAAGTTGAATGCAAAGTTACAGGTTGAGGCAGACAAAGAGCAAGGCTGCAAGTGATTCGCGGTTCTGACTGTATTAGAATGATAATCTGTGGTGGTTTTAGACATTCCAGAAGCTAAGGCCCCCCCACCTTGAGAGATTCTGATGTAGTAGGCAAAACTCAGAAATACACACTTTGAAAAACTTTTACACGTTTCCAGTGCACACTGATTTGGAAACCCCTGAGGTTGGAAGGATTATCCGAACAAACCCCGAAGTCTCCAGATGACAGCAGAATTTGGGAAGAATAGAAATCAAAGTCTTCACTGAAAGTAAGATAGTGAGGAGAAAGTCAATACGTAAGGGAGCTGAAGAGAAACTGATGGTGGCATAGCTAGAGGGCAAGAACTTCAAAGGAGCAGGGGTTTTTGCGGGAGTGGAGGGTGAAGGATTTAACTTAGCATCAGCCAGCAAAGGATGAAGGTGTAAACCTCACCTCCCAACACTAACTTTCTTTAAATTGGTTTACACAGCACAAAGTTGTTGGCACATCTCCAGTTCACCACCGGCATTTCCAAATTTTGACTCCACTTTATTCTGTGAAGAAATGGCCTCAGGGATGTTCTCATATTCTGAAACCCTACTTTCCACTTTTCAGAGCTCATTCCCTTCTTAGATATTTCATTCCCTTTTAGGTGACCACAGCCTTTGCGGGGAATAAAATGAATCTTGTGAACTTGAATCCAGAAATTTTAATATATAGATTATATTCTATAAATGTCAGTAGCTCACTTCACTTACCTGGTTTTCAAGACATTTGTGTGAATGAGAATCAAGTGCTATTTGATCATGTAAATTAGATCATTTTCAGAAAAATGGAATACGATGGAATACATTATACAGCATTTGGACAAAAGAAAATTCCAAGTGACTGTCTCTAGTGGTAGTAGTAATATGAATAATGGTGAAGCCAAACAAAGAAAAAGCATCAAGTTTGTTCCTCTAGTGCATTTCATTCCTTCTCTTTTAAATTGTTTCAATTACAAAAGTAATGCAAGTTCCATGTAAAAGTATTAAATAATTCAGAGGTATCTAGAGTAAAAGTAAATGTTGTCTTTCTACAGTACCACAACCAACTTCCCTCTCCTCGTGTGCATTTCTTTCCAGAATGTCCCTATGCACTTATAAAATGCATGCATGTATGCATATGTGTGTTATGCATTTTTATACAACTTCTCTTTTGTTAGCAATATATCACGACACAAATATCCTTCCATGACAATACACATAGATCAAGCTCACTCTTTTTAGCATATCTATAGCATTTAATAATGCACAATATTTTTAAACAGTTGTCCCCTCTTTTGGGATGCTTGTTTCAAAGGACTTACTGGGACAGAAAGTCCTTCACCAAAGAGACATCTAAGCAATCCTTCAGTGTTCACCACACGTCTGTGTGGTTTTGTTTTCTTATATTTAGAATCTTTCATCCTTCTGGAATTTATTTTTATGTATGATATGAGATAGATAGGGGTTCTGATTTTCCTATTCAAATAGATAGCCAATTCTTCCTATTAAAAATAAGTCTTGCATAAACCTTCTCATGCACCTTTTTGTGTGCATGTGTTAATATTTCTGCAGCATATATTCCTAAAAGAAAAATTGCTAGATCAAAGAGCATACACATTTAAAATGTTGAGAAATTACTGCCCAAATGCCTTTCAAAATAACATTTACATTTCCACAAATATCTTGAGTACCCATTTCCCCCATCCTCTTGCCAATTGTGTATACTATCAACCTTTTTCATTTTACAAGTTAGCTTATTCTCTATGTTGACAATTCTCTCTTTGATTGCAAGAAAGGCTGAGAACATCTTTCCTACATTATTGGCAACATTTATTTTTTTTTTATTTTTTTTATTTTTTTGAGAAGGAGTCTCGCTCTGCCACCAGGCTGGAGTGCAGCGGCACGATCTCCGCTCACTGCAACCTCTGCCTCCCGGGTTCAAGCAATTGCCTCAGCCTCCTGAGTAGCTGGGACTACAGGTGTACACCGCCACGCCCGGCTAATTATTTTGTGTTTTTTTTGTTGGTTTTTTTTTTGTTTTTTTTTTTTTTTTGTATTTTAGTAGAGATGGGGTTTCACCATGTTGCCCAGTCTGGTCTCAAACTCCTGAGCTCAGGCAATCTGTCCACCTTGGCCTGCCAAAGTGCTAGGATTACAGGCATGAGCCACTGCGCCTGGCCACAACATCTCTTTTAAAAAATTTCTTGCTCATATATATTATCCTTTTTTGGGCAGACGGTGGCTTCTTATTTATTTGTAGGAGGTCTTTATATATTGCAGATATGAACTTTGTCTATTATTTATGTTAAAAAATATTTCCTCAAAAAATGCCTTTTAATTTTGCTTAGGATGTCTTTCATAATGCTGAAAGAAGCTTTTACTTTTCATTTTGTCAGATCTTTCCATTTCTTTCTTTATGGATTTTGGCTTTTATATTCTGTTTAAGAACACTTTCCCACACTCAAGATTATTTTAAAGATAGATATTCTTTGCCATTCAGAACATAGACATGGGCAAAGATTTCACGACAAAAACATCAAAAGTAATTGCAACAAAAGCAAAAATTGACAAATGGGATATAATTAAACTAAAGAGCTTCTTCACAGCAAAAGAAACTATCATCAGAGTGAGCAGACAACCTACAGAGTGGGAGAAAATTTTTGCAGTCTACCCATCAGACAAAGGTCTAATATCCAGAATCTACAAGAAACTTAAACAAATTTCCAAGAAAAAAAACAAACAACCCCATCAAAAAGTGGAAAAAGGACATGAAAAGACACTTCTCAAAAGAAGACAAGTATGTGGTCAACAAACACAAGAAAAAAAGCTCAACATCACTGATCATTAGAAATGCACACCAAAACCACAATAAGACACCACCTCACGCCAGTCAGAATGGTAATTATTAAAAAGTCAAGAAACAACAGATGCTGGTGAGGCTGTGGAGAAATAGGAACACTTTTACACTGTTGGTGGGAATGTAAATTTGTTCAACCATTGTGGAAGACAGTGTGATGATTCCTCTAGATCTAGAGATCTAGAACCAGAAATACCATTTGGCCCAGCAATTCCATTACTGGGTGTATACCCAAAGGAATATATATCATTCTAATATAAAGATACATGCACACATATATTCACTGCAGCACTATTCACAATAGCAAAGACATGGAATCAATCCAAATGTCCATCAGTGATAGACAGAATAAAGAAAATGTGGTGCATATACACCATGGAATACTATGCAGCCATAAAAATGAATGAGATTATGTCCTTTGCAGGGACATGGATGGAGCTGGAAGCCATGATCCTCAGCAAATGAACACAGGAACAGAAAACCAAACACTGCATGTTCTCACTTCTTATAAGTGGGAGCTGAACAATGAGAACACATGGACACAGGGAGGGGAACAACATACACTGGGGCCTGTCAGGGGGTACGGGGGGAGGAAGAGCACCAGGATAAATAGTTAATGTACGTGGGTCTTAATACCTAGGTGATGGGTTGATAGGTGCAGCAAATCACCATGGTACATGTTTACCTATGCAACAAACCTACACATCCTGCACATGTATCCCAGAACTTAAAATTAAATTAAATTAAATTTTTTAAAAAGATAGGTATTCTTTTACATTTTATTCTAACATGTTGTCACAGCTTGAGTTCCTCCGTATGCAGAATCTGAGACAAACTTTAGCCCTCTGGATTTTTATTAGCGTTCTTGGCATCAACACCTGTAAATTGAAGGAAAAGGAAACAATTAGTCAGAGGCAGAAGTTGAGCTGCCATGCTAAGCCAATGACAACCTCAGCCTACCTCATGGGCAGCTCTTTAATTGAACTGAGATGGCCATGCCTATATATTCCTGCATGTGATCAGTCATTGGATGTGGACTGCTCCCATGGGAAGGGGTGTGACCTTGGGAGAGGCAGCTTTCTGCAGCTGAGGCAATCACTGAAGGGGCCGGAATCTTCTGAAGACCATCTACTAACAGCATTCTCAGCAGCTGGGGCAGTAAGTCCTTCATCAAAGAGACATCTTAACAGTTCTTCGGTGTTCGCCACATATCTGTATGGTTTTGTAAGAAATATTTAGAATCTTTCATCCTTCTGGAATTTATTTCTATGTATGATATGAGGTAGGTGGGGGTTCTAATATTCCTATTTAAACAGATACCCAATAAACAGATACCCAATTCTGTTTTTATTTATTTATTTTTTTTTAGACAGAGTCTTGCTCTGTCACCCAGGCTGGGGTGCAGTGGCGCAATCTCAACTCCCTGCAACCTCGGCCTTCCAGGTTTAAGCGATTCTCCTGCCTCAGCCTCCCAAGTAGCTGGGATTACAGGCACGCACCACCCCATCTGGCTAATTTTTTGTGTTTTTAGTAGAGATGGGATTTCGCCATGTTGGCCAGGCTGGTCTCCAACTCCTGGCCTCAGGTGATCAGCCCTCCTCACCCTCCCAAAGTGCTGGGATTATAGGCATGAGCCACCGCACCTGGCCAGATACCCAATTCTTTTAACATTCACTTGGTAGTACATTGTTTCTCATTTCTTTTTAATATTTTCTTTTTGTTCAAAAAACAACCCTGTCAAACTACTCATTAATTTGAAATCTACTGGTTTGGTGTTTGTGATATCTCAGATACAATGTGGATATTTTCTATTAAGTCAACAGGAAAATATTTTTGTAAAAAACGGGAGAATTTATTAAATCAAGAGCTAAAGAAAAAAGTTTCTGTCACTGAATTTTTTTTATCATTAGAGTCATAAATAATCAAAATAGGAAGGGAACATAGTACAGATTTTCCAGTCTGCTCATTTTCCCAGATGAGAAAACTAAGACCTAAAGAGTGGTAGGGATAGATTAAGAACCAGAACATAAGGTTCATGATTTCCAGACCAGTGTCATTTTCTCTTTGCTAGGTTGGTTGCTTTTAATGTATCACTTTATGATATAAATTCGTGAAGCCTTTTAATACTTTCATTAAAATATTTACTTCTTTACATTCATTTATAATTTCGAATATGTCCTCTAGTTGAAAATCAGAAAATAACATTTTTTAAGTAATAATTTTTAATAGAGACTCTTTACAAAGCTAAACTGGCCTCTCCTCTCATCCTCCAATTATTTGGAATTAGTAACAAAAACTTTTGTATTGGCCCCACTGTCATAGAAACCACAGAGTCATTAGCAAGTACAAGGCATACAGACGATACTATATTGGCTTGTAAGGATAATTGGAACTTTACTGATAAAAATCAATTTTTATTGGCCCACTTACATGCCATAATAAGGCCACTGTGGCACTTCCTGCTCAAGGCACATAAGTGAGAGTTAGTGCGTATTTGATTTTAATAAATACTGTCTGTGGGAAGCCCGGACAGGAACGAACAGATGTTGGAACCATATGATAATAGTGTGGCAGTGTAAAAAAAACCTGTGCATTTATATGGCACACCTGGTGTTTATGATACTTTTGCAACTTTTATAACTACGGCATCTGGCCTTTTGCTGCTGTTCTTTAATTTTCAAATACCCAGGATCTTATGTCTCTTGCAGTGTAGACATGTCCATCAGGAAGAAAAAAAAGGCAGTAAACATGTCATGAATCTTGCAGAGAGAAACCACTGCCTCTCTACAAGGAACTTGCATTAAAGTCATTAGTGAAATTTAAAAATATGAGGAAACATTTAGATCAGCTTTTCTCAGCACTTCTTAACAGGCAAAGAGGATTTACTCAAGGATTCCTGGATAATCTATCTGCGCTACAAATTTTCCCAATATTTTAAATTTGCAATAAATAATTTATGGGGAATATCTGAAATAAATATAGCACCATAGGATCTGTGTTATGGCACTTGCATTCTATTTGATCCAAATGATGTAGGTTGAGGCAAATGGAGATAATATAATTTGATAACTAAAGTTTAACTAAATTTTGTGATTTTCTCTGAGCTTTAGGATGTGTTCATGTGTTAAAAGATATCAAATGTAAAATAGTTCATCTAAATTTTCAATTGTTCTAATGAGTAAGTCAGATTAATAGAGTAACACACCCAAAAGCTGATAAAAATCATTTGACACACACATATGACTTTACAGTACAGTTCATTTAGTAACTCTGTAACTCTTATGGGGTTTTCTGGACCAAAACTTAGAGGAAGCTTCAGAGTAGAGAATAAGGTCTAAAGTCATACTCTCTGAAGATGACCCCAATTTGGGCAAGTCACTTTTTTCAGAAAATACATCCTACTTGGATTTTGTAATGATGAACCTGCCAGAGTTTGTAAGATATCAAACTTATATTAAGACTTTCGTAAATTGGATAGATGTCAGTGGCAAGAAAATCCTTCAGATGACAACCTGAAACCCCTAAATCAGGGGTAGAAAACATTCAGTGGGCCAATTGATCATGGATTATTTCTCATTGATCACCAGAAACCTTCAACACAGGGCCCCAGGAATGCACTGTCAAGCATTCAGGGTTGGTTTATGAGAAAATGTATTTGTCATCCACATCCTTAAGACATCATAAGCATAACCCAACTTCAGTGTTTATAATATTTGAAATGCAATTACTATTACAGTTGAGTACAGTTTAATTTGTTGTTTCAGAGCTAAGCGGGCCTCAGAAGAAAGATGACTTGGATAATTAGAAGCAGTTCCAAAGACACCTTCGCCACCAAACATGTTTTTGCCCTCACTTTAAGCTGAATTTTTCCTAAAAAGTGATTGTTAAATCTTAACCATTGTCATATGGGGTCAAAATGCTACCAGAACTTGGCTGTCTTGACCCGTAGACTTAGCCAGGCGCCTAATTCAGTTATTCCTGATTTAGGTGAAATACCATGGTGACTATGCAAGATGAGAAAGGACACTGATTTTAGAACATTGAGCTTTTTGGTATCAGTGCTCTGCTATAAATCTCTATTTTATATCTCCATCCTTGAGCAAAAAGGCAAACTTCAAATGTTAAATACAGATAAAACTAAATGAATCATAACAAATTTACTTTATTTTTGAGTAACGTAAAGAAGAGAGATAAATACGCACAGTATTTGGGCCTTCTCCTTATTGACTCTGAATTGCTTTAAAGGTATCTACACCAATTCTCTAGCCTGGGTTCCCCCAGGAACAAAATCTAAAAGAAAAGTTTATATGTGAGTAAGTTTCCTTGGGAAAGTGATACCAAGAGCAGGAATGAGGGACAGGGGCATGAAACAAGGAAGGAGAGAGAACCAATTCAAGTACACATTACCAGCTGAGCCACCACTACGGGTGCTCAATCATGTAGGCTTATCTAATTAGCTTCACGAAATGCAACCCAAGACCATCCACCTAAAAGGAAGGGAAAAGCATTTAACCAACAGCTCTGCCCTCCATTGGCTAAAGATTGCCTTACAGGGTACTAATTTACCCTACTCTACTTCCAGGTTGCTCTTGTTTGAATGTCAAATACACTGTTGGAGCATTCCTCACCAAGGAATCAGAGAAGTAAGAGGCATTTGTGGCTGACCATAGATAAGGCACTGTTTGATGGCGCCTTCATCAAAGCTGCTCAAAGCCTGCTCAGTCACACAGGTATGACTTGTTGGGAGACAAAACCAGAAGATTCAAAGTGGTGCATAAGAAACAGCCAATATACCCTGTACAAGACCTGTCAATAAAAATTATTAAACCATTTTATATTGTAGTGACAAACAAAACAGCAGTTCGTTTCTTACAACCATTATTTTTAACTCTCTCGCGTAATTTAAACCTGAACTGTAAAAGTTTGCTCCCCTTTCAATTAGTATTAATGAAATAATGCTACTGAAATTGGTTACATGATAAGCACCATGGAACTGATGAAAAACGGACTTTTTTATTAGTATTTTACCATTATTAGCAAGGAAATTCCACAATCATGCCTTTACACATAATTTTGAATAAGCAGCTTCCCATAATTATAAAATATAGAGTTATGGAATCTAATTTAAATAATTCCACTTATTCTCTGAGGTTTTTAATTACATCTATGATTTTGTTCAAGACCAAAGTTGACAGGTTTACCTTTTGTGAAAGAAGACAATTTACTCATCAACAAAATCTTATTGTATCAAAATTGCTAACATGTCTATTTCCCTTTCTGGCATTGATTTGAAATATTTTGAAATAATGAAATTGTTAGAACTTAACTTTGTGGATCTACTTCACAGTACTCCTGCTTAGCCCATTTGCCAAATCTACCCATGCATATATCATGCATATTGAGAATGGGGGGAGGGTTGAGAGTAGAAGTGGAAGAAGTTCATTTTTCAAGGCTGTATTATTAATACCTGCCATTTACTAAACTCTTAAAATGTGTTAATCACTGTGCTACATAAATGTTTTTTTCACATATTATGTCATTTAATACTCATCGAATAGGTATCCCCATTTCACAGATAAAGGAAACTGAAGCTCAGAGAGGTTGAGTAATATGTGCATGGTCACATAGTCGTAACTGATATAGCCAGTATTCAAACAAGTGAGTTTTACTTCATTATTCAGGCTGTTATTCTGCAGTGTGCTGCCTTTCATTTAGATGCCTGGAATGACCAGAATAGAACCTATAAATCTCTGTATACCGAATCCATTCGAAATTTGGTCCTTTGGTAAATGTCTGTAGCCAAGTGTCTGGAAGAATCTGTCACTGCTCCCTTCTTCTGCACCTTAGAGCCATGGACATCCTGTCAAACTTGGCTGCCAGGTACTGTGTTTTTCCTCTCAGTTGCAGTCATACCACATTGCTTGGCTTTGTTTTGGAATGATCTTAGAGCATTCCAAGCAGCACATTATTCCCAATAAAATGATGAGTAAAAAACAATCACGTCTCTATTCATCAATTTCTCATCAAGCTTACAGATTTTCATTTGTAAGGTTTTTCACGAAATTTCTAAATATTACATTCTCAACTGCATTAGCAATTTGAAAGCTTTGATGCCATTTGGGCCTCTTTCACCTGAATAGCCCACATGACCTCCCTATTCACATTAAGACCACCATCATCCCCATCCATATTCTCAAACGCTGAATTGAATAATATACATTAAATATTAAATCTGTCCATTCTTTTAACATGACCCAGTAGGTACACAGGAACTTAAGGAAATTATTATCCCTTATTTCCTTTTCAGCAAAAATGACCCAGCCTAGGCAAAGTAGGTTAGAGACAATATTCTGCATTCTTTATTTCTAGAGCCATGTGTGGCTTCACTTGGAAGCAACCACATTATCTCTGCCCCAGTCTCAGCAAATGTTTCTCTATAATTGATAATGCTTGACCAAATTAGCCTGTATGTCATGAACCAAGACTACTGAAAAAGCATGGGCTTAATTAATTGACAGGTAGAATATGCCTTTGTACACATTCTAGTTCTTGTTGGAGCAGTGTGTGTTCAATGGGTCATCACATCAAGACAGAGGTCAAATCTTTCATCTTGTTTTGCTTCAAGTTTCCAGTTGACATATGATACTATTTCATGGTTATAAGAATGATTAAAGCACTATAGAAAGTGTCTATAGCAATACAGATGCTCCTCAACTTACCATGGGGTTACATCCTAATAAACCCATTGTAAGTAGAAAATACCATAATGCATTTAATACAGCTAACCTACCAAACATCATAGCCTCGCCCAGCTTACCTTAAATAAGCTCAAAACACTTACATTAGGCAAAATCATCTAACACAAAGCCTATTTTATAATAAAGTGTTGAATATCTCATGTGATTTATTAAATACTGCACTGAAAGTGAAAAACAGAAGGGTTGTCTGGGTACTTGAAGTACAGTTTCTCCTGAATGCATATCTCTTTCATGTCAGAAAATCTGAAGTTCAACCATGGCAAGTCAGGGACTGTCTATAATTAGCTAACTATACATCAGAAGAACAAAAGACAATTAGAAAATTTGCTTGCCTAACTAAGAAGCTTTCCTCTGGGATAGGTTAGGGTTCTTTTGCTTTGGCAGGCTGTTAATGTCACTTCCTTGATTGAGTAATGGGCATGTGATGGGAAGAGTTGAATTACCTACATGTTGAATGTGGGGATCAAGATCCTTTGTGACAGCTTGCAAGAGGGAGGGGGAAAAATGCTTTTTGGAGATACCCATGTTGCTGTCTCAAATTCTTATGTTGACCCCTGGGCCATGGGAGGCTATGATCACTGCTAAGTCAAGGCAGTCTAACTATTGTAGCAAAGAGCTCCAATATACCAATGCCTAAACAGAATAAAGATTTATTTCTTATTTACCACATAGTCCAAGTAGGTGATTGGTGGGAAGCATTCTACAGTGCCATTCAGGAGTCTAGACTTCTCTCACGATGTGATCTGCCATCCCCAGTGCCTCAGAGACCTCCACTGTAACCTCTGTTTCTGGCTGGGTGACAAGAGAAAAGAGAGAATATGGAAAAGGTTCACCTGTTCTTACCTGCCTCAGACAAGCCGTGACACATCTGGCCTCCTCTCACATTCCAATGGCAAGAACTAGTCACATGGCCCCACCTAGATGCAAGAAGGCTAGGAAACGTAGGCCAGTGATATGCCCAGGAAAGGAAAGGAAATGAGTTTGCACCTGACACAATCAAAATAAGAAACACATTCCAAAATGATGCACTATTGCAGCACCTGTTTTTACTTCGTAACACTATCAGGAAATTCCATGACTTTATTTGTTGGTTAACTTGAGGTTTACTTGTTGTGTTTTTTTCTAATTTTGTGTTTATTTTGTTTATTTGGTCAGTGTCTCAAACAAAAATGTACTGAGTACAATGACTTGTCTGTGTCTTTCACTATTATATTCCCAGAACCTGGCATAGTGTCTGGTACTTCATGGGCATGTAATTAAAGAGATGCTAAATGAATGAATGCCAGTGCTACGGTAACAAAGATGAGGAAACAACTCTAATGGCTCCTTAATTCTGAGATGTACTATAGAATAACAGGTTTCAGTAGAGTGGGGGATCACCACCATAATAAATATACATATTGATAAGAGAGATCCAGATTTCAAAAATATTACTCTGAAAAGATGTACAAAAAATCATGATGATTCTAGCTGATGGGCTCTGGAACGTTTCAATGAGGATGTGTCATTTGAGCTAATGGCAAGATGACATTGTCAGGTTAAAAAAAGTTGGGAAAAGACATTTTGGACATGAAAAATAGGACGCACAAAGACTGTGCAGCTTCCTCCCTTTGGGAACAGTGAGTAATTTGACACAGTTAAGTGAAGTGTGCTTAAGGGGAGCAACTGGAGATGAGTCTGGAAAGGCAATTTCGGTGTCATTGACAAGTTCCAAGCAAAGAATTGACATTGTCAGATTTGCGTTTTACAGAGTTTATTCTGGCAGCAGTAAGAAGGGTATATGAATAAGGGGAGTCTGAACTGGAGGAAACTGGTTATGAGGCTATTGGAAATGTAGGAGGTGAATGGAAGGGCAAGTGTTTGTTATATATCCCAGCTCAACAAAATACAGTTAAGCTGTCTCCTCACTTTCCCACAAGACAATATGAAAACCCACAATATAGTCTCTTCTTTACAAAGGATAATTAATATAAATGTAAAGTGTAGAAAAAGCACTTGTATAGAATTATTTGTTGTAGACAACTTCTCATAACATCAAATTAGCTTGAACATCTTATGAAAAATAGAAACCACTTTGTTATACAGACGTCTTTTTTTTTTTTAATTTTATTTTTTTAGACGGAGTCTCACTCCGTCACCCAGGCTGGAGTGCAGTGACGTGATCTCGGCTCACTGCAGCCTCCACCTCCCAGGTTCAAGCAATTCTCCCACCTCAGCCTCCTGAGTAGCTGGGATTACAGGTGCATGCCAGCACACCTGGCTAATTTTTGTATTTTTAGTACAGATGGCGTCTCACCATGTTGACCAGACTGGTCTCGAATTCCTGACCTCAGGTGATCCATCTGCCTTGGGCCTCCCAAAGTGCTGGGATTACAGGCGTGAGCCACCACACCCAACCCTTGCTACCCTCACATGTGTCTTTCCAAAGCACAGGATGTGGATGTGGCTGTTTTCTGAAGTTCCTTTATCTATATAGACACCAGAACCACCAAAGAGAAACACAATTGCCTTTGATCTTTTCTTGAAATTATATTAATCAGAGAAGATTAAAATTCATATCACAAAGACAGAGACTGAAAATTAAACACCACACCTAGGGTCCAGCAAACTTTATCCCAAACCATTGCTTGTTTTCCCGTCCCATTCAATTTCCAAAGAGAATCATTCACAAAATGATGTCTGCCCCCGGGTTCATTCATTCTCCCCCAAAAATTATTTACTCCTATACCACCATCTCCCCTTCCCCTAGGAAGAAGGGTACATAAATATCTGGACCCCACTGGGATTCCTCTATGCTATGCACATTAAAATAAATCTGTATGTCTTTTTTCTCCCCTTAATCTACTTTTTGTCAGTTCCTTTTCAGCAAACTTTCAGAAGGTGAAGGGGAAGCTCTCCCTTGACCCCTACACTCATCTAAGTGGCATGGCAGGAAATTCAGCCCATTTCACCCAGTCAGTTTTTCAGCATTATCTTTCCCTAGATATTATTTATTTATCTATCTATTTACTTATTTATTGTAGAGATGGGGTCTTGCTATATTTCCCAGGCTGGTCTCGAACGTCTAGGCTCAAGCAGTCTTCCCTCCTTGGCCTCCCAAAGTGCTGGGGTTACAGACCTCAGCCACCTCATCTGGCCAAGATTTCATCTCTTTCAAGTTTGTTTCGTAGGCCACATGCAGGGGCTGGGGCCTGTAACCCCAGCATTTTGGGAGGCCAAGGCAGGAGGGTTGTTTGAGCCCAGGAGTTCTAGACCAGCCTGGGCAACATAGTCAGACCTCATCTCTATTTAGAAAAAAAAGAAAATTAGCCAGGCTGGTGGTGCACTCCCATAGTCCCAGCTACTCAGGAGGCTGAGGTGGAAGGATCACTTAAGCCCGGGAGGTTAAGGCTACAGTGGGCTGTGATCACACCAGTGCACTCCAACCTGGGCAACAGAGTGACATCCTGTTTAAAAAAAAATTGAATTTTTTTCTTTGTCAGCAACGGATTAATTATGAAAAGTAAATGAATAGCAATCATTTCTTAGCTGCTACCTTTCCATACACTTTGCTTTGTATTTTTCTCCCAATTTAGTAGTACCATAATGATATGTCCATATGATCCCCTCTTTAAACATTTTTTTCCTTTGTTTTATGAAAGTTAGAAACAATGGTTCTCTCCAGAAGAAAGTTTCAGTGAAATCTCGATTTTCAAGCATTTCCAATTTAGTGCACACAACTTTATTTTCTTTTTCAGTGGGTGTTAATACTTTGGATTCAATCTTCTTGCCCTGAACTTTTATTGAGGTTTCAGCGTTTTAAAGCCTTTTTCCACTCCCACACATCTAGTTATTCTTGGCCCATAACCATTTCATTTGGAGTCTGGCTCTGTTAATTTTTTGTTAACCTCTGAATATCACTACAAACATCCTTGCTTATTCTTTCTACTCAACTGCTTTGGTGCTGTGAACCTGATTGTATTAAAAACAGTGGCTTCCTGCACTTCTGAATTCTTATGCATGTATGTGGTTGTGTTAGAAAATCCTTTAAGAAGTTCTTGCTTATTTTAAGAGTCTTTTATTTTGTATTTTGTTTCTTTATTTGACGAGGTAGACAAAGATCACCTTTTCTGTGCAGCTTCTCCTCTATTAAAGCCACTTAAAACATCAGTCTTGAAATCATTTGGAAAGTAAAAATTGCCTCTGTAATTTGAAGCATCTGCATCCTTTGCTAGTAGAGTTGATAAGACCATTACAAAGAGCATGTCCTGCTTCCAATCTTTAGCAAGGGCCACCTCCAAAACCACTGAATTCTACTCAGAAAACATAATACAATCTTCTGTACTCCATCAACATTTCTGCGATATTGCCTTGGACAAGTCTATGGCTTCATCATTTTCAATTGCTAAGCAAGTGGAATAAATGCATCCATAGTAGTCATATCCTGAGCTCATGAATTGTTTTGCTTAACATCCTGGAGAAAAAGCAACATGCCAGGCCCCTGATGTAACTGGGCTCAACACATATTTATTGAGTGCCTACTGTGTGCCTCTAACTGGATACATGGGCTCCATCTAATTCCTGGAGGATATTTTAACACTGATGAAGAAGATAGGAGGCTGGGCATCGTGGCTCAAGCCTGTAATCCCAGCACTTTGGGAGGCCGAGGCAGATGGATCACTTGAGGTCAGGAGTTCTAGACCAGCCTGGCCAACATGGGAAAACTCCATCTCTACTAAAAATACAAAAATTAGTCAGGCATGGTGGCATGTGCTTGTAATCTCAGCTACTCGGGAGGCTGAGGCATGAGAATCGCTTGTATCTGGGAGGTGGAGGTTGCACTGAGCTGAGATTTTGCCACTGCACTCCAGCCTGCACTCCAGCCTGGGCAACAGAGCAACACTCAGTCTAAAAAAAAAAGAAAAAAAAAAAAGATAGGGAAAAGTCTGGGCTTCATTTTCCTCATCTAGAAAACACAGAAGCTGTTGGAAATTTTCAGATCTTCAAATTTGACTGAAAAGTCAATGTTAATCTTGCTTATGTCTTTCTATTCAACAAAGATAATTTCTAACATTTGGGGAGGGGGCACAGAAAGCCTGGCTCACAAAAGACCTGAGCTACTTTAAACAACAAACCGAAGGAAGGTGAAAATGCTGGTATTTCCTGACCACCATCTCCCTGATTAACCTGAGCCATCCTGTTACAGGTAATTAGATAGGCATGAGCGGGGCAGGGCAGGAGAGGGCTCTTCCCCCCTACCCACTAGGAATGTCAGGTGATGGTCCGACAATTATCACATTGCCTCTCTAAAAATGATAATTCAGCAGCGGGTACCAGGATGCAAGGAAGAGACAATCTCCTGATGATCCACAGCTGCTAACATTAAATTGTTAATTGAATGCAGGCACCAGGGGTAAACTACTTCCTAGGCATGTGCGTAAAGAGATAAAATGGTGACGTATGACCTTCCAGAGACACTCCACCGGAAAAGGGAAGGAAGCCTCAGGTAGGTGGGCATGTGTACAACTTCCTAAACACACTGCGCGTGCTCACTTCCCAAGGATAGGGAGGGCACTGCGCACGTGGGCAGCCCACCCTAAGGGAAGAAGCATGGGAAAGAGGCGAGCCTATAAAGCCCTAGGATCACAGTTAAACAGGGCACTTGACCTTCAGGCACTTAACCTTCATGTGCCTGCTTGGGTCTCTTCCAAGCGTACCTTCCTTTCTTTCCTGTTCTAAAGCCTTTTTAAATAAACATCCACACCTGCTCTGAAATTGACCTTGTTCTCTTTTTCTGCCTTTTGACCCTCAGTCGAATTCTTTCTTCTGAAGTGGCAAAAATTAAAGTTGCCGCAGACCCATACAGATTCGCCACTGGTAACTCGGATACTTCCACTGGTAACAATCCAATTGTAGATGAATATGTGGAAGCTGTTCCCCTGCTGTGATGGAGGACCCAGTAATTATCCATCCATTCCAGTCTGCTTATTTGGAATAATCAGGCCATCAAAGAAATGGGTGGCACCTACTCACTGGCATCTTTACCTCTCCTTCACACTCCATCACATCTTCACCCACACCTACCCATGAATACACATACATTTGTATGCTCACTTTTGCCCAAAATACAGGGAATGGCTTCCAGTCATATGTGCAGGGCTTTTGTTTTGCAATTGGTTAAAGAAAGAAAAAGGTTTGATTGGGAGAGGGGTGCTGGGGAGGACTATAGTGAAAGACCCAAAGAGCTGGAATGAGCTCCATTTGCACTGTGTTCTTTGGACTGGCTTTGATGCTCCTATATAGAAAGGAAGCTAGAGGCAGAAGATGAGGAACATCTTTGACATAGACAATGGCCTTATCATTATGGTCTATAACAGCAGTGAAGTCCCTAAAGGATATTTTAAGGGGAGAGGATATAGACAGATGGGAACAGAAGAAAAATATAGAAGACTCCACTCAGTGGGACTAACCAATCGATTAGTTTATAGGCACATATGAAGCACTCCTCTGGGGACTCTCAGAAATAACTGGGGAACATTTGCAGGTTGCAAGGCTGAGACTCTGCTTCTACGCAGCTGGAAGTTCGTGAGTCAACGAACAACTGGGTTACAGTTGGTAAAGCTTTTCCTCATACTAGCATACAAAGCACAAAGTATAGAGAACTACAACTCAACATGCTTTGGCCTCAAAAAGAGTTTAGGCTTCTAACTAACCACATGGCCACATGGAATGTTAACTCTCCAGCCATTCCTTCTGGAACCCAAACCCCACCGCACCCTCACCCCAACACATATGTACACATATCTAATCTTGTTTAATATAAAAACAGCTCCCAAGGCTGCATTGTCTTTGTGTGCACCCATACCCCTCCACAACTCTCCCTTTGCTCGCATGCCCCCTCTCCCATCCAAAATGCACTTGCTCTTTTGAAACATTTGGTTTCTGCTATAAAGTTAGACCTTTTCTTCATAGCCTACAGGAAGAAGAATCTTTCACCATTCAGTTTCTCAGTTTGTTTTAGCACCCTCCAAAGCCTCCTTTTCATCCCTTTCTGTCTTCTTTTCACTCTCCACCTTGCTGGGAAGTGCCTAGTAACTTAATTCCTCTAGGAATGACAACTTTTGAGTTTAATCCTTTAGGGGACTTACATTTGAATAAGGGACAATCCCCCAACCAAAAGAAATTATTTACTCCTGATGGAACTTGGGACTTCAGCAAAAGGTCCTACAGAGTGGGGACTTGCTGCCAAACCTACCACTTGACAGTTTAGGGTTGAGAAGGCTTCTTTATTTGGTAGAGCCTTGGGACTTCAAATTCTCCCACCCCACTTTCCCATTACACTTTTTCTTAAATTCCGTTTCCTTACATATCTTTCCCATACTTTTCAGGGAAAGAAGCATTTTCCAGTGGTCACAATAAAATCTGGATTCTGCTGATGCTGGCTATTGTTCAGGCAAAAGGAGTGAAAACACATGTCACATAAGATGAGAGTCAACTCATTTTCTTCTTGGCTGGAGAATTGTTTTCCTTGTCACTTTCATGTACTCACTAATTTATATCTTCAGTAGCTATATATTCTAGGGTTTCTTTCCTTTGAAGAGTTTGATATGCTCTTATTGCTCTAATTTTTGAAATAATAATTGTCTTTTGGTAGTTACTGAAAAACTGTCTTAATATGATCTTGAAATAATGCCAAAATGGCCAGAAAAGGGCCATCATTAGGAAAGAGATTGTTCTGGGTCTAGTTTGCAGTAATGAGGACAGGACCTTAGTGGGTGAGCCTAAATTATGCTGTTTTGTTATTCAGAAGCAGTGAGCTTGAGACTGATCCACAGGAATTGTACATTCGTAAATAGAAGTAGGTTAAAGTAATTAATCCTATGTCTTGCAGCTCCAACGTTTTCTCCCTTAAGAGAAATTACCCAGGGTCCAAGGCAGCTAACAACAAGGTGTAGTGATAAAGTGCTTGAGTTCTTTCTGATTTGGGACCTGTTATTTGCTCCAATGTATGTTAGTCTGTTGTATACAAAGCATGTATTTTAAGCCAAAGAGCAAGTATAAATTTGATGTAACCTCATATCCTTCCAAGTCATAGATATGGAAAATGCTTTTAGAAACAAAAAGACACATTTTTAAAAGCAACTCACTAGAACTATTCAAGAAGCAATTAGATGCCATCCTGGGGGAGGGAAACCTTCAATAAAATGGGCAGGTAATTTCTCTTAGCACTTCTTATATTTCTATTTTCATGCTTAATGAAATGGAAGCATGAGAAGGAAGCTCTGCCCATTACTATTTTTTTCCAAGGTAACTTTGAAGTAGTTTTTGAAAATTGCAACATTATTTAAGGTCCTGGACAAATAACTGCATTTGGGAGTTGCATTAGTCCATTCTCATGCTGCTAATAAAGACATATCCAGGACTGGGTTATTTATAAAGGAAAGAAGTTTAATTGACTCACAGTTCAGCATGGCTGGGAAACTTAAAATCAGGAAACTTACAGTTATGGCAGAAAGGGACACAAACACGTTCTTCTTCACATGGCAGCAGCAAGGAGAAGTGCCAAGCAAAAGGGGGGAAAGTCCCTTATAAAACCATCAGATCTCATGAGAACTCACTCACTATCATGAGAATAGCATGAAGGTAACTGCTCCCATGATTAAATTGCCTTCCACAGTGTCCCTCCCATGACACATGGGGATTATGGGAACTATAATGCAATATGAGATTTGGGTGGGGACACAGCCAAACCACATCATTCTACCCCTGGCCCCTCCAAAATCTCATGTCCTCATATTTCAAAACACAGTCATGCCCTTCCAACAGTCCCCCAAAGTCTTAACTCATTCCAGCATTAACTCAAAAGTCCAAGTCCAAAGGCTTAATCTAAGACAAGGCAAGTCCCTTCCACCTATGAGCCTGTAAAATCAAAAGCAAGTTAGTTATGTCCTAGATACAATGGGGTTACAGACATTGGGTAAATACACCCATTCCAAATGAGAGAAATTGGGCAAAACAAAGGGGCTATAGGCCCCATGCAAGTCCGACATCCAATAGGGCAGTGATTAAAACTTAAAGTTTCAAAATTATGTCCTTTTACTCCATGTCTCACATCCAGGTCATGCTGATGCAAGAGATGGGCTCCCACAGCCTTGGGCAGCTCTGCCCCTGTGGCTTTGCAGGGTACAGCTCCCCTGCTCCCTGGCTGCTTTCATGGGCTGGCATTGAGTGTCTGTGGCTTTTCCAGATGCACAGTGCAAGGTGTCAGTGGATCTACCATTCTGGGGTCTGGAAGACAATGGCCCTCTTCTCACAGCTCCACTATGCAGTGTCCCAGTAGGGACTCTGTGTGGGGGCTCCAACCCCACATTTCCCTTCTGCACTGCCTTAGCAGAGGTTCTCCATGAAGGCTCCACCCCTGCAGCAAACTTTTGGCTGGACATCCAGGCATTTCCATACATCCTCTGAAATCTAGGCAGAGGTTCTCAAACCTCTATTCTTGACTTCTGTGCACCCACAGGCTCAACACCAAATGGAAACCACCAAGGCTTGGAGCTTGCACCCTCTGAAGCAAATGCCTGAGCTGTACGTTGGCCCCTTTTAGCCACAGCTGGAGCCGAAGCAACTGGGACACAGAGCACCATGCTATGAGGCTGCATACAGCAGGGGGCGCCCTGGGCCCAGCCCAGGAAACCATTTTTCCCTCCTAGTGCTCCAGGCCTATGATAGGAGGGGCTGCTATGAAGGTCTCTGACATCCCCTGGAGATGGTTTGCCCCATTATCTTGGTGAATAACATTTGGCTCCTCATTACTTATGCAAATTTACACAGCAGGCTTGAATTTCTCCCCAGAAAATGAGTATTTCTTTTCTATCACATCATCAGGCTGCAAATTTTCCAAACTTTTATGCTCTGCTTCCTCTTGAACACTTTGCTGCTTAGAAATTTCTTCTGTCAAATACCCTAAATCATCTCTCTCAAGTTCAAAGTTCCACAGATCTCTAGGGCAGGGGCAAAATGCTGCCAGTCTCTTTGCATAGTAAGAGTGACCTTTACTCCAGTTCCCAACAAGTCCCTCATCTTCATCTGAGATCACCTTAGCCTGGACTTCATTGTCCATATCACTATCAGCATCTTGGTCAAAGCTATTCAACAAGTCTCTAGGAAGTTCCAAACTTTCCCACATTTCCCTGTCTTCTTCTGAGCCCTCCAAATTGTTCCAACCTCTGCCTGTTACCCAATTCCAAAGTCACTTCCACATTTTCCGGTATCCTTTTAGTGGCACCCCACTCTCTGTGGTACCAATTTACTCCATTAGTCTGTTCTCAGGCTTCTATGAAGAAAAGAGGTTTAATTGACTCACAGTTCCACATGGCTGGGGAGGCCTCCAGAAATATACAGTCATGGCAGAAAGGGAAGCAAACACGTCCTTCTTCACATGATGGCAACAAGGAGAAGTGCCGAGCAAAAGGGGGAAAAGCCCCTTATAAAACCATCAGATGTCATGAGAACTCACCACTATCACAAGAACAGCATGAGGGTAAGCGCCCTCATGATTAAATTACCTCCCACTGGGTCCCTCCCGTGGCACCTGGGGATTATAGGAACTACAATTCAAGATGATATTTGGGTGGGGACACAGCCAAACCACATCAGGAGTCTTACTCTTATCATGTTAATTCTGGAACTAAGTGCTTCATCCATGTGTATGATAGAAAACACCAGAGCAAGCTTCATAGCTTCATTCACAGAACAAAAGAAAAAAAAAAAAGATGGATCCACAATCTAATGCTTTGCCAGCACAGTAGTATGCTATTTTTCTAGAGTAAATATAGAGTGCCTTTTTTGTGCCAAGCATGGTGTTAAGTGAACTCATTAAATACTATAAAATCCTCAAACATAGGAACTAAGACAATCCCATTTTAAATATGAGGCAATAAAGGCTCAAATAGGTTAAGTGATTTGCCCCAGTAGAGCTTCTCCAATGTGGTTCCAAAGCATATAGAGTCCCCTGTATTCATCCACTCCCAGTATAAGCTTCCCCTGTATATACATGCTTTTAAGGCACATAAGGAAAGACAGAGACCGGTCTACAGACATCACAATTAAGGCTCCTGGTCTGACGCTGATTAGGAAAAGCCCCAGGCAGGTGTGGAAAAGCAGAGCTGAACTAAACTGTGCCTAGAAAACACAGACAGATTCACTCACTGGTTCAGCAATAGATTGGAAACCCAGGGGTTGTTAGTTCTCCTTAAAGCTTTGTTTGAGCACAGATGTGACCCTGATCTTACTAGTGAACCATCCTGGCCTCAGTTTTCTCATCCGTGACTTAGAAATGGAGACTTCAAATACTTGGAAACATAGCCAAGTGACAGGAAATTTCCAGAGCCCAGACTCTCACACTTTAAGTATAACAACACATAGTTTTGTGTAGAGGTAAGTATGTGCTTGTGAAATAATAATATATTAGTCTTTGTCCCTGGTTCCTGGCATAAAGCTTCTAAAACTCTTGTAATTTCCCAGGTGACAGGAGCATCTTTTATTCTAATGAGGTGTCTTGGTGGGCTCCTGCATGGGGGCTGGTCACCAGAAAGACCAAGGCATGATTAGGAGCTTGGAACTTTCAACCCCACTCCCAGCCCCTTCTCCAGAGAGGGAGGGAAGAGGGGCTAGAAATTGAGTTAGTAATTGTTCATACCTACATGACAAAGCCTCCATAAAAATTCCAAAAGTATGCGGTTCTGGAGAGCTTCCAGGTTGGTGAGCAAGGACACATTAGCATGCTGGGAGGGTGGCTGCACCCCAACTCTACAGAGACAGAAGCTCCTGTGCTCAAGATCTCTCTGAACCTTGCCCTATGTATCTCTTCATCTGGCTTTCCATTTACATTCTTTACAATATCCTTTGTAATAAATAAGTAACAGTAAGTAAACTCTTTTCCTGGAGTCTGTGAACTGCTCTTGCAAATGGAACCTGAAAATGGGGTCATGCAAACCTCTGATTTTTACCAAGTCAGACAGAAGTTGTAGGTAACTTGAAAACTTACTACCTGTCATTGGTTTCTGAAGTTGGGTGAGGGAAGTCTTATGGGACTGAACCCTTAACCTGTGAGGTCTGCACTAACTCTGGTCAGTGTCAGCTTGAATTGTGGGATACCTAGCTAGTGTCAGAGAATTGCTTGCTGTGGGAGAGGCACCCACATATTTGTTCACAGAAGTGTTCTGTGTTGAGTTTTGAAAGTATAGTAAGAGAAAAAAACTGTGTTTTTTTTCTATTCAATGATCTATGCAGAAACATAGACCAAAGACCTAGAAATACTATTCCCCTTTTAGGAAAAAAAAGTAATTTACCAAGTTTTTCCTCTGCTAAAAAATGTCATTTTGATGGATATGGCTAAATAGAACATTGAAGGAATGAAAAGTTCTGTCATTTTTTGGAGTAAACTTTTAGAAGTTCCTTTGTTTCCAAATGTAGTCAAAGTAATGTGGTTTTAATAAATATGAAGCTAATAATATAGCATTATTTTGAGCTTATGAATTGTTAAGCTTATTTTTTGTAATGATTAATGATGAATCATTTTATAAAGCTTGGGTGATTCATCAACAGAGCAGCATGCCTTTAAAACAGGTGTTCTGGGAATTTCACAAACTCTGAATTACAAAGTTTTTTTATTCTCTGTAATTTGGGAATTTCCAAGTCACCTGCAAATAGGAATAGAGACAAAGTAGGAGGCATCTACTCTCAGCTCCCCACACTACTTCCATCTTCATGGGATCTTAATAAATTCAGCTATAACAAAATGTAAACTACAAGTAGAGTCCAATTTCAAAAGAGGTCTAGCAGCGTTATCTAAGAGAGATTGTGTAGCTTTTATAGCAGTATGTTTCTTTTAAGTGTTTTGTCCCTGCTGTGTTATCTTAAAGGATTTAAAAAAAAAAAAAAAAAAAAAAGACAGTAGCAAAAATGTGTCTGCTCTAGAGCTCAGATGTTTTTTAAAATGTGGACTGCTTCCCTGGAATTATTCTTTAGAAAGAAGGGTATAAACTTTAGTTTAGATAGAGAATATAAAGTGATGTGACAAAGATCAAGGAAGGGGAGAGAAGCTGATAATTGCCTGCTGGATCTCACTCCTCTGAACTCATCAAAATGGAAAGATAATGATCATGATCATACTTCAGTCTCATGATAGTTTTAGCTTACTCAAAAAGAAAAGCTAAACATAAATGATCAACAATAAAGAAATGCTTACATTATGGTACACCTACATGATAGAATCTACTGCAGCCATTATAATGAATATTTTAGAAGAATATTTAATAACAGTGAGAATGCTTATAAATGACTAAAAATAGCAGAATACACTGTAAGAAGAGTATGAAGTCAATTTAAAATATACGACCAGAAAAATGAATGGTGATGTTAACAATGTCTGGGCAGCAGTTGTATTTTGTCTTTTACACTTTTCTGTTTGTTTCAAATGTTCTTCAATGAGCATGTATTTGATTTGCTATTAGAAAACAATAACAAACACTTTTTAAAAGTCTTAAAAACTTCTGGTTATTTTCAGACAAGCAACATAACTGTTGACTTATTTTTATCATTTTCTTTTATTTTTTGAGAGACAAAAGTTACTCTGACATAAAGCCAAGAGTGATATAATTTTACTTTTTATTTTCTCTTTCTCTCTCTTTTTCTCCTCTCTCTCTACGTTTGACAAGGTATATGACCTTTATCCGTAGGAGTTCTCTAAACCCAAGCTTGAGATCCACACATTTCGCCTTATGTTTAGCTTTCCTCTGTAAAAAAAAAAAAAAAAAAAAAAAAAATTCATCTTGTTTGTAATTGTCAAATGTTGATGTTTGTGTAACCATTTATTTGTTTATTGATTTATTCACCCAACATTCTTTGATTGAGGAATACAGGCATATTAATACCACAGTGGGGGATAATTTGGAGGAAAGAAAAACTAAAGGTGGAAAACCAGTTAAGCAAGGAATCATGCAGACGTAAAACAGTGTGGGTAGTTTGAGAATGTGAAGAAAGGAACAGGGTCAAGAGATATCCTGAGAGTAGAAAGAACAGAGTTGGAGGGCTCCTGTAGCTGTGACTAATATGTACCAGATACCATGCTAATATAAGTTGTACAACAGTAAACAAAAGACACCTTCTCCTTATTCTGCAAATCTCCAACACAACCTCCCTTACTCCTCCTTGGTCTCAACTCATGGTCTTGCTTCTTATTTTCTGAGAAAACAGAAGCAATCAGAAGAGAACTACATCACAATTTCACCTCCAAGTCTACTAACTTCCCTGCATCCTCTACTATACATTCTGCCTTTCCTCCTGTTAAAAGGAAAGACCTGTCTGTTGCTTCACATGTGTTCTGAATCCCATCTCATCACCTTATCAAGGACATCGCTCTTGTAATCATCCTACTACTCTGCATAATCAAAATTTCTCCCTCTAATGGGCCATTCTAGGCAGCATACAAATATTCTGTCCTTCTCTCATCTTAAGCAAACATTCCCTTGAGCTTAACACTCACTCCAGCCACCATCCCATTTTATCTTGCTAAAAGGTCAAAATTTTTTAAGAAAAAAAAAAGAACATCAAGACAGTTATCTATGTTTGTACCTATACTTCTCTTTCGATTCTTTCCAGTGTTAAAAGAAGATCTTTAGCCAAGTTAAATTTAACAGAGTTTAATTGAGCAAAGAATCGTTCATGAATTGGACAGCCTCCTGAGCCAGAGTAGGCAGAGAGAAACTCCTGGGTAGCCACATAGTGGAAGAAGATTTTTAGACAGTAAAAGGAAAGTGACGTACAGAAAACGGAAGTGTGGTACACAAACAGCCAGATTGGTTATAGCCTGGCATTTGCCTTATTTGAACACAGTTTGAACAGTTGCCCCCCTTTGATTGGCCAAATCTCAGAGATTGGCACAAGAGTAGGTTATAATCTATTTACATCTCCATTTAAATTACAGTATGCTATGTACAATGAAACCTTTAGGCCAAACTTAGAATATGTCAGGAGGCCGATTTAGGCTAAACTTGATTTAACACTAAAAATCAATTAGCCATTTACTCAGATAATTCTACCAAAACTGTTCTTGTAATTGTCATCAGTGGCCCCCAGGTTGTAAGGCCCAAAGGCAGGGCCAGTTTCATGGTGTTCATGTAACCTACACAGTCATATAGGGCCCTATACGTACAAGAGCCTTATGCTTGGGTTAATGCTCTGTTGTTGCCATCCTGAAATTCTTAATAACTTTTGAACAAAGAGTCCCACATTTTCATTTTTTCACTGGACCCAGCAAATTATACAGCTGGTTCTACCCAAAGATCATTTCTGAATTCTCATTTCACTAGACTTAGCAACATTTGGCTCACATGATCAGACACTCGAAACTTTTTCTTTACATGGTTTCATAAATACCATGCTCTTGGTTTTCCTTCTATCTCACTGGCTTTTCTTACTTGGTTAATCTTTGTCTTCCTGACCTCTAAAATGTTGAGCATTTCAAAGCTCAGATCTCAGCATTCTTGTCTACTCTACATTCCTTCTCTGGATGATTATATTTAGTTTCATGACATTAAATAGCACTTAAATATTAATGTCCCCTCCACAAATTTGTACTTCAGGTCAGAACTCTCTCCTGAACTCTAACCTTCTGTAAGCAATTGCCTACTCGATATCTCTACTTACATGCTCAATAGGTAGGGTAATTATACATCTCAATTTGTCTGGAATGGTCCCAATTTATAAACTATCGTTTATGAAATAGTGCTCTTTTTCACACTCAAAAGTGTAATGGTTTGGACAAGAAATTATATGCTAACCCTACCAGTAGATATCAAAAATTGAACATGTTCAAAAATGAACTCCTGCTGTTCTTTTTTAAGTTTCCTATACTCTTCTTCATCTTAGTAAAGGACGTCACTATTCATGTAATTTCTCAGAACCAGAGGTGGACTTACCGTGTAGCTAATAAAGACTTTGTGCTGCTTATTTTTATGGGCCCTTACAATACTCTAAATGTGGGTCTTATCAATGTATTCACATAGTCGTATGGTTTTGTAAAATTTATTAAGACACAAATTATTCTGATGTTGTAAAGATGACTTGAAAATATTCTTTGGAAAGTATTTTAGTCAGCATTCTCCAGAGAATCAGAACCAATAAGATATATATAGGTATATATGAGGAGATTTATTATGGAACTGAACTCACACAATTATAGAAATCAATAAGTCCCATGATATGCCCTCTGCAAGTTAGAAAACCAGAAGAGCCAGTGGTGTGTAATGCAGTTTTGAATCCAAAGGCCTGAGAACCAGGGGAGGTGATGGTGTAACTCCCAGTCTGAGGTTGGAGGTGTGTCATCCATATAATTCCTGAAGTCCAAAGATCTAAGAACCAGGAGCTCTGATATCTGAAGGCAGAGAAAAATGAATGTCCATGCTCAAGAAGAGAGAGCTTTGTTCTATTTAGGCCCTCAATGGATAAGATGATGTCCACCCACATTGGTGAGGGCAGACCTTCTTTACAGAGTCTATTGATCCAAATGCTAATCTCCTCCAGAAACACCCTCACAGACACAGTGAGAAATAATGTTTTAGCAGCTATCTGGGCATCCCATAGCCCAGTCAAGTTGACATGTAAAATTAACCATCACAGAAAGTTTCAGTAAAACAAGTGAAAATTTACAGACTCCTGATTTGGCCGAATACGAAAGGTACTTCTTTTGTCATCTTTAAGTATATTTATTAAAGCACAGAGAAAATTCAGATAAAAAATTAATGAAACATGAAGCAAAAGTGATAAAGATGAGTGATTGAATCAATAAAAATTATTCTGACATTGAGAAATGAAACATTTTTCCAGATTATGCCAAAAGCAGTAATTCATTAAGAAGAGATACATTTTGAATAGAAGTAATGAATAGGTTCTTGGAGTGTTTAAGAATCCAAATAGTGAAGAGAAGTGAATCATATGAATAAATTGGAAAAAGATTCAAATTTCTTGCTGATTTGACACAATGTACTGTCATTGATGAAGATAATATGAAACTCATAATAGTTCCACTACAACAAGCACATTGACTCAAAACTGGTTAATGAGTATCATCTATTCATATAATATTTAATATTACTCACTGTACAAAAAAAATTTGAAGTACTCTGAACTCATGCTTCACATAAATTAAATAAATTTGATAGGTTTCCCAAATTCAACAAAAATGCTGAAACTGTACATGACATTACCAATAACATGTTGTGAAGCTGAAAAAAAAGTGTGAAAACTGAGTAATAAAAAATTGAGTAACCATGCTAGAAAGAATATTGTCTTTTTTTCAAAGAATATGCAGACAAAAACTATAGAAAAAAATAGGATACTGGTGTACTAGGCAGTTAATTAATAAAAGTATTATGTTATGTTCTTAGATTTGTGTCAGCTTTTTTAAAAATAAATGATTTATTTTGATATCATGTGTCATTCTGTAACAGTTGTCTATCACAAATTACTTTCACGGACCCACCTAAGGTTTCATGTTGTATAACAAATTACCCTAAAATCTAGTGTTTTAACTTACTAAACCAGGTATTATTTTATGCTATCTGTGGATCAAGAATTTCAAAGAATCTTAAGTTGGTAGTTTTCATTCAGAGTCTCTCACGAGGCTGCAGTTAAGATGTTGGCCCGGGCTGCAGTTATCTGAAGACTTGACTGAAGCTGGAGGATCCACTCCCACAATGACTCATTCACATGACTGGCAAATTCTGCTGGTTGTTGGTAGGAGATCTTTATTTCTACCCATGTGGAGTGCTCAATAGGGTTATTTACAGCATGACAGCTGACTTCCCCAAAAGTGAGAGATCCCAAAAATAGCAAGGTAAAAGTCACAATGTCTTTTATAATTTAACCTCAGCAGTCACATACTGTCATTTCTGCACTATTGTACTGGTTACACAGACCAGTCCTATTCAGGGTGTGAAGGGACCACACTAGAGCATAAATACCAGGACAGAAGAATCACTAAAGATCAGTTTGGAGACCTGCTACCACAGTCCTCCCTCTGGCCACCACAGATTTATGCCCCTCCCATATGAAAAATACACTCACTCTCTCCCAAGTCCCAAAAAGTATAATATCATTCCAACATTAGCTCAGAGCCTGGAATCACCTGATCTAAATCATGCCCTGGTGTAGATGAGGCTCCTCTATTACAGTTTCTTAAGTACAGACCCTCGTAAATACTTTTTCTTGCTCCAAAGACCTGTCAACTAAAGAGAAAACCTACCTGCCGTTATTAGTCCATTTTCACACTGCTATAAAGAATATTACCTGAGACTGGGTAATTATAAAGGAAAGAGGTTTAATTGACTCACAGTTCCACAAGAAGCATGACTAGCAGGCCTCAGGAAACTTACAATCATGGTGGAAGGCGAAAGGTAAGCAAACACCTTTCAGGTTTTGAGAAAGAGAGAGCGAGAGAGAGCGAAAGAGAGCGAAGAGGGGAGGTACCAGACACTTATCAAACAACCAGATCTCATGAGAACTCCCTCACTATCAGAGAACAGCATGGGGGAAACCGCCCCCATGACCAATCACCTCTCACCAAGTCCCCCCCTCGACATGTGGGGATTATAATTTGAGATGAGATTTGGGTGGAGGCACAGAGCCAAACCATATAACTGCCCTCCACACATCCAGTGTACAATAGTGGGAGAGGCATAGCTATGATAGCCACTACAGACACTCTTGCTTAAGAGGGAGGAAAACAGGAGGTACACTGGTCCAAAGAAATTCTGAAATGTAGCTGGGCAAATGCTGGAAGTTCCTTTATTAGGCTTTGGTGCTACTCCCGCCCAGAAATTATTTGGCACGGCCCTTGGCTCTGCCTCCTGTGCTCTTGGTTCTGCCCTGAGTCCATGTTTTCAGCTGCACAGTTTTCTCAACCTGCTTCCCTGTCTGTAGAAGTTTTAGTGTCCAGCGGATCACGAGGTCAGGAGATCGAGACAATCCTGGCTAACACGGTGAAACCCCATCTCTACTAAAAATACAAAAAATTAGCCTGGTGTGGTGGCGGGCGCCTGTAGTCCCAGCTACTCGGGAGACTGAGGCAGGAGAATGGCTTCAACCCGGGAGGCGGAGCTTGCAGTGAGCCGAGATCGCGCCACTGCTCTCCAGCCTGGGCGACAGAGCCAGACTCCGTCTCAAAAAAAAAAAAAAATAGAAAAAAAGTTTTAGGGTCCAAAGTCCTCCTTTCATTTTGTAGCTTTCTGTCCCTTTAAATGCAAGCTAGCAGTGTTTCTTTCAAATAATTATTTTTCAAACTTTGCATATATCCTATGAATATTTTGGGGGGTTCACTCCATGGAACAAAATCTCCTCAAGATAAGCCTTTTTCTACCCTGAGCTTCTACTGAGACTCTCGAGGGACAACAATCTTCAACCTCTTGGAAGTCGTATTGTTTAACTAAATGGATCTCTGAGGCACTATTTTGCATTTTTTTAAGGTCTTAAAGAATTTTACAGACATTCTGAGCTTTTCTTTTGTACTCTGTTTTTCTGACTGTGACCTGGATTTGATACTTGCCCCAAAGCAATTTCTTAATTTCAATAATGTCTGCCATCTGGAGAGGCTGGAAATTTTCAAAACCAGCAAGCCTGGCTCCATTTTGTTTTACAGTCCTTCCTGAAGCTTACCACTCTTTTCTCATATTTTGTTGTAAACAGCAAGAAGAAACCAGGAGACCCCCTCAACATTCTGCCTGAAAATCTCCATAGCTAGATCATGCAGTTCTTCAGGTACTATATTTTCTACTTTCCACATTACATAGGTGACAGTGTTGCTTAACTTTCAACACTTGTATAACAAGGATCCCCTTTCTTCCAGTTTTCAATAACATTTTCCTACTTTCCTTTAAGACCTCATCTTCAGCTTCCTTAATGTCCATCAAGATTCTGCTAAGTCTCTTTCATGTTCCTTACATCTTTACTAACATCTCCTCAAAATCCTTCCAGCTTCTTCTCACTACTAGTTCCAAAGCTTCTCCATATTTTAAGTTTTTATTATGGTAGCACTCCATTCCTGGCACCAAAAGTTTTTCTAGATATATTTTCTTGCATTAAAAAACATTGCTCCTCCAAAATGTAATGTCTTAAAATATAAACATTTACTATCTCACACAGTTTTGTGGGTCAGGAATTCAGGAATGATTTAGCTAGGTGGTTTCAGCTCAGGATCTCTCATGAGAGAGAATAGTCAAGATCATTAGGGGCCATCTGGAAGGCAGGCCACTACACATTCAAAAGAAATATTTACTTTCATACTTTATTTTTATATGTAATTTTGTATTCACAACTTGTATAATTTTCAGTTTCCACCACACCTGGATTTCCTCAAACTCAGACCAAAACTCTGGACTTCTCTCCTCATCTCATACTCCACAGTTGATCTGTTAGTACACCCTACTAGGACTACCTTCAAACTGTATCTCCAATTCAGTCACATGTCACAACCTCCACTGTTAACACATTCCAAATCATAATCCTTTCTCACTGATATTATTATTTTTCTTTTTTTGAGATGGAGTTTTGCTCTTGTTGCCCAGGCTGGAGCTCAATGGCACGATCTCAGCACACTGCAACCTCTGCCTCCCAGGTTCAAGTGATTCTCCTGCCTCAGCCTCCCGAGTAGCTGGGATTACAGGCACCCGCCACCAGGCCCAGCTAATTTTTTGTATTTTTTAGTAGAGACGGGGTTTCACCATGTTGGCTATGCTGGTCTCGAACTCCTGACCTCAGGTGATCCACCTGCCTTGGCCTCCCAAAGTGCTGGGATTACAGGCGTGAGCCACCGCACCCAGCCCTCACTGACATTATTATGACAGAATTGATCTTTCTGCTTCTACCTTCGTCCTCCTTCAGTCTGTTGGCAACACAGTAGACAAAGTGATTACTTAAAAGTCATATTTTGTTTACTACTTTGCTCAAATCTTCCAATGACTTTCCATCTCACCCCAAGCAAAATCCAAACTCCTCATATGTTCTATAAAGCCCTACATGATTTGGCCTCAGCTTACCTCTCTGGCCACTGACCTACCTCTCTCCTCCCACTTACTGTGTTCCAGCTACAATGGCTTCCATGCTGTTTCTACGTCAAAAACTTTGTATTTGCAGTTCCTCAGCCCAGACACACTTCTTTTTTAATAACACATCATATATTTTGCTCTTTGATATGATTTGGCTGTGTCCTCAACCAAATCTCATCTTGAATTTTTGCTCCCATAATTCCCACGTGTTGTGGGAGGGACCTGGTGGGAGATAACTGAATCATGGGGGCAGTTTCCCCTATACTGTTCTTGTGGTAGTGAAAAAGTCTCACGGGATCTTATGGCTTTCTAAGACGAAACCCCTTTCACTTGGCTCTCAATCTCTTTTGTTTGCTGCCATGTAAGACGTGCCTTTTGCCTTCTACCCTGATTGTGAGGCCTCCCCAGCCACGTGGAACTGTGAGTCCATTTAAACCTCTTTTTCTTTATAAATTACCTAGTCTCAGGTATGTATTTATCAGCAGCGTGAAAATGGACTAATACACTCTTTTTAACAATTTTGTTTATTGCCTCTCACCCTCCACTAAAATGTAAGCTCTCTGAGGGCAGAAACTTTGTCTTCTACGTGGTGGTATTCTTAGCACACAGAACAAGGCCCAACACAAGATAAATTTGTAATAAATATTTATTGAATGAATGAGTAGATGAATAAGTGAATGAACAAATGAATTTTTGGACAGGTCAAATTAGGGCTGGGATTGTACAATGTTACTGCAGTCAAGGGAAAAAAGAATATGAAAAACAATGATATTTTCATCTGTGTTAAATGCTCTAGAAAGGTAAAAGATGAGTCCTGAAAAATGACAGGGAAAGAAAAGGTCAAATTTGATGATTAAAAGATTATTTGATAGAGTGATTGTAATGTAGTTGTAGAAGCAAAAATCATTGCCAGAACGTAATGAGTGAGGTAGGGAAGCATAGAGGCTATGTGTATTCTTTTGAAAAAGAGAATAATGAAAGAAAAGGGGGAATGAAGAAGGACATAAGGGAGGGAAGGAGAGAGAGGGGGAGAGAGAGAAAGAAATAGCACATGTATCCCAGTGCAGTGTTTAAGAGCTTAAGAGCTTAGAATTTGGAGTTAGTTATGGATTCAAATTCCAACTCCACCACTAAATACTTGCATGATTTTGGGTAAGTTGCTTAAGCTCAGAAGCCTCAGTTTGCTCTGTCAATTGGGAATAATATTACTTACCTCGTAAGGTTGATGTGAGGATAAAATGAAATAACTCATGTAAAGAGTTTGAGTTAGGAACAGTTGCTTGGAACATAGTGAGAGCTCAGTAAGTTCTAGCTTAAGAATAAGCACCTTAAAAGAAGTCACAGAATTAAGATAGGGAATTTTGGTGTTTTATTGTTTTTTAGCATATGAGAAGACTTGATCATGCTTAAAAGCTAAGCAGAATAAGCTAGTGCAGGGAAGAGATTGAAGATGTAGGAAATGTGGGCGTGAAATGGAAGTAGACAAATTTCCATAGTTCTGGAAAGAGTGGAATTGAATGAGATGGGCTTCTTTCTTGCATTGAAGTAGGTAAGAAGGACAATTGAATGGGTGACATTGAGAAATTTCAGAGACAAGGGAGAGCTTACTTTTATTTAACAAAACAAGGAATCAAGGCATCTGCTAAGAGGATGAAGATGTGGGATTCAAAGTTGTACAATGCACTACCTCTTTCTTTCAACGTTGCCTTTGCTTCAAAGGCTCAAACATTATTTCTGCTCAAATTTATCCCCTTATTCAGTGTTTTCCACAGTCTCCAGCACAATCAGATACTGTTTTATGCCTGTCTTTTCAAATAAGACAATGCTGAAAGCGCCTTTTTAAAAGATGATGCTCATAACCTGGTAGATTGGTTTGTTTGCTTTTAAAAAACCCTTAACAAAATGTGAATTGCTCAGGATGCATCTTAAAAAATAATTTTACAGTTTTTGTATCTTTCATAGTAGCTTGTTGATAAACATCTCATAAATGGGTAAGTTATTGGGCATTGGACTGTATCAATTAACAATGATGGTTGTATAGAAAACATTTTCTATTTCTCAGATTGCTAACAGCTAGTCTACCTAGTGTTCTGTTTTTGTTTGTTGTTTGTTTAGGGAAAGGGGTTTCCTCTGGATTGAGATTCAGAGAGGAACAAGATCAGAGGTTACAGGGTAGGCTGCTCAAATCTTCTATAGTAGGGTAGTCAGGCCGAAATAATCACATTGAATAGAGCTGGCAATCTACCACTGTGGCAGCAAAGGGTGATTAAAAGAAATGACTTAACAACACTTTGTGCTTCCTCGTGATATTACTTCACTCCAAGGTTGACTAGCTCTGTCTGTAGCTTTGAATAAACTGTGGGAGGTAAGAGAGGGTGAAAGGGAGAAATGGTGGGTCAGCCCTTACGCTTGAAAATGTTTTTTGGTCTGATGAATGCAATCATCATCATCAACAAGAAACATTTGTTGAGTACTTAGTACTTTGAGAGTAGTTCTAAGGTCAGAGGAATGATTTTAAATGTCACTGCTTCGTGTTGGGAGATATATCAAGAGAAAAAGAAGACATCAGTTAAAAATTACTTGGACAGCTTTTTAAAAGACAACTGGGTTATCTAAATCATTCCCTTATGTGTCTTCTGAATTCTAAAAAGACATGAAAATGTTATTAATTAAATGTGGAATATGTAATGTATTTTTCACACCTTTGATTGACATAGGATAGTGAAGCTGCATTTTTTGCGTGTTAAATACATGTTTTAGAAAACATTTGTAAGACAAAAATATTTATTATATATCATTGCTTAAAGCTATCATTTTTTAGCTACTGAATCCTTAGTGCAGTTATTGAACCCAATAATAATTGTTTCTACAAAAAATTTAATTCAGTTTATAATAGTTTTCAGGAACACTGTGCAGCAAATAATAAGGGTCACATAGATTTTGTTTCTATTTTGAAATTTAATCTGTCCTTTAAAGACACACCTTAATGTTATTTACCAGCCTGAGTGTCTTGATTGGAATCAGCTGAAGAATGATGTCCTCCCCCCACAGGCAAAGTGAAGATTCAATCCTAGCAAAATACAGACTTGTTAAAGATTCAGGTACTTAAACACTTATTTTGGAAACGTGTTACAGAGAGAATCTCAGGGAGAGAGGCGTGATGCAGGAAAGGGAAAAAAAGGCTACAAGGGAGGTTATGCCAAAGAAATGTCTCTTTAGAAGGAGGGGCACTTTAGGGTGTTCCAGAATGACTATTAAACCTTGAAGAAGCTGTTGGCCCTTCTGAATTTCAACAGAGTAATGAGAAAGCAAGTAATAATGAACTGGAGTCATAGAACTTAGAGTGGCTTAAGAAGTACCGCTGAGCAGGCTCTATAAGGTGAAGTGGGCCCAAGTATGCATGTTACAAGGTAACTTGAAAATACAGTATTCAACTTGTATTTCAGGTTTAGCTTCCTTTTTCTTGGCTTTGTATTTAGTAGTGTTTAATTAATTTATTTATTTGGGGGTCATAAAGTGAATAAAAGAAAACCAGCATGACAAATTCACCAAAATTTCAGGGAAAAGAAATATTGGTCAGGTGTACAAATTGGTACAATATTTCGGAAAGGAATCTGCCATTGAATTTTCAAGGAGCTTAAAAATGTGTGTAGCCTTTGACTCAGTAATTCCACTTCAAGAAATTCATGTAGAGGAAATAATTGAATGTGCATAAGATTTTATACACAAGATTAGAGAAGACTACCAATTTTCTCCCTCTGTCCCTCCCTTCCACTCTAGATGATAAAGAACATACCCAAAACCATTATCATTATAGTAAAAATCACCTAGAATTCTACCACCCCGAGACGGTCGCTCCAGTAACACTCTTCTTGGTGTTATTTTTTTCAAAGTACTTTAGTTTTCTATTTGAGACCATAACCAATTACCACAAATTTAGTAACTTGGAACAACACAAATTTATTATCTTACAGTCCTGTAGGTCCAAAGTCTGATGGAGGGCTTACTGGGCTAAAATCAAGGTGTTGTCATAGCTGCATTCCTTTCTGGAAGTTCTACGAGAGAATTCATTTCCTTGCCTTTTTAAGCATTCCTTGGCTAATAGTCTCCTTTCTCTATTTTCAAAGGCAGCGAAGCTGCAACTTTCCGTGACTTTCTTCAATAGAAGCATCTCCCTCTGACCACAGCCAGGTAAGATTCTCGACTTGTGAGGACCAGTGTAATTAGATTGAACCCACAGAAATAAGCCAGGAGAATTTCCTCATCTCAAGGTCCTTAAACATAATCATATCTGCAAAGTTCCTTTTGCCATGTAAGGTAATATATTCACAGGCTTTGGGAATCAGGGCATGGACATCTTTGGGAAGGGGGGCATTATTCTGCCCACCACACAAATGTTTTCACGTATATTCAAAAATGTATCTTTTCTAAAATTGATACTGCATTATAAACAATTTTGTGTCTTGCTTTCATTCTGCTTATATTTTAAGAATTTCTCCTTGTCATTAAGTGTCTTTTGAAAACCCTTTTTAATACTACATAATATTTAACTTTAGGGCTCTACTGTAATTTATTTAACCATTTTTCTACTGTTGGACCTGTAGGTTATTTTCAATATTTTAAAAATCTAATTCGGCACTGTTTACACAGAATATCTTCTGCATAAATCTTTGTGAATAATTCTAATTAATCTTAGGATAAATTCTTAGAAGTGGAATTATCCAATGAACTGTTTTAGGGGGATATTGCTTGAGATAATCACATCCATTCTTTCAAAAAATATTTCGTGAATGCCTATATAATTTTACTTGTATGTGTTTTCTTTTCATCCTCACTAATACTACCTGAGTTCATGTCACCATCATCTGTGGTCAGAATAATTACAATGTCTCCAAAACAAATTTATCTGTGTCTACTTTGCCCTACTCCACTCTGTCCTCCAGACAACTACTATAGTGATCCTTCTGAAATATAGTATGACCTTGTCACTCTGCCCCCACCCTATCCCCACCATGTTAACTATTAAATGGTTTTCTATTGCTTACAGGATTAATTCCAAGGTTCTTAGATTGACATAAAACTTTTATATTTTGTTTCCTCCTATTTATCTGCTTTCATATCCTACTCTTCCTTCCTTCCTTCCTTTTTTTCTTCCTTCCTTCTTTCCTTCCTCACAATTCACGCTCCTAGCAAATTTGCTGTTTCTTGCATTTATGCCTTGCTCATGCTATCATCTTTGTTTGGCATGTCCTACTTTGCCTGACTAACTCCTTTATGATCTTTTGAGAATTAGTTCAGATATAACTTCCTTCAGAAAGGCTGACCAGTCATTGTTCTTTAACCATCCCTCATTTCCTGAACCTCTCTAGGCTGCCTTGTATTCTCTGCACATCCCTATCATTGTACTTAGTAAATTTTCTCTGGCAATATGTCACTTCATAATAATAAAAGGTTTAACCCACCAGGAAAATATAATAAGTCTAAAACTGTATAGTCCAGTAACATGGAATCAAAATATATAAAGCAAACATTGTCATTTATCATCATGAAGTGGCCCTCTTTATCTTAACTAATGCTTTCCTGCCTATACTGGCTTTCAGTTGTTTACTATGGCATTATTATATAATAATTATTTATTTTAAGCTGTCAATGTTTATTTATATTTATCCAGGTTTTACTAACATCCTTGCTCTTTATTCCTTTCATCCACTCTGACCTGACATCTAGGATCATCTTTCTGCTGCACAAAAGTACACGCTTTAGCGTTACCTTTCCTGCAGCTCTCTTTGTGACAAACTCACCGAGATTTTCATTTATCTCAGGCTGTTTTTTATATTGCCTTCATTCTTAAAGGATATTTCTTTTTAGCTAGATATAGAATTCTATAATTGACAGTTACATTTTTTATCTCATAAAAGACTTTATTACACAGACTCCTGACTTCCATTGTTGCCTTTGAGTATTCAGACGTCGACATATCTGTTGTTCCTTGAAAGTAACATATCCTTTCTCTGATTAATGACTGGTTTTGGTATTCCACAATCTTATCATGTGTCTAGGCATGGATTTATTTTCATTTATCCCATTTGGGATTAGTTTGGATGCTTCAATCTGTGGTTTGATGTCTTCAGTTAATTATCAACAATTCTCTGTTAAGGTCTCCCCTAATATTCTCTCTGTCCTCCGTTTTTCTCTGTAGACTTCTGGGACTTCAGTTAAACATATAATAGAGTTTCCCACTCTACCCTCTATGTTTTTACCTCCCCCCACCACACCATTTTTCATCTCTCCATGAAGCTTTACATGTAGTTTTCTCTTATCAGTTATAAGATAATCTGTCCATCAAGCTCCTAAGTTCCTAAGTTCAGGTATCTTATTTTTCATTTGCATAATTTCTATTTCTTTCTTTCTCAAATCTGTCTCAGATAAACATAGAAGCATAGTCAATCTAGTCATAAGTTTTTAATTAACTTTGTATCAAAATATCATATACATACATAAGTGCAGAGATTATAAATGTACAGCTTGACGAATTCTCATAAACTCAACACACTTATGTAATCAGTTTTCAGTCCAAGACACAGAACATAACCAGTATTCCAGAAGCCCTTTTCATGATACTCTCTAGTCGTTACCACCAAGGTAATCACTATTCTGACTTCTAGCATCATAGATTACTTTTGACTGTTTTGTACTTTGCGTAAATGAAATTATACAGAATGTATGCATTTGTGTCCGGTTTCTTTCACACAACATTATATTTATAAGTTTCATCCATATTGTTTTATATAATTGTAGATTGTTCTGTGAATACTACTATATAGTATTCAATTGTGTGAGTATGCCACAATTTATTTATGCATTCTACATTGAGTATATAGGAAGTTTACATTTGGGGGCTGGTGAGCATATGTCATAGGGGAGGCATATTGGTAGCTTAATCAGATACTGCCAAACCATTCCCTAAAGTGATTGTCCCTATTTCACTCCCACCAGCAATGGGTGGGAGTACTATTTGCTTTATGTCTTTGTCGATACTTGTTATTTTCTTGCTCAACATCATTGATCATCAGAGAAATGCAAATCAAAACTACAATGAGATGTCATCTCACCCTAGTTAAAAGGGCTTATATCCAAAAGAGAGGCAATAACAAATGCTGGTGAATATATGGAGAAAGGGGAATCCTCATGAACTTCTCATGGGAATGCAAATTAGGATGGAAATGTAACTTAGTACAACCAGAATGGAGAGCAGTTTGGAGGTTCCTCAAAAAACTGAAAATAGACGTACGATACAATCCATCAATCCCACTGCTTGGTATATATCCAAAAGAAAGGAAATCAGTATATTAAAAAGATATCTGTACTCCTATATTTGTTGGAGCAGTAATTACAAAAGTGAAGATTTGGAAGCAACCTAAGTGTCCATCAACAGATGAATGGATAAGGAAAATATGGTACTTCCGAAAGCAATGGCAACAAAAGCCAAAATAGACAAATGGGATCTGATTAAATTATAGAGCTCCAGCACAGCAAAATAAACTGTCGTCAGAGTGAACAGGCAATCTAAAGAATGGGAGAAAATTTTTGCAATCTATCCATCTGACAAAGGGCTAATATCCAGAATCTACAAAGAACTTAAACACATTTACAAGAGAAAAAAAAGCCCTGTCAAAAAGTGGGCGAAGGATATAAACAGACATTTCTCAAAAGAAGACATTTATGCAGCCAACAAACATATGAAAAAAAGCTCATCATCACTGGTCATTAGAGAAACACAAATCAAAACCACAATGAGATACCACCTCACGCCAGTTAGAATGGCTATCATTAAAATGTCAGGAAACAATGGATGCTGGAGATGATGTGGAGAAATAGGAATGCTTTTACACTGTTGGTGGGAGTGTAAATTAGTTCAAGCATTGTAGAAGACAGTGTGGCAATTCATCAAGGATCTAGAACTAGGAATACCATTTGACCCAGCAATCCCATTACTGGGTATATACCCAAAGGATTATAAATCATTCTACTATAAAGACACATGTACACGTATGTTTATTGCAACACTGTTCACAACAGCAAAGACTTCGAACCAACCCAAATGCCCATCAACGATAGACTGGATAAAGGAAATGTGGCACATATACACCATGGAATACTATGCAGCCATAAAAAGGAATGAGTTCATGTCCTTTGCAGGGACATGGATGATGCTGGAAACCATCATTCTCAGCAAACTAACACAAGAACAGAAAACCGAACACTGCCATGTTCTCACTCATAAGTGGGAGTTGAACAATGAGAACACATGGACACAGGGCAGGGAACATCACACACGGGGGCCTGTAGGGGTGTGGGGGGCTAGGGGAGGGATAGCATTAGGAGAAATACCTAATGTAGATGATGGGTTGATGGGTGCAGCAAACCACCATGGCATGTGTATACCTATGTAACAAACCTGCAGGTTCTGCACATGTACCCCAGAATGTAAAGTATAATAAAAAAAATTTAAAAAGAAAGTATGGTGCTTATACACAATGGAGTACTATTCAGCCATGAAGAAGGATGAGATCCTGTCATTTGCAACAGCATGGATGGAACTGGAGATCATTATGTTAACCGAATAAGCCAGGCACAGAAAGACAAACATCATATGTTCTCACCTATTTGTGGGATCTAAAAATCAAAACAATTGAACAATTGAATGGAGATAAGAGAGTAGAAGGGTGGTTACCAAAGGCTGAGAAGGGTAGTGCAGGGCTGCAGTGGGAGGTAGGGATGGTTAATGTGTACCAAAAAATAGTTAGAAAAAATGAATAAGACACACTATTTGATCGCAAAACAGGGTGACTATAGTCAACAATATACATTTATAACTAGAAGAGTGTAATCGGATTGCTTATAACACAAAGGTTAAATGGTTGAGGTAATAGATACCCCATTTACCCTGATGTGATTATTATATATTGCATGCTTTATAAAAATATTCCCATATACCCCATAAATATATACACCTACTATATGCCCACAAAAATTAAAAATAATTTTAAAATGAGAAAAAAAAACTTGTTATTTTGTATTTCATTTTAGATACTCTGGTGGGTGGGCTCATAAATTTTTATATACACTATGCTAATGGAGTTCTATAGTCACAGCTATAAATTTTCTTACTTGATTAAATAGTTATTTAGAAAGGTATTGGTTATGTCCCTTTCTTTAAATTGTTAAATTTTAGTTTGATCACATTATGATGAAATATTATGATCTTTACAATCCTTGTTTTTTGGAACTTATTTTCTTTTAGGATCTAATATGTAATCAATTTTGAAAATGTAAAATGCATATTTGAAAGTAATGCATAGTCTCTGTACTGTTTTAAGTTTGTTATGGCACTCTGATTAATATTTAAATTGTTTATTGTTTCTTCTATTTAATCTAAGCTAGAAAAGGTGGATTAAAACTTTCCACTTCAGTTGTGTTTCTCTCATTTTCTTCAAGACAGCCACAGGCAGTGGTTCTCAAATTTTACCATGCATAAGAATCAAGTAGAATACTTGTTAAAATGCAAATTTCCAAGCTCTAGAATATATCTGAGGTGATGCCAGGAGTTTGCATTTTTAGTAAACACCTCAGGTAATTCTGATGTCAGATTAATCTTTCAGATAACACTGGTGTAGTATCTTACAGATTCTTCAGTCAGAAAGGCCCTTGTTCAAATTCCAGTTATGTCCTTAACAGTAAGAACCTTGAGCAAGTTATTTAATCTCTTTCTGTTTAGTTGTTTTATCTGTAATATGAGTATAATAACCACGTCTACCACATAATATTATTCTGAACATTAAATTAAGTAATACATATGGTGCTACTTAATTACTTAGTAGCATTACCTGGCCACATTGTTCATTATTATATAAAGGCCATGCCTCTTATTTTCATTGACCATATGCAATTTTACCAATATAAAATGATACTGTCTCACTTATTGAATTCTACTTTATTTTTAATGACCACAATTTTTATTGTACCTTGTTATATTTTTGCCTATTTTTAACTTTCGCTTTATTTTAAATGTCTCTCATAAGTTGCAAATAGTTGTGTCTTTCTTTTGTCAATTAAGTCTGAAACTATTTAATATTTTCTTGCTGTTTGGTTTGTTTTATGTACTATATTTTTCTTTGCTTTCTGTTTAGCTACTTGGGAAAAAAATAGCCACGTTTTTAATTTACTCTTGGGTTTAAAATCTTGTACCTTTTTTTTGTCTTCTCACAGTCAAGTATGAAACAGTATTCCTTGGTCTCTCCTCTCCCCCTACACTGTCCCTAGTGTAAATGGAGTAATGTTTAATATACCTACATGTTCGTAGGACTTATTTTTATGTTTTCAATTATAAAAATTTCACCAGAAAATGTCTGGTCTTACTTGCCTCATTTATTTTGCGTTATATTGACCCTGTTCAGCTCAAAGTTTTCTTCTCAACTTTGGTTTTTGCTTTTACTTAATCTGTTCTTCATGTGATTGGAAAGTTTCAGTCTCTTAGATCTTTTCTCCATATCTTATTACATTTTTTTCATTCTGGAATAATTTTTTATAAAGTCTTTTAGGACTTGACTCTGACACTTAAACAGGGAACAACATGAAGCCCTCCAATGTTATTTTCATATCTTTTACTGTATTCAAAAACATTTGCTTGGCCCTAACATCTCTGATGTGAAATCGATGTAGATAAAATGGAACTAGTTAAACCACAAGAATAAGCAGTGATAAATATATAGGGCTTAAACGGACTGAGCTATGGTGTTTATACAAATAAAGTTCTAAGTATCATAAGCATGCCTTCTCTTTTTATCTTTTGCTGTCTGCCTGTTTGGGAGAAGGACTCTTTCTGTATGGATGCCCTGAAACTAGTGTACGTTGCCAGGAGAAACAAGGCCTACAAGACTTTGCCTCTGCATACCTCTCCAGCCTCACCTTGTTCCACTCAATAGTTTTGTTACATATAGTTATAGATCTCGGTAGAATTTCTTTCACCTTATCAAATATGCTATCACTTAAGATATTTATGACTGTAGGTAACAGGCAAACCTCCCTCAAATTAGTTCAAATAAAAAGGAAATTTATTAACTCAAAACTGAAGGTTCAATAGCATGGCAGGCTCTAGGTATGATAGAAATCAGTTCCCTTCAGCTTTGTGCTAAGCTCTCCACAGTTTGGTTGCATGTTAAAGCTGGTTAGCCTCTATGTAGCAAGATGATTGGCAATGGAAATAAGGGATTCAAGCTTTTTTTGATCATATCCAGGAGGACAGAGAGGGGAAAATCTCTTCTCCTTGAAACATGGACTAGGTACTTTGTTCTATGTTTTATTAGGCTAACTTAGGTCAGGTGCCAACTGCTGGACAAATAACAGTCACCAAGAGAATGCTGCACATTTATTAGTCTAAACTATCAGTATTCCCCTTTACATCCAGAGATAGGATTGGATATCTTAATAAAATTGAAATCCCATTAAAAATAACAAAGGGCATATGGATGTTCAGGAGGCAACAATGCCTACCATGGATGCTACCTCCTTTCTCAAATCTTGATCTTTGCACGTACTATTTCCTCTGCCTGGAATACTCTTTGCCTACCTCTTTACCTCACTTAATTTTGTTTATCTTTCACCTCTCATCTTAAACATAATTTCCTGATCTATATAAGTGGCATTAGAAATGTTGCATCTATATAGATTTTGTAGATTCAATGCAATTTTGTGGAAGGGATGAGGATAACTCAACAGTTTTTAAAATCATTTTTCCTAGAACATACCTCAGGCTTGAAGCAGGACTGTTCTATAGAGCCTCACAGGTTGCATACTGCTATTGAATGATGCCCCACTGACTGGGCCCAGGAATGGAAAAACTGTGGCTAATAGGCCAAATCCAGCCAACTGCCCCATTTTGTAAATCAAGTTTCATTTGTGAATAAATGCACTCATTCATTTATATATGGCCTACAAATCTGAAAATATTTACTGTTTCCCTTCATTTAAAAGAAAATGTCATCCTCTGACTTAGACAACACAGAGGCCCTGTCTTGCTGAGAGTTACTACACTTAGGAAATTGACCTGGAATTTCCTGCCCTTACTGTAAACAATCAGAATGTAATGAGATTTTTTGCCCCACTTACTTGTACTTGGTGAGCATGAACACAAGTAGCTATAGTCTCTAACAGCTGGTGGAAGAGAGAATGAATGGGACAAGAATACATGGAAACCACCCATGAGATTAACAAAGAAGAGTGGCTTACACTTGGCAGACTCCTCATACCATGTGTCATCAGCAGTTGTAAGTCACTATGGAAAACTCTGGGAGACCTGAGAAGTCAATACATCCATTCAGGTTCACGCAGCTTTATCTTCAGCTTTATGCAGTAGTCTCTGAATGGATGGGTTTCTATATCTGTTGTAGTTAAATAAACTGAACATCTTTTAAATGCATATCCATCAATCACATTACTGGACCATATTGTAATAACAGCAGATTTTTTAATCTATATTGATGGGTAAGAGTGTTATGTAGATATAAAGTATGAAAGTATTTACTTAGGAAGTTGCACCTGATTTCTTTTCCCAAATAATGAATTTGTTGAAGACAGGGACCATATCTTATTCTACTTTGTGTGCCCCACCCAGAAGAAGACTAAGTGCTCAGCTCCTCAATAAATGCTTGTGAATGTAGAATAAAAGTAATACAGTCTAGCTGGGCAATAGAATAGAATTGAATGTTCTGCTTAATTCTTTAAGGGGGAAAAATCAGAATATTTTCTACTTCTTATAATTTATTTGTCCTCATATATAAAAGATGAAAGTAAAATGATAATAAACCCCAAATAACTGAAACTAGAACAGCATCTTTGTTGTTAAAAGTACACATCAGGACTATTAAAGTAGACTACATCCTTGATCTGTAATCATAGCCACTTTCATAAGAGGCTCAGAGATTTAAGCATGCTTGAGCTGCCCCAGACTAATAAGGCAACTCTGAACTCTATTTCTTGAAAATGAGACTTTAAAAAAACTTAGAGTCTATCAATATCAGAAAGATGCAGCCTTTTCATAAATTCAAAATGCTTACAACAGAAGGTGAATTGTGATTCCAGACTACAAGACTGGTTCATGAAAGGTAGTAAAGCTAGCATGATGTCAAATATATGATTGAATACTGAGCCCTAGCTCTACCTTGATTTTGTAAAAGATGGCTGAAAAATGAATTCAGTCATTCTTCCTTCCTACCACACACCAGACATGATTCAAAGCACTAGAAATACAACATTGAATAATATAAGCAAGGTCTCTGCCCTCAAGGAGTTTATATTCTATTAGAGTAAGATATAGAAGTAATCAGATTCATTGCAATTATAATTATCATACAAGTGATGGGCCAGCCAAAGGACTAGAATGCTGTGAGGACACAGACAAAAAATATTTAACCCAGAGTGCCAAATCAAGCAAGTCCTCCTTAAGAAATTATTCTAATACTCATGAGATGGGTGAAGTTGACCCAGCAGCAAAGGAGGTGGAGAGGTGGTGGGGGTAGTGGTGAAGAACATCCCTAGGAAAGGGAACAAATGCAAAGCCCCTGAGGTAGAAACAAATGTGGAAAACAACTGAATTTTAGATGGAATGGATGATTTTCTAGGAAAATATGTATTTACCAAAATAATCCAAGAAACAGAAAGCAAGAATGACATGAGATTATACTGAAGAGGTAGGCAAGGGTGATGTCATGAAGGGCTTTGTTGATTGTGTTAAAGATTTTGAACCATGTTAAGGATTTTGGGGCAATTAGAAGTCACAAAAGGACTTTGAGCAAGATAATACAGGTTGAGCAATCCTAATCTGAAAATCTGAAATCTGAAATGCTCCAATCTGAAACTTTTTGAGTGCCAATGTGATGCCACAAGTGGAAAATTCCACATATAAATACCTGACACAAACTTTGTTTCATGCACAAAATTATTTCAAATATTTTATAAAATTACCTTCAAGCTATGTACATAAGGTATATATGAAACATAAATCAATTTCATATTTAGACTTGGGTCCCATCCCCAAGACATTTCATTACACATATGCAAATATTCAAAAAAAATCTGAAATCTAAAACACTTCTGGTCCCAAGCATTTTAAATAAAGGTTGCTCAACCCATATCCTAATCAGATTTATGGTTCCTAAAAACTAACACCAGTTATTGTATAAAAACTCAGGAGAAGAGGAAGAACAAAAGCAGTTTGCCCAGTTAGTGTGCAATTCACAACTTTCCTTCCCTATGATTTCATTTGTAGGAAACACTGTGCAATGCAGTAACTACTCCCTATGATAATCGTGTTAGTGATTTACTTGACCCTTTGAATTAGGCAGGAAAAGCTAAATTGCATTGCAGTAACAACAATAAACCTCCATGGCTTAAAACAACAAAAGTTTGTTTTTTGTGATACATGTTCATCTTGAGTCAACTGGTAGACTTTGCTACATGACATCCTCATTCTAAGATGCAAGCTGACAGAGCAGCTATGATCTGGAGTATTACCCATGGCTGGGGAATTAACTTGGGATCACCTAAATCAAATAGCATGCTAGTTTTCAGAGCTTCCGCCTAAAAGTGATGCATGTCCCTACTTCTCTCATGCAGGGGTGACGGAGAAGTGCAGTTGTATAATGTAACTGAAAAGAGGAAAATCGAATTATTTATGACAAAGAGAAGAAAATCAAATTATTTATGACAAAAGACAATTTATATGAGAGAAAATATTTGCAAATCATATATCTGATAAAGATCTAGTATCTAGAATATGTAAAAAACTCTTAAAACTCAACAACAAAAAAACCAAACAACCCAGCTTAAAAATGGGCAAATGATTTGAATAGATATTACTTTAAAGAGGATATAAAAATGTCCAATAAACATATGAAAGATGCTCAACATCATTAGTCCTTAGGGAAATGCAAGTCAAAACCACAATGAGATACCACTTCACACCCACTAGGATGGCTAGAATTTAATAACAAAAACGAAAGTGGAAAATAACAAGTGTTGGTAAGGATGTGGATAAATTGGAACCCTCATATATTACTGGTGAGAATGTAAAATGGTTCAGCTACTGAGGTTCCTCAATAAATTAAATATAGAATTACCACATGACCCAACAATTCCACTTCTAGGTTTATACCCCAAATAATTGAAAACAAATACTCACATATGCACACATATTTATAGCAGCGTTATTCACAATAGCCAAAAGGTGAAAACAACCCAAGTGTCCATCAACTGAAGAATGGATAAACAAATTCTGATATATACATACAATGGAATATTATTTAGCCATAAAAAGAATAAAGTACTGATACATGCTATGATGTCGTTAAACCCTGAAAATGTACTAAGTAAAAGAAGCCAGACACAAAAGGTCACATATCGTATTACTCAATTTATGTAAAATATCCAGAATAAGTAAATCCATAAGCGATAGAAAACAGACTGGTGTTGTCAGGGGTTGGGGGATGGGGTAATGGGGAAGAACTGCTTAATGAATATGAGATTTATTTTGGGGAGTAATGAAAATATTTCACAACTAGATAGAGGTCGTGGTTGAATTGGAATGTACTAAATGACACTGAAATATTCACTTTAAAATGATTAATTTTATGTTACATGAATTTCACCTTAATAAAAAAAAATTATTTATGACAAGACCTAATCACTACCACACCCCTGTCTAAAAATAAATCGGTCATGAGAGAGCTTGTAGGATATTCTGACATTTTTAAGGTAAAAATACATTTTAGAATATAACGTGGCCTTTTGAGAACTGTTTTCTTGTAATTATAATCCCCATCATTCCTTGTAGTTCTTTTGCTTCATATGACAATATAAGATACCTTCCTATACATCTATATCATTTAGATTTCCCTCCAAAAAGGTCATAATCAGCAAGAAATCTTACCAAATATCCATTCCCTGAATATTATTAGGTCTTCCAAAGCAATAAGATCCTTATCCCTTTGTATAGAGATCAGGCATGGTTACAATCTGAGTATTTAAGAGCCAAAGTTAGTGGAGTATTTGTTCTAATTCTTCAGGAAGAACTAGATTTTAGTAGGGGTTAGAATTATCAGAATCTTTCAGATCTGGCCCAAAGTGCATAAGTGCATGTTCTGTTCTGGGTTTTTGTTTTGTTTTGTTTTTGAGACCGAGTCTCGCTCTGTCGCCCAGGTTGGAGTGCAGTGGCGCCATCTCGGCTCTCCGCAAGCTCCGCCTGCCGGGTTCGCGCCATTCTCCTGCCTCAGCCTCCCGAGTAGCTGGGACTACAGGCGCCCGCCACTGTGCCCGGCTAATTTTTTGTATTTTTAGTAGAGACGGAGTTTCACCGTGTTAGCCAGGATGGTTTCGATCTCCTGATCTCGTGATCCGCCCTCCTCGGCCTCCCAAAGTGCTGGGATTACAGGCGTGAGCCACCGCGCCCGGCCCTGGGTTTTTTTAAGGATATACCAGCCATTCCTGAAAACATGCCATCAATGTAGCTAAGAAATAAAGAAAGTTAGGTATGCCTACTAAAGAAAAGAGACTAGGCACCATTTCAATTTCAGACTGCAGAGTTCATGCTATCCAGACCTTAATATGCCTGCTGATTAGGAGCATATTGATAAAAAAGCCTGATCACTTAAGGTCAATCAGGATTGCACTTTCTGCCCAGAGATGATTTGGTGGTGTGGTCAAGTCATGAAATTCAAATCTTTTTATATGCAAAATAAAATGAAAGATATTTAAATTGTTAGAGCGAGTCAAAACAATTTGTCTAATGGTTCCCCAAACAGTCACTGTCCTTTTTAATCTAAGTTGACACTGCTGACAATGGTGTTTTCTACATCAGACTTCTCCATCTCAGCAGGCAATACACAGAATCATTCAAGTGGAGCGGCCTAAACAATACCTGACTTTTCGTCTATTACCAGCCCCATGCAAAGCATTATGGGTGTTAGAGAGCAATGGGTCAAAAAGGGTGTAGAGAAAGCCATAGCTGGTTCTTTTTCGTGCAGGATACCAAAAACATCAGGATAGAAGGGAAAAGGCTATGATATGATCTGAAACCAAAAGGAAGTGAAAAGAAACACAGAAAGGTTCGTGCTAAAAGATTTTTGAAATTAAAAAAAAAATTTAAATGGGGTACAAATCCTGTTTCCACTAGTTACTAGCTGGGTGATCCTGGACTTTACCTTTCTGTGCCTCATCTGTAAAATAGAGATGATAATAGTACCTCACTCACAAGGGGTTGTTATGAGGAATAAATGAATTTGATTCATGTGAAATGCTTAGAATAATGGTTCTCAAACTTTCTCACACATCAGATAATCTGGAGGAGCTTGCTAAAACAGACTGCTGGGTCCCACTCCCAGGCTTATTGGTTCACCAGGACTGAGGTGGATCTCTAGAATGTGCATATGTGCATTTCTAACAACTTACCAGATGATGCCAGTGCTACTGGGTGACCACACTTTGAGAGTCACCAGGCTCCTATGATGTTTAGCATATGCTAAATTAGGAATTACTATTTTGCAAAAGTAAAACAAATATAATTTATTAAGCATTTACTATATGCCAGGTACTGTTCATATTCTTTTATGTGTATTGTCTCATTTAAGCATCCCAACAATTCTCCGAAGAAGGTACTGTGATCAGTACCTAATTACAGATGAAGAAATTAACACCCAAAGGGCTTGGAGAAATTGGCCGAAGCCCCATAGCTTGTAAGTGGCAGACATGCAAATTAACTGTCTATCTCCAGAGATTATGCAGGTGACTCCTCAAATCTGCCACTGCCTTCCGTCTCTGTAATGCCTTGACCCTCCCGCCCAGGTGCCTTCGTGCTGTTCTCTTTGGCACCCAGGAACTCCTCTTTCTGCCAGGCTGCACTAGAACTTTGAAATTTTTATTTTTTTCTTCCCTATTATCTCCACCCTTATCTTCTCCACTTGCTAACCCAAATGGAAGAGCACATATTCAGTGTATTGCCATCTATATCTGGAATGATCCTCTCCCTTCTCTAACACAGTTTTCCATTTTCTATGTTTTCATTAATACCTACCTTAGATGTCATCTTTAGAAGCCCTTCCCTGCTCACCTTTCTCTCTCTCTCCCTTTCTCTCTCTCTCTCTCTCTCTCAACCCATGAAAGTTAATCACACTTTTCTTCTGAGAATGTAGTATAGTGGCTAAGGGCACAGACCTGGATTTGAATTCTAAGCCTACCTCTGCTACTTACTAGATATATGACCCTGAACAAGTCACTTAACTTTTCTGGGTCTCAGTCTCTTCATCTGTAAAATAACGATAATAATAGTGCCTACCTCAGGATTGCTGTGAGGAGTGGATGGGTTTATCCATGTAAAATACTTAACATACTATCAAGATATATACTATGATAAAAAGAAAGTACTCAAAATATTAGCTATTTCTTTCATACTATCTTTATAATATCATGAAAGTATGATGGCATGAAAGTCTCTGCCTAAAGTATATACCCAAAGCATCACCTTATTATTACACTGTATTGCAGTCATCTGGTCCCTTACCTATGTCTGAGGAACACTTTGCCTCTGCACTCTCTATACCAGAGGTCCTCAAAATGTGATCCCTGCTCATAACTCACTACTTCAGTTCATGGTCTAGGTCATGGGCCCGTGTTCATGGCACACAGGGATCCTGTTGCTTTGACTTTGGACCATGTACCTCCATCAGCTCTCTCAGCACAGTGCGATTCTCAAGGTACTCTGTAAATAGTAAGTACTCTTTACTTTTTTTTTTTTTTTGAATGAACTACATTAGTGGTTCTCAAAGTGTGGTCTTTGGACCAGCAGCATCAGCGTCACCTGGGAACTTGTTAGATCTGAAACTGCATTAATAATAAGAAAACAACCCAATTAAAAAATGGAAAAGGATTTGAAGAGATATTTCTCAAAAGAAGTCATACAAATGCCCAACAGGTATATGAAAAAATGTTCAACATCACTAATCACCAGAGAAATGAAAATTTTTTTCAACTTCTATTTTAGATTTAGGGGATACATATACAGGTTTGTTACCTGGGTGTAGTGTGTGATGCTAAGATTTAGGGTATGAATGATCCTGTCACCCAGGTACTGAACATGGTACCCAATTGTTTTTCAACCCTTGCCCTCCTCCCTCCTTCCTATTTCTAGTAGTCCCCAGTGTCTATTGTTCTCATCTTTATGTCCATCAGTATCCAATGTTTAGCTCCCACTTATACCACTTATAAGTGAGAACATGCAGTATTTGGTTTTCTGTTCCTGCATTCATTTGCTTAGGATAATGACCTCCAGCTGCATCCATGTTACTGCAAAGAACAGGCTTTTATATTTTTATAGCTGTGTAGTATTCCATGGTGTATATGCACCATATTTTCGTTCTCCAATCCACCATTGATGGACACCTAGGTTGATTCCATGTCTTTGCTATTGTGAATAGTGCTGCAATGAACAGATGAGTGCATGTGTCTTTTCGATAGAATAATGTATTTTCCTTTGGGTATATACCCAGTAATGGGGTTGCTGGGTTGACTGATAGCTCTGTTTTAAGTTCTTTGAGAAATCTCCAAACTGCTTTCCACAGGGGCTGAACTAATTTACATTCCCACCAGCAGTGTATAAGCATTCCCTTTTCTCTGCAGCCTCGCCAGCATCTGTTGTTTTTTAACTTTTTAATAACAGCCATGCTGACTGGTGTGAAATGGTATCTCATTATGGTTTGGATTTGAATTTCTCTGATGAGTAGTGATGTGGAGCATTTCTTCATTAGTTTGTTGGCTGCTTGTATGCCTTCTCTTGAGAAGTGTCTGTTCATGTCCTTTGCTCATTTTTTAATAGGGTTATTTGTTTTTTGCTTTTTGAATTGTTCAAGTTTCTTATAGATTCTAGATATTAGACCCTCATCAGATGCATAGTTTACAAATATTTTCTCCTATTCTGTAGGTTGTCTATTTACTCTGTTGATAGTTTCTTTTGCTACGTAGAGGATCTTTAGTTTAATTAGGTACCACTTGTCAATCTTTGGTTTTGTTGCAATTACTTTTGAGGACTTAGTTATAAATTCTTTATCAAGTCCAGAGTGGTGTTTCCTAGGTGTTTTTCTAGGATTCTTATAGTTTGAGGTCTTACATTTAAATCTGTAATACATCTTGAGATCATTTTTGTATATGGTGAAAAGTAGGGGTTCAGTTTTATTCTGCATATGGCTAACCAGATATCCCAGCATCATTTATTGAATAGGGAGTCCTTTCCCCATTCCTTTTTTTTTTTCAATTTGTCAAAGAGCAGATGACTGTAGGTTCATGGCTTTATTTCTGGGCTCTCTATTCTGCTCCATTGGTCTATGTGTCTGTTTTTGTACCAGTACCATGCTCTTTTGGTTACTGTAGCCTTATAGTATAGTTTGAGTTGGGTAATGTGATTGATGCCTCCAGCTTTGTTCTTTTTACTTATGATTGCTTTGGCTATTTGGGCCCTTTTTTTGGTTACATGTGAAATTTAATTTTTTTTTTTTTTTTTTGCCAGGCACAGTGGCTCATGCCTGTAATCTCAGCACTTTGGGAGGCCAAGGTGGGCAGATCACCTGAGGTCGGGAGTTCAAGACCTGACCAATATGGTAAAAACCTGTCTCTACTAAAAAAATACAGAAAATTAGCCACGCATGGTGGCGGGCGCCTGTAATCCCAGCTACTTGGGAGACTGAGGCGGGAGAATTGCTTGAACCCAGGAGGCAGAGGTTGCAGTGAGCAGAGATCACGCCACTGCACTCCAGCCTAGGCCTGACAGAGCAAGACTCTGACAAAAAAAAAAAAGATTTTTCTACTTCTGTTTAAAATGACAGTAGTTTACATGAGCATGGAATGTTTTTCCATTTGTTTGTGTCATCTGTGATTTCTTTTAGCAGTGTTTTGTAGTTCTCCTTGTAAAGATCTTTCACCTCCTTGGTTAGATGTATTTCTAGGTATTTTTTTTTTTTTTGTGTGTGTGTGTGTGTGTGTGGCTATTGTAAATGGGATTGCATTCTTGATTTGGCTCTCAGCTTGAACCTTACTATTGTGTAGAAGTGCTACTGATTTTTGTACATTGATTTTGTATCTTAAACTTTACTGAAGTCATTTATCAGTTCCAGGAGCCTTTTGGCAGAGTCTTTAGGGTTTTCTAGGGATAGGATCATATCATCTGTGAAGAGAAAGAGCTTGACTTCTTCTTTTCCTACTTGGATGCCTTGTATTTCTTAGAGAAATGAAAATTAAAACCACAATGAGATATCATCTCACCTATTCTGTTAAATGACTTTTATCAAAAAGATGAAAGATAAATGCTGGAAAGGATATGAAGCAAGGGAAACCCTTCTACACTATTGATGGGAATGAAAATTAGTACAGCCATTATGGAGAACAGTATGAAAATTCTGCAAAAAAACTAAAACTAGAACTACTATATGTGATCCAGCAATCCCACTACTGGGTATAAATCCAAAGGAAATGAAATCAGTATGTCAACGAGATATCTGCATTCTCATGTTTATTGCAGCACTATTCACAATAGTAAAAATATGAAATCAACCTAAGTGTTTATCAACAGATGGATAAAGAAAATGTGGTATAGATACAAAATGGAGTACCATTCAGCCTTAAAAAAAGAAAGTTCTGTCATTTGCAACAACATGGATGAACCTGGAGGGCACTGTGTTAAGTGACATAAGTAAAGCAAAGAAAGACAAATACTGCGTGATCTCACCTATATGTAGAATCTAAAAAAGTTGAATTCATCAAAGTAGTGGTTACTAGAGCTTTGAGTGGAAGGCGGGAGAGATGTTTGTTAAAGGATACAAAATTTCAGTTAGATTGGAGAAATAGTTCAAGAAATCTTTTGTACAATGTGGTGACTATAGTTAATAACAATGTATAGTATACTTGAAAATTGATCAGAGAGAAGATTTTAAGTGACAAAAAAGTGATAAGTATGTGAAGTAATGCGTATGTTAATTAGCTCAATTTAGCCATTCCACAATGTATACATATTTCAAAACATGTTGTTCATGATAAATATAAACAATTTTTATTTGTGGATTAAAATGAATAAATAAATGATGTTTAAGAAAATTAAAAAAAAAAAAAAAAGAAGCTCTCAGGGAGGGGCCCAGTAACCTGTGTTTGGTTTTTTTGTTCTGTTTTGTTTTTTTCCGGCAATGAAGTCTCGCTCTTGTCACCTAGGCTAAAGTGCAACGGCACCATCTCGACTCACTGCAACCTCCACCTCCCTAGTTCAAGTGATTCTCCTGCCTCAGCCTCCCACGTAGCTGGGATTACAGGCACCTGCCACCACACCCAGCTAATTTTTGTATTTTTAGTAGAGATGGGGTTTCACCATATTGGCCAGGCTGGTCTCAAACTCCTGACCTCAGGAGATCTACCCGCCTCGGCCTCCCAAAATGCTGGGATTGCAGATGTGAGTCACCATGCCCGGCCATCTGTGTTTTTACAAGTCCTAGACTTGGGTAAGAGAACCATGCTCTGCCATGCCTGGCTTAATAATTGCCTCATTTTCTAAGGGCCTACTTTCTATTAGCTTTCCTTTTTTTCACAAGGCATATAGTTTTTGAAATTTTTCTAGAGTCATATTTTGGTAACATCACAGTGAACAAGAAATTACTAGACTCAGAACTCATGTCAAGGTTAGGATAAGAACAAAATGTGGATCTCAATGTCATACATAATATTCTTAAACTCTTTGAGTGTTGAGCAAGCTGAAATTTTCTAAGACTATGCTATTCCTATGAGGAAAATATCATTTTTAACCATCCTTATCACAATTAATAAAGCATCAAAAGACTAAAAGAAAACAAGTCTCTCCCAACAACAACAAAAAACGGCCTTCTTTGTGCTAAGCTACAACAGTTTCCCACTGATTGCAAGATATCTCTTAATCACATATTTAACTCCTCTATTGAATTGTACTGCCTATTTATGCACACACACAATTACTGACAACTGTAGAGAATTTTAACTCCTTGAGAGAGTTGCAGAGGCAAATCCTTAGTGGAAAAACAAAGTGGCGACTTTATCAAAATACTCTAGACTTCATTTCCATCCTAAAATGTGTTTAGTACTCTCTATAATTCCTCAAAACCATTAAAACATGCTTTCTGGGAGGCCGAGGTGGGCGGATCACAAGGTCAGGAGATCGAGACCATCCTGGCTAACACGATGAAACCCCATCTCTACTAAAAATACAAAAAATTAGCCGCGTGTGGTGGATTTGCCTGTAATCCCAGCTACTCGGGAGGCTGAGGCAGGAGAATGGCGTGAACCCAGGAGGCAGAGCTTGCAGTGAGCCAAGATCGCGCCACTGCACTCCAGCCTGGGCGACAGAGCGAGACTCTGTCTCAAAAGAAAAAAAAAATTAAAATTAAAAAAATTAAAAAAAAAAAAGCCATGCTTTGTTTGCATACAATCAAAGCAACAGTCTGGGCTGGTGAGGCTGCAAAACCTTATTTTTAAGGGGACTTCAGAGAATATTAAATAGGGAGTTAGGGTACCTGGATTCTAGTGAAGGCCCTTCTGTGTTCTAGCTATGTGACCGTGAGCAAATCACTCTCCTCTTTGCTGCATTTCTCCATCTATAAAATAAAAAGATTTAGACCGGATGATATTTAAAACTCATGGCTTCTCTGAAGTTTCTGGGGTAACCCTAAGGTCAAAATTTAGAGTTAAAGTGATAGTAAAACTTGAGATTACCTTCTTGTAAATGGGGTGATTCTAAACAGGTCTTGGCTAAAGGCTATGTAGCAACCACTGGAGATCAGCACAGACATAATGACTGATGATAGAGGTGGATATTCCCTGAGTTTAGCCTACTTTCTGAGGGCAGGTTGGATAAACAGTGGGCCCAAGGCCTATAAGATTCAAGGGCCAAGGCCTCTCTGTTATGTACCATCTAGGAACATGTTGTTTAATTTCTAAATCCATTTCAATAAATTCTGATTATCTCTAGATGTCTAACATTCTTGAACATTTCTTTCCAATGATAGTAATTGCATTATCTGAGATCCTGAAAATAACATGACCTCCTGGGAGCCATCTGGAGCCACTCAGGACTTCCTAAGAAGGCTCTAGGTTTGGCATACCAACGGTCTGCTCACTGTTCATCAGGCCATTCTACCTTAGAACCTGCCTCCATCTCAAAGACCTATGCAGCTTAGGGATTCATCAGTGTCACCTCTGCCATTAAAGCAGGTGCCAAAATGATGAGCTCTTTTTTTCCATACTCCTTGGCAAATTGCAAAACATTCTCTAGGGTTTCTTAGGTATCTGAAAGAGATCTGGGTTGGACTCAGTGGCTCATGCCTGAAATCTCAGCACTTTGGAAGGCCAGGGCAGGAGGATTGCTTGAGGCCAGGAGTTTAAGACAAGCCCAGGAAACAAAGCAAGACCCTATCTCTACAAAAAATTAGAAAATTAGCTAGGCATGGTGGCACACAGCCTGCAGTCCCCACTACTCAGATGGTTGATGCAGGAGGATCACTGGAGCCCAGGAGTTCAAGGTTGCAGTGAGTTACCATAGGATCTTGCTACTGCACTTCAGCCTGGGCAACAGAGCAAGACCCTGTACCAAAAATAAATAAATAAGGAGATCCAGAAAAGATCTTTGAATCCCAAAAACTTATAGATCATTGAGTACTGAAAGTAAAGATTTTTTTTTTTTTTTTTTTTTGAGATGGAGTCTCACTCTGTTGCCAGGCTGGAGTGCAGTGGTATGATCTCGGCTCACTGCAACCTCTGCCTCCCAGGTTCAAGAGATTCGCCTGCCTCTGTCTCCCAAGTAGCTGGGATTACAGGCACCCGCCACCACGCCTGGCTAATTTTTGTATTTTTAGTAGAAACAGGGTTTTGCAATGTTGGCCAGGATGGTCTCAATCTCTTGACCTTGTGATCCACCCGCCTTGGCCTCCCAAAGTTCTGGGATTACAGCCGTGAGCCACCGCTCCTGGCCAAAAGTAAAGCTTTATACTGTAAAGGCATTAATTTATTCATCCTACTCATAACATCCATTCTTAGTAAGTTTTTCCGAAACAATGACCAAAGTAAGGGAGAGCTTCTGATTTACCCCAAGAAAGGAAGTAATGATACATTAACCCATTACCCATAAAACTCAACATTTAAAAGCATAATACTGATATTACTGATAAAGCTATCCTAGAGATATGTCAAAATTACAATTTGTTAACCATGGCAACATTAATTGGCTCATTCTGTAGCATTTTCTATTGCTACCTTAACTTATAAATATTTGTTTTGGTACATAGTTATAAGTTTGATGCTTCCTGATTTTGCATGCCTGATTTTGGATCATTACCCTTGTTTTACTGCTGGTTTTCATATTTAAATTCCAAGGATTTTTTTTAAGCTAGTAAATACTAAAACAGCTTCAAGATGAACATAAGCATCTGAGTGCCCCAGGATCTGGCAGTTATACAAACAAATACAGTCTAAGCAGATGCTTTAACAGCCAGGGGAGGCCTTAGGCAGAACAGAGTACTCTGCCTAAAGGAGATTCTGGCAGAGCCCAGAGACCATCATTTCCTAGCTTGTAAGCAGCCTAATCCCCCAGCGTTACGCCTCCAGCTTGGAAGGTTTTACTTCAGGCCTCAGAGTAGGTTCCAGTAGTTTTGCCTCACTTCTCCCATATCTCTGCCTAAAATGCTCCATTCCCCAGAGACCTGTGCCAAGAAAACCAACTGGGGAAGCACAAATTTGAAGCAGAAATGAAATCCCCAAAGTCTAAATACACTTCCATGAATTTTAAAATAAGGGTTGACATTTGTAGAGCACTTCTTATTTGCCAGGCACTCTGCCAAGTGCTTTACGTGGATTATCCAGTGTAATGCCCACAACAGTCTAGGGGGTAGTCACTCTTATATTTTCCTTCCATATTTTCAACAGGGAAACTCAGGCTGGGGGATGTCAAGTGACTCATTCAAGGTCATTGAGTTAATAAGAGGCAGAATTAGAATTTGAGGTCAAATAGTCTGATACCAGAACCCACATTCCCAACCTGTACATGACATAGCCTGTGTGTAGGGTATGGGGGATGGAGTTGGGGGGCCACTTTTGCAGGCCTGCCAATGCCGAAGACTGTCCCAGCCATACACTGCAGCACTTGAGCTTTGTGCCCTCACTGCCTGTGCATTCCACTCAGGACCAAGCTATGGCCCCTACAGCCCATTGCCCAAATGGCCATGTAACTATCTCTAGTGCATAGCTGTTCTGGGAGAGGTAATTCTGCCAAGCACAACTCAGCAGACAAAAACCAATGCAGCCAAAAATTGGCCTGACAGGACACCAGGTGGCAAGAAATAAGAAATAAGGGGAAAACAGCCAAGGCCTGGATGATTTGAGGTGAGCCTGAGGGTCCATGGGAGGCAGAGAATAAATAGCTTCAACACATCATTTGCCAAATACACCTAGGGAAAGTCTCATTAAAAAAAAAAAAAAAATCCAGCCAACACACCAATGAGCAGGTGAATAAGTGGCAGCTAGCAGGTGCATAGAACCATAAAAAAAAATCCTGCTTTTCCTGCACAGTCCCATCCTTGATAGCTGTTCTTGCTGATTCAATCTTGGCATGCCAACATTGCTTCAGCACCTGCCCATTGAAACATAATTATCCTCCTCAGAGGAGTCCAGAGGCTCTGGGTCAGGGAGAGATCCACAGGTCACCAAGCCATTCTCCTCATGCCAAAGAAGCGGTACAAATAGAAATGCCTTCCAGAGGCTTGAGGAAAATTGACCAGGAGGGAAGAGTGGGGCAAATGAAAAAAAAAAAAAAAAAGAATGCTCCAGAGAACCCAAGGTGACAGTGGCTCCCTGAGAAGGTGCATGTTTTTTTCTCATGTTCCCTAGGACATATTGAACTTTGTCCCATGTTTACTTTAATCATGAGCACGTATGTTAATAGGCAGTGCCACGTGCAACTGCATTTTTGTCTCCGGGTTCAACCTGCTTTGACCCCTGTAGTATTTCCACAGCGGCACTCCGCCCCACACTCCTCAGTTATTATGTCTTGGAGAACACAGGGAACACAGCCCAATTCTGTCTCCTGGGAAATCATGTCTTTCTGCCGCATACACTGTGCTTCATTCATTCCCTTGTTGAATGCCAGGCACTGTAGCAAGGCACTACCAAGCCTATAAAGGGTGATTTGACATAGCCCCTGCCCTCAAGGAGGAGAGAAAGCTAGAAAGAAAAGTTTCCCATATTCAAATTTTCCCATGTCTCAGATACTACAAGTACATACGAGGTCACTTAATGGCAATGGCCTATATCTCTGCTTCTTGTTCCCACCTGCTTAAGCTAGGAATGTCATGTTCTGTGCCAATATGTTAGAGTTTTTAGTAAAAAGGTGATTTTAGTATTTACTTATACCCTACCCCCTGCTCTCCATGACACTTAGAGAGGAGCTAAATGGGGAGCTGAAGTAGGAGATAAATCCAAGTGGCACACAGTAGATCAGGGACACAAACCCAGGTCTATTTGAATTCAGGACCTGAACTCTTAACCACTGTACTGTTACTATCCCCACACATTTAGAGTTTTGCTTATTTCCAAATGTGAACTTTCCACTTATTTTATCCTTCCACTTACACATTCTAAACTTGAGTTAGGAGTGTGGACATAGGGGATACTGAAGGGAAAGGTAATAAAAAAAAAAAAGATTAAAATCAATGCCCTATCAAGCCAGGTTTACAATCTCTCTTAGAGATTCAGCTGTGGAAACTTAGAATTTGGCTCTCTGAAAAGCACTTCCCGATTCTGAGGGTAGAGAATTCCCAGAACTTGCAAGCATAGACATTAGACGCTAAAAAGCCAGGCTGGAAGCTACTGAGTACAAAGTACTCTACAACCTGTTCTCCACTTTTATTTTTTACAATCTTCTGTATAATAATGGTAGCTGAGGCTGCCTACAATCCCTCCTTGGAATACATTCTGGGCTATTTTTCTCCCCTAAGACTATGGTTTCAAATTCATCTAATTACTTCCCTGTGCAGTGTTAAATCAAGGTGGCTTCAAAATGGAGATGACCCAGTGAGTTTAATTATTCTCTAATGTGCCCTGTTGTGGCAAAAGTGTGTTTACTACATAAATAACTATTCTAGAGGACAGCAAGTGTTTTTGTTTATTTTTCTTTGGTTGTGTTTTATAAAGGCAGACTATAACATTTATTTGGGTTTTAAACATTGAGTTGCCATCTTTTCTAAGTAGTGGTACACTATAGCAAAATTGTTCACACTAGCACACACGAAATCTTTTTTCCCTGTCTTTTTTTAAAATAAAGAAACTGAGTCAGATTTTTAGGGAAATTGAATCAGCTACCACCCTTATTCTAGCTCACCCTAATGACTCTTGTTTTTCCACAAAAAGTATTGATTTGTTGGTAAACATTGGTGCTACTTATTGTGGGGTTAAGCTAAACACAACAATACATGGGTTAATATGAGAACAAGACAAACTGAAGTATAGGAAAAGAAAGCTAGTTGGCCTTTTATCTTTGGCCCGTGTCTATTTGAAAAATCAAAATTTTATTTCTCTTTGAGTCCTTCTGCTCAATTTCTCATCCTTTTATTTTTTCTGCTAAAGCAGAATACAGTAAAGCTTCAAAAAGAAGATTCCCCAATTCTCTCTGAAACAAAATGGCCAACTCAATTTTCAGGTATTTTTTCTACCCAACATGAGAAATGAATTTGAATCCACAGCTGGAAACTTTTTTTTCCCTTCTGCTTTCTCTTAACAATACATAGACTTTCTAAAAGGGCTTTGTATATCTGCATCACAAGGAAGTGGACCCAGTTGCTCTGAGATTACTTTGAATCATGAAGTAGCATGAAGGCATTAGGACCCCATATTAGTTGGTCAACCCACTCAGCAGCACACTAGAAAGAGAGTGGTGAAGGACTGGTGGTCTCCAGAAGGAGAGGCCTCATCATTCAAGAGGAATTTTCTCATTTAATTTTTCATTTTTTCAATCTTTCATACTTGAGAAAATCTATACTCTACTCATACCAAAATGAGTGCCTAGCAAGGGAATTATGTTCAATTGAATCCATTTAAGGTAACGGGGCTCACTGAGACTAAAAAGAGGACTGGAGTTAAGAAGGCACAGCAAGGGGGAAGAAAAGGGTCCCCTAGTTGAGGGTGGTCAGCAGCGTCAATGTGCTTGTACACAGGAGTCTCCCACTGTAGCTGTGTGTTCGAATAAATTATTTTGTAGTGAAAAAAAAAAAAAGAAGGCAGTATTCAGCAAGCTACATTCATTCATGCTGCACTCTCTTCCCCACATATTGCAAGGCCTGACTACCTCTGCCATTTCACAGCTCTTTCATTAAGATATCAGAATCCCCCAGCCCTGACAAAAGTAACAAAAGATACTATGAGACTGGGGATTTCTATGAAGATTAAAAATTCTCACAAGTTCCATTATTGCATGGAGCAACATTGTCCTACTAATTAGAGACCTGCGTTCTGGGCCAAGATTTGTTCATCTTGGCCTGGCACAGTGGCTAACGCCTGTAATCCCAACACTGGGAGGCCGAGGCAGGTGGATCACCTGAGGTCAGGAGTTCAAGACCAGCCTGGCCAACATGACAAAACCCTGTCTCTACTAAAATTACAAAAATTAGGCAGTTGTGGTGGAACACACCTATAAGCCCAGTACTTGGGAGGCTGAGGCAAGAGAATTGCTTAAACCCAGGGGTGGAGGTTGCAGTGAGTCGAGATTGTGCCACTGCATTCCAGCCTGGGCAACAGAGCAAGACTCTGTCTCAAAAAAAAAAAAGATTTGTTCATCTGTAACATGGTAAGTTCTGAGCCTCAGCTTCCTTATCCTTAAAATGAGAAGGCTGGATAAAAGATGATCTCTGGAGTAGCTTTTTAGCTCTAGTGTTCATTTCTCTTCTTTTCTTTCTTTGGTTTGAAACAAACCCACCGAGTCCAGGGGAATGTCTGGTTAGTACCTGTGCCAAAAGGCATCTGGGCTATACGAGGCAGTGGGGCTCTGCACGCTTGACCTGCGTGTAAGCATTTCAGATCCACTTTTTTTCCCTAGGCCATGAACCCCACCCTAGCCAAAACTCTCTGCAAATATATCTATCCTCCTGAGCCCATGACCATAAGCCATGTAAGGTCATTCTTTCAATCTGTTTTGTGACCTCTTCTACTTTTTTGTTTGTTTTTAGCTTTACATATCCTAGGTAATGGTGGTAGTCACACTTTCCTTTTCCATATGCCTTTAATTCAACAAGTATTAATTAAATACCTGCCATGTTCCCACTACTGGATTGGAGGTCATGGTAGATTAAAGATATATATATATATATATATATATATATATATACACACACACACACACACACACATACATAAAAGAGAAGATTCCCCAATTATCTGTAAAATGAAATGGCCATCACTTAATTTTCAGGTATTATTTGTACCCAACATGCAGAAATGAATCCACAGCTGGAAACTTTTAAAAATCTTTTTTTAATCTTTAATATATATATTAGAGAATATATATATATATATATATATATATATGCACACACACACACATACATATATATATAAAACTTCAAGAAATATAAACACGGACTCCTTGGGAAGAGATGAGATTTACACAGGAAATAATTGTACATTTACCAACATTTGTAAGTGAACTCTATCCAAGACAATTAAATGACTTATTATGTAATGGAGGCTATATGTACCATGGGCAATCAACAAGGAAAGAGAGGGTTGCAATGACTTAAGGAAGACTTCATAAAGGAAATGAGATTATAATCGACTCTTGAATGATGAGTAAGATCCAAATAGATAAAGTGGGTAGAGCCTTACAAGATAGGGTTGCAACCTGAGAAAAGGTACTGTATTTAATCAAGGTTCTTTTGGTTTCAAGCAACAGAAACCACACAGAGCTTTGCTGCTCTGATGTGATCTCTACATCAGTGGAATCAACATCATCTGGGAAATTGTTGGAAATGAAGCATCTTGGGCCCCACCGCAGACCTACTGAATGAGAATCTGCATTTTTATAAGATCTTTATGTAAGTCATATGTACATTACAGTTTGTGTATCATTGGGGTAGAGTAACGGTTCTCAGCCTTGAGTGCATATTGGGATCACCTGGGGGACTTAAAAAATACTACATCTCATTCTCACTCACCTACAGCTGTCTTAAATAGTGAGCAGTAGAGGGTTGTGCTTGTTGAAATGTTATTAGAATCTTTCTTGAAACTTGAAAAACCAACTCAAAGAGGTCAGGAACCAAGGTAACTACAGAGAGATCTTGGGCATTTCATGAATCTTCTTTCTAGGCAGTGCTTCTCAATTTTAACACCTACTCCTAAACCAATCAACTATGAGCAGAAGACAGGAATTACTGCTTTATATCCAGGGTCATTTTCAGAGAAAGGAAAATTATGAGCAGGGCAGCTGCACTACAAAGTGTCTACTAATAAGTACCAGGGCAAAAATGAGCATGGAGCATTCAGGGGATACCAAGCAGGCCAATCCGACTAGAAAAGAGAGCAAGAGTTGGTACCTCCTTTCATTTGAAAGCTTCTTGGCTTAGATATCTATCATCATGCTTCTGCTCACAATTAATCTTATTGCTTCTTTGTTTCATTTGTTTCCCTTAAGATATAATGTAAATTGTTACTTTTTTTTTTCTTCTTGAGACAGAGTTTTGCTCTTGTTGCCCAGGCTAGAGTGCAGTGGCGTGATCTCGGCTCACTGCAACCTCTGCCTCCCGGGTTCAAGCAATTCTCCTGCCTCAGCCTCCCAAGTAGCTGGGATTACAGGCATGCACCACCACGCCTGGCTAATTTTGTATTTTTAGTAGAGGCGGGGTTTCACCATGTTGGCCAGGCTGGTCTTGAACTCCTGACCTCAGGTGACCCACCTGCCTCAGCCTCCCAAAGTGCTGGGATTACAGGCGTGAGCCACCGTGCCCAGTCCCATTTGTCTTTTGCTCTTCTGTTGTCATGTAAATGCAAAGCCAAGCCCATAAATGGTTAATTTTTAAAAGTCTCTAGCACTACAAATAACTATACAATGAGAAGTAAGTCTGCCTTCTACCTTGGATTATCCACACACCCTACCCCTCATTTTCCCAGGTTCCCTGCACCACAGTTAAATCTCTTCCACTTGCTCCTTTGCAAAGACCAATGTTTCTAGCTCTAAGTTTGATGCAATAAACTTAGAGCTGGAAACATTTGGAGAGTTTCCATAACCAGATGATTATGGGAATACTTTCCAGTAAATAAATTATATGTTAGCCATTGAAATGGAAATTTAAGTTGATCAAATAAACATAATAATACCACCTTACACTTGTATCACAGAACTTTAAATTTTGCAAAGCACTTTCATATGCATCATCTCATTTTGTCTTCATGTTGATTATGTTGATTCTGTGAATTTCTACAGGGCAGGTATTTTTTCTCAATTAAGCCATTTCTGAGGTTCACAGAGGTTATGATTACTTTCATAGTCATGTTTCTCACCAGAATAAAGGGCCCTCTAAGGGTGCTTTGCACATGTCATACAGAAAATTGAAGTATAGTCGAATGTTTATTTTCAACACTTCTCCTAGGAGTTGTCTTGCCCTGACTGCAAAATCCTACTTGGGTTACCCACTAGGGAAGTGTATCAAACCCCTTTCCTCAGTTAAAACATTCCCTGGGCTTTCCCAGGCCCAGCTCACTATGATTAACAAACCAAGATCAGGCAATGATGGCAATATCTTGCAGGCTTGGAGGCTGGGAAGTCCAAAATTAAGGTGCCAGCAGATTTAGTGTCTGGTAAGGGCTTGCTTTCTGCTTCCAAGGTGGTGCCATGTTGCTGCATCCTCTGGAGGGGATGAATGCTGTGTCTTCACATAGCAGAAGGGACAGAATTTTCCAGTTTACCAAGAAGCTTTGTGTTCAGACAAGTATCAATTCATTCAACAAATATTCTATCCCATTATGTGCCAGACACTGTTCTAGACTTTAGGGTAAACAACACAGGCTAGCTCCCTGCTCTCATGGAGCTTACATTCTACTGGGGAAGGGGAGGCAAACAAGAAACCAAATGAATACTAATTTTGATAATGATGAGTGTTAAAAAGAAAATAAGACAAAATGATGAGTGATATGACAGAGAATGACAACTTTAGTTTAGGGGATGCTATGGTTTTAATGTCTGTGTCTTTCTGAAATTCATATTGAAATTTAATTCTCATTGTGGTGGTATTAAGAGGCAGGGCTTTTTGAGAAGTGATTAAATCCTGAGGGCTCCAGCCTCATGAATGGGATTAATGTCCATATAAAAGTGGCTTCAGAGAGCTGTCTGGCCCTTTTTTGTCTTTCTGTCCCTTCTGCCACGTGAAGACACAGCATTTATCCCCTCCAGAGGTTGCAGAAACATGGCACCATCTTGGAAGCAGAGAGCAAGCCCTTACCAGACACTAAATCTGCTGGCACCTTAATTTTGGGCTTCCCAGCCTCCAGAACTGTAAGAAATAAATTTCTGTGCTTTATTAATTACCCAGTCTCTGTTATTCCACTATATCAACTCAAATAGACAAAGAGGAGTCAAGAAAAGTCTCTTTGAGATGATGGCCCTTGAGCTAAGAATTGAATTCTAGTCTTGGTGCAGTGCCATTCACTAGTTATGTGAACCTTGGGCAAGTTAGTCAACTTATGCATTTGTTTATTCCTAAGTAAAATGTGGATTATATGTAATAGTATAATAATGATATCTACCTCATGGTGTCATTTTGAGAATTTAAATGAGGTAATGCATGCAGAGAATTATTCACAAAGTTTAATACATAAGTGCTCAGCAAAGAATAGTGTGTGGTTATCTATGATTATACAGTTGACCCTTGAACAACACAGGCTTGAACTGTATGGGTTCACTCATACAGAATTTTGTTTCAAAATATATATTGGAAAAATTTTTGAAGATTTGTGACAATTTGAAAAAACTTGCAGACCAAATGCATAACCCAGAAATATTGAAATGGGAGAGTTCCCTGGCTCTGCTTGCAGGATGTGTGACAGGGGTGTGGTTCTCTGTTCAGCCACCGCAAGCTCAAACCCCTTATGGGATGGGAAGCACACAGATGGGCAGGTACAGGAACCAGGACGAGCATTTTTGGACTGCAGCCCCACAGCAGCATCTAGGGATGGGTGTCTGCCACTCCTAAAGCCCAAGTGGGTGCATGTTACAGTGCACTCTTTTAGCCTTGCTGCCTGCAGATGGCTTAAGGATTAACCAGTGGGCTCTGCCTTTTGCAAGGGCAGGGGGTAAACATGACAGCTTTCTGTACCCCAGGCTCTTGTCCAGCATCCTGGAAGAATCAGATCACACACAGACTAGAAGGATGAATGTGGGGGGGTTTATTGAATGATGGAGGTGGCTCTCAGCAGGATGGATGGGGAGCTAGACAAGGGATGGAGTGGGAAGATGATATTGCCCTGGAGTTTGGCCGTACAGTGGCTGATTCTCTGACTGTCCCCGTCTTGTTCTCTGCCTCACTGGTCTGCCATTTGTCTGCTTCTCTCCTCTTCCCCTCGTCTGCTTCTGGAGCCTGGGGTTCAAAGTTTATATCGGTACAGGATAGGGGGCGTGATGGGTCAAAAGGTAACTTTTTGGGCACAAAAACAGGAATGCCAGTTCTCACTTAGGCCACGGGTATCCAGGCTTGAGGGTAGTGCCTTTGACAGGGAACCACCCTCTTCTACCCAGTATTTCCCTGTCTCCTGTCCATATCAATATCAAAAAAAATTAAGGAAAATGTACATCACGAATGCATAAAATATAATGTAGATACTCATGTATTTTATCATCTACTACTATAAAATATACACAAATCTATTATAAAAAATAGATTTAAAATATGTTTTAAAATATATGCACACAAACAGATCATATATGGCATCATTTGCAGTTAAGAGAAATGTAAACAAATGTATAGATGCAGTATTAAATCATGACTATTTAACATTAACTCTATATACTGTACTACTGTAATAATTTCTAGCCCCCTCCTGTTGCTATTGCGATGAGCTCAAGTGTTGCGAGTATCTGCCTAAAAGGCCATGAGATGCTAGTCATCTCTGCATGAGCAGTTGTCTCTCCAGTAAATTGTGTATCACTGTAAGAAGTGATCTCTCTCAGTTCTTGCGTATTTTTCATCATGTTTAGGGCAATACTATAATCCTTGAATAACAACATGGGACCCATACAAAGTGGTCCCAAGAAGCAGAGAAAAGTCATGCCACTACAAGAAACAGTTGAATTGCTTGATATGTACCATAGATTGAGATCTGCATTTGTGGTTGCCCGCCATTTCAGAGGGACAATTCATTTTGTAAACAGGTGATGTAAATTTATGATATTGATAAGCACAGTTCAGTACTGTACATGTATTTCCTCTTCCTTATGATCTTCTTAATAACGTTTTCTTTTTTTCTAGCTTATTTTATTGTAAGAATACAGTATATGATACATATAACATACAAAATATGTGTTAATTGACTGTTTGCATTACTGGTATGACTTCCAGTCAACTATAGGCTATTTGTAGCTAAGTTTTGGGGGAGTCAAAAGTTACTTGTAAATTTTTTGCTGTGCCGGGGTTGGCACCCCAACTCCTGCATTGTTCAAGGCTTAGCTGCACTTTGTCCTTTGTAAACAAGCCATTAAATTGTGCAAGGTGGGGATTATCATGTCTATTTTTTAGTTAAGGAAATTGATGTTTAGAGAGTTGAGGTGATAATGAGTCACCTCATGATCATTAAGTGCTTTGAAACCCAGATTATCTATTTGCAATTAAATAGAGGGTTCTATTAGCAGTGCTATCCTCGAGACACTTTGGCAGGCTGAAAACCAGGAACATTTGAGGATAGGCAACCATTTCATGCTCATCGAATCAGAATAGGACTTGCCATCCCATTGTCAGACTTCTAAGAGGTATGAAACAATCATTTTAATGGTCTCTAGAAAGAAAGTATCATTATAGGGGATCAGTAATACTAAATGCAGTAGATATAAAGCAACTTCTTTAGGTTAGTTGAAAGTATGCACCATCACTTGATCCTGAATAATAAGCAAATTCGTTCATTAAAACGAATACTCTCCTGTGAAACTCTAACCTATTTTTTGCTTAGCCCAGTGCGTTTTTAATCTACTAGAGTTAGAAAAAATTAATTCACATGTGCTAAAATCATTATGTTTTTATACTCAACAGTGTCTGATATATAGAATCTATAAAACTTGTGTTATTACAAACTGATAGGCTGTGATGGTGCATAATAAAGTTAAACCAATGTTCATAGGAATGATTCACAGCCATAGGGTAAAAAAAGCAAACTTCTTAGTGAAATGATGTTCCAGAGGGGAAGGCTGAACATGTCCTCCTGTGCCCACCAAAAAGCCAGTTACAACATTCCTATCAGGTGGCCTAGAATCTGGAATTCCCTTCAAGGAAGAATCTGTGTCTACTTTTATTCAGGTCTTTAGCAAAAAGAACAGGAAGAGGTCTGACCCCCAGTCCCAAGTAAGGTCAGGGACCAATGAGCTGCTGGCCTTAAATTAAACTGCATACAGCAAAGATAGTCCCTTTTTGTTGTTCCATTGATGAACATACAGTGTTAACTATGTGCCAGCCTACATTTCAGGCATTTTACATGAATTAACTAATTTAATTCACACAGCAGTCTTACAAGGATAAGTGCTGTGTATTAGTTGCTAAGGCTGTCATAAAATACCACAGACTAGGTGGCTTAAACAACAGAAATTTATTTACTCACAGTTCTGGAGACTGAAAGTCCACGTTCAAGGTATCAGCAGAGATGGTTTCCTCTGATGCTTCAATCCATGGCTTGCAAATGGCCACTCTCTTGCTGCCACTTCACATGCACTTTCCTCTGTGCCATCATACCCTTCCCATCCCCGCTCAAGGTTTCTTCCTCTCATAAGGGCAACAGTCATATTAGATGAGGGCCCCACCCTAATGGCCTAATTTTAATTTAATTATCTCTTTAAAGACTTTATCGCTAAATAGGTTTACATTCTGAGGTACTGTGTGTTAGAACTTCAACATATTAGTTTGGGTTGGGGGGTTACACAGTTCAGCCCATATTATCTTTGCTTTAGAAAGGAGGAAATGAGCCAGGCATGGTGGCTCACGTCCGTAATCCCAGCACTTTGGGAGGCCGAGGCGGGCGGATCACTTGAGGTCAGGAGTTTGAAACCAGCCTGACCAACACGGTGAAACTGCGTCTCCACTAAAAATACAAAAAATTAACCGGGTGTGGCAGTGTGCGCCTGTAATCCCAGCTACTCTGGAGGCTGAGGCAGGAGAATTGCTTGAACCCAGGAGGTGGAGGTTGCAGTGAGCCGAGATTGTGCCACTGCACTCCAGCCTGGGTAACAGAGCGAGGCTCCATCTCAAGAAAAAAAAAGAAAAGAAAAGAGGAAATGAAGACACCAGAGGATTAAGTCACTTGTCCCAAGCAACACAATTGTAAGAGCAGAGTTGAGATTTGAACCCAGGAAATTGACTCCTGAGCTAAAACACTTTTACCCACTACACTATAGTGCCTTGTACGCCAAGAAGGTGGGGATTCCCAGCCCCGTCCATGAATGCGCTTAGTAAAATGGTTTCTCTGTACAGTTTCTCATTCTATGTGGGAAGGAGGCAAACCTATGACCGTTATTCCTAACTGAATTTTATTACTTTTTTGAACATGGTATATGAAGAGGATAAGAAGAAAAGGCCAGGTGTGGTGGATCACGCCTGTAATGCCAGCACTTTAGGAGGCCGAGGCAGGTAGATCACCTGACTGAGCTCAGGAGTTCGAGACCAACCTGGCCAACATGGTGAAATCCTGTCTCTCCTAAAAATACAAAAATTAGCTTGGTGTGGTGGCATGCGCCTATAGTCCCAACTACTCGGGAGGCTCAGGCAGGAGAATTGCTTGAACCCGGGAGGCAGAGACTTCAGTGACCCAATATCACGCCAATGCACTCCAGCCTGGGCAACAGAGCAAGACTCTGTCTCAAAAGAAAAAAGGATACGAAGAGAATACAATCTGTTTACCCAAACAATAGTTTATACTGAGTGAGCATTCCCTGGAAGAGGATAACTCTGAGGGACAACCCCATCTTTCTTGTATCATAATGCCTCCGTCTGGAATGTAAGAAATTCAGGCCTCCTAAAGACCTCCAGTGGCTGGCATGTTCAGCAGTTATCTCACTTCCTGTTATCATTTAGGGACAAGAAAAAAAGGTGAGAATTATCTTTATCAGAGCGGAGAGTAAAGGTGGCCTGAAACTTTGGAAAACTATACTTCTAGAAGAGATGGATATCATGGAGGTCTGTCTGACTTCTGAATAGGTCCCATACTGCTTTGTTTGTTCAGACTTACTTGAGCTGATTGTTATCAACTCTGGCTGCCTTCATCCTTCCTAAAGAACTGTTTTAAGTAAAATCTCTTTGCTTTCTTTCTCAGAAGCTGGAGGTTGAAGAGCAATGTAGTTCCCAGGATGAAATTTGCATATGTCTTAACTACAAGAAGTTTGTTTTAAGCAGGTGTTTCACCAATGACCAGATGATTTTGAGAAATACTTGTCGGTAGCTTCCAAGGGCTACATACTTCCATGTTCGGGGGATAAACTCATGATTGTTAAATGTTTTGAAATGATAAGATCCTGGCTTATCATTTGACATATAGATTTCTAAATGTCATACCTGAAAAAATTTCCCAGCATAGACTTTTTTTGGAAAAAGACCTCAAGAAATTAAGAAATTACAATTAATAAAATCTAGCTTGTTGTTTAACCTCAGAACTGGCTTTTTCTGGGTTTTGCTGCCCCCTCTGCCATTGATGAAAAATGACCTTGCCAATTTATCTTGAATTTTCAAACTGAAGGAATATTGGCTATTACTCAGCCCAGCTCCTTCATAAAGCTGGACTTTAAATTCGCATTCAATGGTGAAGGAAGCATTTAATAAGCTTCAGGGGTATGGGGATGTCTTTCTTGTTCACTGCTGTCTCTTCTGAGCCTAGCACAGTGTTTGGTCTATGGTAGATATTCAATAAGTCGTTTCAAATGAGTAAATGATTAGAGACTCCAGTGGCTGAAAAATATCTTAAAAGGGCCATATGATTAATTTCCCTAACTTTTTCAAAACTATATGAAATCCTGTACAAAATACATATTTATCCTTTTGCCAAAGGCTATCAAAGAAGGACATTTTACAACCTCTGTAATAAAGTATTCCAGGCACTAATGACCTTCACTGATCAGAAATCTCCCTTTGATAGATCCTCTGTCCTTCATTTGCACTAATCCTAAGCCGATTGTTTCTTTGAAAGCCAGTATTCACTTGGCCCTCTGTCATCTTTTTCGCTAGCCTGAATAGGCTTTATTGTTTTTACTTTTTAGTCATTTCCTTGTTTCTCCTTTGGGACCTCTAAGTTTTTCTTGTCCCTCTTAAGTATTAAAATTATTCTGAATGTATACAGGTCAACTATTAAAGTGATTACAGAAATGTAAATGGGTTTTAGATAAAAATCTATTTCAAATGCAAATACACACACAAAAAAATGATAAGGATAAGCCTTTTCTCTTTATTATAACAATGCTTTTGAATGGAACACTGGAGTTGGCAAGAAGAGGAGAGTGAAGAGAAGAGTTGTTTTTTGTTTTTTTTTTTAATGCTTTCCTCCATTTTCCCACATGAATTTTTTTTCAGTCTCTCCTGACAATTCTCTAGGAGACTGCTATTTCAAATGCATTGTCGTGCCTGTTAGCTGAACTGCAAATTGTCACCTTTCTCTCTTGGGAGTCCTCCTGCTTAGTAAGACTGAAGAAAAATCCAGAAAATCATTTCTAATTACTACAGTACTGAAACTGACCAGAAACATCATAAACCCAACCTTATTTCTCACTGGAGTGACAGAGCCTTAAGGTTGCTATCTGCTTTTTTGATTAGTAACAATAGTTCATTTTTTAAAATATGCTATGGTTTCCCTGAACAGAATTGTAGAGAGTGGGTAAGTTGGAGGAGGTAATAAAGGAGGTTTCATACCTTAATGATAACCCGTCATGGGGTTTTGTTTATTTATACAGCTTGAATCCTTCAGAAAATTGAATTTTTATTGTTTTTGTACCTTTCATTCCTAAGCCTCAACCCATTCCTATGGGGGAAAAAATACTGCTTAAAGAACAGCTTGCTAGCTAATGCACACACAGAGATGGCAGGGTGGACACATGGTATATCAGTACTGGGGAGTTTCTTGGCATCTTGGTTCTTTTGAAAACATTATTTCTGATATTACTCTTCCTCCAAAGGAAACCACCAAGTGAAAATGAAAATAGGTGTAGCCTTGTGAAGCCAAAAGAATATTAAGAAATTGGTTTTTCAATCCTGTATTTTTTCTTTGTCAAAATTGTACATACACAAGATTAAGGAGTCAAGTAATAAAACACAGTTCTATAGTAATATAACAATAATTCTAATTTCAAAATAGCTGGAAGATTTAAAATGTTCCCTACGCAAAGAAATGATAAATGTTTGAGGTGATAGATATCCTAAATACCCTGATTTGATCATTACACATTGTAGGCAGTTGGGTACAATAAAAAAGAATAAGTCTTGTTTTCAACAGTGGGATATTGATTGATTATATCTAAAACTAAAAAATAGCAAAGTAACAATGTAATCATATTATTTAGACCTGCATTGCTCAGATCTAAATATATGAAAATATCACATGTACCCCATAAATATGTACAACTATTGTCTCAATAAAAATAATTCTATTATATCATAGAATATGATTCTATAGTACTATGACAAACAGTGGCCCTTTGACCTCCTCCATGCCCTATATCTTGATCCCTGAAGTTGACTTTCATCTATTTTAGTGGATCTTTTGATATTTAATGCTGTAATGCTATTAGTCTAAATCAGCACCGTCTGCTAGAAATATAATGAGAACCACATATGTGAATTGTAAATGTTCTAGTAGCAACATTTTAAAAGTCAAAACAAAAAGGTAAAAAAAATTTCATTTAACCGGGTATGCCCCAAATATTATCATATCAAGATATATTCAATATAAAAAGTCAGTGAGATCTTTTGCATCTTTTTTTCATACTAAGTTTCTGAAATCTGGTATGCAGTTTACATTAACAGCACATCTCAATTTGGATGTAAAATTTTCATCAAAAATGTTTGATCTGTGTGTAGCTTCCCTATAATTTGAAAAAAAATTCATATACATAAATTGTTCCAAACACTTAAAAGCTTTCCAATAACTGAATTGAGTATAAGATCTTTAAACTTTAATCAGTTCAAATTAAATAAATTGAAAAACTTATTCTCAGTTGCACTAGCCCCATGTCAAGTGTCCCATAGCCACATGTGGCAGTGACTATTGTATTTAGCAATGCAGGTCTAAACAATATGATTACATTGTTACTTTGCTATTTTTTGGCTTTAGAAATAATCAATCACTATTCCACTATTGAAAACAAGACTTATTAACTTATATTGTCTCCAACTATATACAAATATATACACATATTCCTTTCCTGTCTTCCCATCCTTACCTTATAATTATATAATTATATTATTTTGATTAAACCGACATGGATAGTTAATAGTTGTCTTTATTTGTTCCCTTAGCTTTCTATGTACCTATTCTTTCCCATGTAAGAAATCATTCTGGGGATTCCCTTTGTCCCTGTTCTAAGCTGGATCCCATGTGACTTTTATTACAAGCCTTCCGCTTTCTTGGTTTACACCTCTATTTGGGTGGAAGATATGCCCTAGTTATTTTCTGAAAAAGGGTGCTTGGGGAGAGGGGAAAATGTTTTGAAATTTCTCAAATCTGAAAGTTTGTTTATTTTGCCCTCATAATTGATTAATAGTTTGGCTGGGTATAGCATTCTAGGTCGATAATAATTTTCTCTTAACATTTTGAAAGTTTGTGCCATCAGCTTCTAGCTTCCCATATTGCAATTGAGTTTTATGCCATTCTGAGTCTGGTTCATCCTCCTGAATGTTTGTAGTATCTCTTCTTGGTCCCAGATATCCTGAAATTTCATAGTGATGTGCTTTAGCCCTGGGCCTTTTCAATATGGAGATTTATGCCTTGTAGGAGTGGAAATTTTTCTTGAATTATTCCTTTGATCTTCTTTCCTACATTTTCTCTGTCCTCTTTTTCTGAAACTCCTTAATATTATAATGTTGAGTTTCCTGTAATAATCCTCTAATTTTCTATTTGTTTCTATCATTCTTTTTGCTCTACTTCCTAATTGCTTTCCAATAACTTTATCTTTAAAACTTTATCTTTAAAACTCATCTTTAAAACTTTATCTTTTGAGTGTATTTCTGCTATATTTTTAATTTCTAGGATATTTTCCTTATTTCCTGAATGTTTGTGTATGTGTATAAAACTTGTTATTATTTCATGGATATTTTCTCATATAATATATCTCACTGCATAGTCTGTTCCTACCCGGTTACTTTTGTTTGATTTTTATATATGTGCTTGTTTGTTGTTATGGTCTCTGTCATTCATATTTGAGACTTTCCTCATTTGTCTGGTCATCCTTGGCTGTCTGCTCATATTGAAGAATGAGAAACTGAAAAGCCAATTATAAGCTCTGAGCTTGTATGTTTCCTTGTAGGGTACTCTGGTTGAGTCATTTCTTTGGGGAATAACTGATTTCAGTATTTTTAGGTCTTTCCTGTTATGTGAGTTAGATTCACCAAAGAAAGCACTTCAGATTTCTTGCCTAGATGATGGTGTTCTGAGACAGGAGTTGGGAGAGACGGCTGGGGATCTCAAGATTCAACTAACACTCCTGTTTTCATTACAGTACCCAGTGTACATTTTGACTTAATACTTCTGTTTTCAGTATAGTACCCAACCCTCCACTGTGACTGGCATTCCCTTCCCAGAACCTCTATTTTACCTTCTGCAGAAAATAAATTCACAATCTTCTGTCAAGGTGTAGGAAGGCTGGTTCTCCAATGCATTCAGAAGAAGAGGATATTTGTTAGATCTAATTGTTTTTCAGTTTGTCTGTGTTGAGACAGAGTCTCACTCTGTTGCCCAGACTGGAGTGCAGTGGCACGATCACGGCTCACTGCAGCCTTGACCTCCCAAGCTCAGGTGATCATCCCACCTCAGCCTCCTGAGTAGTTGGAACTACAGGCATGCGCTACCACGTCCAGCTGATTTTTTTTTATTATTATTTGTAGAGATGGGGTTTCACCATGTTGCCCAGGCTGTTAATTGTTTCTTAATATAAAATTTGCCAATGTAAATTGTTTCTCTTTTCCCATTGCCAGTTTAGGATTAGGCCTTTTTTTTATTTTATTTTAAAATCACGTATTACTTGGCCATAAGCTTTCCAGCTCCCAAAATTTTATTAATATTACCTGCTCACCTCTCATATTTACTTTCCATTGGAGGCTTATGCCTTTTATGGTATCCCTTTATTTTAATTTTTGTAATGTTGTAGGAGAAATCAGAGGCTAATTTTTTCATTAAATCTGCCATCTTGAATTGGCAATCTTACCTGTCATTCTTTTGTGTCTTTTGGAAACATCATTTATTTTTCTTGTGCAAATAGTTTATGAAACCCTTTCTTTCCTGCATGCCTAACCCATTTTCTTCTTTTGTGAAAACTGCCTGTGAATTTTAAGCTGACATGATAACATCTACCTTCTCATTCTTATAGTGGTGGTGGACAATGAGGAAGTAATTCCTGGGTAAGAAAAAGTGTCGAAACCCCCTGTGTACATAAATGATATTATAGAAAACTAAAGTGTTTCTCAATTTGCATTCTTTCCCTATATAAAAATAATGTTTTAGATTGGGAGGAGGAAGCAACAACAGATGCTAAAGTTGCTCACTTTCCTGTGGTCTGACTGTCAGAACCCAAAAGACAGAGAACTCCGGCAACAAAGCCTGGACAACACTTGTCATCTTGCTAAATGACTCGTTCTGAAAGTAATGGACATACTTTCATTATCTTCATAATATCATCTCTTGCAGAAGTACCTTTGAAGAACAGATAAATGTCTTGGTGCCAAAAGACAATGCTTTGGGATAAATTATCTGTGTTCAGAACAATACCAAAACAGACGTACATCACATCATCATGCTAATTATTTCACTATGGCACAGTGGGAAATGACCTTTGTAACAAATGCCACATCAGGTAAATGGGTCATTTTACTTAAATTGCCTATATGAGATAAGACACATAAAATGGCACGATAAAAGTACAGATAAGTCAAGGCTCCAGAAAGATTTGATTCTCCCCAAACAATTTCACATAGCCAAATACAGAGTCCTGAATGTGCTACTATATGTTGCATCAAAGACTGTGACTCTTCTGATTCACTTTCGGGTGATCTTTATAACATCTGCTCTTTCATGGAAAGCTATAGCGAAAATACAGTGCATGTGGGTTTGCAGCATGAAGAAGGTGTTGCCAGAGGGCTTGTGAATAACTGACAGGATATCTTTGGTTGAGTTCTGTTGTAACAATAGGCAGCACCTAGCACAGAGCCTGGTGAGTAGTAATTGCTCAAGAAATAGCTGAATGGTGGATGGCAATGATGATGATGATGATGATGATATGATGATATTAATCTCACATAATCCAAACGTAAGAGTTGGACATATTATGGTATAATCAATACAAATTTTTCTACCAATGTATTTCTAATTCAGAATATTCTGTTTTAAGCATGGAATATTGGCCTTTTAAAAACCCAGTTTTGGAAAGATCTTTCTGGCCACTCTCTCAACTACATAGCTAGAAGTGATATGCGAAGCAAATCAGAGACCTTTTTGTGCAAATCAAGGAACTTGTAGTTTTAGTCAAAGCAATTAAATGGTCTATTAGAGAGATTACTGCCTTATTTTATCAATTCTAACTAATATATATTTTGCACATTTTAAGGCATCTCCAGTTGGGATTTTTCATATAATGAATGAGTACATTTCTCCCTACTTTTCACACCATAAAGAAAGTGTTAGTAAATCCATGGTGTTCCCTTCAATACACTTTATTGATGAAATATGGCAAATAACATCATGGAGAACACAAACTATTGGTCTAAATAGCAAGGTGCTTTTCTTAACTTATTCCCTGGTTAGGTTTAGAGAAAAGAAGAAGGGCTTCTGTAAACTGAAAAGTCAAAAAGAACTTATCTCAGACCAGTTAGGCAAGTTGAATTGGCTACCTACAAAAAGACAAAAGAGTAGGCCCCTCACTGAGAGATAAGTACCCTGGTCATTTTGATATCCAGTGTAAGTTACAGGAGGTTGAGGCCCAGCCTACAGGGTGGCTTTTTGACTACAACGTATAATTCAAAGTGATATCACAAAATTAAAGATTAGTAAAACTGATACCAAATTGTACATAAGCATACATTTCTTTACAAAGACAAAACTGAAACAAAGCAAAATCTTAAAATCTATAAGCAAATTATCTCCTTATACATTTAACCAAAGCTTTTTCGTTGTAATAACTTTTTAAAAATAGAATATGGGAATAGTGTGCTAATCCTCTTTCTAAGACACCTGTTTATACTGTATGCTAATTGCCTGGACGACATGGCTGTGCCATACTACAACCACCTGGTGGCAGCATACCTAATTTGAGGATGTGCAAGTTTTTTTCCTTTTCATTTTAACATTGTGAATATTCCCTTGAAGGTCAAAACAGCAAACTAGAAATATGAAGGACAGAAAATATCACAATACTTATTCAGGTACTTAGAGCTCATCTGTGGGCGTCTATTAGTCCACCTCCCTACGGAAATGGACTATCATGATCCCTTTCTGCCATTTACTCTTACATTTATTTTCTTGGTTGCTAATTTGAGATAAATTGGCCTTGGCATGTGTATTCAATCTTTTTTTCCTCAAGTGCTGTACAGATTGCCAAGTGTTAAGAGATGAGCTTGTGGGTTTCTGTGTATGGCTCATGAATGCTTTGATTAACTTGTTAATGAGACAGGTGGAATCTCATTACAGAAAGTTTGTCCTGATGAAAAAATGTTAAGTATATGATAATGAGGTTGCACAAACAGGACTTGTCCTGGGCAAAATTATAAGATATGTGAAGATTCTCTTCCATGCCCTGCCTTCTTTCCCCTTCCCTCATATCTACTTTAGCAGCCTTCTCTCCAAGGACCTGTTCTGGTTCTCTCCTTCCTGTCCAGGATATAGCTTCCCACCCACACCTTTTGCAGAGCCTGCCCAGAGCTTCTCTCACAACATCTCCCTAGTCCCACAATCAAATTGAAATTAATCTGTCCTATACCTTTTCTCAAGCTCTTCGAGGTTCTTAATGCAGGAGTTTTTAAACTTGATTTCCATGGCAATGCATGTTTCTGATGATATTACATCTATGACCCAGCTCCTATAACATGCCAGCATTTATGCAATGCCTTGTGCACAATCTGTAATTTTTGTCCACTCAAGAAATCATATTGGCCAGGCATGGTGGCTCATGCCTGTAATCCCAGCACTTTGAGAGGCTGAGGTGGGAGGGTCATTTGAGGCCAGGAGTTCAAGACCAAGCTAGACAATGTAGGGAGACCCCATCTCTACAAAAAATAAAAACTAAGCTGGGCATGGTGGTGCACGCCTGTAGTCTCAGCTACTCAGGAGGCTGAGGTGGGAGAATTGCCTGAGCCCAGGAGTTGAGGCTGCAGTGAGCTGTGACTGTGCACTCCAGCCTGGGTGTCTCTGGAACAAAAAGAAAAAGCATAGGACTAGAAACTAGAAATGGTGGTATTATAGGACTATCCTTGAGTCTGCTGTAATTTTATATTCTTTTTGAAGTAGGTCTTTTAAACTTCAGAATGTTTGACTCCATCATATGGCTTGTGATATCGCACAACTGACTGTGACACACCAATATGTCAAGACACTTGAGTCCACTATTCTGGTCATGGTCTGACATATGTAATATGTCAACCAGTGCATCTGAGGATAAAACATTTGATTAAAAATAAAATGTTGAGCTGACTTCATTTTCTCCTCCAAAATAACTATGGGAACATGAGAAAGAAGAGAGTCACATTTTGATAGATTATTGAGAGAGATGTTTGGATCTGATAGGGCCTTTAACAAGCTTTTAAAAAGTATCAGGTGGTCAGTTTCTTATTCTATCTATGCACGGCATCAATTCTTTGTATGTTCCCCAATCTTGGTCTAGTAGACACCTATTGGATTAATTCCTCAGCACGCCTTTTCTGAGCCTTGACCCCTCTTTAGAGCTACACGATTACAGTGAAGCTGTCATAGTCACATACTGCCACTCCAGCCCTTAGCCACATTTGTTGTGAAACCATGGGTCAGCTGAACCCATTTGGATATGGAGATAGCAAAGAAAATAGTTTCTCTCTAGTGGCTATGCAAGTACATGGAATCCTAAGCACTAAATTTGCCGTGTTTTTTATGACGTGGATAAAAGAAGCAGCGAAAGCTGGACTGCAGAGAACAATAAAGAAATCTCAAATGACATCTGAGTTCTCATTCCAGGTTGTTCTCGAGGCCCAGAAACGTTTCTGTCCTTGGGCTTTCTGAGATACTCTTCTATTCTTATTATGATCCCTCCTTTTTTTTCCTAAGCTACATTGAGTTACTATTCCATTACTTTCAAACAAAGAATTCCTAAGTGAAGTATCTAGTAACATAAAATGCATTTATAGTCTCTTTCTTAAAGGGAAGGGTCTTTTGGGGTGTTATTTTGAGAATGTAATAAGTTTATTTTATTACTCTTTCCATTTTCTTTTATTTGACCAAAAAGGGGAGAATAAAATGTGTATTACTTATCTGTTTACATTCTTTTCATTTGAAGATAATCTCTCAGAGGGAAGAGACCATGATTTTTTTTGTATCAAGCCTGAAGTGTCTGGCACAGCACCATATATATGACAGAACCTAATAAAAACATAATCATGATGTTGCATTTGATTGCCAAAAGGAAAAACCTCAATTGACCAGGAACTTAGAGGAGAGCAAAATAACAGAAAAGCTGTGATCAAACCAGGTGCGGCAAATTATATTATCCAAAGGTGGTTGCAATAATATCTTCCACCCCACATGCTCTCTAGAAAGTTGCCACTCCCTCTTCAAGATGCAGTTGGCCCCTCCCTCCCAGGCCCGCCTCTCCCCACACCCCACCCCACCCCAACCCCCACCCCGCCTTAAATCTGTCTGGGCTTGTGTCTTGCTTGCAATCAGTAATGAGGTAGAAATAATGCAGCAAGACTTCTGAGGCTAGGTCTTAGGTGACAGAGTGTCTGCCTTGTTTGCTGGAATAATCATCCTTGAAGGTTTCAGACAGCCCTGAGTCTGCCACATTCTGAGGAAGTCCAAATTAGCCTGTGTGAAGAGACCACATGGAGAAGTGCCAAAATTGCATGAACAGAGAGAGATGCCTTGCAAGCCCCTTCTGCTCCAGCTCACAACTCTCCAGCCCCAGCCACTGTTTGACTGGGACTGCAGGGGGACTCCAAGCCAGAACCTCCCAGATGAACCCTCCCCAACTTCCTGACCCACAGAAACCAGGAGAGGTGATAAAATGACTGCTGGTTTCAACCTTTACATTTTGAAGTGGTTTGTTCCTTAGCAATGGTAACTAGAATAGGAAGAATAACCTCAACATCTGTAGTAACAGAGTTTTCTTGATGCCATTCTACAAGTCATATCAGAGTTATTGAAAAACACACAAGCGGGCCGGGTGTGGTGGCTCACGCCTGTAATCCCAGCACTTTGAGAGGCCAAGGCGGGTGGATCATGAGGTCAGGAGATCGAGACCATCCTGGCTAAAACAGTGAAACCTCGTCTCTACTAAAAATACGAAAAAAAAAAAAAAAAATTAGCCAGGCGTGATGGCGGGTGCCTGTAGTCCCAGCTACTCAGGAGGCTGAGGCAGGAGAATGGCGTGAACCTGGGAGGCGAAGCTTGCAGTGAGCCCAGATCGGGCCACTGCACTCCAGCCTAGGCAACAAAGCAAGACTCCATCTCTGGAAAAAAAAAAAAAAAAAAAGAAAGGAAAAAAAGAAAAACACTCCAGCAAACAAAAATATTTGAGGATCAAACTTCAAAGCAAAGAGCATGAGAAAATGCATTATTCTCAGCTGTATATTTTTTCTTAAAATAAACATTTTTATTATTATTATTTTTTTTTTTGAGACAGAGTCTCACTCTGTTGCCCAGGCTGGAGTGTAGTGGTGTGATCTCGGCTCACTGAAATTTCCGCTTCCTGGGTTCAAGCAATTCTCACACCTCAGCCTCCTGAGTAGCTGAGATTACAGGCATGCGCCACCACGCCTGGCTAATTTTTGTATTTTTAGCAGAAACAGGGTTTTGCCATGTTGCCCAGGCTGGTCTTGAACTCCTGGGTTCAAGTGATCCACCTGCCTCGGCCTCCCAAAGTGCTGGGATTACAGGCGTGAGCCACCGTTCCCGGCCAAACCTAGCCTTTCTTTTAAAAAGTAAATGTAACTTTTCTTTAGACTAACACCAGTTTATTTAGTGCTTTCTGTAGCCATTGCTCCCATATGTGAAATGTGGTGGTAATGAGCCAGATGATGGATATGGTGGTGGAATTGTTTTGGTTACTCAATGATTGTCAGTCTGTAGTGATGTATAATTACAAACAATACACTTATAGACAATTGAAGGGAAGGAAAAGGAAGAAGAGAAAAAATCAATTTCGATATAATGGCTTATCCTGCTAATTTACTAACTGATTTAACAGTTACTGTAAGTTCTTCTGGTACTCATATACCCCTTACAAAATGATTGACTTAGATAGCAAATTACCCATGCAGTTAATTGCCATCCCTCTTTCTAGGATACTGGCATAATGTGCTCTATATAACCAGAGGAAGATGAAGGTCTGGAGAAACATGCACAGTGAGATTTGTGAATGAAAAACTGACTTTGCTGTAGGTGATGTTGAACAATATTTAAAATAATTTTCACGGAACCCTCCAACTTTCTCCCTGATTTTTTATAAATGAAAACATAGTTAAGTACCCAAACCAGAGCACTCAGAGAACATTATTTCATCCACTAATTTCCAGGATGGCAATCTAGTTTTAGATGTTTGTCTCGGCATATCTAAATAGTACGTGCAAATTTTACTCAATACTTTAATTGATTTTCCCAACTACACGTGAGAAGAACTTTGACAGCCTGGGAAACAATATTAATCTCCTCTAGGGTCCCAGAACATGGAAGCTGAAATTTGCCAAATGGCACCCTGGTGGTTTGTATGTTGATGCAGTTTCTCCACGTGTCTAACTTTCCCCTGGGGAGAAGTGGAAGCCCTTGGAGAATTTGGCTCATTAACAATGAAAGATATTTGAGATACACTCAAGGGCTGTGTAGCAGAAGTAAAATTTGCCTGTTTTGGAGGCAGTTGGGATTTTGCCTCTTTGATGATACCTTTTCATAGCTCCCTGATAGACTGTTGAATCCAGAAAGAAAACACCTTGCAAGTGAAAGTACGTATGGAAAATATTAATGAATACTAACTTATTCCTACACTGCATGGAAATTTAAAATGCAATGGTTCTAGTTAAAATTGATTTCTTCCAGAAAATAAGGATTGGTACCATCCAAAATAGTACGTAATGGAAAAAATGCCCTGATTTAACAACTGTATGTTTAAGTGATAAGTATACTCATCCATGAAGCCCGATGTTGGTTGTCATTTCATTATAATTGCCATTATTTTACTTAATTAGCATGGTTTTTAGAATAATCTGGCTAGAAAACACGTGCCCTAACTCAGATAATGTACAGTTGCCATGGTTTAAGCTAGCATGATTTTTTTTTTCAGCTTCAGCTTCATTCATTTCTTTAAAACATCTTTTGAAACAAGTAACTCAACCTTGAATGACAGAAATAAAGGAAAACATTTTGTTTGCCCTCCCCACCATCCTCTCACCTTCCAGAGAGCTCCAGGTAATTTTATTGAGGTAGAATTCACATGACATAAAACTGACCTTTTTAAAGTGTAAAATTAAGTTGCATTAAGTACATTTATAATGTTAAGCAATCATCACTTCTATCCAGTTCCAAAACATTTTCATCCCTTGCAAAGGAGACCCCATACACTTTAGGCAATTATTCCATATTCTCCCTTCCTTTCAGCCCATAGCAACCACTTTGCTTTCTGTCTCTATGAATTTACCTATTCAGGATATTTCATACAAATGGATCATACAACATGTGGTCTTTTGTGTCAGGCTTCTTTAAGCACTTAATGTTTTCAAGGTTCACACATGCTACAGCATGTAACAGTACTTCATTTTTTTTTTTTTTTTTTTGATACGGAGTCTCACTCTGTCGCCTAGGCTGGAGTGCAGTGGCGCCATCTTGGCTCACTGCAAGCTCCGCCTCCTGGGTTCACGCCATTCTCCTGCCTCAGCCTCCCGAGTAGCTGGGACTACAGGCACTCACCACCACACCCGGCTAATTTTTTGTGTTTTTAGTAGAGACAGGGTTTCACCGTGTTAGCCAGGATGGTCTCAATCTCCTGACCTCGTGATCTGCCTGCCTCGGCCTCCCAAATTGCTGGGATTACAGACGTGAGCCACCACACCCGGCCACTGTACTTCATTTTTTATGGCTGAATAATATTCCATTTGTGTATATACCACAACTTTTTTATCCCTACATCTGTTGATGAAAATTTGGGTTGTTTCCACCTTTTGGCCATTGAGAACAGTGTTGCTATGAGCGTTTGTATACAAGTTTTTGTTTGACCACCTATTTTCAGTTCTTTGAGGTGTATACCTAGGAGTGGAATTGCTGGGTCATATAGTAGTTCTACATTTAACTTTTAGAGCAAGAAGCAAACTGTTTTCCATAGTAGCTGTACCATTTTGTATTCCTACCAGAGAAGCATGATACAATATTACACAGTTTCTCCACATCCTCACTAACACTTGTTATTTTCTGTTTATTTTTTAAAAATTCTAGCCATTCTAGTGGGTGTGAAGTTGTAGCCCCTTGTGGTTTTGATATGAATTTCCCTAATGACTAATGATGTTGAGCATCTTTTCGTGTGCTTGTTGGTTACTTGTATATCTCCTTTGTAGAAATATCTATTCAACTCCCTTTTCCATTTTTTTGAGTTGTTTGTCTTTTTTGTTGTCAAGTTGTAGGAGTTTTGTATATATTCTGGATGCTAGATCAGACATATGAGCTCCAGGTAATTATGAAATGTACTGAGCTAGTTGTAATACTACATATTCCTAATGACATATGGATGGGAGTAATAGTCCATGAAAATTCTTGAACTTTCCTAAAAAAAAAAAAAATGGGGTCTATACCAATGGTTTAACCTTATGTACAGAAAGGCTTATGTGAAAAAGAGGATGTGGCACTTATGTCTCATATACTAATAAACGTCTGCAGGGGAAGGCAGGTTGAATTCCATATTTGCCACTTCAATTGAAAAGCAAATGTCAGACTCTCCTTTTGTCCTGAATATAATAGGGTATGTTTGGGGCATGAACTGAATCCTTCTTACCGTAGAAGATTAGTGCAGTATAACAAGCTAGAAGAAAGACATTTTCCCACTCATAAGAGGAATAGTTGTAGGAACTAAAAATGCCTAGCCTAGAGAACAGAAAACTCAGGGGATATGAGAGCTGTCCACAAATATTTTAAGGGCTGTCATGTGGAAGAGCAATCAGAATTGTTTTATATATCCCCAAGGGGTGAAACCAACACCAATGGGTGGAAAAACTTCAGGGAGACAGATTTTCAATTGTAAAAAAGGACAAAACATTCTGATAGTCAAGGTAATGCAAGGCTGGAATGGGCTGCCACAGCAGGAAATGGGTTTCACGTCCCTGGACACAGGAACGCGTAGCTCTTGAGTCAGCCAGACAGTTTAGAATCCCCGTTCTGTCACACATACTAGCTTTGTGAACTGAGGCAACACTTAACCTCTTTAAGCCTCAATTGACACATATATAAATTGGGGCACATAGTGGCTACCTAATAAGAGTACTGTAATAATTTAATGTTCAGTCAAGGGCATATACCCATTAAGTGCAAAGGTGAGTAAAATCAACTGCACTGTCTTAGTGGTGTTTCTCTTTGTCTCTCTCTCTCTCTCTCTTCCCTCTTTCTCTCCTTCTACATCTTTTTCTCCTCCTTTCCTTCTCTTTTCCTCTCCCTCCTCACCTCTTTCTTTCCTCTTCCTCTTTTCTCCTCCTTTCTGGTATAAGTGTTTATAGTTAAATTTGCCTGTGCTAAATATGTATATAGTATGGCTCCTTTACCAGCCTACAGAAAGATGCTAGAATCAAAACAAGATGAGGGGGGCATCCACACATATGTGTGGCCTAGTAAGGGGTAACAGAGCAAAAATTGGGTGAAGAGGGTGACCTGTGGAGGGACAGCCAAGCAAGAGGTAGCCTAATGAAGGGTGTCAGAACTTGAGCCACATGGTGGGACAGGCTGGGAAGGTCTGTGGGGCCATAAGTGGGATTAGAAGGAATCCACATGGCAGGCAGTGACAACAGCCTGGCACGGAGTTCACAGTCCAAGTAGGGCAAGAAGCATACTTTCCCAGTAAGGGGGTTGAGGCAACAATGAGAAATTACTGCATGCAGGATGATTTATCAAATAAGTAAATACATTAAGAATGATGGGGCCTGGCACAGTGGCTCATACCTGTAATCCCAGCACTTTGGGAGGCCAAGGTGGGAGGATCACTTGAGGCCAGGACTTCAAGACCAGCCTGAGCAACATAGGAAGACACTGTCTCACAAAAAGTAAAATAAAAAATAAGCCGGACATGATGACGCACACCTATAGTCCCAGCTACTCAGGAGGATGAGTCGTGAGAATCACTCAAACCCAGGAGGCCAGGAGGTTGAGGCTTCAGTCAGCCATGATCATGCCACTGCACTCCAGCTTGGGTGACAGAGTGAGACGCTCTGTCAAAAAAAAAAAAAAAATAGAAGCAAGGTTTCTCACTGTCTGAGATAAGCAAAACTGTGGAAAAAGAAAAAACTAGAATGATCCCTATGGTATTGGGATAGAGTTATTAGTGTAAACTGATGGTTATCAATATATATAAATGTAAACAATATATATAAATAGAAAAAATAAATATAGATATGAATTTGTGTATATATATTATATATATAATATATATATACACATGTATAGTATACATACATATATTCCCTAGTTCTATTCATGGAGAGGCCATGGGAACACCCCAATAGCAATGACCATATCTACCATTCAAACCTTGGTTTCTCAATATCCTCCTCCAGTAAAAGAAACCATGACTCTGTAGAGAAAGGGCTAATTCTGGAGCTTGAGCAGGGAGAATACAAAGTCATCATGGAATATCTCATTATGCTAGAAAGCAAGGAGGTACCCAGAATAATGAGGATGTACCTAAGGGACACAGGAGCAAGTTTGAAAGAGTGTCCCACTGGCCAAATCTGGGACAATTTAAGCATCAAAATAAATACTGAATTTTCTAGTAACATGATCCTGTATGTAGAAAATGCCAGTAAACCCACACACAAAAAACTGCTAGGGCTAACAAAAGAATCAGCAATCCTGCAATGTACAAGATCAACACACCAAAAACAATTGTGTTTCTATACAAGAGCAATGAACAATCTAAGAAGACATTTTTTTAAAAAATCCATTTACAATAGTATCCAAAAGAATAAAACATCTAGGAATAAATTTAACCAAAGAGGCACAAGTCTTGTACACTGAAAATTATACAATGTTGTTGAAAGAAATTAAATAAGACATAAATAAATGAAAAGACATCTCGTGTTCATGAACTGGAAGATTTAAAATTGTTAAGATGGCAATACTCCCCAAAGTAATCTATAGATTCAGTGAATTCCCTATCAAACTTCCAAAGACCTTTTATTGCAGAAATGGAAAAGCCTATTCTAAAGTTCATATGGAATTGCAAAGGCCCTGAATAGCTAAAAAAAAAAAAAAAAAAAAAAAAAACCAACACAACCTCATAAAAGGAGAACACAGTGAGAAGACTCACACTTCCCAATTTCAAAACACTGCAAACCTACAATAATCAGAACACCGTATGCTGGCATTAAGATAGATACATAGACAAATTGAATAGAATTGACAGTCCAGCAATAAAATCATATATCTATGGGCAATTGATTTTCAACAAGGGGGCCAAGGCCATTCAATGAGGAGAGAATAGTTTCTCTAATAAATGGCACTGGGACAACTGGATATCCACATGCAAAAGAATGAAGTTGGACCTTTGTCTCACACCATATATAAAAATTAACCCCAAATGGATCAACAAACCTAATAAAGAACTAAAACTACAAAACTCTTAGAAGAATAACACAGGGGTTAATCTTCATGGCCTCATTTTTGATAGTCGATTCCTAGATATGAAAATAAAAGTACAAAAAACAAACAAAAGGTAAATTGGACTTCATCAAAATAAAAAGTGTGCATCAAAGAATATTATCCAGAAAGTAAAAAGATAACTTACAGAAAGGGATAAAATATTTGCAAATTATATATTTTCTATTACCCAGAATATATTTTTAAAAAACTCTTACAAAGTTCTCTTATAGAAAATATAAAGAACATCAAAAAGACAAAAAAATTCAATTAAAAAAATGAGCAAAGGATTTGAATAGACATTTCTCTAAAGAAGATATTCAAATAACCAATAGGCATGTGAAAAGATGCTCAGCATTATTAATCATTAAAGAAATACAAAACAAAACCCCAGTGAGATACCACATCATACTCACTAGGATGTCTAGAATTAAAAGAAAGAAAAAAAAACCCAGAAAATAAAAAGCGTTAGTGAGGATATGGAGAAATTGGAACTCTCAAACTTTGCTGATGGGAATGTAGCTGCTTAGAAATCAGTTTAGTAGTTGCTCAAAAAGTTAACTGTGGAACTACCATATGACCCAACAATTCTACTCTTGGGTAGAATTTGGGCTTCTCCACAGCACTTGTGAAGTTATTACAAGCTTAGCCCAGCTACACGGGCTGCATCTACAAACACTGACTCTTTAAAATAAAGCTACATTTAAAACACACCCGAAAGAATGGAAAATAGGTGTACAAACAAATACTCATACACAAATGTTCATAGCAGCACTGTTCTCAATAGCCAAGATATGGAAACAACCTAAATGTCCATCAAGAGATGAATATATAAGCAAGTTGTAATATATACATATAATGGAATATTACCCAGCTATACAAAGGAGTAAAATACTGATGCATGCAGCAACATGGATAAATCTTGAAAACAATATGCTAAATGAAATAAGCCAGACATAAAATGTCACATATTATTCCATTTCTATGAATATCCAGGATAGGTAAGTTCACAGATACAGAAAGCAGATTAGTGGTTGTCAGGAGCTAGGGAAAGAAGGGAATGGGGAGAAACTGTTTAGTGAGTACAGGGTTTTATTTTAGGGTCATAAAAATGCTTTGGAACGAGATAGAGGTAGTAGTGGGACAACATCATGAATGTACTAAGCGCTGCTGAATTATTCACTTTAAACTGGTTAATTTTATGTTATGTGAGTTCCACCTCAATAAAAATAAATAAATAGTTATTTATGGTAATGGTAATTATCTTTTGGAGAAAATAGGAAACCATGAGTTTATGGTGAGATACACTTTTAAATGAATATGTTGAAAGCTTGACAAGGAACGGATTTCTACGTGGCTTCAATGTACCTTCTCCCAAAATATTAATATGGTAATTGAAGATGCTTACTCTAGGGGAACTGAGTGATGGGTATATAACACTCTCTGTGCTATATATTTGCTGTAAGTCTAACATTATTTTAAACTAAAGAATTACAAAATGAGATAAATGGGGAAAGATTAAATTTACATCAGAGATGTCTGGCAGACATTATCTTACTCAAGTTATCAAAGTGGACATCAACAAGAATGAAACAAGTAGAAATGACATGCCACGTGATAGAATGCAGTGAGAAGATCCAGCAGCACTTCTGGGACGTTCCTACCAAAGGTCCATAACTGGAACCTAATTAGGATGAAACAGACAACCCAAAATGAGGGACAAGTGACAAAACAACTGGCCCATAATCTTTGAAGTGTCAAGGTCAAGAAAATCAAAATTAAATTAAGGAAACATCTTAGACTAAAGGACGGTAAACAGTCATGGCCCCCTTTACCCTCAAGTATGACAATCAAGTGTTACACCTGAGTCTGAACTGGATCCTTTTGCTATAGAAAACATTATTGGAACAACTGGCAAAACCTGAATGGGATTTGAGGGTGAGATAGTAATAATTAATGTCCTGATTTGGGTGGTAGCATTGTGGTTAAGTAGGACAGTGTTCTTGTTTGTAGGAAATATGCACTAAACTAGTATTATGGGGTGATGAGGCATCAACTTACCCTTAAATGGTTCAGGGGGAAACATTTCATTTGTACTATACTTGCAACTTTTCTATAAGTTTGAGATTATTAAAAACAAAGAACAAAAAACCTAAAGCCAATTTACTGAAGGTGCTATTCTTCAAGTGTTTAAAATGTCATTCTGCAACACCAGACTTAAGAGAATTGGATCGCAGAAACTGTTTTGGCTGTAAAGGCCAGATCTATCATTTATCCTCATGATCTTTCTTTTCTTGGGATAAGTTACCCATAACATAGCTCATTACCAAGGTGGGGGTGGGGGTCAAGGGAGAAGTCAGGGAAGCATAATGCTGCCTAAGGGAGGAGTGACGTGGAAGTGGGCAGCTCAACCTCAGCTTTGAAGAGATGTATAATTAGGAACTAGTGCTTACCACAGCTACCCTCATTGCCTTCTCCTCCCCCCCCAATCCACCACCAGTGGCTGGGCAATGGCTCCTTATTTTGAGGACAGCTCTGTATAAGGGCATTTAATTAATGTGTTGACTCAACTGACTCCCTGTTATTTTACTGACAAATCCGTCCACTTTAAGGGCCCCAAGACTTTCAGAGTAGACTCATTCTTTTTTAGTTGAGAAAGTGAGAGCTTACCTGTATAGTTACACTGTCAGAGTCTTTTATTCGGACATGGGGTAGGAGCAGGGGACTTTAACTCTGAAAGGTAAGAGAACCTCATTTCTTAGCATAATGGCCGGGGAGCATAAAACAGTCCAGGAGCCACAACATAAAAGTAATGTCTATCAAGTGTGCAGTTAAGCATTACCTAAATATAATAAACTGCAGGAACAGCATCCACCCAGCAACACACGGTAAGATTACTCCCTTATCCTTTTATATTACAGTATGACAAAACCACTTTCAGAGAGAAATTGGGGCTTCTTCACAGCACTTGCGAAGTTATTACAAGCTTAGCCCAGCTACATGGGCTGCATCTACAAACACCGACTCTTTAAAATAAAACTACATTTAAAACTCTGCCTTTCTACTTGACAAACAATCCATGCAGTCAATGGCGACACACATTGGTTGCAGTTCCGATCCTTTTTTGGACCCTTATTTTATTTCTCATGCTATATTAAGAGACCTTGGAAAGAGGTACCCTATGAAATGAGTGAGAGAACACAGCACCCACTAAAATATATGTCTCACTTAAGATCCTGATAGAGGGTTGGCAAGAGGTGGGGAGGGATGGCAATGAATTGTTTCCACAAAAACAGCCCTTTGTCCTTGGATAATTACACCACTTTAGCAATAGGTAGCATAATCACTCACTCCCATTTAAACGGCTCTGATAGGTATAACCTGGTTCTTCAAGCACCCTCCTTATCATATAGCAAAGTATTTACATTCCCTGTTTAGCAGGATGTTCTACATCATAACAGCAAGGTCACTGCAATTCATTAATGATTAAAGACAAGAAGAAATCAGTAAAAACAAAATAATATCGTTTGTTCAGAGAACCTGAAGCCAGTTTGCTAGCAATATGGATAAGTGTTCTATTTACTGATGAGGCCTTTGTCCTAGAACAAGAGTCTGCAAAGTACAGCCCTCAGGCCAAATCCAGCCATCTGTCTGTTTTTATATTGTTATATTGTTTTTGTAATCTTGTATTGGAACATCACCACACCTATTCTTTTACTTATTGTCCATGGCAGCTTTTGCACTGCAATCATGTCTGGCCTGCAAAACCTAAAGTATTTACCATCTGGCCCTTTACAGAAGTAGTGTGCTGACTTCTGTCCTAGAAGCCTCTGGCATATAGCATATCTCTTCTAACACGACTCTGGGTCTCTGGCCACCTGCCTAGTTGAGAGATGTCAGTCATATTTGCCTTGCCTACACAACCTCTTTAGGAAATCTGATCCATCCGCTGGTTGGAACGGGTGGCTCACATGACTCCGCCTACTGATCACAGCTAATACGGTCTGGGATGGAAACCTGGCCCAATTGCCTATGGAAATGGGCAGGGGAAACAACGTTTTACCTGGTATCTGTGAAATTGAAGGCAGAGTTACTATTACAGCAAACCAAATTAATGTGCAAGCTTATGTGAAGAAAGAGGAGCTGTAAACTTTGCAGTGAAGCTTCTATCTGCAGAAAAGAAATTAGGAACAGAGACGCACCATGTATGGGAGACCTCATGGCCCCAAAGGGACAGACAGAAACAAATGATCTGCCTCAACACTTCCTAGTATCCGTGTAGTCTGGCTGTATTTCCTGTCACTTGGGGGGGTCTGCAAAGTTTCCTGTATTCCTGAACCTAAATCCCCCTTTGCCTAACCTAGCTTGAGTGGGTTTATTTGTTTTTAAATAATTGACTCTAGACAAAAATACTACTTCTTACAGGTAGGTACAATATTTATTGTGTTCCTATTATGTGCCAAACATTGTTTCTAGATGTACAAAATACAGTGTGAAAAACACAAAAATCCCGACACTTGTAGAGTTCGTATTTTAGTTGAATGCGTATTTGTTTACATTGTTTTGCCTTTCTTTGTCACATCATTCCCACTTGTGAAAAGGAGATGACATAGTACCTATCTCATTTGGGTTCATTTAATGATGAAATGAGCTATGTGCATGTGTGTGTAAAGTATATTAGAGTCCCTGGCACAAAGCATACATGCAATAAGTGGTGGTGGTTGGTATTGAAAAGAGAAGCTAGAAAAAAATAAAACCAGGTTATAGCCAGAGGGAGGCTTGTGAAGGAGGGCAAATATAGGGAAGCATTGGTGCAAGGACTCCAGAAACATAGACTCTTTTATAACGTTGCCTTTTGTAATCCAGAAAATAACTGTCATTCATTACTTCAGCCTCCCCAGCAATGATCTGCCTTCCCACCCTTGTGACTCATTTATAAGGTCCTGGTTTTTTTTTTTTTTTTTTTTAAGGCAGAGTCTCGCTCTGTCACCCAGGCTAGAGTGCAGTGGCATGATCTCAGCTCACTGCAACCTCTACCTCCCAGGTTCAAGCTATTCTCCTGCCTCAGCCTCCTGAGTAGCTGGGATTACAGGCACGCGCCACCCCACCTGGCTAATATTTTATTAGTAGAGACAGGGTTTCACCATATTGGCCAGGCTGGTCTTGAACTCCTGACCTCAAGTGATCCACCCACTCGGCCTCCCAAAGTGCTGGGATTACAGGCGTGAGCCACCACGCCACGCCTAACATGCAAACTTAATGAGTGTGAGTTCACTTGTAACCACCTATCCAACATCACAGCTCACATAAAGTGTGACTGGAATGGAAAGAGAACAATGGGATCTGGAAGGCACTGGCCTCTGTTAGAGATATCACAAGCAGAAGAAGGGGAAGAGGGCACTACTTTACAATTTTCCCACAAGTCTGTTCTGCCTCCAAGTAGTAGATAGGCCCATGTTGAAGCTTTTGGGTATGCATCATTCCATCAGAAGTTGCACTGAGCTTGACTTCGGTCACGCCTGTCTGAGGATGATCATGGTCTTTGCTGTGTGTATGTGTAGAAGTGGCCTTTCTAGGTAAGGCTAGTCTAGCATACCCTTGACAACGATGCAGCCCTTCTCTCAGCAGAAGGAGGAGATGAATGGGGACCTTTACACTCTCCTTGACAGGTGTTTCCCAGAGGATGGGGACAGGGATCTGCCATACAGAGCTCAAAGCTGTTCCTTCCTTGGATGGAATAGTGACCATTAACTGGAGAATCCCTAACCCACTTATTGTTTCTGTCTTTCCCTTTACTGAATTAAACAAAAATCATTACGTTTGTGGGAAGCAAGCTTCCTTTCTTATTAAATGCTATAAAGCCAAGCCTTGTGGGCAGCTCGGGCTGATTATCAGGATTTTCAAATCGACTCTTTTACTGTGAAGAAGGAACTTAATTCTGTATCTAATTTTAATCTGTATCCCATGGTCAGGCGTGTTATGTTAAAGAATTTGTTAACATTTAAAGAGGGGGGAACTGATTATATTGATCCTTCTTGTGTAAATTGGCCAAGGTGATCAATTTTGGGTTGTAAACTTTTGATGTAATTCAACAGTTCCAGAATGGTGACATGAGGAGGGGAGTTTAGCAATTTGCAAGCAAAGTAGGTCTGCCTTTCTCTTACAGGTTATTTCTAGTGTGTGGTACTGAAACAGGCAATCATAGGGTCTTTGGCATAGTGATAGATTGCATTGCCAAGATTCCACTCTTCCCATCTTGACTGCAATCATTAGAGAATAACCCGGTTTGTATTAAGTTTGCATTCAGACAGTTAATATATAGGTCGAGAAGGATTCATAGTTGTATCTGTTGTTGCAAACCAGCAAGTGGTACGCACAAAGGCAAAATGTTGGCAGTGTGAAGCTACTGACACAAAGAGGCTAAGTGCCTCAGTCATTTCCACAACCCATGATATGTTTCATAAACACAAGACTGCTTTGACCTGGTGTCAATAAAATCACCAAGAAATAATCCCCTTCCAAAGGGCCTTCTCTGCCCTTTGTCCATGCAATAGATTCCCTCTATTAGGAAAGAACTTGATTAAATGCTGTATCAGTTAGGATTAGGTACAGCTGTGAGTGACAGAAAACCCAAATTAACAGTGGCTTAAACACACAAAGCTTAATCCGCCCACAAGAGAAATCTAGAGGTTGACAATATAGGGATGGCTTGGCAGTTCCACGTAGTTACCAGGTACATAGGCTCCATCATCCCTAGAGTGTGTCTCTCATGCTTATGACCCAAGATGATTGCTTTAACTCTGGCTATCATGTCACCTCTCCAGGCAGTAGGAATAGAGAGGAAAGCACAGTGCATCAGTTTTCTTTAAGGACACTGCAGAAGTCACATGTGAAATTTTAACTTATACACTAGTGACAGACCTTAGCCACGTGACAATTCTAAGGCTGGGAAATGTAGTATTAAGCGTGTTTTCTGCTAAATTCAGGATTCTATTACAAATGGAGAGAACAGCTATTGAGTGTCAACTGGCTGTCTCTGTCCCAGGTACTGTGTATATGTTGGAGGTGGGGAGAAAATAACCAAGTCAAGCTTTTTTTAGTTTCCCCTGCCATCATGTATCAAACACTCCTTGTTTCCCCTTGTCTCAACCCATTTAAAATGTTTCTGGCAACTGAAACGAAATAAAAAAACACCTAGAAAAAGCCAAAGGAAGGGTAAGGGGGCATATGTAACATCAGAGTTTCTCCCCTAAATGGTTTCAAAGCATTTTTTCATTTGCTTATTTTATATGGTAGAGTCTGGGCATCAGTTCTGTCTCACCCTTACTCTGGTAAACTAAGAATATGATTTTTTTCAATGCATTTGCAACTTTCATTAAAGTATACTACTTGAGCCCCTAACATTTTTAAATAAAGATAACTTACCTGTGATTCTGGATACTCCAGAAGGCACCTACTTACCTGCCTATCCCATCTACCATTCCAGATGCCCCTGGTTGTCAATGGGGAGGCTCACAGAAACCTGAAGCCTCAAGGTGTCCCTAAATCATGTGCCCAGAGTCGAAGATTCAGTTTGGTAAGCCAGGGGACTAAGTCTTGGAACTTTAATAATAAAGCAATTCATGAAATTGCATGATCTACTTTACCAAAAAGCCATTGATATTAAATGTATTATGAATGTTATTTGGTTGTTTTTAGTTGTTTTAAATATACCTAATTACTCCAGTTTGTAACTGGACTGATCAGTTCTACAAAAACAAAATTTCAGTGTAAATAATTAATGTATCAAAGCCTTTAAAAAGAGATCGATCCCTCCCAAGTTAAACATGCCCCTTTGCAAACTTGTTTACACTATTACTTTGCTTAGCTAACCATTCATTCAGAGATAGTGCAGTGGTAATTTGAACAGGAACTGCGCAGGAATTTAATCACAAATTGTGAATTACTGGGGCCCAAAATATGAGGCTGTATAGTCATTTCTTGATTATTCACATCAATGAATGTAACACTGATAATTTTTAAATCATTTCTATTTTACCTTTAATATTATTTGGAGGGAAGTTACCTTCTCAATTACATTTTGCTCAGGCTCCTACTAAACTTAAATTTGTATTCCCTCAGCACACATAGATGGGCAGTCAAAGAAACAGTCAAGAAGCATAAAATAGAGAGTTGTGCAAAGCTGGTCTGGGATGAGTCATTAAACATAGCTAATTCACAGGTTGAGAATCATCTTTATTAGAGATTTCTTCATTTCTAAAGATGTGTTCAACAAACCTCATCAAACAAATGGGAATTCTTAGTTCCTAATAAAAGATTCCTAAGGAAGACTGTCTTCAATCCCAGGGGAGCCCAGTGACCCTAGTACTGTATCTTGGGCCCTGGGCACATGGTTTAGGGATACTTTGGGGCTCCAGGTCTCCATGAGACTCATCTTGGACAACCAGGGGCATCTGGAATGGTAGATAGGATAGGCAGGTAAGTAGGTGTCTTCTGGAGTATCCAAAATCACAGGTAAGTTATCTTTATTTAAAAATGTTAGGGGCTCAAGTAGTGTGCTTTAATGAAAGTTGCAAATGCGTTGGGGAAAAAAAAAATCACATTCTTAATAAAGATGAGACCGAGCTGATGCTCAGACTACCATATGAAATGAACAAATAAAAAGAAAGGCCCACTGGGGAAGCAGTATTTCATTTTGGTTAAGAATACAAGACAACATAGTTCAAACACCAGTTTTTTTACTTGTACCTTAAGGATTCTGTAATTCGGTCTCCTCATTTGTAAAATAAAGAATATTCTTCCTACCTCCAAGAGTAAGGGCTTAGCAAGGTGCCTGGGCAATATTATCATCATTATAGCTGTCATTAATAGTGATAATATTTGCTGACTTTATGTAGCAATAGAACAAAACTCAACAACTTTTAAAATGACACACAGTCCCATTGGTTGTGAGGTGTAACAAGCTTAGCCAATGAGGTTCCCCAGTCATTGGCCTTTAACCATTACACAGTATTTAAATCTCAGTTAACCTTTTTATGCATTGACACTACTTGAAAACCCGTTATGAACTGTGTGTGAGTGTAACTGGAAAGGTCACTGTGGGATCAATAGTACCTTCCAAAGTAAGCACATGTGAAGTCTGTCTTCTGATTAGTGAGTGTGGCCACTATCCAAATTGCCTGCCACCTAGACTCTCCATATGCCACAACATATTGTATACACGTAAGAAATTCCCAGGCTCAAATAGTATTTCAATGATTTTAAAGACATACTCATAGATCACAATTGCCAAACAAAAAAGTTAGAAAAACATACAGCAACAGTGGAATAGAACAAAATAACAAAATGGGTAAAAATCTGTCTAGAGTCAGTCAACAAAGCACATTCTTTGTTGTCTCTTATGGAAGGGCAAACCTTTCAAAAAGCAGTATTTCTTCCTCCTCAGCATCTTATTCTAAGAACACTGTATAAACCATTTGCCAATCTCTCTTTAGAAGTATTTATCATTGCATTACCTACAGCACCAGACCCAGGGGTATATGAGAAATTAAAAGAATGAGATCACTTCTTATTCAGACTCTAGCCATAAAAATTAAGGTGTAGAATTTGCCAGATGACAGAGTGCAACTAGAAGCGGCACTAACTGGTATGTATATCTATAAGTTGTTAGGGATGTCACAAGGAATTTGATGAAAATAATACTTTAAGTACTGATATTTGGGTATTGTCTTCATCCACCTTGTGTTGCCATAAAGGAATGCCTGAGGCTGGGTAATTTATAACAAAAAGAGGTTTATTTGGCTCACAGTTCTGCAGGCTGTACAAGAAGCATGGCACCAGCATGTGTATCTGGTGAGGGCCTCAGGGCTGTTTCCACTCATGGCAGAAGGCGAAGGAGATCTGGCATATGCAGGGATCACATGGCAAGGGAGAAGGCAAGGAAGAGAGAAGAGGGAGGTTCCAGGCTCTTTTTAGCAACCAGCTCTCATGGGAACTAATAGAGCAAGAACTCACTCACCCTTCCGGGAGGGCACCAAGCTATTCATGGGGGCGGGTCCCCCATGACCCAAACACCACCGATTACGTCCCACCTCCAACATCAGAGATCATTTCCACATGAGATTTAGAGGGGACAAACATCCCAACTATAGCAGTTATCATTTAATTTTTTGAAAGGGAGCATGAAATCAAAGCTATCCTAAGGGCATCACTTTGACTTACTCACGTTCCATTAATGCTTTCTTGGGTGGTAGAGAAAGGGGCAGAGTTACACACAGGAAATGGAGTATTTCATATAACTCTGGGCATATTCAAAGATGTGAGATTAGACTTCAACATCCTCCTTCTTGTATGTTGCAACTGGAAAAAGGAAAGCTGCTAACCACTAATTTAGAGTACACTGCAGGGCACCTGCTGCCACCAGGCTTTGCCTTGCTGAGAGCTCCTCATTTCATTCTGCTTTCTCATCCTCCCTCTCATTGCTACCCCTAACTCCTTCATATCTAGAGACCCCGTATCTGGGACTTTTTCTTAGGATGTATTTATTACTAATCAGAGTATTAAAAATACCATTTTTTTTCATTCCTCTTTTCTGTGGGACCACATGCTTTTGGAATGCTTATGGCCCCACAATGAGATATGTAGATAAATTCATATTTGCCTGACAACTTATATCATGTTGAGGTAAGAAACATTTTGGACAAAAAATCTAAAAATTTGTCTTAGGTAAATGGTGAAGTCCAAGTACAGAAATACAGAGTGACATCCTCACCTATCCCCCCAAGGTCACGTTATGGCTGTGTGATAATGAGGAAGTTTGCCTACAGGAGTTTAAATTGCTCCAAGATAGGCTAGGTAGTAGTAACCTTCCTCTTTATTGATGATTTCTGGGGCTATTAAATGAATGCATTTTAAAAGGGGTTAAATAAATGTTATGTAGTAGTGTAAGCTAATTTCACTTTAAAAAATGAATAATGAAATCTGTGCTTCATTTATCATTTATGGCAATGCAAGTCTATCAGAGGAAGCCAGTCATTTTTTCAGCTTTCATGGCAAATTTGCAATTCAGAAATAATTTTTGGGATTTGTTATGCCTCCCTGCCTCATTAACTGTTGAGATTGGTGCCTGCTTGTTGGTTTCGTGTCCATTCCCCCTCAATCTGTTGAAAACAAATTGTAAATAAAAGAATACGTTGATGAAACAGTGTGGGCCTGAAGTTGAGAAAAAAAGTTGGGGTGGAATAGGTGAAGGAATACATGCTGTGAATTCAGTCTGGAAATGCAATTAAGAGGCCTACAATGGACACTCCATAGGTCTGAATAAACCCAATTTAATATTTGTCCCACTTTTCACAATACACACTTAGCTCTCTACATATGCTTGTCTAAGGCTCTGGTTTTTCCCTTGGATAGAAGATCCAGTCAAGAGGGGTGATGTATTCCCCATCTTTGAATATTATGGCTAGATGGTTGCATTGTAGGATAAGGAAGCACTCTGACATGAAGGAATAGATCAGCATCACAAATTCCTTTTCAAAATATGTTGGCCCACAGAGTTTGGGTTAGATCTCTCTATCTTAACCAATGTTACATCACATCTTTAAAATATATATACTCAGCCGGGCGTGGTGGCTCACGCCCGTAATCCCAACACTTTGGGAGGCTGAGGCAGGTGGATCACGAGGTCAGGAGTTCGAGACCAGCCTGGCCAACATAGTGAAACCCTGTCTCTACTAAAAAATACAAAAAGTTAGCCGGGCGTGGTGGCAGGTGCCTATAATCCTAGCTACTCAGGAGGCTGAGGCAGGAGAATCACTTGAACCTGGGAGGCGGAGGTTGCAGTGAGCCAAGATCGCGCCATTGCACTCCAGCCCAGACAACAGTGCAAGACTCTGTCTCGAAAATAAATAAATAAATAAATAAAATATATATACTCAATATTGAGGTACAAAATAATATTCATGAAATGTTAATACATTTATAAAGAATAATGATACAATGAACATGTGTCTCTACTACCAACTAATTTTAAATATAACAAATGACTGTCAACTTCAATGTCTCCTGAGTACCCTTCTTTGATCCTATGCCTGTCTATCCTCCTGAGAGGTAATCACTATTTTGAATCATGTGTTTAGCATTCTCTTGCATTTCTTCATAGTTTTGTCACATAAATTTATAGCTCCATATAACATTTTGTTTAGTTTTGTATGATTTGGAGCATAGTTTTTAAAAAACAAGAACATGTTATTTTTCCACTTGCTTTTTTCATGCAACGTCTTGAGAATCATCTGACTGGTGGTGTGAAGATGTACTTTGCTAACTTTCACTGCTATGTAGTATTGAGGATATAACACAATCTATCAATCCATTCCACTATTAATACAACTTTGGTTTGTACCAGTTCAGGGCTGATATTTGGGTACTGTCTTCGTCCATCTTGTGTTGCCGTAAAGGAATACTGAGGCTGGGTAATTTATAACAAAAAGAAGTTTAGGAACAGCAATTCTATAAACATTCTTGTCCATGTCTCCAACTGTATGTGTTTTGCTCATTTTACTATGAGTTTATCTCTTTTTCTTATTGATTTAAAGGATACATAAAAATATGTGTGTGTGTGTGTGTGTGTGTGTGTATGTGTGTGTCTGTGTATACATGTAAAGCCTGGATACTAATCCTCTGTTCGTCATATGTGTTGCAAATATCTTTTTCCAAATTATAGTTTGTCATTTATTTTCTTTATGGCTTTTAATGAACAGAAATTCTTGCTTGGTTTTAGTGATGTTGAATTGCCATGAATCTGAAGCGTGAAATTCAGTGAAAGCTGTCATGGCTACCTTCATATTATAATTGCAATACATTGATTTGGTTTGGTTTTTGCATTGTTATTATTAGAGAAAGTGAGATTTCTATAGCTCAGGTCTGAAGAACATGCTCACTCCATCTAGGTGGATAGCAAATCACAAATGAATTGTTACTATCTTGTTGACTTTACAAATAGCATTCTGTTAACCAGGTAATATTTTAATGGAATAGCATTTTTTACAGTGCATGTGTTTTCTAATCATCATTGCCAGGTAGATGTGAAGATTTGAGCCTTGGGAAAGAGATGAATAGATGAGAATTTATGGCAATTTTAAAGGGTGGTACTTTATATTTTTTGTTTGTTTTGTGTGTTTGTTTTACTTGGGGACATTTTTATATGTCATAAAAGGAAAACCATTCAATTGCATTCTTCAAAGAAAGTTTTATTAGCAATTACAGTTTTAAAACACAACTCTGGGCCTTCTCCCATGCCTGAGCCTGGGATGAGGTGATACAATATAATAGTCAGGAGCGATCTTTCTGAAGTTACTTCCCAGCTCCACCATTTCCTAGATATATAAATTTTTCCAAGTCACTTAATCCCCCAAGCTTAGTTACCTCATCTGCAAATGGAGATAAATGAATATCAAATGAGATAACCCATGTGAAGTATAACTGACTAAGATGACTATTTGACCTATTAGTTGAAAAAAAATTGCACCAATATAGCTATGGCAAACTCCCTGCATCTTTCAATAAGCACCACAAAAGCCCTTCACCTCTCAAAAGGAAATGGTCTATTCTTCTATGAATAATGTTCATGAACAGGAAAAGTTTCAGTTAATCTGACTTTTCTTTCAACTATGACTGTATTCTACCCAAGGGGTTGAAGAGCAATGTCTACAGCAGGGCAAGGCAATAGTAATTGAGCCCAATATGTTTAAGATTGTTTGCTGTATTTTTTATCTGATCAAAAAAGTGTTGACTGAGCTGGCTTCTTCAGTATGCAATTGCACATACAGTTTATTTATTAATGATCACCAATGGCCTCCACAATTTGGATGTAACAGTTAAACAATTACCTATTGCATTTGAACTGAAAAAAAGAACAAAGAACATCATTTAATTGCTAGTAATTTTTTCTCATTATACAAAAGCCCTTCCTTACTGCTTGGTAACATAATAATAACAGCCAGATAAAACAGTGATTTGGCACTCAATAACTCGTTTCCCTCCTTAATAGCCAAACTATAAATCCCAAATGGCCTCATATAGCATATAAGCCATAGGGCTGAAAGAGTGTATTTTCTTTTTCTTTTATGAAAAAAGCAAAGAGATCCTGGTAAGGGGATAAGGGAGCTCTTTCCTCTCACTCATTGTGTCTGTAATAATGTGATCTACCAGACCAACATAAAACTATACTACAACGTAGTCCTCTTCCCCTCATCATCCACGTTTTGTCAACACTTGTACGCACATCCACATACATGATCTTCTTGCTGTATTCTTGGAAATGACTTGAAGTAATTACAGATATAGGTGAATAATTCTGTCTTTCTGGATGAAAAAGAAAGAAAAACATGGTATGTTTTCATCTTGTTCTGTGGTTTGATTCCCAGCTGCCTCAAAGCTGCTCATAGAAGACTAACATGGATCTGATAGAAAAATTGGGAGTACCAGGAAAGTCACCCATTTTCTAGCAGCTTCCTTATAAATTAATCAACATAATTTATTCATGATGGTACTTATTTCAATCACAGAGAGACAGAGTGAAAGAAAATGTAGTCTGAACAGTGATTTGGAAAACAGAAATTCTTGAGCTTTGCTCCCACCTTAATGTCAACTGCCTCTATAGCCTAGGTGCATTGCAGAAGGGTACTCTAAGGATTAATTAGCTCCTTAAATGCTTTGAATGTGAAAATGTGCTAAATAAACATATGACAGTTTGAACTCACCAGAGAAAAAGGAGACCTGAATTTGGAAGGGAGGGGGTGGAGGACGGTTATAGAATGATAAATTATTTCATGTTTGTTCATTCTTACTTTGGAATAATAGAAAGAAAATATCTTTCAGGGGTGTATCACCTTATATATGCTAGAGGAGGGGAAGAAGAAGGTTAAAAAATGATCAGAAGCTAATAGAATACTGTGATCCATAACCAGCGACTAGAGGTGGGAGGCTGAGTGAAGACGAGGATGAACCATATAATAAATGTAGTGTAAGGCTCTGTGGCTAGAAAAAAAACAAGCTAATCTGTCAAGAAAGGAAATAGGACACTGATCTTAGGAAGTAGAGAGCATTGTGGCACAGAAAGCAAGAGAGAAGACTGGATAATTAGATGGACTTGTCCTAGAGGAAATAAGTCAGGAGGAAGAGAAGGTGGGTAATATTAATGTTGTAGGTAGATGGACACTATAATACCAAACCACTGTTGCTGAACCAAAACACAGGAGCTGAGACACGATGTAGTCAAAACTATGGGGAATGATTGAAAATGATATAGAACATTAACAGCTGTAAGATAATAAGCTGTCATAAAGTGCTGCTTATCAGGTTGAATAAAAGAGAAAGAAATAGTGAAATGCAGAGGAGGTGGACAGTGAGAGAACGTAATGTGGTCCAATATGCAGTTTCAGTTAGGTATTAGAATGTGAAGGAAGAGAGAAATGGAACCTTAACACAAAGAAAGAAAGAGGTACAGAAAATGAGATGATACTGAGGGTGAGGGGCAGGACATTACTGGAAGAGATTTGTGGTGTAATAAGACCAAGTACGGGACTTTGACATGCATGCTGTCTAGGACTCCAATAAAGAAAGAATTCAAAGGCAGGAATAGAGCTATTTTTACATATGGTTTGCTCATTGAATCCAGTATCTCTTCTCCATAATTACCTTGCATGTTCAGTTTGTATTTGCTTCTGCAGAATGAATGTGTTCACACCTGCTCAGATCACTCTGTTATCGTATTAGCCTGTCCACCAAGAAAATCACAGAGCTTACATTCCCAGTTAACAGGTTTGAATGCCATTATCCCTCATTATTTTCTTTCAAGGTAATTATTTCATTCAGCAGGTTTGCTAGTAGTCACCAGTCCAGACCTTTGGGAAATTCACTTCATTCACCATTTAAGTCTGGAGCTTTAAAGTTTTGATAGAATTTTTAAAGTTCAAAGCTTGTTATGAGCTTTTCTTTGCTTATCTTTATTTTATACAAAGTTGCACCCTAAAATGCTTGCAGAGCATTTCTTGAAACCCAGATTACAAAATTATTGGTGATTTAGCTAGTTACCTCTTCTGAATTGGTCAGATAAAAGCTATAACCCTTGACTACATAATAAAGTTTTCTCCTAAATATCAAAATCCCCAAGAGAACAATCATTTGCAGTATCCAGACCAAGACTTTGTATACAAGATCACCAGGTATTTCACATGGATTTAGGGCACGGACTGTTGCTGCTTCATGGCTGCATTGCCAGCTCATCTTCATTTACTTAATCCCCTGCCTGCCCTGTTTTATGTCACTTGAGCTAATTGATCCGCAAAAGGTAGAGGGGACTTGGTTTAGAATGAAATTGCCTTTGTATGTGTTGCCTTAAGTGTTCTTGAATTGTTTAATTCTAAGTAAAGACAGTGGCCCCACCCCTAAGTTATCCCAACTAACCACTCAAGATTGGCCCATTTACCTACTGCAACAACTTGCTTGATACATTGATTTTTTTATTATTATTGTTTCTAATAATTTCTTCAATACAAAAATAAGTGCTCATTACAGAAAATTATATATAACAAACATACACACACACACACACACACACACACACACACACAGAGCCAAATAACTTGAATAGACACTTCTCCACAGAAGATATACAAATGGCCAAAAGCATATGAAAAGATGCTCAGCATCACTAATACTTAGAAATGAAAATCAAAACTGCAATGAGATATCACCTCACACCCAGTAGGATAGCCACTAATGGGCCACTAATTTCTCATCCAAAAAACAGAAAATAACAAGTGTTGACAAGAATATGGATAAATTGGAACCCTTGTGCATTGTTGGTGGGAGTGTAAAATGGTGCAGCCACTATAGAAAACAGTATAGAGGTTCCTCAAAAATTTAATAATAAAAATACCATGTAATAAAGCAATCCTACCTCTGGGTATATATCCAAAAGCATTGAAAGCAGGATCTCAAAGATATTTGCACACCCATGTTCATTACATCTTTATTCACAATAGTCAAGAGATGAAAGCAACCCAAATGTCCATAAATGGATGAATAGATTAAAAAAATGTGATATATACATGCAATGGAATATTATTCAGCCTTTAAAATGAAGGAAATTCTATCATATGCCACATGGAATAACTTTGAAGACATTACACTAAGTGAAACAAGCCAATAACAAAAAGACAATTACTTTATGATTCCACTTATATGAGGTATCTAGATTAGTTGAATTCATAGAAACAGATAGTAGAGTGATGGTTGTCAGGGATTTGGGGGAGGGAAAAAGGGAGATGTTGTTCAATGGGTATAGAGTTTCAGTTCTGCAAGATGACATAGTTCTAGAGATTTGTTACACAGCAATGTCAATACAGTTGATACTACTGAACTGGACACTTAAAATGAATAGGGTGGTAAAATTTATTTTACGTTTTATTTTTTAAACCAAAATTAAAATTTTTTTTTAATAGAAGAAAAGGCAGATTGGAAAGCATTTGTGCGTTGAGGCTTACTGGCGTGCTGGGCCTGGAACATCACCATGGTGTGAATGAGCCCAAGGCAGTCTACTGGAAGATGCAAGACCACATCTCTGCAAACAGCTAACCAGCCACCAGTCAACCAGCAGCTAATCATAGATACAGGCAAGAGTCATAGCAAAAATCCCAAGCCTGACACAGATCTGCAGCAACACCCAGCTGAACACAGCCGAAATTGTTGACCTACATATTTTTTAGCTAAGTAAATAGTTGTTGTTTGAGGAGGTGGGTGGGAGAAGGAAAACAGAAATCACTCATCACTCAAAATCCTTCCACTCAGAGGAAGCCAATAGTGAATTTATATAAGTTGTGTGTTACACGGGTAAATGTGTGTGTGTGCGCACACACACACAAACACACATACACACTCATGTTGAAAACATATGAGTGTACCAATTTTAAGCTTCTTTCCTGGTCAGAAAATGTATTTCTCTGGTTTCTTTTGTACTGTTTTCATAATAGTATTCTGTGGTACGTTTGCACCCTTATTTTTTTTGACACAATGTCTTATTGTGAGGCATTTAGGTTGTTTTCAGTACTGTGATATTGAAAACAGCAGTGAGATGAGCACTTTGTGGATGCATACTGTGCACAACCATTATTATTTTCTTGGGATGATTTCTGAGACATGGGCTATCTGAGTGAACGTTATATAAATTAAATTACTCAGATGTCTTAAAAGTATTAACTAAATCCTCTTTAAAATGGGGGTAGAGAGTGAATTTTCTTTTCATATCCGATCACTAAGTTACACTTTTTTAAATCTAGCATTGTTTCACTGTAAAAATCATTTTATTAACCACCTTGGGGAGCAGACAAAGAAAGAAATCTACTGGCAATGAAAACAGATACTAATGGGTAGATTCTTATTATAGATGAGTGACACACAAATGCAACCTAAATAGAAAAAAATGTATTACTGCAGTTCCAATGTCTGCCCGGCCTATAAAACGTAACAGATTTTTCAGTGCCTGTGGTGAAATGCAGCACACATTTGGGAGAGAAAACCGGCACTAAGAGCTTCATATGTTAATAATGCTGTAAGAACCACTCAATTGTGTGTGCATAAAGGCCTCCAAAATATTTAGTTTTATCCACGCCCTTGAAGAAATAATATTAAAGTCTACTTATTGTCCATCTTCATCTATTTTAAATGCCAATCTATGAATGGTACATGTCAGCTGGAGGCTATCATGAAAATGGCATAAATCAACATTCATTTTATTAAGTAAGGTTTCATCACAGCTAAATATTTTGGACTTCAAGCAAAGAAGCCCCTTGGTCTTTTCAACTAAGGAGTAAATAGATGTCTAGTCCCTCTTACTCCTTGCAATGCAAGTATGATCTGGGTCTGCCCGTGGTTGGGGAAGAAGAGAAATATTTCCTTAAGGAGACTAAAGCACTCAGCTTATGCCCAACATAATGATTATAGACTAGGCCATTTGGCTAATGTTCAATAACCAGTGACTTACTGGGTGACTAATGTCTTTGGGGCATCTCCTGTAAGCATAGAGAGTTTAGTTAGCATTAATAACATATTTAATGGAGTTTTGACAGTTCTTGGCAATTCTCTATAAAGATTCCTTTGAGAATTAGCACAACTTTGAATCAGTATGTATGCAACCAATAACTAGCCCCTAGGTTGATCTCTAGGCCTCAGATCTTACAGGGGCTGCTTAAGAAGCAGCTATTTCTATAAAGTTAGAGAAGCTTGACAGAAAACTACACCATCCTTAAGACACAAAGCTTCCCTTTTCGCTTCCTGGAGTGTGGACGTGTGCTGGAGGAGATGTCAGTGTGTGTGACTAGCAGAGCATCTGCAATAATATCACAGCCGGGGGAACCAGTCCCACTGAACCTCAAAAAAAACTGTCTCTACTGCTGCTTCCTGAACTTCATATACAAAGCAAATGGTGGGAATAAATCTTATAAAGTTCGAACAGTGAAGCCAAGTCACTGTGAAATTGAGCATTGAGAACAAATTTTAAAAGATGCTGTTACTGTATTTTGATAATTGCTAAAAATAATCTTATTTCTATTGGTAGTGGCCATAGGGATCAGGAACCTGATTTTTCCCCACCACCACCACCACCGGCCCTACTCCTTGACGTGCAAAGACTTGTTAATGTAGCACTAGGAGGAGTGGTTTGAATGTCGTAATAATAGGAGCATTAATTTTTTTTCTTTCATTTGTAGAACACTGTATGAGTTTTACAGACAACACTGATGAGAGAAATGGGACAAATGTCCAGTTGGTCTGGCCCTGACCTATGCTTGTGTGCACACACACAACACACACAGACACACAGAAACACATACACACACACACAAACACACACACACCCTTTTATTGGCAAAGGTTCAAAGAAACATGATTTCTTCCCACATTCTATTTTAGAAAAAGAATTTTCAAGAGACTTCTATGGTTTTAGCATTTATGTCTTAAATATGCTATTTAGCAAGACACAAAAACCTCTCTCTCTCTCTGTCTGTCTCTCCCTCTCTCGCTCTTCTCCACACTCCCCTCCCCCATCTCTCCCTCTCACTTTTTGGAAAGAAGAGAATCTTATGAAGTTTAAGTTTCTCTGGCTTATAACCTAGATGTGGTAGATTTAGGGTATTCTAAATCTAAGATCTATGATTGATTTCTGTCTCTCTCAGCCCCAAAATGTGGATTAAGTATTTTATTTTTAACCAAAAACTCTCTTTTATCTTTGAATTTCTCACTTGAGGAATATAGGGCCTGAACATCCCTGAGATATCTTATTTGTAGATACAGAAAATAGAATGAGATTGTGGGCAAGCAAATCTTTTAAGCACATAAATGGAAATGAAAGTAAGATAGCACAGTAATTAACACAGATGAAAATAGTATTCTTCCCCAGAATTCTTGTGGGTGATAAATTGCCTTAGCTGGAAACTATATTTTCAAGTTGTAAATCTTCATATGACTAACGACTTCCCTGTAACTTGCAATGAAATTAGAGAACAAATATTAAGATATGGTCTTTATTTATCTGTAAAATTATAATACTAGAGCAACAGCATGAGCCTGCACATGAAATGAGGGCCACAAATTATTACTTGATGGCCAGTTTACCCATTAAAGTACATGGATACCAGTAGGTAGACAGAAATACAGGATAACTAAAGTACATAGCTCCGCATCTTGTCAAGTGGTTAAAAGATTTCCATTGAAGGGGCTAATTCATGCTGAAAATATTTATTTTAATTTGAATCTTAAAATTCAGTTGACTGAAAAGGAAGATCACAGCCATCTTGCAAATATCTTTGAAAACTGCATTTGCCACACATAAATGAATATGTTTACTGGAGAATGTTTTTGTAAGTGGATATCTATGGTTTCCCACATGTCACAGGTACTCCAGCCCAATATTAAACTGGAGAACAGTACGTCAGAAAAATAGTGCATCTGTTGCCTTCTCTGGGCATCCAGTGTGAGCTGCTTCCTCAGTGCAGTGATTGCCTGGAGGGATTTAGCTCAGAACTTAGAACAGCCCTCAAACATGGCCATGAATTCCTGGGTACCATTCACATTTCTTTTAAAAAGGGGATGTTCACTTCTGAGCCAGAGCTGCCTCCATAGTCCAAGGGCAAAAACTAAACCCATTTCAGTAGAGATGGAAGAAAACTGGCTTTGATCCATAGCTCAGCAGTTCCTAAATCTTGAGTCTAATTACATCAGCCACCTTATGATGTGGAAGAAACATTTTGAATCAAAAGGCATTGATATATTATAGAAAATATAAAAACTGTGACGCTTTTAATTCCTAGAATTTAATCAGAGTCTGAAAGCCCACCCATCAGAGATGCTGTAAAGAGGATTTCTATATTGAGTGTATCCTCCGAGGTCTATACCAGCTTTCTGATTCTGTAATTTTGAGGCAGAGTTTTAAAATATGAATATTTGGGGCATAGCCTTATCCTAATGATTTTGGCAGTTTTCTTCCATAGATACAGGTGCAAATTAAAAGATGTTTCCTTGCATGAGGTGACAAAATGTAGCCCCAAACTCTATACTAAAACACCTGGGTGAATAAACTGAGTATAAAGCATTAATTGATTTCCCCATTTTATCACTCCCTTTAAACTAATTTATAGTCTATTTAATTAAAAATGAGTCTGGCAAGTTCTGGAATAGAACAGTGGCTTGTATCTCAAAACTCCCACAGATAACAATTATAAACTCTGGGAAAAATATAAACATAACTGCTACTTGAAAGAACTGGAGAGATAACAAATACTATCAGAAAATAGAAAGTGCCTTGATCCTTGAAAGAAGGAAATCATGCTGGTTGAGGATCACATTTATACACCTTTTTCCCTGACACCAATACCTAGTCTGAGCATCACGGGGGTAGAGGGGAGTTTGCAAGCAGATTTGCAAGCTCCCTCCATCTATGGCTCCCTCTTTTCTAGGATTTCCCCCTCCAAATTGCAGTCACTATAGCAGCCCCAAACACCATTCTCTAACAGAGGAGACAGCAAAGTTTTTGTGTAAAGGGTCAGATAATAAATATTTTACGTTTTGGAGGCCACATAAATTCTCTACTGTACATTCTTTTTTGTTTTCCTTTTTGTTGTGTTTTATGATCTTTTAAAAATGTAAAAACCATTCTTAGCTTGAGGGCCCTACAAAAACAAGCCAGATTTGGCCTGCAGGCAATAATTTGCCTACCCCAATCTATACCTCATGCAAATAAGACTGCGCATCTGACATACATGCATTTGGATTCCTAGAAGGAGAGGCGAGAGACAATGAAGCACAAAAGCATTTGAAGATATAATGGCAGAAAAATTCTCAAATTTGGTGAAATGCATCAATGTACAGTTCTAAGAATTACACAAACTCCACTGTAAATACATAAAACAAACAACAGCAATGACAAAAACAGGCACCTCATAATCAAATTTTTAAAAAATAAAGGTAGATATCCTTGTTTTACAATATTAACTCTCTAAGTAAACTGTAAAATCTTAAGAATGCATATCAAAATCCCTAGAGCAAACACTAGCAAATAATACAAAGAAGACAAATTTAAAAGTCATTAGAGAAATTTAAATGAAATACTTTAAAAAATTAATTAGGCTGGGCTGGGCACGGTGGCTCGCGCCTGTAATCCCAGCACTTTGGGAGGCCGAGGCTAGTGGATCACCTGAGGTCAGGAGTTTGAGACCAGCCTGGCCAACATGGTGAAACCTCATCTCTACTAAAAACACAAAAAATTAGCTGGGCGTGGTGGCAGGCGCCTGTAATCCCAGCTACACAGGAGGCTGAGGCAGGAGAATCACTTGAACCTGGGAGGCAGAGGTTGCAGTGAGCCAAGATCACAGCATTGCACTTCAGCCTGGGCAGCAAGAGCAAAACTCCATCTCAAAAAAAAAAAAAAATTAATTAGGCTGGGTATGGTGCCCCACTCATAATCCCAACACTTTGGGAAGCCGAGGCAGGAGGATCACATGAAGCCTGGAGTTCAAGACCAGCCTGGGCAACATAGCAAGACCCAGTCTTTACAAAAAAAAGAGAAAAATTATCCAGGCATGGTGGTGCACAACTACTCCCAGCTATTCAGGAGGTTGAGTCAGGAGGATCACTTGAACCCAGGAGTCCAAGGCTGCAGTGAGCTATAATTGCACCACTGCATTCCAGCCTGGGCAACAGAGTGAATGTATTCTATGTCTCTAAAACATAATAATAACAATAATTAACTAAACCAAAAGAAGACAAGAAAAGAGGAGCAGAAGAACAAAATATCAAATGGAACCAATAGAATATAAATTGAAAAGCAAAGTGGCAGACTTAAATCCAAACATGTCAATAATTATTTTACATGGAGTTAGACTAATCTCTCTAATTAAAAGACAGGGATTTATAGACAGGCTTTAAAAATGATCTTACTCTATGCTACAACAAGCAATGTGTTTTGATACAACAACAAACAGGTTGAAAATAAAAGTATAGAAAAAGTTATATGCTGCAAACAATAAGCATAAGCAAGCTTGTGTGTCTATTTCATTATTAGACAAAATAAACTTCAAGACAGGGAGTATTGCCTGAAATTAAGAGGAACACTTCATATTATTAAATGATTAATATATCAGGAAGCTATAACAATCATATCTGTTTGTTTAGCTAATAAGACTATTTCAGCAAAAACTGATGAAATTAATAGAAGAAATAGACAAATGCACAGTTATAGTTGGATATTTTAATATTGCTACGGCATAACTGATAAAAACACTAGAGAAAAAATTTGTAAGGGCATAGAATATTTTAAAAATATTATCAACCAAGTTGACTTAATTGATAATTTTAGAACAATACATAAGGAATACGTATCATTCTCAAATGCATGTATAATATGTTCATCAAGATAGGCTGTGTACTGGACCATAGAATGTCAATAAATTTCAAAAATTTTAACTGTATTATTTAACCACAATGGAATCAAATTTAAAAACTTGAGGTCATTCACATGCACACGTATGTTTACTGTGGCACTATTCACAATAGCAAAGACTTGGAACCAACCCAAATGTCCATCAATGATAGCCTGGATTAAGAAAATGTGGCACATATACACCATGGAATACTATGCAGCCATAAAAAAGGATGAGTTCTTGTCCGTTGTAGGGACATGGATGAGGCTGGAAACCATCATCCTGAGCAAACTATCACAAGGACAGAAAACGAAACACTGCATGTTCTCACTCATAGGTGGGAATTGAATAATGAGAACACTTGGACACAGAGTGGGGAACATCACACACCAGGGCCTGTCATGGGGTGGGGGCAGAGGGGAGGGATAGCATTAGGAGATATACCTAATGTAAATGACAAGTTAATGGGTGCAGCACACCAACATGGCATGTGTATACATATGCAACAAACCTGCACATTGTGCACATGTACCCTAGAACTTAAAGTATAATAAAAAATAAGTAAAATAAAATGACCAACCAGAAAAAAAAAAGTTGAGGTCATTATGCTAAATGAAATAAGACGAAGACAAATATTGCATGATCTCATTTGTATGCAAAATCGAAAAAGGTTGAACTCATGAGAAAAAAAAAAGTAGAATCAGAATGATGGTTACCAGGGGCTATAGGAGGGGAAAATGGGTAGATCTTGGTCAAAGGGTACAAACTTTCAGTTATAAGATCAATAAGTTATTGAGATGAATACAGCATGGTGACTATAGTTAACAATACTGTGTTGTATACTTGACATTTGTTAAGAAAGTGTATCTTAAATGTTTTCACCACAAATAAATGAAAGAAATTATGCAAGGTGATGAATAGGTTAATTCCATGGCTTGTAGTCATCATTTCACAGTGTGCACATATCCCAAAACATCACATTGTATATAGTAAATATATTCAATTTTTAATTGTCAATTGTACTTCAATACAGCTGTAAAAAAAAGAATATGTAATAGGTTGCATAAAATATAATTCTAAAAAATAGAAAAAAATGCTCAAATATTTGGAAGTTTAAAAACATACTCAAGTCTAGGGCATTTAGGTGATATATCAAAAAAAGGAAGTTAGAAAATACTTCAAACTGTGTTATAATGAATATACCATCATGTAAACCTTTGCAGGATGAAGCTAAGAAAATACTTAAAGGGAACTTTAAGGCTTCAAAGACTTATATTAGAAAGAGAAGTTTAAAATCCATAATCTAAACTTCCACTTTAAAAAAACTAGAAAAAGAGGGGCCAAATAAATTCAAAATAAGTAGAAGGAAAAAACCAATAAAGCTAAGAAGGGAAATCAGTGGGCTACAACAGAAACAATACTACAAAATTTGGTTCTCTGTAAAGATTAACACAATTAATAAAGCCCTAGCAATATTGATCAACAGAAAATAAAACACAAATTACCAATATCAAGGATACAAGAGGGGATATCACTACACAGACTTCACTGGCCATACACAACAAAAAATACAGACTTTACAAAATTGATCCAGGAAAGTCCCTAACAAACAACTATCACAATAAGCAGTAACAACATTTCCTGGGAAGGAGCAGAATCTAATTTCCATAGTTGCCACATAATTTTCAAAATGTCCAGTTTTCAACAAAAATATTATGAAGCATACAAAGAAACAAGAAAATATGGCCAATACATGGGGGAGGGGGAAGGCAATTAATGGAAACTGTCCCTGAGGAAGGTGAAACATTGTTCTTACTAGACAAAAACTTTAAGTCAGCTATTTTAAATATGCTAATAGAGCTAAAAGAAACTTTGTCCAGAAATCTTAAGAAAACCATGAGAACTGTATAAAGACTATCAGTCAAGAGACATAGATTACAAAGAAAAAACAGAGATTCTGGAGTTAAAAAGTATAATAAATAAAATGAAAAATTCAAGTAGAGGCACTCACTAGCAGATTTAACCTGGCACATGAAAGAATCTACTTGAAGATTCTAAGAAATCTACTAAGAATTCTAAGATCTACTAAGAAAACAACTCAAAACCATATAGTAAACTTGAAGATAGATCAATTGAGATTTTCCAGTCTGAGGAACCAAAAGAAAAAAAAAATGAGGAAAAATCAAATGGAAAGAGCCTAAGAGATTTGTGGGACACTGCCCATGATACCAAATATGCATAATGAGAGTCCCAGAAAGAGAGAAAGAAAGGAACAGAAAGAATATTTGAAGAAATAATGGCCATAAACTTCCCAAATTTGATTTTTTTTTAATTTCATGAATAATGGTAATGATTTCTTTTTATTATTATTATACTTTAAGTTTTAGGGTACATGGGCACAATGTGCAGGTTAGTTACATATGTATACATGTGCCTTGCTGCTGTGCTGCACCCATTAACTCATCATTTAGCATTAGGTATATCTCCTAATGCTATCCCTCCCCCCTCCCCCCACCCCACAACAGTCCCCAGACCAGAGTGTGATGTTCCCCTTCCTGTGTCCATGTGTTCTCATTGTTCAATTCCCATCTATGAGTGAGAACATGCGGTGTTTGGTTTTTTGTCCTTGCGATAGTTTACTGAGAATGATGATTTCCAATTTCATCCATGTCCCTACAAAGGACATGAACTCATCATTTTTTATGGCTGCATAGTATTCCATGGTGTATATGTGCCACATTTTCTTAATCCAGTCTATCATTGTTGGACATTTGGGTTGGTTCCAAGTCTTTGCTATTGTGAATAGTGCCGCAATAAACATACGTGTGCATGTGTGTTTATAGCAGCATGATTTATAGTCCTTTGGGTATATACCCAGTAATGGGATGGCTGGGTCAAATGGTATTTCTACTTCTAGATCCCTGAGGAATCGCCACACTGACTTCCACAAGGGTTGAACTGGTTTACAGTCCCACCAACAGTGTAAAAGTGTTCCTATTTCTCCACATCCTCTCCAGCACCTGTTGTTTCCTGACTTTTTAATGATTGCCATTCTAACTGGTGTGAGATGGTATCTCATTGTGGTTTTGATTTGCATTTCTCTGATGGCCAGTGATGATGAGCATTTTTTCATGTGTCTTTTGGCTTCATAAATATCTTCTTTTGAGAAGTGTCTGTTCATATCCATTGCCCACTTTTTGATGGGGTTGTTTGTTTTTTTTCTTGTAAATGTGTTTGAGTTCATTGTAGATTCTGGATATTAGCCCTTTGTCAGATGAGTAGGTTGCGAAAATTTTCTCCCATTTTGTAGGTTGCCTGTTCACTCTGATGGTAGTTTCTTTTGCTGTGCAGAAGCTCTTTAGTTTAATTAGATCCCATTTGTCAATTTTGGCTTTTGTTGCCATTGCTTTTGGTATTTTAGACATGAAGTCCTTGCCCATGCCTATGTCCTGAATGGTTATGCCTAGGTTTTCTTCTAGGGTTTTTATGGTTTTAGGTCTAACGTTTAAGTCTTTAATCCATCTTGAATTAATTTTTGATTTTTAAAAAGTTTAATCTACTGAGCCAAAAACCTAAATGGAGTCCAAGTACAATAAACTCAAAGAGATCCACACCAAGACACATTATGAAATTGTCAAAAGCCAAAGACTAAGAGAAAAATCTTGAAAGCAGCAAGAGTAAAGCAACTGATCATGTACAGGGGATCCTGAATATGCTTAATAGTTAAATTCTCATCTGAAACTATGGAGGCCAGAAACAGTGGGATGCTATTTTGAAGTGCTGAAAGAAATAACAATTGTCAACCAACTATGCTCATCCAGCAAAACTACTTTTGAAAATTGAAGGAGAAATTAACACATTCCCAGATAAAACCAAAAAAAAATGACAAAATTTGTCACTAGTAGATGTGCCCTAGAAGAAATACCAAAGGGAGTCCTTCAGTGTGAAATAAAAGGACACTAGAGAGTAACTTGAATCCACACAAAGAAATAAAGAACACTGGTAAAGGTAACTACACAGATTAATATAAAAGTCAGTGTTAATGGTATTTTTCCTGTCTAATTTAAAAGACAGTTGTGTAAAATGATAATTATAAATCTATATTGATGGACTCAATGTATAAAGATGTAATTTGTGACAATAACAACATAAAGAGGAAGATAAAACTATATAGGAGCAAAGTTTTTGTATATTATTGAAATTGTTGACAAAAATTGAAACTAGATTTTTATAGTTAAGATACTAATTGTAATTCCCAGGAAAACCACTAAGAAAACAACTCAAACCATACAGTGAAAAAAAATGACAAGGGAATTAAAGTGGGTACACTAAAATATCGACTCAACATAAAAGAAGGCAGTAATGAAGAAATTAAGGCAGAAAAAATACGACATAGAAAACAAATGACAAAATTATAGAAGTAAATCTTCATTATCAGTAATTACTTTAAAAGTAGATGGATTAAAGTATCCAATTAAAAAGCAGAATTTGGCAGATTTTAAAAGAACATAATATAACTATATGTCTCTGTCTACAAGAGACAGTTCAGATACAAAGATACAAATAGGTTGAAAGCAAAATGATGAAAAAAGATACCCCATACAACAATAACCAAGAAAGAGCTTAAGTGGCTACAATAATATCAGACAAACTTTAAGACAAAAAATGTTACTAGAAACATAGGCCAGGCATGGTGGCTCATGCCTATAATCCTGGTACTTTGGGAGGCTGAGGTGGGAGGATTGCTTGAGCCCAGGAGTTTGAGACAACATAGTGAGACCCTATCTCTATAAAACAAAGAGGCCTGGCGCAGTGGCTCACGCCTGTAATCCCAGCATTTTAGGAGGCTGAGGCGGGTGGATTACCTGAGGTCAGGAGTTCAAGACCAGCCTGGCCAACATGGTGAAACCCCGTCTCTACCAAAAATACAAAAATTAGCCGGGTGTGGTGGCAGGCGCCTATAATCCCAGCTACTCGGGAGGCTAAGGCAGGAGAATGGCTTGAACCTGGGAGGTGGAGCTTGCAGTGAGTAGAGATCACACCATTGCACTCCAGCCTGGGGGACAAGAGCGAGACTTCATCTCAAAACAACAACAACAAAAAAAAAAGAAAAGAAAAATGTTTAAAATGTTACTAGAAACAAAGAAAGACAGTATATAATGCTAAAAGGGTCAATCTATATAGAAGACATAGCAATTTATAAATATATATGCAACTAATAAGAGTGCCCTAAAACACACGAAGCAAAAATGACAGAATTGAGAAGAGAAATAGACAGTTTTACAATAATAGTTGGAGACTTTAATGTCCCATTTTCAATAATGGGTAGAACAACTAGACATATGAGCATGAAGGAAATAGAAGACTTAACACTGTATAAACTGACTAGACCTAATAGACGGCTATAGGACACTTTTTACCTAGCAGCAGCAAAATACACATTATTTTCAAGTGCACATGGAACATTCTCCAGGCTACACTATATGATTGGCCATAATATAAATATCAATAAATTTTTAGGATTGAGATAGAAAGTATGTTCTCCAAACACAATGGAATGATATTAAAAATAAAAAGCAAATAAAATTTAGAAAATTCACAAATATGTGGAAATTAAACAACGCACTTTAATGAGTCAAAGAGATTAAAAGAGAAATTAGAAAATACTTTGAGATAAATGACTACAAAACACAACATACAGCTGGGCATGGTAGGCCATGCCTATACTCCCAGCACTTCGGGAGGCTGAGGCAGGAGGATCACTGGAGCCTAGGAGTTCAAACCCAGCCTGGACAACATAGCAAGACCTCATTTTTAACAAAAAATTAAAAAATTAGTTGAGCATGGTGGCTTACGCCTATAGTCCAAGCTACTTGGGAGGCTGAGGGGGAGGATTGCTTGAGCCCAGGAATTTGAGGTTGCAGTGAGCTATAATTGCACCAATGTACTCCAGCCTGAGCAACAGAGTGAGAACCTCCCTATCTAAACAACAACAACAACAATAACAACAACACCAAAAAAAAACCCCAAACTTACAGGATGAAGCAAAGGCAGTTTTCAGAGGGAAATTTATAGCTATAAACATCTACACTGAAAAAAGAAGAAATATCTCAATCAGTAGCCTAAACTTTCACCTTAAGAAAGTGGAGATAGAAGAGCAAACTAAACCAAAAGCAAATAGAAAGAAGAAAATATTGAAGCTTAGAGTGGAGATAAATTAAATAGTGAAAAGAGAAACAGTAGAGAGAATCAAGAATATCAAAAGTGTGTTCTGTCAAAGACATGATTGACAAACCTACACCTAGACTAACCGAGAAAAAAAGAGAAGACTCAAATTACTAAAATTAGAAAGAAACGTGGGGGTATTACTACAGATCTTACAAAACTACAAAGAGTTATAAGAGGCAGATAATCAACAACAGAGAGTAACAATTGTCTATTTTTTGTTTCTGTTATCTGTGCTTTTGAGGTTTTAGGCATAAACTATAAACAATAGTATGTCAACAAAATAGATAACCTAGATGAAATAGACAAATTTCTAGAAACACATAAAAGAGTAAAAATTACTCAGAAAGAAATAGAAATTCTGAATAAGCCTACACCAACTTAAGAGATTGAACCAGTAATAATGTTAATAATAAATTCCATGAAAGAAAATTTCACAACAAGGTGACATCACTGGTGAATTCTATCAAACTTTTAAAGAAGAATTAGCATCAATACTTCTCAACCTCTTCCAAAAAATAGAAGAGAAGGGAACATTCATTCAATGAAGACAGAATTACACAGAAAAAAAAAAAAAAAAAATATATATATATATATATATATATATATATATATATAAAACAGTGGATTAAAGACTTAAATGTAAAACCTGAAGCTGTAAAACTCCTAGAAGAAAACATAGGGGAAAACTTCCATGACATTGGTGTTGGCAATAATGTTTTAAACATGACACCAAAAGCTTAGGAAACAAAAGCAAAAATTAACAAGTGGGACTATACCAAACAGAAATGTTTCCACATAGCAAAGGAAGCAATAGATGAACAAAAAACACAACCCACAGAATGGGAGAAAATATTTGCAAACCATGTATCTGATAAGGAGTCAATATCCACAATATATAAGGAACTCATACAACAACAGCAAAAATCCAAATAACCCTATTTAAAAATTGGCAAGGGACGGCCGGGCACAGTGGCTCATGCCTGTAATCCCAGCACTTTGGGAGGCCAAGGTGGGTGGATCACAAGGTCAGGAGTTTGAGACCAGCCTGGCCAGCATAGTGAAACCCTGTCTCTACTAAAAATACAAAAAATTAGCTGGGCATGGTGGTGCGCACCTGTAGTCCTGGCTACTCGGGAGGCTGAGGCAGGAGAATTGCTTGAACCAGGCAGGCAGAGGTTGTGGTGAGCCGTGATCGTGCCACTGCACTCCAGACTGGGCGACAGAGTGAGACTCCATCTCAAAAAATAAATAAATAAATAAATAAATAAATAAATAAATATATAAATAAAATAAAAATTGGCAAGGGACATGAATAGACTTTTTTTTCAAAGAAGACATATAAATTGCCAACAGGTATATTAAAACATTCTGGACATCACTAATCATCAGAAATGCAAATCAAAACCATAATAAGATATCATCTGACACCTGTTAAAATGGCTATTATCAAAAAGTAAAAAGATTACATGGGCTGGAAAGAATGTGAAGAAATTGGAACCCTTGTACAGTGTTCATGGGAATGTAGACTGGCACTACCATTATGGAAAATAGTATGGAGGTTCATTAAAACAATTAAAAATAGAACTACCATATGATCCAGCAATCTCACTTCTGGGTATACATCCAAAGGATATAAAATCAGTATCTCAAAGAGATGTCTGAACTCCTGTGTTCATCGCAGCATTGTTCACCATAGCCAAGATATGGAATCAAGCTAAGTGTCTATCAACAGAGGAATTGATAAAGAAAATGAAATATTATTGAGCCTCGTAAAGGAAGGAAGTCCTGCCATATGTAACAGCATGAATTAACCTGAAAAACATTATGCTAAAGAAATAAGCTAGACACAGAAAAACAAATACGACATTACTTCACTTATATGTGGAATCTGAAAAAGTCAAACTCAGAAACAGAGAGCAGAAGGGATCGGGGTGGAGATACAGGGAGAAGTTGGTCAAAGGGTACAAACTTTAAATTATGAGATAAATAAGTTCTGGAGACCCAAAGGATAGTATGGTGACTATAGTTAGTAATACTGTACAGTGTACCTGATATTTGCTAAGAGTAGACCTTAAGTGTTCTCATCAGACACACACACACACACACACAAAGGTGGTAACTATGTGAAGAGATGGATATGTAAACTAAGTTGATTGTGGCAATCATTTCACAATGCATACATATATCAAATTATCATGTTGTACACCTTAGATATATACAATTTTTAGTCATCAATTATACCTCAATAAAGCTAGAAGGTAAAGGAGATTGTCTTTTGGGAAAGAAGGTTCCATTGTTAGACCAGAGCTACTTGCAAGGACTCTTCCTTCAATCACTCATTCAACATGCCTTAATTAAGAAACTACTCTTTATTAGGTGCTGGGGATATAGCAGTGATTGAGATATTGCCCTGGCCCTTATAAGCAGATAATCAACAGCACAGAGTGACAATTGTCTATTTCTGATTTTCTTACCTGTGCTTTTGAGGTTTTAGTCATTAATTATTTGCCTAGGTGATGTCCAGAAGAGTATTTCCTAGGTTTTCTTCTGGGATTTTTATAGTCTGAGATCTTACATTTAAGTCTTTAGTCCATCTTGACTTAATTTTTGTATATGGTGAAAGGTAGAGGTCCAGTTTCATTCTTCTGCATATGGTTAAGCCAGTTTTCCCAGCATCATTTTTTCAGTAGGGAGTCTGTTCCCTATTGCTTGTTTTTGTTGACTTTGTCAAAGATCAGTTGGTTGTAGGTATGTGGCTTTATTTCTGCATTCTCTATTCTGTTTCATTATTATACATGTCTACTTTTATACCAGTACCATGCTGTTTTGGTTATTGTAGCCTTGTAGTATAATTTGAAATCAGGTAATGTGATGCCTCCAGCTTTGTTCTTTTTGTTTAGGATTGCAAGTTAAGTGTTACTCTTGATAAGTTATTCTAACGCTTCAAGACTAAAGTATTAAGGAAATAGGACACTGAGTAGGTATATTCTCATTCGGGAGCAGGGAGCTCTGGAACATGGAATGATGCCCACAGAGGATATGCCATACAAGGGTGTAGTCTAACCTGCTTGAGAATACTGGTGCTTAGTTATGTATTGAAGTTGCAGGAAGTTGGAGGAAGAAGGTTAACAAGAAAATGTGTGGTGATTGTGTACAGTCTTAATTTATTTATTTAACAAGTATTGTTGACTGTCTATTATGTACCAGGCACTGTGCTAGGCCCTAGAGGTACAAACACAGTGTCTAATTTTGTGAAGCTTGTATTCTAGTGGGGAGCACAGATGTCATCTATATTATCATAAGAATAACCATATATCAACAAAATGTAACTGATAAAAATGAAAGACACAAAGAATAGCATGTGCAAATGCCCTGTGCTGGGAATGAGCATGAATCTGTATCTGCACCCTAAGTTATGGCCACAGTTAGCAGGAACTAAAACCTTACATGTGGCTGATGCTCAGAGAGTGAGGAAAATCACAGTTCATGATGGCATTTGGGACGCAGGTAGGCAGAGGACAGACCCTGCTGAGCACTGAAAGTCATAGTAAGAAGTTTTGTCCTTGAATACTATTGGAACCTTTTAAAGCTTTTAGCACAGCATCTGGAAGGAGGGAAAGTAGGTTGACATAATCAGATCTGCATTTAGAAAAGATGACTTTGCCTGGAATGTGAATATCAGATTTGGGGAGGGGGCATAAATGCATGTGAAGTGACCAGTTGGGTGGCTATTGTAGTTGAGGTGAGAGATCATGGCTTACCCTAGGGTGATGGTGATGAAGATGGAGAGAACTGGAAGCTGTGGGGTCCCTTAGTGCATGAAACAATTTTGATGCAACCCACTGTAATGGAAACTTTGAGCCTCATAACACAGGTACCTTCAAATGTTAACACTCATATGTGAAATAAAATGGATTTTCCTGGTAGTTCAGCTGTTCAAGCTAGGATTAGAGAGCTATGACATGGTGAAAGTCAGATACTAAGTAGCCAAGTTAGGCCTTGAGCAAAAAGACTCTTGCTCAGGTTGTGTATATAAGATAATAAGCACTGATCAATTCTGTAAATGGTTAATCAGATGGACCTATATAGTCTTAGCCTCAGTCAATCAGCATGAGTTATTGACTATGCACTGTGCAGAAAATGTAAGTATCCCACAAATAGCCTCTAGTGTACAAAGAAATAAGCACCACCTCAATATATAAGATCCATTCAGTGAATACCTTCTAAATATTGAATAGATACTATTGAACCTAGCACTTGGCTCTGCAGAATTGTCAAGGGCAATTCACAGTGTGGATATCCTGAGGAGTCTGAGTTTCATAGGGCAATTTCTATCTATTGGAATGGGAATGTGGGGAAAGTCAATTGTCTTAGGTGTAAGTAAAGGGGGCTTAATAATTCTTTCTCCTAAACCGAAAAAAAAAAAAAAAGTAAATCTATTGATTTCCCTCATGATTCATCTTCTGCAGTGGTGTTTTTTCTCTCTGTGTCAGGACCTATATAGGACCAGCATTAATAAAGGAGGAGTAGCCCTTTAAGGCTAGGCTGGCTGAATGGGAGGATCCAAAAATGTCATCCTATAAGGGCCTTTAGTTTCTGGCGGAAGTATGTGCACAATTTATCTCTGAGCCTCAGTTTACAGGTAGCCCTCTGATGGGTCTGGCTGACCATGCTCTGCCAACTCTCCAGAATCCCTGACACCTTTCATAGGCTAGCTGACTGCCTTCTTGCTTAACTTGCAGATCACCACTTAACTATCTGCTTTCTATCCCTCTCCTTTCCAGTATCTTGCCAGCCTCCCACCCACTGTCTGCCATCTTTACTACTGCCCACTTCCAGGTTCGCATCAAGTTTCTTACCGTGGCCTATTGTCCTTCATGCTACATATTTGGAAATCCTGGGACAAATACCCTCAACCAGTGGTTCCAGTCTAGTTTTGTTAGAAGCACTTAGTGAAACTTCTTACAAATGGACATTCTTTGTCTAATTTTGTGTTAGATCATCTGGAGGCAGGTCCCAGGAATATTTATTTTTAGAAAGCTTCCGGCCAGGCGCAGTGGCTCACGCCTGGTAAGCCCAGCACTTTGGGAAGCCGAGGTGGGTGGATCGCCTGCGGTCAGGAGTTCCAGACCAGCCTGGCCAACATGGTGAAACCCCATCTTTACTAAAAATACAAAAAAAAAAAAAAAGTTAGATGGGCGTGGTGGAGGGCACCTGTAACCCCAGCTACTTGGGACGCTGAGGCAGGAGAATTGCTTGAACCCGGGAGGCAGAGGTTGCAGTGAGCAGAGATCGCACCATGGCACTCCAGCATGGGCAACAGAGCAAGACTCTGTCTCAAAAAAAAAAAAAAAAAAAAAAAAAGACAGCTTCCCAGGTGTTTTGAAAACACTCACTTGACCAGCGTTATGGAATCCCTGCAAACTATTTCACTTTGTGTTCCACTTAGAGGTTTCAAACTCTCAGTAAAGACAGGTCAGCATGTTGCCCTTTACGCTACTCTCAAAAAAATTTCCTGTTTCCTAGAGCAAGATATTGAATTAGAGTAATACTGCTTACCCCAGTTGATACAGGGGATACATAATTTTCATTCATAATAATAATAAAATACCCATTTATTGGGCACTTAGTATGTGTTAGTCTACTGACTGTTTTTCACAATTTTTTAGTTTAATCCTAACAATCCCAGGGTGATTTACGTTGATATATTAATCAGAAAAGTGACACTTAGAGAGGTTAAGCAGCTTGCCCAAGAGAAAGTGTCCAAGTTAGGATTTGAACCCAGGTCTGGCTAATGACAAAATTCACGCTCTTGGCTACATGGTCAGCAATTTATAATAAACAGGTGGCAAAGCTGACAGCCAAGTAAAGCTCTCCCTCCTCTGCTGTATTCTTTGTAGTTCACTCGAAGGTTCTCCACTGGGTTGGCCAGACATCCCCCTCTAAGATTACTGGGGGAATTAGGGCTCATAAGACCTCTACCAGCTGCCCACAAAGAAAGATCTGAATCTCACTAGTGAGTCTCTTGAGAACGGATGTGATAACAAACCTGAGGCAAAATCATAAGTGTTTTGTGCATCCTGGCTGTTTTTAAGTTATTTAAGCCCTACGATTCCAGCTCAAGTCTCAGCCACTTCCTCTCTTTTACCCTCATGCCATTACTTACTGTGAAACCGACAGCCGACCTGAGATTGCCAATACTGCATGTGAATCTGTAGGCAGCAGCAGAGGTCCCTGATGCCATTGTCTCCCGGACCACTGAAACTCCCTCGGGCTCCTCCCTCTCTGCAAGCAGCACTCTCTGTTCACTAGCACAGCCAGGTGCTTTTGTTCAGGCCTGGAAGGGGTGGAATAAACACAAAAAGATACCCTCTGCTTCACTGCTGTTAAACTACTGTCATCACAGCAAAGTGCTCTGCTACTTACAAGAAGTTGATGGGTCTGTGGCAGAGTTCTAAGAAGTGGACAAGAAACAAAGGGATTTTGTAACAGATGGGATGCCTGTTGAGTTATTAACATTTGTATCACAGATTCTATTTCTACTACATTCACCAGGGACAAATAACACACTAGCTTTGATCCCACTATTCAAAAGGAAGCTATAAGGTGACATAGTACAAAGGCTGCTCATTATAAAAATCCTGTTAGAATGCAATACGCTATTAATTGTTCTAAGATTCCCCATTATTAAAATAAAATACTTGCTAATATTCTTTTCTTTTTTTACAAGCAAAGTTGCATTTTAAAAATAACCTGTATATAATGTTTGCACCAAAAACAGTAACATTTGTTTTGGATATTTCTTTTCTCATTGTGCATATACTTCGTTTTGTTTTAAATTGTGTTACACAGTATTATAACTCTGATAAAGCACATAATGAATACTTACCAGTCGGTACAAAGGGTTTACCTATTTCTAACTATCTATGGAAATCAAATTATAGTGCAGTGCTGCATGAACGTTCACATCTTAATGTAAGGGGTAAAGTTACATACAGACAATGTAGGTTGTTAGGTAGATGAACCATTCAGCTGTAGAATGGACTCAGGCAAAGATTAGAGGCCTCTCTTTTGCTGCCTTCTGAAATGCCTCCTTGATCCAGTTTGCACAAGTAGTGAGATACTGAAATAATCTGACATTGGCAAAGTGTCTGTCAACTGTCTGAGGTGACAAATAAGGCATAAGTGAGTTTTCTTTGTCACATCTAGAGACACAAAAGTGAAATGGGAAGGGCGGCTTTCTAGTTAATCTTTCAGGAGAGTCCAGATGCACAGGCTGATACATTCAAAGCTGTTTTTCTTCACAAGGAGGCAGCAGGGAAAACGTGATTTTCTATGTATTTACCCCTCTCAAGAAACACGGGTCTCCTTTTGCCCTCTTCCTGCTACCTCAGTGTACAGATGGACTTTATTTTATAAACCAAGTGAAGGTTTAAATAAAAAACTCTATAAGGGCAGCACCCAGCAACCTTGCCTTTTATTTATCTGAAAAACAATAGTCTCAAATGAAGTTTTTCTTTGTCTTCAGAGTTAACCGAGATTCATCTCATGACCATATTGTGGAAGCTTCTGGAAATGCCACCAACCCTACCAGAAGTTTGTTTGCTTTTGTTTTTGCCTTTCTTTCTTTCTTTTTTTTTTTTTTTTTTTTGACTCCCTGAGCTCAATTCAAATGCATACTCACAAGAAAATAGGCACTTGGAATATAAGTGGAGGGACACACCCACTAAACTTGACTGCAGGCTAAATCGAAAATTCTGACAATCAATGTTAAGGAAGACAGTAGTTCTCAGCACATTATTTAACTTGAAAAATTCCTATTTTGACACCTTGGGGTTTTTTTTTGTTTGTTTGGTCATTCAGAGTTATCCCAGGGACCCAGGACTTTAGAGGTAAAAATGATCTCAGTGTAATGACCACAAAATAACTGTTTAAGGCCAGTTTTTATTTCACATAGACGCTATCAACAGTCATGCCAGTCCCCTGGTACAGGGTGAACTATCTGTACCCACACTGGACTGTATTTAAAATAATGTCCTCCTGAAGTGAGTCAGTATTTCCTAGAAACATTTGCCTAATTAGCTCTTTTTTTTTCTTTTCCTCCGGGTTCAAGCGATTCTCCTGCCTCACCCTCCCGAGTAGCTGGGATTACAGGCATGCGCCACCACACCCGGCTAATTTTTGTATTTTTTTAGTAGAGACGGGGTTTCACCATGTTGGCCAGGCTGGTCTTGACTACTTAGCTCTTTTAACTTATTTTTCCTGAAGAGAATCCCTGATACTAGTACCAAAAAACTTACGTTTTGTCAGCAAGTATCAGCATAGGTACCATTAGCAGAATTCTATGACAATTAGTTTCTATTGTTGATTGCCCAACTGTTTGGTCAAACACCAATTCCTCCACCATCTGTTTGAAAATTTCTGGCAGGAGAAAATGAATCTGGCAAGGCAAATATATTCAGCATGTCTTTGGACAGAAGCATACCTCTCAAGGGATTGTTTCCTCCTTCTTTTCTCCCTAGGTTTGCACACACCACAATGCCTGGTTTGGAAGCAGAATCCAGGAAAAAAAAAAAAAATCAGTGACTGGGCTGAAGAAACAGTTATTGGGACGCAGCATACACTCAAAAAGAAAGAACATTAATCAAAGCAAAATATTACATTATCAGTGGCAATGAAATTTGCTCACAAAGCTGGACTCATCCATGTTTCCACTCCCAACTATCTCTTTCCTCCTACCTCCCTGTTTTTTTCCCTTCTGCTGCATCCTTCGAGCTGCAGTAAATCATGTTGTAAAATGAGTTTGAATAGCAAAAGCATTAAGATTTCACATTCTGCAGCATAACAATGAACTGCCTTATGTTAGAATTCAAGCTTGTTAGTAAGGTTCCCAAATATTATCATCTCCTATGGTGGCAATTTACTAGCCATCCAGAAAAGTGGTTTTTACTACCGGAGCCAATATCAACCATGCCTTGTGAGCTGCAGATGGGGTCTCTTAGCCACAGCTCTGCATTCTGCACTGCCCAACACCTAATTTATACTTGGAAGCAAGTGCGTCAGCATCTGTGATAGATCGTATGGAGGTGTCATGTTAATCTTATGATGGATAAAGTAGCTCAAAAAGGAATTTCTTTTGAAGAGGCAAGGCTGTTCCAAGGAAGAGGGTCAGGGCCCAGGCACAAGCCTACAGGGCCTGCCCAGTGTGTCTGGGCACAGAAACGCAATGTCCAGATCAGGGTAGGAGGCAGGCACGAGGCACTTCCAGCTAATCATGAGTCAATTCAATAGCCTGCTTATGCAGTGACCTGGGTAGCCACTGCTTCTGTCTGTTGTATGCTCTAATTCAGCCCTGGAGTTTGGGGAGAGTGGAGTTGGAGTGTGCATGGTAAATGTGGTGAATAGAAAACACTGAGAGGATGATGGAAAATTCATTTTGAGACTGCCAAACAAAAGACAGTGCTGTCCTTGAGTGCCATCAATCTCTCTCTCCCTCCCCTCCCCTCCTCTCTCTTCTGTGAGGTGCTTGGAGCCTTTGAAAAAGCCAGAGAAGAAACATATTATCTCACATCCTAACAAAGAGGGAGGAGCAAGACAGTGAAAACTTCCTTAGGGGGTAAACTTAAGAGGATAAACACTCACGCTGGGAGTGAAATGGGAAAAGATTTTTTTTTTTTTTTTTTTTGAGATGGAGTCTTGCTCTGTCACCCAGGCTGGAGTGCAATGGCACGATCCTGGCTCACCGGAACCCCTGCCTTCCAGGTTCAAGTGATTTTCCTGCCTCAGCCTCCCGAGTAGTTGGGATTACAGGCATGCACCACCATGCCCGGCTAATTTTTGTACTTTTAGTAGAGGAGGGTTTTTGCCCTGTTGGCCAGGCTGGTCTCTAACGACTGACCTCAGGTAATATGCTCACCTCAGCCTCCCACAGTGTTGGGATTACAGGTGTGAACCACCGCACCCAGCGTGTATCTTCTTTTTTAATATTCAAGTTTCTATGTCAAAGTGGGTTAGCAATTTGAGTATATAGAAAAGGTTGACACTAAGAAGGTAGTTATTTTCAATTGATTATATTAAACTAAATCTCAGAAAGCCTGAAATTTAACACATTTCAAATCTTTATTGAGGGCTAATTGCTATGCCAAGTTAGCAGATAGATGAAGAAAAAATGTCTTAAAATTGACATAGAGATCAGAGGAGAGATAATATGCTGATGAGAAACACGTTTGCATTTTCCTAACTCAAAAATAGTTTTCTAATTGGGGTTTTAACAGGGAAAGTGAACCTCCACAGGGCTCTGGAAAGGAAATAGATACTTTATTTCTAATCCTCAACTATGACCTGGAATGTATGTTGACCATGAATTCCCTCTCCTGGAAGCGTGAAACCTCAGGTCATACAGAAATAGGAGTAAACGTGTGTTTTCATCTTCATGGAAAACTTGAACAACTAGCAACAGAAATAATGCTTTTAAATGATTTATCCTCCCAGAAGGAGAAAGAAGATTGCTAGAATATTTTTTAATAAATAATGCAGCATCCTGTTTGGTGTGTGTGCGTGTGTGCGTGTGTGTGTGTGTGTGTGTGTGTGTGTGTGTGGTGGTGGTGGTGGTGGTTGGGGTGGGGGGAGTCTCATTTATTTACTCACCACAGGGACTCTGAGGTGGCAAGGAATATCACCAAAACTGCTGTATGCATGAGGTTCCTGTGGTCCCATGGGAGAGATGAGGAAAGCGTTTCAGGACTGACTTGCTTCTGGGAAATTCAGGACAAAGACTCTTGTGTTTTAAAACATGCTCAAGTCTCTTTTCTTCCTGTATTACCCTAGGATTCATTCCCCCAAGAGAAGGAATTTGCAGTCAAGATAAATTCCATGTCATCGTCAATGAGTAGATATCAAAATATTCACTTCTACTACAGAGCCAGCCACTCAGTAGTAGCAACAACAAAACCTTTCCCTGCAGTCTATTGCCCTTGATACCGTTCTATTTTTCTCCTCATCTCTCAGCCAAATTCCCCAAAAGAGGGTCTGGTCTAGATTCACTGTCTCCATTTGCCTATCTCCCTGCTGCTCCTCAACTACTGCATTTTGTTTTTGCTTCCAACCTCTACGTCTCCCACCCGCTACCCCACTAAGACAGCTCAGCTGAGGCTGTCCTAAACATGGTAGCCAGTAGCCTGTGTATAATAAAAGCCAAAGCACTCTTTTGAGTCTTGTTCTGTCTTGTTTGACCACCCATTAGCACTTGACATTTGATGTTCCTCCTTGAAATTCTCTGTTCTGTTGGTTTCTGTTACGCTGCCCTCTACTATTAATAGCTTTACTTCTACTTACCTGACCACTCCTTCCCAGACTTCTTGCAAGCCTCTCTGCTTCTGTCCAGTCCTTAAAGGCAGGTGATACTAAAAGCCATATCCTAGGTCTTATGCTTTTTAACTCTGCATGCTCCTTTTGAACTAGCTCATAGACTCACATGCCCACAAAAAGTCTAGCTTCATCTCTGATCTCTCTTGTGCTTCGATCCTCTGTATCTGACTAATTGGCATCTCCACTTGGATGTCTTAATGATATCTCAGACTCCAAACTCCAATACTGAAATCATCTTCATCCTCAAACCTGCTACTTGTTTTGTATTTCCTATCCTAATAGGTGACATCACCACCGCCCCTGCCAGTAAGTTACACAAGCCAGAAACCAGGTACCCTCTTGATTATTTCTTTTCCCTATCCTCCCACCTCTAAATTGAGTAAATTCTACCTCTTAAATCTGCCCAGTTTGCTCTATCTCCATGCTACTACCCTAGCTTGGGCCACCACGACTTGTAGCCTGGCCTACTACAAGAACAAACTCTTAATTGGTTTTCTTTCTCCCCTCCTTATCCTTTTCCAGTTGGTTCTGCTACACTACAGTCAGACTGGGCTTTCCCAAGTGCAATCCTGATCAAGTCACTCCCTTGTTTATATCCTGCACGTGGCTTCCTGCTACCCATGATAAAGTCTAAAGTTTCTAGACTCGATTACAAAGTTCTCCATCGTCTAGACTTTTTTTTAACCTATCCTATCTCTCTTGCACCACACTCCCCTTTGTACTCTGTATTCCAGCTATGTTTAAGTTTTTGTTTTGTTTTGTTTTGTTGTTTTAGCTTTGCAAAATTGCTAGGTTCTCTCTTTCCCTTAGACTTCTATATATGCTTCCGGGAACAATCTCCACTCCTACCCCACTTCTTTTCCTCCTGGCAAATGCGTTCATATTTCGTATTTAGTGTTACTTCCTCAGAAAGACTGTTGGATTCAACTGCAAATCTGCTTTCATTTGCATAAGACTTATTACACTTTTATGTAATTACTTGCTTCTTGTTCTGCTAAACTGTAATCTCTGTGAGGGTAGGAGCCTTCTATGTCTCATTCACTACTTTATCTCCAGTACTTAGCACAGTGCTCAGTAAACATTTGGTGAGTGATTGATTTGTTAATAAAGGATGTGTTATGGGAAGGAAGGTAGAGAAGTACTGGTATATTCCTTATCGTGGCAGAATGGTTAACAGTCAATGAGAAATGCCAAAAGTTACTCAAGTACTTCACGGCCCTCTCTAGAGGAAGCTGATCTAATATTTAGAGAATCATCAACCTGAAGGAATAAGTGTACTTTGGATTGGGGATAAAAAGAATTGTCATAATTGATATTTTGGGCTACCTAAGGACATTGAAAAATGCTCTGACCACATGGTAGAAAAACTCTCATCCAGAATCAAGAGCAGCAGAACAAGAATATAAGTAGGAGAAGTAGATCATAAGCAAGGGAATAAGGGCACCAGTGAGTGCCCCTGTGCCAGGGCAAAGACACCAGCTGTAGCAGTGGCAGAGAAACCAATCATGAGCTCAGTCGTCATCAAAAACAAGAATTGCAAATGCTAATGCAATTGCAGCAGAAACTGTAAGCCACTGGGAGCATTTGGAAAAGGGCTGTTAATTTTTGGAACTGCTTGCATTCCTCTGAAATGAATAATGTGTTTTTGTGACAGGGAAACAGTGGGAGATTCTTGTAGTTATGATTCTTGTTAGGGCATTCTTAATTCCATTTTCGCATCCACAGATACAGTGACCACTTCCCCCAAGTCAAAGGAGTGAAGAAGATGGGCAGTCCCTCCTTGCTTGCCTATCCTCTTTTGTCCATTGAGCTCTCATGTACATACCAGAGATCACCCAGTCCAGTCGCATCCTAGGTTCATGTCCATGGCTAATACAAGCTTTTCAAAGAGAAATCACCTGGTACCCTTCCCCAGATACAGTGATTCCTCATCTGGTGCTTATTTTCTAAACTACAAATGGAAAAGAGAGAGAGGGAGAGAAAAAAAACCCTTCAGGTTACAAAGTAGATGCTGAAAATGCTAAAGATACAGAAGAGAAATCAAACCTGGCACCTACATGTTTCTGACTGAGCAACATACTCTCCCTTTATCTGAAGATATTTGATTTTGGAGCAACAAAGTTCTAGAGAATTCAAAACAGCATATTGAGCGTGTGTAATGCCATATTGCCTTCTGTACCTTTACAAAGACATGCTGAGCCATGTTCCTTTGAATGTTCAAACATGTGGTTATTTGAACGTATGACTCCAAAAAGAAAGAAAAAAAAAGGAAAAAGAAACAGAAGGGAAAAGACCTTGAGGTGATATTAAGCACCGTGAAGCAAAATTGATCTCCCTCTACTGTGTTTCTTCCAGGAAGCTGGTGTGCTCAACAACATCGCCCAGAGAAGCCAAATCACCTACACTTAACGGTTGGGCTCATCAGCTGCAAAGGGCCTTTCCAAAAGTTTCATAGCAACAACAAAATGAATCCGAATAATAAAAATTGGGGGGGCGGGGGGAGACACACTGCAGTACTGGAGAATTGCAATGGCAGCTATTAGAAAGTCTACTTTTAGATCAAGTTCAGGAAAAAGGCTGCCTTACTTCTCAATACTGTATTATGATTCTACTCTTAATTATTAAATATATTAATGATGTATCCACCTACTTTTAGAACTATAATCAATATTTCCCCTGAAAACAGCCATTTGTAAGCAGCAAATGTCATCAAGAATGAGCAAATGTGGTGTTCATTTCCTATACATTCAGCATGAGATAGTCTTCTGAGAAAGTATATGTATATCGGATGTTTTGTTTCATCATGTTTAAACAACAGTGAAAATCCTACAGCAAGGGTGATCGCAATTATTTTTATAATCTGGATTTGTATCTCTCTCTGTCCCTTTTCTGTTTTCTCCATCTCCCGAGGATCTTTCTTTGTGAATGCAACAGTGTTTGTATGTGTAATGTGTGTGTGTTTATCTTCTCCTCTTTTTTCTTTCTCTTCTTTCTCCGCCTTATGTCTGCCTATTTTTGCCTCATTATGAAGGTTTCTCTTAGCTTTAGAATATATAACTGTTTGTCTCAGTTTTTCTCTGGCTCTAGTAGTCTCTTGTCTGCTATCCTCTATGTATCTTTCTTTTTGCTCTTTCCCCTTGCTGAATTTCTACCCACCTTTAAAGGACTGAAGGACAATACTCACTGTCCCTTAAAGCTTTCCTTGACACTCCCTCCCTACTCCTTCCTGACCCTCTACTCCCTGTACTTGCCTCTCTTGTAGCCCTTTCACATGGGACTGTAATCTGCAGTGAGAAGAGATGGTATAGTTGACCATGTCTGCTCTCAGAGCCAGTCACACATAATGTCTAAGGCAGCTGAAGAGCACAGGAAGGAACCTCTAATTAAAATGAGCTTTACTCAGGTGCTTCAATGCTCATAAATTTATTGTTGGAGCTTTGGCCTATTGCTACTAGGATTGGAAGGAAGGCATGCTTCTCTTTGTCCATGATCTTGAACGTTGGGTCTAAACCAATGGTCTCTGCACTGGCATAATAGTTTCTCAGCTAACTTGTTGGGTAGAAGCATACACCTTTCCCTGAATACACCAATCCCCTGCTCCTTGACATTGCAGACACTGCACTTATGTGTCAGAATGATGTGCTTTAAACTTCGCTGAGTGTCAGAATCCCTGGGGAAGCTTGTTAGAAATACAAATGCCTAGATCCTACCCCGGAATCAAACTTGGGGAGGGGAATTCTGGGTGTTTGTATTTCTAACAAGCTCCCCAGGGCATTATGATGCTCGGTCAAGGCTGAAAATCAATCATTAGAGAAGAATTTCTGTGAGTTAAGCATTGATCTCCTCCTGGACCTCATTTAAAGTAAAAATACTTTTAGAAGAGCATCATAGTAAGAATCGAATGCCTCGGAATAAATGAGTTCGTTTACTACAAGGGTTCTTATAGGCATGAAGGAAAGCAATAAATAAGTGTTTAGCACGCCGTTTGTGCTGGACACTGTGCTCCCACACTGTGTGGTTGTTAGGAGGACCTTCCATTCCCATGGTCTCATGAGTAACATTCCTTCTGCCATGGTAACACTCTGAAATTCTCTTCCCAACCTTACTCACTTTCATCCCATGCGTAGGGTTGTCAGATAAAATACTGGATGCTCCATTAAACTTGAATTTCAGATAAATAATAGATAATGTTGATAGTAAAAGTATACCCTACACACTACCTGGGGCATACTTACACTAAAAATTATTTATTGTTTATCTGAAATTCAAATTTAACTGTGTATTCTGTATTTTTATATCTTAAATCTGGCAATCCTACCCATGGGAGGAGAAGTGAATTATCTGAACCGGCCCATTGGTCCATGGTTTGCAATTAGATAGAGCTAAGAGGACATTATGGGTAAGTTCGTCTGCTCTGTAGACCCAAATTCCTTCAGAGGAATCATCTTAAAGACTAGAGGAGAAGAGGAGAAAATAACTAAAACCATTTGGCTGCATATCAAAGTTATACCATTGAGTTCAGTGTTATCAGTAATAAGGCTATTTTCATCTTCATTTGCCTTAAGCCTGTATCTTATTTCTCAGTTAGCTTTGAAATCAGATATTATTTCTCCCTCCAACAACCACAATGGTTATCTTATTTACCCTAATTTTCACAGGACCTCTATGAGGTAGCTACTGTAATCCCCATATTACAATTAAAAAAAAAATGATGGGGCACTGAAGTAGGGAATGGAGGGAGCAAAATTCAAACTTGGCAACACATGATTTGGCCTCAGGCATTTGATGGGGGTAGATATTTTCATTTCATGAAAGTGAAACTGATATCTGAATCTGTGTTTGATTTGGCTGTTAAAACATACTGGCCTTAAATCATGAGAAAAGAAAAACCCTTCAGTACTAATGGTGCCTTTATCCAATTTGACAAACAGAAAAGGGAAGTATTGTCCTTTAACTCTCATCCTATGCTTTATGAATGCACAAATAATTTTTTTATAAACAACAAGGCCACTGACTAAGATAAAAGGCAGCCTGCCTAAGGGAAAAAAATCCCCCTCTTCAAACATCAATTAGAAACGTTTATTAGTGGCATTCGATTGACAGTTCACATTTATTTCCAAGAAAATAGAATGAATCCTCTTTAGGCTAGAATGTTTAAAAGGCTGCAGGTAGGATGTAGTGCTTCAGAGTAATTGCTAAAGACAAGTGACCTTTGGAATCTAGCATTAGTCAGTTGCGGGAAGAAAAAGAGAACACAGGCAAAAGACCTGTTCAAAACTCATCTTTAGATTTATTCAACGGCCCTTTATTTTAAGCCGTGAATATATACAATGCATAAGTATTAGCTTTCTGCATAAATTAAGGTAAGGTAGGAATAAGCAGTCACTTGAAAAATGATTGAATATTGACTCTCAAATGTGGATCTGAATATGAGTCTGTATATCTGGGTCTGGATCTTTAAGTGAGAATCCTGCTGTGTGTGTTCAGATGTTTCTGTACACACCTGCTAAGCTTAACCCTGTAGCTTGTGAGTTTTATCTCTCCTTTTCTATTATGGTACAAATAAAACAAAGACACCTGATGTCAGGCCTGTTCAGCTGGAGTCACTAATGTAAGGTGTCTACAGGCTCAGCCCTGCCAAGTGATTAAGCTAGTCCTGACCAGGGCAGAAAATATATTGGAAGTTTCAACCATATTAGTAGATGGGGACTAAAGTTATTGTTGTTTCCTAGACTAGACCCATTATCTTGCGTGCTGGGCATGACCCTTGGAGATCTGGGTGCTGCTTCCCTACCCTACCTTCCAGATTACATCTCTCCCCTCTCAATTCCCTTCTGAACCAAGCTCAAGGTCAGCCTGCCTCCCTGGATATTTTACATTGGAGTTTCAAGTCATGTCTTCAGAGGTAAGCCCTGTACCCTCCTCTTGCATTATCATTTATCTCTTCATTGTCTTGTAGCTATTCTTCATTTTCTGTGTATTGAACTTCATACTAGTTCTCACCAGATCAATGATCATTTCCTAATATCAGGCCTGTTGATGCTCATCACAGAGAATTTGCACCCTCTCTGACTGTGATTGTGCAAACATTAAAGTACACAGGGTGTTTGCCTCAACTACAAAAAGCTCACTCACCATACCTGTATTAGTCCATTCTCATACTGGTATGAAGAAATATCTGAAACTGGGTATTTTATAAAGAAACAGAGTTTTAATGGACCCACAGTTCCACACGGCTGGGGAGGCCTCACAATTATGGCCAAAGGCGAAGGAGGAGCAAAGGCACATCTGACATGGCAGCAGGCAAGAGAGCGTGTGCAGGGAAACTGCCCTTTATAAAACCATCAGATCTCATGAGACTTATTCACTATCATGAGAACAGCATGGAAAAAACCTGCCCCCCATGATTCAATTACCTCCCACCAGGTCCCTCCCATGACATGTGGGGATTATGGGAGCTACAATTCAAGGTGAGATTTTGTAGGCAACACAGCCAAATCTTATCAATACCTCTGTTGCTCTGGCTATCACGCAAACCCACGTGATAAAAACATTCTGGCTTAAGTAGACCCCAACATGGCATTGGCTGCTGTGGTAAGAGCGCTTCTTTTGGTATGCTGTGGTTTTAAGCAGAAATAAGAATATCTTCTTGGTTGAGAGAGATTTTTCTCCATTCCTCAAATGTCCTTTTGTGGGTTGCTTCTAGCCTCCTCATAGGCTTGGGGGATCTGAGCCAAATTTTTTCTTTACCAGCATGAGTCTTGGGCAAATTGTGAAATATTTTCCCGTGGTGCCATTCACCTTCTTTCCTGGATAATAATAACCATGAAGATAAGTGATGTTTGTCGTGTTTCCCAAATCCAACCACCACGCTAAGTTCTTCACGGGCATTATCTCATGTTAGCCTCAGCAAAATTTTAAATGTAGAATTAAAGTTCAGGACTGCAGAGACCTTACCTGGCCTTGTTATCTGGTATCCCCAGTCCCTAGCACAGTGCCTAGCAAATAGATGGCCCTCAAATTTGTTGAATAAATGAAATTGAGTTCTATTGTTAACCCTCTGTTTTACCGATGAACGAAATGAGGGTCAGAGAAGTTAAGTGACTACTCCAATGTCACATAACTAACTAGTCAGTGGTAGACTCAGGACTGAGATTTAAATCCATCTCACTCCAAAACCTGCATTCTCAACCACTGTGCCCCTTTTCAGCAAACGTAGTTCCACCCATGGGGTACCCAAGAGCCCCTTAACTTCCACTGGAGAATCCTAATTGAGCTATCGACCTGAAGCCTATGATCCCTTTATGACATCAAAGAGACCTGCATCATAAATGCAATCAGCTCTGTCAGCTAATTTATGCTAAGGAGCTTCTGGATTAACTCCTGTGTGAACTTTAGGGTTTCAATCCAGTCACTTAAAGAGATGATAAAGGGTAGCAATTCCAGGCAATATGGTGAGCCACTGAAGAAATGAATTTGGTTCAGGACATTCCAACAGAACCTTTTGAATCACGACACATAGATCACAATACATAGTCCTTGTATTTAGGTACATTATGACACACACTCACTTTTTCTCTACATTTAGCACATCAGCATAGAAATGTGGTGAAGTAATCTCCTAGTGATATAAAGTAAGAAGTAATGCACTGCAATAAAATATCACATGTGACAGGACACCAAACGGGGTTTTGTTAGGAGGTGGGGAGAAGAGTGGTACAAAGCTGAATCAGGCAAGGTCCCTACCCTTCATAGGCTTACAATTTGGTTGGAGAGTTAAGGCAATTTAAGAGTGAAATCTGGCTGGGCGCGGTGGCTCACGCCTGTAATCCCACCACTTTCGGAGGCCGAGGCGGGGGGATCACGAGGTCAGAAGATCGAGACCATCCTGGCTAACATGATGAAACCCCGTTTCTACTAAAAATACAAAAAATTAGCCGGGCGTGGTGGTGGGCGCCTGTAGTCCCAGCTACTCGGGAGGCTGAGGCAAGAGAGTGGCGTGAACCCGGGAGGCGGAGCTTACAGTGAGCCGACATCGTGCCACTGCAGTCCAGCCTGGGCGACTGAGCGAGACTCCGTCTCAAAAAAAAAAAAAGAGTGAAATCGATTCCATAATACATGAGCTGTCACAAGGCTGCCTGTGATTAACTTCCAAATGAGTAGTCCAGTCAATGAAGGCTGAGCTCAAAGGCATGAGACTTCAGTGTGGACTGCGAAGGCTTCATTGCTTAGTTGACATCTCAGAAAGTTGCTTCCTTGCCTCCTGGTATTAGCCTGTTATTTTCAAAGCACTTACCACTCAAATAATGTTTTTTTGCTTTGTTTTGTTTTTGTTTTTGTTTTTGTTTCTTCTGAATGGTCTTTAGAATATTTCTCCTTTCAAAACAGTAACCCGTCTTTGGGATAAAGCAATGGAGTAAACTTCAGCTAATGACGTCCTTGTTTAGCTTCTATTTCTCTATGTATGAGAAGGAGAATCAAACACAACTGTTCTGAAAATTGCATATCAGATTCATCTATTACAAATACAGATTCCCGGGCCCTATACCAAAACTACCAAATCAGAATTCCAGGAACTTTTATTTGAAAAAACAAAAATGAAATATATATGTTTGCATTTTGAAATATTTATACATGAGATTTGGATGAAATATAAATGAAATAAGATTAAACATGGGTGGTTAATTGTGTAAGTTGGGTGGTAAGTATCTAAGAGTTCTTCATGACAGGCTGTCATTTTTTGTTTGTTTGAATTTTTTGTAATAAGAGTTTAACAAAACTACAAACAAAAGTCTACATTTGTCAAAAGTCCCCTGGGTAATTCAGATGCAGCTGGTTTGCAGACTGGCATTAAGGAGTCTCTAGACAAGATTATGTCTCAAAGCTTTTTCAGCTAAGACATACTGGTTTTCTACAAGGAGGATGAGACCTGAACAGGACAAATTAGGAAGTGCTGTCTTGGTTAAGAATATATGTTGGTTTTTCTGGGGATAAATTTAGATGTAACTATCAAAGGTGGAGACAGAAACAGAGAGAACAGACAGAAAAAAAAAATACTGGCTGTTATTCTGCATAGAGCTAATGTCCAGGACTTTAGCTAGTCTGGAGGTCTTTTCAATCAAGATAACCAATAAATAAAGAGCCAAGAAGCTCCTTTGGAACAGTTAGTAATGGCATCACTCAAATAAAAACAAAGAGTGATGATGTTAATACCTTGTAGCATTCTTCTAAACGCATCTCTGTTATCTCATTTGATGCTCATACCTTAACCACAGGGTAAAGCAGGGAGGATGGATGAGATCACTTGGGAGAGGCATTTCCAACTCTCATGTTCTAAAATTCAGGAGGGTTATATTGGCATGGCAAGTTTTATCATTCTCATTTTACAGATGTGGCCATGGAGGTTCAAAGAAATAGAGTCAAAGTTTCTTTTAAGCCACTTTGATTCTGTAGATCAGCTGAACCTACCAATATTTGGAAAGTCTTACAAATTAGGTTTCACCAGTCCAGATACCTCATAATACAAAGAAATCTTTCAGAGATGGAGAATTTAAATTTTGAAAAATCAGCATGAGACATTATATTTCTTAGCTTAATTTAGGTAAAGTTTCCTGGCCTTGAAATAATAACTGCTAGAAAGTTGAATCTTGGGGGATACTATCCCAAGAAGTAAGGGAAATGGTGGTACTGTCCCCAAACTTTGAACAGATCTGGTGTAGAGGCAGATTTACTCAGAAGAGGTACATTTAATCACATCTGAGCATACAAAGCATACTTAAAGGCTTCTACTGAAACATTTGACAAAAATTGTTTTCCAACTGAAGAGTTAAGTGTGGTTCTGGGTGCGAGTTTCCCTCACCAGAGCTTTGAGTGACTACGTGTAGCTTTTCTTTAATTCCTAGCAGTGACGTTTTTGTCAATCAAATATTTTACATATATCACCTGGAAATTTGCCTGTCCTTTCACAGATTGTCATCAGGCTTTCCTATACATAAGATAGCATCATAGTGTTGATGCAGTTGATAGCAGCAAGTCTGAAGAAATAACAGTATCTCATTGAGGTCTAAAGCTTTTCTGAAAGAAAGTAAAGTTGATCTTGTAAATATCATTAGACTAGGAATGAAGAGACCTGGTTTCTTATCTTTGTTCAGCCTCTATTTGCTCTACATTGACAACTGGACTTCAGAACATTTTAAAAAGTTGATCCATGTGTTAGGCACAGTCAAGTTACACAGAATAGTGACATGCTCAGCACATCTCAGTCAATCAAAGTTTATTTTAAATAAACTACACAAGCCATCTAAATAACTTCACCACTGTTCATCATACAACAGTAAGCTGTCCTCTCACAAGGAGCTCTGCTATTAGGTTAGCTCAGCTATTCTGTTTCTGCTTTTACTTCTATGACTACTGACCAATGGGCTGATATTTTGAGTCTCAAATTGAAAATCCCTTTGAGTGAGGATCTGATTGGTTAGAATTCTTATGCCGCTCCACCCCATAGGCCACTGGTCAGCCTATAAATACTGCCTTTGGGTCTAGTGTCTATCCACAGTCCAGTTATCCATGGCAAAGGAGCTGGGTACTGTAGTAACTTGTCATCTGATCTCACTGATTACCTCATTTAAAAAAAAATCCTCATGCATATTTTAATGGAGATTGGGAAAAGAGAGTAGGCAAGGAATAATTATATCAAATGGACACTTTCCAAACATTTTGTAAATGAATTTTCAGGAAATGAAGAGATTATTTTACATAACAGATGGTCTTATTGAGAAACTTAAAATTATATATTGAACAAAACCTGGGTATCACCAAGGAAATAAATTTTCCAATATGCTTCCTAATCACAGAGACTAATGGACATATGTACAAGTTAACAGAGGATGGGTTGAGATTATCTGAAAAGTATGGCACTTTGGATATTTTCTTTTTATACTTTCATATTAACACTACTTTTGTTTGAATTTTATTCCATTTACAAGTTAAAACTAAAAAGGAAAAGTCATAACACATACATACAAGGCATACTCATTTGAAAAAATCATTGTATTAAAAGGACTTTAGGCCGGGTGTGGTGGCTCACACCTGTAATCCCAGCACTTTGGGAGGCCGAGGCGGGCGGATCATAAGGTCAGGAGATCGAGACCATCCTGGCTAACACGGTGAAACCCCGTCTCTACTAAAAATACAAAAAATTAGCTGGGCGTGGCGGCGGGCACCTGTAGTCCCAGCTGCTGGGGAGGCTGAGGCAGGAGAATGGCGTGAACCCGGGAGGCGGAGCTTGCAGTGAGCCGAGATCGCGCCTCTGCAGTCCAGCCTGGGCGACAGAGCAAGACTCCGTCTCAAAATAAATAAATAAATAAATAAATAAATAAATAAATAAATAAAATAAAATGGCTTTGCAAAACCTGCTGAAAGCTACTCAAATTACTCAGATCCACAGAGCTTGCCAACAGCATCTCACGTGTTGAAGAATATCACTTATTACATCATTGGAAAGGACAGTTAAAATAGTCACAATTGAAAAAAAATCCAATTAGCAGAATATTTAGACAGAGTAATTGTGAGGCCAGTTATGCCTATGGTCTTCCTGCGGCATGCCTTTTCTCAGGTGGATTATATGGTCAGTATGTGATATTACAATGTTTGGAAAATTATGACCAATTAGAAAATCATTTGAATTGTCCAGTTGCTCTGTAGTTAAGGCTTTTTTTTTTTTTTGACAGAAACATTAGTATGTTATGCCTCTATCCATCTGGAGTCATAGGATTTATGTGGAGTTTACTTATGCTGGGAGCAATAGGGACAAGGAGTCAATATACTTCAACTCTTGAACCTCAGATGTGATTTTAGCTGAAGCTTTCCAGGTTGTTGATGTGGCTTTTATGTAAAATGGTGGCACCACTCTTGTGAAATTCTGAATGGCATCTGGGCTAAGAAATGACACATCACACTACACTAGCAACCCATTCATCCCCCCATCACTGTCACCAGCAATATCTTGTTACCATTCCTCCTCGATTTCACTTCAAGAACTATAATTACATGCATATCAGAAGGAGTGGGATGGATAACTTAATCAAAGTAAAATTACTCAGTGTTTAATATAGAAGGCATTTGCTAGTTAAGGTGATAGCTAACAAGATTTGATAATGCTGAACTGCAACTTAATGACTTGAACAAGGATCCCATCTTTACCATGATGCCCGGGTGACTTCTAGAAACAAGCTAACTATTCAGTGCAAAGGCCAATGGGCAGGAGCCATCAGGATCAGGCTTGTCTCATCCCCTGGCGGATGGAGCTGGCCAAAAGCTTAAAGGTTAAGTGGGTAGGTTTTGAGTCCTATTACCTTGACCGGGGTTTTCCCTCTAGGGGAGTTTGAACTCATGTCACACACACACACTCCTACACAGTCAAGACAGTGTTAGCTTTGGGAAGAAACTAGAGAAGTTTAGATCATTGTGGTCTGCTCTGGGAAGGAACAGAAGGGATTCATCCTGTTCATTTCTTAACATACGTTTATTAAGGGCTTGCTGTATGCTGATCATTATGCTAGATGCAGAGGATATAGTGACAAGCAAAAATAGATATGCTTTGGGTCCTCAGGGAGCTTGCCATCTACAAGAGAAGATGGGCATTGATTGAATAATTACAGTAATAATAATGACTGTGTAATCACAAACCGATACAAGTATTCTGAGGAAAAGTAACATGATTCTCTGAAAACATATAGCAATGAAAGCTGACTTAGAGTGGGAAGCCAGGGAGATATCTCTGTGGAAGAGACATTTGAGCTAAGATTCAAAAGATAAGTAGGGGTTAACTAAGTGTGTGTCTGAGTGGGTACACGGGGTTAGGAGGGGATGCTGAGAAGAACATTCCAAATTGATGAAAGAGCTTATGCACAGGTTCTGCAGCAGAAGGAACTGTTCCTAATCGTGGAACTGAAAGAAAGGGGGCATATAAAACAAGATGAGGCTGGAAAGGTAGTTGGGAGTAGACTATGCAGGGCCTTGTAGATCCTAATCAAGCTTTTGGCCCTTATCCTACGATAAACACCGGTGTGATCTTTAAAAAATAAAATTCTAGTGTATCACTCACCTGAATAAAACCTTTCAATTGTTTTCTGTTGAATGTGGAAAATAGACTATCGGGCAGCATCAGAGGAAGTGGGGAACTGGGTAAGAGACTAGGGCAATAATCCAAGTGAGAGAAATAGTAGATGAGACCTTGAGTGGACTAAACAAAGAATTTTGTCAATGAATAAATCAGCAAAGAATTAATTGGCACCTATCTAAATATGCATGGCTAGCTCTACTTATCATCTTGAAGGGAGATTCATCCTCAGCCTCCCACCTCTCTTTTTGGCAGCCTAGCTTCTGTCCAAGTATCAAGACTTCCAATTTAATGAAGCTGAATTAATATGGTGTTACTTTATTAAAAGTATTAGCATTTAAGAAAGTTCAGAGAAAGAATTGATTCAAGTGGTGTTAATTCATGTTTTCTTATAAAACATTTTTTGTCAGTCTATGACCCAAAAAAGTTAATGCCTCAGAGTCCCCTGGCAGTTGGAGGGGTAGACAGAGGGAGGCCTTATTTTAAAAATTAAATTCCTGGGCTTCACCCCAGACCTCGTAAATCAGAATTTGAGGTGGAGCTCAGGAAAGGGCATGCTTAACAGTCTCCCCAGGTGATCGCGATGAACATTAAAGTTTGAGAACTACTGTTTATGGAGGCTATTTTGGAGATTGATTTTGAACAAGGAAAATGACTATAACAGAGATGAAAGAAGAGGGTGATCCAGGTTGATGGTGGTCCTGGGAAAATGTCAACAAGTGAGAATTAGCTAGCTGAGTATAAGGGAACAATAGTAAGTAAACTGATTTGCCAGGGTGCAGGAGCCTTGTTGGGAGCAATGAGAATGAGACATTACTCTGAGTAGAAAAAAGGGAGAAGGGACAGCATGCCTTAGAGCAATTTCTGTAATCCCAGAGTCATGGGTTGAGGGGCCTGTAGGACTGTAAACTTGGAATTTCACTCTCTTATGAAATGAAGGGGACATTAACACCATTTATTAGTCATTGCTATGGTCTGAAGGTTTATGTGCCCCCGAAATTCATGTTGAAATCCTAACCCCCAAGGTGATAGTATTAAGGGGCAGAGCCTGTGGGTGGTGATGGGGTCATGAAGTGGAATCCCTTATGATTGGGATTAGTGCCTTCACAAAAGAGATACCCCTTTCACTATGTGAGAACAGAAAAACACCATCTATGAATTAGAAAGTGGACCCTCATTGGACTCCAAATCTGCCAGCACCTTGATCTTGAACCTCCCATCCTCCAGAACTATGAGAAGTAAATTTCTGTTGTTTACAAATCACCCAGTTTATGGTATTGTGTTATAGCAGCCTGAATGAATTAAGGCAGTCACGTGGAGATAATAGCCAACCTTACTGAGTTTGTACTATGTGCCAGACAGTTTGCTAAGTATCTTAAATGCGTCACATCTTGTATTCCTCACAACATCACTATGGGATAGATACTATAATTATCCCCAGTTTATAAATAAAAAAAACTGAAGCACGGAGAGGTTAAATAACTTGCTCAAGGTCTTATAGCTGGTAAGTGGCTAAACCAGAAGTTTAAAACTGAGTCTGTCTCTAGAGATTGCACCTTTAATTACAGTGCTGAATCATTTACATCAATTCTAACTCACACTCACAAGGTGGATAGACCTTTAAAGAAGGGCACCGGCATTCACTTGGACACAATAACCACTAGGTATAATGGAGGCTAGGCTCTGGGGATTCAAGGACAATTCAGGCCTTAATAAGGTTTGGTTAAGGCCTAGATAAGCACACAGTCTCATGCAGCACTCCTCACTTCTTGCTTTACAGATTGATGTAATCCCAGAATCATGGGTTGAGGGGGGTGAGATGAGGTAAGCGTAGCTGTTGAGAGTAAGCATTCAGGAACCTTACAGCAATTTAACAGAGTACTCTGGTGTCTGTTGACTCTAAAAAAGATGGGAGCTTTTATTTTGCATGACTTTTTTCCATTATATTTATCTAGTAATTTATTTTTATTATATTTTACAGAAACTTAGATAGATTAAAAATTGAAATGAAGTAAAACAAAACAAAATACTTGATTCTTCACTCCAGATGCATGGATCTATTGATTATAAAAAGAAATGTGAACAACTAACAATACAAAGGTATTTTCAAGTTCAGGTGCAGCTGGTAGGCTGACCAGTGGAGCTGAGCTGAACCTTTATTTTGACATGGCAACCTCTTCCAAGTTACTGAATCAATCCTCTTGAGGATGATTATGACAGCCAGATTAGAATGTGAAACCAGTCCCTTTTTAGTAGTATTAGATTCTTAGAGGTCATGCATTCAGTTCTGGGCAATTACTGTCAGTTTAAACATTCAAGAAGAAAGAAAGAAGTGTATAATTAGTCAAGCAGAAGCATATAGAACCTGAGCAGTAAAGATTCTATGGGAAAATAGACAGAATGGGGGAACAGAGAAGGGAACTATTGTCATTTTCATTGACACTATTCATAGTTGGGTGTTAAAATATCTTAGACACTTCCAGTTTGTACTTTGGCTAAAAACAGAGCAAGACATGGGGGAAATGATGGAGTAGCATTGTCTTCTTCTGGCACTATTTATTCATTCATTCATTCATTCGTTCGTTCGTTCAACAATTTATGTACCTGGCACTCTGCTTGGCATTTGCAGATACAAAGATTAACCAGATTATATCCCCATCCTCAAGGAGGTCACGGTTTAGGGGAACAGATGTGGAAACAGTTTTAAATATAATAAAACTTGATAGGTAATAATAGAGCCATGTTTCTCAAGGGGCTATATGTTTCAGAACCAGGGCCAGAGAGAAATAGTTTGAAAGATCCTATCAATATTATGCTACCTTATATCGCAGAGAAAAAATAGGCATATTGCTTTCTTAAAACAGGAAATAAAGATTCGTAAAAATGTGGCTGCTGGTAGGGATAAGATGAAGGCTATGGAAACCAGGAGCCTGAACTCTCCACTGGGGATGAATGTCCATTCCAGTGTCTTTGCAAGGGTCAGGGGAGGGGGAGAAATGGTAGGACATGCAAGATGTTGATCATAAAAGGGCATAGGTTTAAGGAAGTCAAGAAACACTTTTGAATTTAGGTATAAAGAAATACCTATGGGAACTATCCAGGCTAAAATACTACCTGGGGTTGGAGGGAAAGAGACAGCTAAAGAAACTGCATTTAGGGCCACAAACCTTCAATAAGGAGTCAGAGTGTAAGAAATAAAGAGCAAATGAAGCAGGGGAAGAAAAAAGCCCTGGTGCCCCCTCTTTGCAAGCGCACGGCTACCCTGACATCCTTGGAAGTTAAAGAACAGTGAATGCTGTCTACAGCAACAGTGGTGCTGAGAGCCACAGCTCTCGGGGTATTTGGGATGTAGTGCTGGAAGCCCTGGCTTTCAAACATGGTTCTTTCACAAATAAGGTATGATCATCTCTGTAGACCTCATAGACTTACGAGGCTCAAACAAGTTGCTAGATGTAAAAGCATCTGTGAGCTCTTAAAGGATATGTGCTTGTGTGTCGACCCTCCCTGTCCCACAACCCCACCCAAGATAATCAAAAGCCCTCAAAGATAAGTGAGATAATTGAGTTAGAATGCACCAAGCCCCTCAGAAGGAAGTTAGAGTATGGAAATATTAATAAGAATGACCCATATTTGCTTCTTGCTGATAATGCTTTTCTTTAAAGGAATGACACCAAGAGAGTCCAACTGTTGTAATGCCCTCAACTGTTGTAAGTGGGCTGCAGTGCCACATTTTTAGCAGCCAAGTACTTTGTTTCCAATTCAAAAGCAATAGTTCATTTTTTTGCAATTTCTTGCCAGAATCTGGAGAGAGACACCTATATAAATGTTGCATGAATACAATGATCATCTTCTTCCTATTGTTTGAGGCCGTATACCAGATATCAGCTCATGATGAGCTGTTGGTCACATCTGGCCAAAGCCCTTCAGGAAACTTTGAGATTGAAATCACTGGTGGAGCAGAGTTCACGAAGGGCCAAAGATGAAGAATGTAGTTTCTCTAAAAGTGAAATAATGGGACAATAACTGTCAGCCAAATGTCTCGGAGAGCTCACAGTCCCTTTTGATGAAATTCCATGTTTCTTACTTGAAAGGGCTGCACCCATGATTAGGACTTCCTCCTCTTGATCAGTGACTCAGACCTGAGTCAGTCAGAAAGCAAAACCAGGCCTGACCCAGCCAGTCCCATCAAGCAGAGAAGTAGACAGCTTCAGGGGAGGCAGGGGTGAGCAGAGCTGCCAAGAGCAAAAAGAAACCATTCATATCACCTTAGATACCACGGCTCTTCCTACTCCAGGTGCTTCCTGGAGAGGTATAGATGCAAAACTATAGGAGTCTTTAGAAGAAGCAACCAGCCGGACTGTCTTGAAACGCGATCAGAAAGTAAGTAAAGTTGACATCCGGATATCTCAACTACCCTCTCTCCATCCTGGGCCCCTTCCTGGCCTTCCTGGCTGCTCAGGTTTCATCTCATTCCTGGCTCTCCTTTATGTCCTCTTGTCCTGTGTCCTGTTCCTAAATGTCTTCCCTAATTAAGTCCTGGTCTGGACAATTTATTAGAGCTAAGCAATTAATAGCTGCTAATGGCTTTGCTTCTGAACATGGGCTTTCTATCTTAAAGCACAGGAGTGAGTACAGTGGCAATTAGACATTGCGGGTGATCTCTCCCCTTCTATCACATGGACACCATGGGTGACAGGCTGGCACTGTAGGGCAAAATTTCCATTGTGCTTCAGAGGTACAATATCGAACACAGTGTTATATTTTTCCTTTACCTCAGACCGAGAGAACTCAAAGAGTTAGACACTACAATTCAATATGTCAAGATTAAAGCAATTATTGTAAATTAGCTTAATCATTCCTCTATATGCCTTTAGCAGCAGTTTTTTTTTCCTATTGTCACTGCCAAATAAATGGAGGCTTGTAAATACAGATAAACTTAACTTTTAAAGGATTGTCTATTCTCAAAGGTTCCAATGCTTTAATTAAAAATGTTCCCATGATATAAAAGAAAGCATCTGTGTTGTGGCAGTGTGAGATACAGGGAGAGCATGAATGAAATATGGAAAGGAAATCATGGCTAACGTGGCTGTCTTTTCATTTCGTCCACATATTTGTTAGTCTAATGACAGCAAGATCTACTCTTAGCATGGTCTCTGACTGATTTTGGAGCTCCTAAAGGCCAGAGAACAGGGAACAGCTTAAATGATTCCCTCCCTTTCAAGCCATAGATTTTAGACTTCTGTGTACGGAACACTCCAGCAAGGAATTACTAAGGGAGTAAGTACTGCAAAAGATGGAGAGCGCTGCTCTCGAGCTTCAATGTGCACACGAATCACCTGAGAGTCTGTTAAAATGCAGATTCTGATTCAGTAGTCTGGGGTGATACCTGAGATGCTTCATTTCTAACAAGTTCCCTGGTGATGCTGATGCTGCTGGACCGTGGAGTATATTTCGAGCAGCAAGGAACACTCTAGATACAGAGTGCAGATAGAGAGGCTTCCCCAGATAGTAGCAGTCAAATGGTGAAGAGGCTTAGTGGAAAAGCAGAACAGTTCTTTTTGAACCAAGTGAAGGGAAGAGGAAACAATAGGGACGCAGAGACGAGGCTGATGACACCTGTGCTCCTGAGGGGTTCAAATATAATAGATTTCAAGCAATATACACCGGAAAGGCATTGGCTCTCACAAGCTAAGGGAGAAAATATGCCTAGGGGTTGGAGTATGTGTTCTGGAGCCATATTGCCTGGGTTCAAGTTCCATCTCTATCACTTTCTGATAGACACTTTGATCATGCTACCTTACCTCCCTGAGCCTTAGTTGAGTCATCTGTAAAATATGAATAATAGAGTTTATCTCAGGATGATTGTGGGGATTAAATAAAATGAAGGGTGTAAAGCTTTCGAATAGTATCATCCACATAGTGCTCATTAAGTGGTAGCTATTGTAACGCTTCCCATTTTTGAGCTGATACTGTTATAAGTACTACTGGGCTTTATTCAAGCGCTGGAGAGCCATTATAGTGCCATGTTGGCTTTTGATGTGAATCTCAAAGCAGCTTCCATTATTTGAGACATAGGAAAAGGCAGTGATTTTGGATTTAAGTAATTGAAATTCAAGACAAAAATGTTAAAATGGGGAAAAAAAACTCCCTCTCAGAAAGTACACTTATTATGTGCTTTGACCTTTGTCACTGCCTCTGCCTATAACTTCTCTGGCTGGAGAATCATTTGAATGAGGAAAGAATGATTTAAAAATAAAAATGAACTAGAGAAACAAACTGTATTCTGTCTCTGCCAAAAGGAAATGTACAATCGGGGTAATTATCATCCAGCCTGGGGCAGGCCAGGCCCAAGGGAAAGGAAAGGAGGGAAGAAATCCTAGAGAAAGATATTTACGAGCCCATCAAGCATGCAATGAGAATCACGGAGTTGTAGGTACTGTCCTGGGATGAATAAAGGCATTAGACATTGCCTCTCTTTCAGGGGATTATAGTCTAGTTGGGAAGACATTAGAATAAAATATACACACAGAGAGAGAAGTAGATAGGTCCATACATACCAACTGTGGGAAAGTTCCAGTGAGGAGACTTGTTTAAAACAAAGAGTGTGTTTCTGGGGAGTAAAGATTAGTCTAGAAAGGAAAGTTGGGCCTGACTGTGAAGGTGTCAGGAGTTTGAGACCAGCCTGGTCAACATAGCAAAACCCTGTCTCTACTAAAAATACAAAAAAATTAGCCGGGCGTGGTGGCGCATACCTGTAATTCTAGCTACTCGGGAGGCTGAGGCAAGGAGAATTGCTTGAACCGAGGAGGCGGAGGTTGCAGTGAGCTGGGCTGGCGCCACTGCACTCCAGCCTGGGTGACAGAGTGAGACTCTGTCTCAAAAAAAAAAAAAAAAAAAAAAGAAAGTAAGAAAGAAAGAAAGTATGCTGTGGGCAATTAGAAGTTAATGTTATTTTCCTGGGGGTGAGAGTGTCAAATGCAAAAGAGCATTTTAAGAAGATCATTCTGATTGAGCAATTTAATAAATATTTATTGAGTATTGTGTATAGCACCAGAGTCCAGGATGCAGAGCTTTGCGAGGATACGGAAAAGAAGACAAAATGTATACCCTTCAAAAATTAAAAGGCTTGTCAGGGAGACAGACACAAATACAATGATCTTTAATGCGCAGTGGAAAGTTCAATGAAACATTTCATGTACTGTACGTTCCATGTGGAATGGTCACTACGGTAAACTAGTAAATGCAAAAAATGTAAGGTACAGAACAGCACGTTTACTTTGCCGCCATTTGTTGAAAAAGAGATGGAAGAAATGTGTGTTTACATACATGTGTATATGTATGTAAGATTTATCTGCAAAATCATACAAAAATCAAATGACATTGGTGGCCTCTAAGGAAAGGAATTAGTTTGGCTAGGAAGGGGGACGGGCTGGGAATGTTGTATGCATATCCTTCGGTACCCTCTCTGAGTTTGAGACAAATGAATGTGTTATCTACTCAAAACATTTGAAAATGTATTAATATACTAAAATAATGTGTATGGTATAGCATGGAAATGGGAAAGATGACTTTCAGTTGAGAGAATCTGGGAAGACTTCTTGGAGGCTATGAAGCTGGGTCTTTGAAAGGCAGCATTTCCACAGGTGCTAATTCGAGTGGGAGCTTGCCTTGAGCCACAAGGTGGGGGATAGATCTCTGCCGTCCAGTACTGTAGCCCCAGCCACGTGCAGCTATGGAGCACTGGACATGTGGCTAGTGTGTGCAAATTGAGACGCGCTGCAAGTGTAAAATGCTTATGGATTTTTGAAGACATAGTATGAACAAATGTAAAATTTTTCATTATTAATTTTTAGATTTATTACATGTTAAAATGATATTTGGAAAATAGAAACATTAAAATGAATTTCACTTGTTTCTCATTTTAAAAAATGCAGCTGCTACATAATTTAAAATCATGTCATGGCTTGCATTAGATTTCTCCCGGACGGTGCTATTCTAGATCCTGGAGATTTTCAGAGAATGGTGAGTTAGGTCAGTACTGCTGCAGCAGAAGGTGTATATGGGTAAGAGTGAGAAGAAAGGTTGGAAAAAGTGGGCCAGGCCAAATTCTGAAGGATGTCGGCCACTCAGCTGAAGAGTTTGGACTTTATTTTTTTATTTACTGGTGAGCCACTGCAGGATTTTGAGCACGGGAATCAGATAATCAAAAGGCTGCTTTGGCCTGGGGTGAAGTAAAGGGAGTAAGAGTAGTTAGTGTAGTAATCAAGGAGTGAGGTGCTAGGTTCTGGGCTTAGGTGGTAGCTTTGAAATCAGAAAGAGAGAAATGTAAACTATACTGTGGAAGGAGAAGTGATAGAACTGAGTAGGGGTGTGGCTGTCAAGAGATAACTTGAAGTTTTCTGACCTTGGTGATTAGAAGCACATCAGTGCCAGTGATCAACATCAGGAAGTCTGGAGAGGGAACTGAATGGGGACTGCCTGAGAGGGAAAAGAAGTTTGATTTTTGACATGGTGAGCTTGAGGTGGCTGGGTGAAACGTGGGATTGAGAGTATGAGAGACAGATTTATTTATTTATTAATATCTTATTTTATTTTATTTCATTTTATTTTATTTTATTTTATTTTATTTTTGAGACTGAGTCTTGCTCTGTTGCCCAGGCTGGAGTGCAGTGGCAAGATCTTGCCTCACTGCAACCTCCGCCTCCTGGGTTCAAGTGATTCTCCTGCCTCAGCCTTCCAAGTAGCTGGGATTACAGGCGCCCACCACCACGCCGGGCTAACGTTTGTATTTTTAGTAGAGACAGAGATTTGCCATGTTGGCCAGGCTGGTCTCAAACTCCTGACCTCAGGTGATCCACCCACCTCAGCCTCCCAAAGTGCTGGGATTACAGGTGTGAGCCACCGTGGCTGGCCGAGAGGCAGATTTTTGGATCTTAGTAGAGGTGATCATGGCAGTCAGATAATTATAATAATGATTAGTATGTTTATGCCATTATAATACACAAAATGTACTCATCCTATATATTACTTTACACAATCCTTACAATAGTCCAAGGCTCACAGGGTTTTAGTAAGTTGCCCAAGATCACATAGCTAGTTAGTGGCCAAGGTAGCGTGCTAAAACTCGCCTTCCTTGTATCATTGTAATTGAAAGAAAATGCTGCGGGTAAATGTAGAGAAATCTTAGATTCCAGATTATATATTTTCAGTTCCCCCAAGTTGCTTCCTAAATTAAGGGCTAGCTCTAACCCTTGAAAAACCATCTTAGGTTCTCTTCAGTTGTTTTAAACATTATTTGTAGAGGTGAGGAAACTGAGGCCCTGAGAAGTTAGTGAAATGTTTGTAACGTCTATTAGTAAGAGGTATAGGTGGAACTCAGACAAGGGCTGTGGCAGATTGCGTTATTGTTTCTATAGATTCTTTTTTCCTCCTGCCTCCTGCCACGTGCCCTGATGAATTGACATGAACTTGGTCATAAAACTTGCTTTTGCCAATGGAATGTGAGCCAAAGTGACTTCCACTACATATGATCAGAAGATTGAAAGCTGTGGCAAGGTTCAGCATTGTTTGCTCTTTTCCCTCTGCCGTAAGATTGGCGTGTCCAAAAAAAAGGGCTTCTCCTTCAGCCAGGATCCTAGAATGAAGAAGACACAATGAAGCAGTGCCACAGATGACCTGTGGCTGCCACAGCATACCTTTGCTAATTGAGGTTTGGGGGTTGTTTTTAACCATCATACAACGTAGCAAAAGCTGACAAATACACTATCCCATGATATGGACTTTACTTCCTTTTTGCATTGACTACACAATTACGCACTTTTAATCTGGCTGACTCCTACTCATCCTTTAGGTCTCTAATTAAATATCACTTCTTCAGAGAGGACTTTCATGACCACCCAATCTAACTTAGGCCCCTTCCCTTTCCACCACACACACACACACACACACACTCACACACACACACACACACTCACACACACACTCACACACACACTCTCTCTCACACCATTATTTTCTCCTACAATATCTGCAGTCTTTCCTTCTAAGGCACTAAACACAACTGTAATCACATATTGATTTGTTTGCCATTGGCATGCTCCACTTGACTAAGCTCATGAAGACCTAAAACACGTCTACTTTTGCTGGTATGTAGTGCCTAGCATAGTGCCTGTCATGCAGTAGATGTTCAATGAATATTTGTGGGATGAATGATGAAGAGATGAATAGCTTGTTTATGAGGTTGTTGGATCATAAACCAAAAACAAAGGAGGGTGCTTTGATTTAGGGGAAATATGACTACTAAAGTACCTCCTAGGTGCAAGGATGAAGTATTACTTTTTTCTTTTTGGTCCTTCTCTTTCGAGGAAACTTCGAAAGCAGTGGCACTTTTCAAACCCCTTAAAAACAGATCTACTTGCCAACAGATTTCTATGGCTTGGCAGGTTTTCTGCCTGATACCAGGGAAGCCTGCTAAAGCCTGCAGATAGGTTAGGACTCCTCTATAAGAAAAAAGGACTGTTGCCACAGAATGCTTAGTTATATGGAGGAAGAGATTCACCCACCCTTCCGCTTCTGAGTGATTGATGCAATTTAGTAAGAAGTGGGAGGAGAAAGAGACTACTGGGAAATGGGAATTATGTGCTGGATATAGTGGATACCTTTCTGGTCCTAACCAGAAAAATCAGGCCCACTTCCCCTCACTTTCACCTGCCAACAGAACACTGAAGAGGTGACTCTGAACTGTATCACACCAAGCTGGCCGATCGAGTTTGAAGGCTTTGTGCAAAATGACCAACTTTCCCATGACAGGACCACACACACACATCTGCACACTCAGATGGTAGGAAGCTGGAGGAAGGAACAATTCTGTGCTTTAAATCATGAAATCTCTTGTATGGAGAAACTCACAAGGTCTCACAACTTGAATTGTTGAAATACACAGTGAAGCCTAATGTAGAGGTATGGTGTCAGTGCGTGGAGTCAATGATTCACGAGGTCGCTTTCTTACTAGGGATGCCCATTAATCCTGTGACTCTAAATTTTCTGCCTTCTGTGACTCCAGAACACACAGGCACACTAGGTTCCTTGGGTAGGGCAGAATAGGAGAAGCTTATGAGGATATACTGCACTTTTAAAAAGTAAAATAAATGTAATAAAAAGCAGGCAGCATAATTGCCATGACTTATACCCTGTGACATTTGATAATAACAAGGTTGGTACATTACAAATAAGTTCCACATTTACAACTCTGCCTTGATATTTACACTTATTAAATTGTTGAGGGAGGTGGTTCCTGGATGCTGGAGGCCCATATATAAAACATATTAGCATAATTGGAGTACAGCCAAATCCCTCAGTGTACATTGCAGGCACTTGTTAAAAGCTTGACCTTGGAGGAAAAAAACTTCCTACTTGTCTTCAATCCTTCCTCACCTCCTGAAAGTACTCCTCTAAAGTCAACTTCCAGCTAAACACAGTTCGGGGAGTTTGTCCTTAATGCTGACCTTAGGCAGGTCCTCAGTTCCCAGGACAGTGATGAAGGCTATGTTCTCACCTGGATGAGGAAATTAGCTATGATTTTCCATTACCTGTAGCAAACATTCCTTTTCATTTGTTTAATTCCCTGAGAGTTGACACTACACATTAATTCATTGAGCAATTGCTTTGTGTAAAGGCCCAGAGATGAATGAGACCGTCACTGCCATCAAGGAACTTACACTTTAGTCAAGGACACAGACAACTGTAGTAGAAGGCAGAATGAAACAAAGGCCAGAATAGAGGTATGAACAAATTGCTGTGGGAGCATAGATAACACAATTTATTTTAGTGGGGGAAGAAAAATTAAGAAAGGCTTCAGAAAGGCAGCATTGGTCCTTGAAGGATTGATAGGAGAAAAAGGGTGAGGCTGGGCAGTGAGGCCATAACAGTCAGAGCAAAGTGCATGTGTGTATAATGGCATGAAGGTATATACACAGTCAGTGACTTAATCATATGTTTAGTATTGGCATTTTCCAATGATAACTCCTGTGTGGCATGGCTTAAGGAATGAGGTAGAAGAGGCGTCAAAGTTATGCTTGGGTCTGCTCCTGAGACCTTTGAAGGCTGCACTGGTTTCATTAATTAGGGAGAACAATCAAAGATTTTTGAAGTGGGCCAAGAAAGGCATTTTAGGATGCTCTCTCTAGAGTGTGAAGAATGGGTTGAAGAGGTAAGAGACTGAAACAGGGAGGGCAACTTCTGTGCCTGGCTGGATATTAGGGGAGAGGGAATAATACAAAATGCTTCCAGAGTTTCTAGCTATAGAAATTGGGAAAAGGCTAATGCCAATACTGAGACAGGTGACTGACCTGGATGGAAAAATAAGTTTGCTGGAGAAGAACATATTTGGTTGGGAATATACGGAGTTTAGTGTGTGAGCTATCCTTTTCGGTGGGAAGGTGGTTTTGGGGTCCAGGAGAGATCTCAGAGTCATCTCCATGAAAGAAATTCTTGAAGCTGTGGATATGGCTAAGATGACCCTGGAAGGTGAAGAGAACACAAATGAAGGCAACTAACAATAATGCCTATTCATAAGAATGATATAATAGACTTTGAAGATTTGGGGCGAAGGGTGGGGGGAGGGTGAGGAATAAAGGACTACAAATTGGGTACAGTGTACAATGCTCGGGTGATGCGTGCACCAAAATCTCAGAAATCACCACTAAAGAACTTACCCATGTAACCAAACATCACCTGCTCTCCCAAAACCTAGTGAAATAAAATAAAAGAATGCCTATATTTAGGGGTCATTTGAAGACAACCACTGATAAAGGGGAATGAGTTTTCTGAGAGGTAGGGGAAGACAGGGCTAGGTACACTTGGTGGAAGACATGAGAGAAAATAAGTGGGATGAGGATTCAGAAGCATTCGTAGGATTTGGCAGTTAGGTGGGTCATTGGTAGCCTTGAAGAAGAGTCACAGCTTGAAGGTTGTTGTTTAATAGTATGGTGGAACCTTAAAGATGTTTGTTTGTAGACTGAGAGGAAATGTGATGATGGATAATGGATGTTAAAAGTGAAGTCCTTACAATAATACAAAGTACTACAAGATGTAAGGTCATAGCAAGTCAGCTTTGTTATCACAGATGCTCTGAAGTAAAAAAGTCATTGACATCTGGAAGACGTTTTTATTTTTATCGTTATACTGAATTCTGCTAGGGGCCTTAGTACATGACCCCTTTCATTTCCCCTCCCTCTTTCCCTCAAGCACCACCATTAAGTGCTACCAGTTGTTCAGCCAGATAAAGCACTCCATTACTCGATTTTTGTCCAAAAGTCGAGGCCACTGTGCTATTATATGCCATAGGTTTCCGAGACTTGTTCAAAAAGAAAATTCATAGTACTTAGGTATTTTCAATTTAATTCCCATTGTGATATTTGAGTTTTTGTAGGAAAATGGAGGGATGGCAACACAAGGTATTTGGGGTGGAAGGAGATAGAGCAGATTCATAAAACAGGCCTCATTCTGGAATAACACAATATTAGCCAAAATAAAGCCATTCAGTGTCACATGACCCGGCATCTGAATGTCCTAGGAGGGAAGTCTTAGAGTTATTTGAGTAGAAAGACATTTAGCATAAAGGGAATAGACTTGGGCACAGTTTGAAAGTCTAAGAGATTACTGGGACCATAGTAAAACAGAGAATCTGCTGTTCTTTTAGAAAATAATAATTGTTCAAGAACCTCTTAAATGTACAGCTTAAAATATTAACCAGACACTTAAGAAGGCCTAGCTATGAACTAATTGAAGCTTTCCCCATAAATTATACTTTATCTAAATATCTTTCTTTCCTGACGGTATGAAACCAAAGCTGAATCAGTATATTTTAATGTGCACTCAGTCTTTTGTCAGTTTTTTCTTTCTTTGAACAGCCATACAATGTTTTGGCTTTCAGTGTTGTTTTAAAAAAAGGAAGAGAAAGGAAAAGAAAAGAAAAGGGAAGAAAAGGGAAGGGAACTGAAAGGGGGTGGGGAAGGAAAGGAAAGGAAAAGAAAGCAACCTAGAGATCTTACCCTTGCTCTTATTACCATAATCACTATAATATTACTGAATAAGTTGTGCAGAAATCATGTTCTCCTGTCTGCTTCATGTCTCTATGATTTGATGCTACTTGCTTATAAGGCTTGCATGAGCCATTCAACAGTACAGATAATAGGATCATAGCGGCCGGGCACCGTGGCTCACGCCTGTAATCCTAGCACTTTGGGAGGCCGAGGTGGGCAGATTGCCTGAGCTCAGGAGTTCGAGACCAGCCTGGGCAACATGGTGAAACTCCATCTCTACTAAAATACAAAAACAAAATAATAATAATTAGCCAGGTGTGGCGGCATGCGCCTGTAGTCCCAGCTATTCAGGAGGCTGAGACAGGAGAATTGCTTGAACCCGGGAGGTGGAGGTTGCAGTGGGCCGAGATCGTGCAACTGCACTCCAGCCTGGCGACAGAGCGAGACTCCATCTCAAAAAAAAAAAAAAAAAAGGATCATAGCAAGCCTCAGAGCTGCAGCTGTGCGTATCTGTGGTGCCACTGACAACTGCTACCCCAGTTTGGGGCCTCATTTCTCATAAGTATTACTGCAGTAACCTCCAACAAAGTTGGCCTTCTGTGGCCTCTCCCCACTCTACCTTTCCTACATAGAGCTTCTAGAGTCATCTTCCTTCAGTGCTCCAAATAATTTCTTTGCTCAAAACTCCTCAATATTTCCCTATCCTGTACTGAATCAAGAAGCCCAAACCACACATCCACTGCTGTGTTTCATGGACCTTGCACTCTAGTGAAACAGAATTGTTCAATATTCTCTGCATATGCACCAAGGTTCCAAGTTTATACCTCGGCTCATGCCTTCCCTCCCTCCCTCTTCAAAAAGATGTCAGTTCCATGAATCTTGAACCACGTCTAGCTGGTTCACTGTCATAGTCTCAGAGCCTAGCATTGTGTGTGGCACACAATAGGTGCTCAGTAAATACTGACTGAATGACAGTGTCACAGATCCAAATCTACTTACCTCTTAAATTTCAGTTTAAATGCCAGCCACTCCACAAAATCTACACAGATACCAGCTTCCCACCCAATAACCACCCCACCTCTCTAAAACTAAATTCTTGCTTTTTCTGAACCTCCACAGGCCTTATATCGGTTTCAACATCAATCAGTTTCTTTCCACCTTGGATTACAATTCTGTTTGTACATATCCCATCTCCCACTAGGCTGTGAGATCTTGAAGCCAGGAGCTATGTTTAATTCATAATTGTGTCCTGAAAAAGCAGCTTGCATCAAATGGACACTCAATGATTAGAACAGCCCCACTGGGGAGTGGGGGTGGGGGCAGACTTTAACAAAGTAGAGAAGTCGAGGGGTTTTATATTATTTATTATTATGTCAAATAATAGGATAATAGTGTTTACACTTTGCTCATAAACATCAAAAGGTGATGGCTGAACCTCAATTAGCCAAGATATAGGTGAAAATATTAGCTGAACTGCTATTATCGAAGATATAAGGTCATCATGGCTAAAGATTGAACTCTGGCTCATCTCCAAGAACTAGGAACAAAGTTATGATTTGCATAATTCATATATTTGCAAGTTGTTTTTTCTGAAATGGACACTAACTGTAATAATATTTTATTTGTGGCCACTGGGACTCTGGACATCTAAATAAATTCAGTCTGTAAATGAGATATTTGGCTATAGCTTTCTTTTTATTATAAATCATCAAAACTATATAGCATGTTACATGCATTGCATGTATATTAATTTCTGGATTTCCATTTTTCCTTTGAGCTCTTGGCCTTAAGCTCAAATTCTCCTAGTTGTGGATACTAACGTTTTCAGACTTCCTATTAAGGAATTTGCCTATTTGGGTCTCATGGGGGAGAAAAAGCCAATGTATTTGATTCCTGATGTAAACCATTCCAAGGGAAACAATGGTCTTTGGTTTGCCTTGGAAACAAATGTTTCTGATTGTATTATTTATAGACCTGGTTATTACGTTGTCCAGACCTTCATCTTCAAGTCACCCCACCCATGATGAGCTATTCTATTGAAGGCTCTCCAGAAAATAATAATCTACAGTCCTTTTATTACTCATTCCAGATTTTTACCCTTCTAAGCATTTGAAGCCCACTTGCTTAATTCTATACTCAATACCAAAACAGAACAAAAAACAAAACAAAACGAAAAACTTCTCTGTTGAAACAGTTTCTCTGGAGCGTGTAAATCACCCTTCTGATGTTTCTAAACTTTTCAGTTGTACCATATCTCCACTACTCTGGCAAGCAGTGCTAAAGAAAACCTTATGATTCCTACAAGTATGTTTTTAATATGATCCCATGATCTCCACTGGACCAGGCACATACAAAAGCACTCCTGCACTTCTGTTTGGTTGAAGCTTCTCCCCCCCGATAGTTCATGCCTTTTCACTTGTCTTTAATCTTAATTATCATAGGCAGCACAACATTTAACGTATATCTTAACTTTATTGAATAAGTAAGTAGCCATTACATATAGATTGCAAGTCATTCTTGGTCCTGCTTAGAGATAGGTGTTTATTCCAAGGTGAAATGACAGCACAAATCCACAGTTCTACTGCAAGTGAAATACTTCTTCAGGGTGGCTTGGTATGGACACAATCTCCCTCAATACCCATTCAAAGCAGTCTTTGCTTTCACCTCTCCCTTTAGGTGAGGGATTCACGGTATGTAAAATAAGCTTGTAAAGAACCCTTCTGTATCAGAGGTAGTTTTGTGCCTGCACTGTGAACCATAGAAGGCATTTGGTCAAAGGTGTCATAAAAGGGGCAGAAGAGGTACATCAGAGCACAGAGTTGGGATCGATTATTTTTTTCAAGTTAATTGCCCATAGTAGCAAAAGTATCAACCAAAATTTAGAATAGCCTGTCCATCCATTTAACAACAGAGCATGCAGCAGCCTGTGCAGACAATAGCTTTTAGAGACAAACTTCGATCTGGTTTGAGCACCAAGAATGCATCTTAAAAAGTGAAAAATTCATTTGTGTGCAATGAATAGTGTAGTGAGCTGCATGGTGCCCCCTCCCCAAAAAAGATATTCAATATCCTACTCCCTGGAACCTGTGATAGTACCTTATTTGGAAAAAAGGTCCTTTCAGATATAATTAAGAATCTTGGAATAAGGGAATTATCATGGGTAATCTGGATGGGCCCTAAGTCCCGTCACAAGTGTCCTTATAAGAGAGAGGCAGAGGTAGATTATATATACAGAGGGGAAGTGATGTGAAGACAGAGGAGAGGGAGATGCAGTCACAAACCAAGGAATGATGGCAGCCACAAGAAACTGGAAGACACGGGAAGAGTGTTTCCCTTAGAGTCTCCAGAAGACGTTCAGCCCTGCCAACCCCTCAATTTTGGACTTTTGGCCTCCAAAACAACAAGATAATAAATTTCTATTGTTTTAAGCCACTGGGCTAGAGGGTAATTTGTTACAGCAGCCATGGGAATCTAATGCAGATTGTGGAACTGGGACGGATTGGGTACTTCTGTAACAAATGTCTTAAAATGTGAAAAAGGCTTTGGAATTGGATAATGGGTAGAGACTAGAAGAATTTTGGTGGCTGTGATAGAAAAAACTAGATTGCCTTTACCAGATGGTAGTAGTATGAATGTTAAAGGCATTTCTAGTGATGGTTTAGAAGGAAATGAAGATTTTATTGGAAAATGGAAGAAAGGGAATCCTTGTCATATAGTGGCAAAAAGTTTATCTATCTAAATTGTCTACTACAGTAGTGTGAAAAGTTGAATAAATGATGAACTTGGATGTTTAGCTGAGGAAATTTTCAAGTCTAGTGTTAGAGATATAGCTTAGTTTCTTCTTAGTGCTTATAGTAAAATAAGACAGAAAACAGATACATTGACAAAACAGGCTGGGCATGGTGGCTTACACCTGTAATCCGGCACTTTAGGAGGCCAAGATGGGTGGATTGCTTGAGGCTAGGAGTTCGAGAGCAGCCTGGACAACATAGCAAGATCAAGTCTCTACAAAAAAATGCAAAAAATTAGCCAGGCATGGTGGCATGCACCTGTAGACCCAGCTACTTGGAAGGCTGATGCAGGAGGATCCCTTGAGCCTGGGAGTTTGAGGTTACAGGGAGCTATGTTTGCACCACTACACTGCAGCCTGGGTGACAGAGTGAGACCTCATCTCTAATACATTAAAAAAAATTTTTTTTTAAAGAGAAAATAACTATATAAGTGGACAAAAGGAATCAGTATCTGATGACTGGGTAAATTCTGAGCCTGAATTCACAATCTGAATGATTGTAAAAAAAAAAAAAGATGCTAAAATTAGGAGATTCACTGTTAGAAAAGTGTGCTCTGTAGATAAGCCCAAGGGTGTGTCTTGACAACCTTTGGCTAGTGCTGAAGAGGTTAGGCATTAACTTGTGGATTTATTTGACTGTTTCAACAGAAGCCAAGAATAGAGATGGGGTTGTTCAGGAAAAATCTGTGAGGACCCTCTTTTCTGAATGTGTGAATCAATGTGACATACGTAGAAGACCCACAAGATTTTTGAGAATGTTCTACCATCAGAAACACTTCCAACTGGGCCTAAAAGGGACAGAGACAGAAAAAAATGAAAGAAGATTGTGAGACTGCCAGAATTCTACAGGTAGGAAACCCGTTGATAAAACTTCTCAGCTGCAAACATGTGCCACCCTTCAAGATAAAGGAAGCACCATCCCGAGAGCAGAGCTGCAGGTACAGAGGCAGAGGCCCAAGTGTGGGAACAGAGGAAGAAGTGCAACCCATAGGCACAGAGGCAGAGGCCCAATCCATAGTCCAAGAAAGAAGAGCTACAGGCCCAAAGGGTGGAGCCCTGAGAAAGAGGATTACTGCCAGGCCTTGAAATATAACAGAAATTTGCCTGGCTAGATTTTGAAAATGATTGGGACAGGAGACTCCATTCCAATTTCCATTCTCTCCTTTTTGAGACAGAAATGTCTGTAACTGTTATCCTATGCCTGTTCCCACCATTGTAATTTGAAAGCAGATTAACTTTTCTGTTTCACTGGTTCTCAGAGGAAGAGGAATTTGGCCTCAGGAAAGACCATACCCAGAGTTTCACTCATACCTGATTTAGATGATCTAAATGATAAGCTTTGGAACTTTTGAACCGATGATATTTGAATGAAATTTTGGACTTAGGATTGATATAATGGGTTGAGACTTTTGGTAATGTTAGGATGGGATGAATGTCTTTTACACATGAGACAGACATAAATTTTGGGCCAAAGGGCAGACTCTGGTGGGCTAAGAGTGGCTTCCTAAAAGACATAGCCACATCCTAATCCCCAAAACCATGAATTTATCTTATTTGGAGAAGGGGGCCTTGCAGATGTAATTAAGTTAAGACTCATGAGGTGAGGAGATTATCCTGGAGTAATCTGGGTAGTCCCTAAAAGTCATCATAAGGATCCTTATTAAACAGAGGCAGAGGCAGATTAGGTATACAGAGGAGGGTGATGTGAAGACACAGCAGAAAGAGAAATGTGGCCATAAGCCAAAAAATGCCAATAGCCACCAAAAGGTGGACGTGGCAAGGAAAGATTCTCCTCTAGAGCCTCTGGAGGGAGCATGGCTTTGCTGCCCTTCAAAAATGTAAGCAAATAAGTTTCTGTTGTGTTAAGCCATCATATTATTGGTGGTAATTTGTTACAGCAGCCAAAGGAGATGATGGATGCAATTAGTTGTTAATATTTTAAGGATTCTGTACCTTTTAAAAATATTCTGAAGAAAATCTGCATAAATGGTGCTTCTCATGTGTGGCAGTAATATGGCCAACAAAAGACCTTAGTGTAATTTGGTTTCATACTAAAAATGTCACTATATACTTTTTTTGGTGATATACTTTCCAATCATCTAAAACAAAACTGCAAATGGCTAGAGCAGGACCATTACAAATCTGGGAAACAAACCTTTTAACTCACTCAACTATTGGAACTTCATGAAAGACCCTGAAAGGTTTTTTTTTTTAATGTTTGTGAAAAGCATGTGGGATTGCTCTAAATAAAAATATATAAGTTATCAATAATAGTACTTCATTCGTTCTTGTTCACAAACTAGAAAATAAGGCAAGTTTGTATCTGGAAAAGGTGATGATACATATCAGTATTTCTACCTTGACCAGCTTGATAATATAGCAAGGCATATGCTCCCAAATTTTAGTCAGGGTTAACATTTCAAGATCATTCTCCTACAGACTGATAAGCTGTCAAAAGAATTAAAAAAGCCATACCACGAAGATTTCAGAAAAGAAAGACTTTGTAAAGTCAAAAATACACATACTAGGTATTTACATAAATTAGAACCTAAACTTTTGTTGTTGTTAAAAAACAGTGTTACTGCTATGTCCCTTAAATGTGTGTGTGCATGTGTGTGCATTTGTGTATGTGTGTTTTCAGATCGGATAGGACTGTGAAATTTCAGATACTGTTACCCTTTTTGATTTTTCTATTGTAGCAGCTTCAGAGCTTTTTAAAGAAGTATAATACCTAAGTAAGGATGCACTGGAGGCAAAGGCAGCAGTTTGAATCATTATACATCTATATAAAGGAATCATCTGTGGGCTGCTGGTCACTTGTTTACTTTATCTCAGATGGGGATTTGCCAAGCCAGCCATTTGTTCTTCTCTCTGAATATCTACAATGTGCTTTGAATGAGTAGAAACAGTATTTTCTACATAAGAAATATACATGTAAGAAATTTCTTACAATAATCACAATCAATCATCTGCATGAATTAGACTTAAAATTGCACTCCAGAGAAGTTATACCACATTATTTCAATGCATATTTTAAAATAATAGACAGACAAGTTAAGTATAACTTTTACTCCCTAATTTATTTAAGAAAAATGTAGAACCTGTTTTCCCTGCTAGACTTGTTTTGGCAGCATCATCTTAATTTGTTAATATAAGGTAAGTAAGTATGATGATAATTGAGAAGTTCACTTAGTTGGAATTATTGTAGCAAGAGATAGAAATATATACACATATTTACACATACATACATAAAATTTCTTTTTCTTCTTCAGACCACCAAAGTGAAATTGGAAAGAGAGTGGAAAGGGAGATAAAACAATTGACCTTTCAGACAGTTTTCTGCTGCCTCCTGTAAAAAGAATTCTTTTTCCTCTCAGGTTTTCTAGAAGTCTATTCCCTGCCTTCAAGGGACTCAAGGGAGAAAGAAGCAATAGAAAAAAGAAATAAACCACAGAGCATAGGAATCAATATTTGCCTTTGAAATCTAAATAAACGTAATAGAATTTTCAGGTTCATCCCTAGCATAAACATTAAAATGTGAGGGTTTTCTCAAAAATAGCCATATAAAGTATTTGTATAAAGTAGATATCTGTGCATAATTAGAAAATACCTCTTTAAATAAAGTTTAAATCACTTTCCCTAACTGATTCGGTTAAACTTTGGTTTATTTATTTTTAGCAATGAGAAGTGCTTGCAATATCATGCTGAAATGCTAGCTAGACTAATGATAAGTTTAATTTCAGCCAAAGCAGATGAATCCATCAGCTTTCACTTGAGATAAAATTCTAAATAACTCAACTGGGGTGGAGCAGTACTTTCGTGAATTTCCAAAATGGCTTCTCTTACAGTGTGCATAATATTAGCCTCTCTCCAAATCAAGATGCATATTTTTCTTGGCCCTTTTCTATTATATATGTACTAGGGATTGGAAGCTGACACTGGATAATTCTTTCTATTCTTTTTCTTCTCTTTTGTTTTTGGTGGGGGTGACTTACACATTTAAGATTTTAAATTTTTGACTGAGTGTTTTTGAAAGCCTTAGAACTCTTCAATTTCTTACACTTCCATCATCACAGTCAGGTCACACACAATTACAAATGATACACATCTTTACACTAAAATGGAACACATTTTGTAATCCTGATAACTGTGTTCAGATTAGAATAATTGTGGGAGGAGTCTTGCAATAGTATTACAAATGCACACTACTTCATCCAGCTTATCTTGATCTTTGCAGAAATGCACTTATTTCCTTTCCAGCCGCTGAGTGCACACTTTGTTCTTCTCAAAATGCATCATTTTGTTTTTACTTAAATATTTTCATATTCTTTGGCATCAGGAATCACTTAGATGAGATAGCTCCATTGTGGCGAGAGCGTGACCTTTCCAAAGGTACTCGTCTGTTATCTGTAAGACAAACAGAAAAAGGACCAAAAGCATGGTAAGTTTTAGATCTTTGCTATTACATGATGTTAGGTTGAGAAAGGTTTTCAAATAGTCCTGAAAAATCACTTCAAATGAAAATGTAAATAAGTAACAAGGAACTCAGATCTGAGGAGTTCATGCGGCAGCTGCCCGGCTGAGTTCAAGAGTTCTGCAATCAGCAATAAATGACTTTTCTTGGTAAGCGAAGTCAGAGTGATAAAAGAAATGGAAGCAGTCTCTCAAGCACAGTCCCCTTGGAAATAGCAGGCAACAACAAAATTCTTTGGTAAAGATGTTAAATTGAAAAGATCTATATACAGCACCTTTTGTTGGAAAGCACTTCAATTCCCCATGAGTTTTCAATCTGTATGTTGGCTACCTCTAGAGGACACCAGCATAGGCAGAGCAGAAAAGAGTTTTTATTTTTTACAATGATTGCAATATGTGGCAATCACACTAGCTACCAAATTTGCTTGATTGTATGATGTAAAAAAATTCAATATATTATATAGTCATCATGGGAATGAATAATGAATAGGACCTATTCCAGGTCCCATTCCCACCACCCATCACAGGAAGAATAATTATTATAGAGATAACAAAACTTGGAAAACAAAGTTTAAAAGCATTGAAAGTTGCTGAAAATAGTTCTAGCTTTAATAGGGAAAAGGTTTACAGCTCTGCATTGCAATGATCACTACTATGTTATTATCACCTCTGTTTTATGCTCAGCTTAAATGCAATTGATGTGGGGTGAAAATCCCTTTCTGACAAAAGCATAATATACTTAGATTCTCTATTTAGAATGAGACTAGGTCCCTAGAAATAATGACAACCACCAGCACTTACATAAATGCTAACACTTTACACTCGTTAATTTGCTAATTCACACAACATCTCCGGGAGGTAAGCCCATTTCATTCTATCCTATTATCTCTGCTTTAGTGATGAAGGTTACACAGCAAATCAATGGTATGATGGGGGATTATAATGCAAAGTTAATGCCTAAATGTCAGGCCTGCTTTGTTCAGAGTTAAAGGTTGGGGCCTCCCAAGCTGCTACTCATTTCCTCCTTGAGATGATGACGCCCAACTAACACATCCTGCCTGTTGTATGGGGAGGAAAAACTGAGAACTACTGAGGTTTTGCCATGGTGCCGTTCTTGTCTGTGCTAGCATCTCTTGACTGATTTCCCGGTAGTCTGTGGTCAGCAAACAGAGCAAAGCTAACGGGCCTCCATGACCCCAGCCTCATTAACACCACGGTATGTGTCCTGAGCCAACCAGCCATAAACTTAAAGCATACTGAGTGCTTCATGATGCAATAATATCACTGAGAGGTGAGAAAGAAAGAGGCATTTTCTCTACTCAGAGATATATCTGAGTGATGGATTATTTGGGTGTCCTTTTGAAGATACCATTAAAAAATCCATTATTTAGTTTGAGATATGGATCACAATTCAGCTAAAAATGTGAAGATAACATTCCCGAATAAAGGACTTATTACTTAGATGTCACTGGTTTGCATACAGATTGGTTTTCTACTTCTTAGAAAACATTTAAAAATGAGATTACAATACAATGGTTCCCACCGCATTGCTAGCATGAAAGTATTCAGTGTTAAAGCTACCAGACGTGAGAATGACGGTAGCATTCCCAGAGGATCATGCTGACTTGAAAAAAGGCTTGTGCCTTGGTGGTCCTACACACTAAGGTCAACAGGCATCCACACTTCACTTCAGTAATGCTACTGGCACCCCACACCATCACTCACTACCCACTGGGTCCAAGACAAGTACCACATCCAAAAACCCAGCTTTGCAGCAATAAATGATGGGATGTAAGGCTTCACATCAACCTGCAACTTACTGGTGTCATCTGGTGTGAGAAAACAAAGTTTCGGGTCAAAACAAACTGACGAAAAGACATGGAAGCTTTTGCAAGGCAGGATAAACATTGAGTTCAGGGCCTAAATCCAGCTTTTGACATGCACAAAACAGAATTATTCTAGATTTTCTCCCTCCCTTTATTCCTTTCTCCTTTCCTTCTTTGCCTCCACCTCCCACACCTCTCTGGATGCCTAATTTGTCCCAATATTAATGAGATAATTATAAGAAGCAATTCTGTAAAAGTTGCCACTTACATTTTCACAATGTCAACCTACAACGTTTATGAAAAAAATATCATTAGAAACAATAGCAGCAATGGCTGATCTGGATCTTTTATTTCCAACTCTCTGTATTTATGTTAAAACTAATTTAGTTTAAAAACCAACAAATATATATACATATATATACTCTTATACTCTGCATGTTTGTGTGTGTGTGTAAATTTGATTTCATTTATCTTCACATTCTAGTGGCTAGCAATCTAATGATGACGACTTCCACGTTTGGAGTCATGTTTTTTAAGCAGAGATTGAAAATCACTCAATTGTTTGAAATACAACTTTTATATTTATAGTATTAAAAACGAATGGGGAAAAAGCAGTGGCCTGGCCCTTATAAGGTCAGGACTCATAGTTGGCATCACATTTATGAGGAAAGGACAAATGTTAGATATGATTGCTGCCAGAGGTGATATACATTAATTTGGGTGATAGTGGCCATGATTGTATGTCCTCTTTGGAAACAGGTGGAGAAACTGGGTGCTCATGTGATATGATCTGAGAGCTCCATGAGACCCAGCCTGAATCCAATTCACTTTTCTAACTAGTCTCATTCTCCTAATACTAGTATAGTTTAAGTGAAAAAAATACAGGCTTCTCCTTCAAAAAGTCAATAGTTGACAACACATGTATTTACCTGAGATTATATGGAGGGCTTTGTTAACAAGTAGTGGTATCCCTTCCAATCTGCCTGTTATCTTTTTGGAAATCAAAGAGAGAAAAATGGAAGAGGAGGGTCTGTCTGTGTATATATGCTTGTTGGGGACATTGTGCAATGAAATACAGAAAAACACGCTTGATTGGAGGATGGGGTAACATGATTTGTCATATTCTTCATCTGCTTCATTTTTCTTAATTCATAGACTAACACATTATGGTCTAAGAATTCATTAAGGGATTCTAATGTTTGTAAACATGAGCCTTAATGCAGCAATAAGCCTGAGAAATCAATCCCAAAATGGACCTTCCAAATCTACCAGAGCCGGCTATGCATGCGCTAACAGATTCTTTTTGTTCATCAAAGGCTTTGAAATGTGCCCCATGTGAAGGTGAATAGATTCTGATACTATGAAGAGTGACCTGGTTAAAGCATAAGGTTGAAGACAGGAACATAGTTATATGAAAATGTGCATCCTGGGTCAGGCGCGGTGGCTCACGCCTGTAATCCCAGCACTTTGGGTGGCCGAGGTGGGCAGATCACCTGAGGTCGGGAGTTTGAGACCAGCCTGACCAACATGGAGAAACCCCATCTCTACTAAAAATACAAAATTAGCCGGGCATGGTGGCGCATGCCTGTAATCCCAGCTACTCGGGAGGCTGAGGCAGGAGAATCACTTAAATCTGGGAGGCAGAGGTTGTGGTGAGCAGAGATCGTGCCATTGCCAGCCTGGGCAACAAGAGTGAAACTCTGTCTCAAAAAAGAAAAAAGAAAAAGAAAAGAAAAAGGAAGAAAGAGAAAAGAAAGAAAGAGAAAGAAAGAAAGAAAGAGAGGAAAAAGAAAGAAAGAAAAGAAAATGTGCATCCTATGGAGAAAGCGTGGCCAAAACAAAAGTAATATTCAAATCTTTCACTAAAAAGGAATATAAAACCATGGCCCAGCTTAAACATGGTTCTGCAGCTTCTGAATATCAGGTTAACCAGCTCAAACAGATGTCAAGGCTTTCCCTGCTGTCATATGAGTAAGAAGCTTTATGCCTTTTCTAAGCATAAATTGATTTGGCATTCATCTCAAAACCTTCTTAACTGAGTCCTGCAGTAAATGGACTAAACCCATTATAGTATTGCTTCAGAATTCATTCATGCAATCATTTATTCAGCAACTATGTACAAAGCACATCATCCACAAAATACCTGGATGTCACAAAGTTTCAGATCCACACCTAAATCTACATCATTAATTTCCTTCTTACCGAAGACTTTGTCAAGTGAAATAACTGGGGAATAAGCACAATACAGATAAAGCTTAAACACAATGTGACATGAGATAGACTGGAGGACTCGAGCTGCATTATGTAACCTGGGAGTGTGCAAACAATCCTCTAACACAGTGAGCGAGTGCCAAAAGTACAAGGCTGTATCTTGAATATGGCATGAGGCGGTAAACTTGGGATTGAAAAAAACTGTTATAAAAGGGCCACGTCCATTATTCATTCCCCACAAGGTTAGGCGTCCATCTGTTGTTGCCTAGGGGAAGGCTGTTTCTTTCCCTATGGTGCTTCATAGGCATGTAGAGATACCAGTGTTGACCTAACATTATATACTAGTCCCTCACAGCAGGATAACATAAACGAAGTCTATGACCCTTATATACATAGTGTTACAAAATATCCCATTTTAATGCCAATTAGTAGGCTAGAAAACAAAGTAAAAGAAACCCTCTGTAATTTACAATGAGCTTTGCTTTCTCCAAAGCCCTTTGAAAGTGACAATGTGGCAGATTTACCATCAGTGGTCAGGCATTGTTTCTGGCAAAGAGAGCAAGTAGAGGTCTGGGTCTATTGCAGCTTAGGCTAAGGAAACCAAGAAAACTTTTTATGTTGCTTCCAAAAATGTCCATAGAGTAGCTATTTGCATCCCAAGCACTGATGAGAGAAAGATGATTTATTTTGGACTGTTATACTGAAATCATCTCATATGGACTTACATTTTTTCCCCCTTGTGTCCAAAATGGTTTTATTTATGCTTTTCTCTGTGATTTTAGAAATCCTGACTTGGAAATAGTTTTTTACTCACCAGAAATGACTGCAAGGTGGCAGCCAAATTAGGCTTGAGCCTAATCTCTTTGTGGGGGACAGCCAATTGCTCTACTAGTTGACCAGATTCTTTCTCCTCACTGTGACCAGAATAGTGTCTTTTGTGTATGTGTACGTATATATATATATATACTGAGCTCAAACTACATATGCAGTTTGGTGTTCTACCTTTTCATTTAATATTGTATTGTAGAAATTTTCCATGTCATTAAACTTCTGGAACATGACAGTTACATCTTTACATATGCCATATGTAGAAGTGGCATTGTTAGGGTATGCAAAAGTAAGTCCAAATGTATTCCAGAATAGTTGTATTAATTTAAATCCAATTGGCAGTATATGAATTTGTGTATCTTATCTCTTTGTTAGGTATTAATCTTTTTAAAAATGTGCTAATATAAAAAGTGAAAAAATTGCATCTGATTCATTCTTTTTGCATTTATTCAAATACTAATTAGGTGGAACGTTTCATATGTCTTCCTTTCTATACTGATCATGTCTTTTGCCCATTTATCTATTGGGATCTTAGGTTTCTGCTTTTGTTTTTATTTTAAATGGTACATGTTAGGGATACTAAACAATTGAAATATTTATTAGAAATATTTTCCTTTGTTTGTTGATTGCTTGTTGATTGTTATTTATTTTGTGTTGTAGGTTTTTAGGAATATATGGTTTCATTTTTTGCTGTTTTTATGAAACTAAATCTATCAATCTTTTACACTGTGATTTGTTTCTTTGTTTTTAAGCTTAGAAAGTCCTTCTCTAGCCAGAGACATGTGACAAACATTCAACTATATGAGTTCTTGCTCTTTAAGGTTTAACTTGTTTTTTTTTTTTACATGTAACTATTTAAATTATCTATAATTCATTTTGTTGTACAATGTCAGGTAAGTTTCCACACCAGTTTGTTTCTTTTTTTTCTTACAAAGAGGAGATGGGCTGTTCCTGCACTATTTGTTGAATAATCATGAATTTCTATAATGATTCATGTTACCTCCTTTATCAAATATAAATTGCTATACTCGGGTTTCTGTTCCATTGACATTGAGATTATTCCATATTTTTGTGCCAATAGCTCCTGATTTCATTATTTCAGCCTCATGAGATGTTTTAATATCTGGTGGAGTTAAACCTCCATTACTCATATTTTCATTTAAACTATGTATTTTTTAGGACACATTTTAGAACTCTACATGCTATAATCCCAAAACAACTTAAAAATAACACAGCTAGATAAACAAACCCAATGGGTACTCGTCTAGAAGCCAATCGATTACCTCCACTTAGCAATTAAATAGTTCTAGACCTATTCTAATCTCAATGACATTATAATGTGCAAACTAGAAACAGGTCATGTTGTGTAATCTGTATCCTTCATTACATGCAAATAAATCCGTGCAAAGAAAACAGAAACCTAGATTACTGTGGTAGTTCAGGTTGGTAGAAGAGATGAAAGTTATTTTAACGAGGATGGTAATGGAAAGCAATAATGTTAAAATAGTTCAGAGGCTACTGTGACTATAGACACACGACTCCCATTAACTGTAATTGGAGTTAAGCACATGTAATGATAACAAAATAGACCCCCAAATGTCTTTCCAATTGGAAAATAAGCAAATGTGTTCCATGAAACAGAGTGCTTTTGTGTAGAAAATACAGTATTCTAATTGAGATGCACAAATTACTTTCACATTGATATTGTTCACGGTATGATGTTGGTATTGTTCCTATGCATAGGGATGTAGATCTGCTAGAGGTAACTTCTGTGCAAAGAACGCCTTTCCTTTTCTTAATGCTCAGCATTCGTTATGTTATTAAAGGAAAAATCTCAATAGTTGCAATGGATTTATTAATTCAGTAGCTTGTTATCAACATGAAACTCTGCTGTGCTAGGGGAAAAACAAATTAGATTTTACAAAACTGCAGTAGTGAGATTAAATCACTTTTCTATATTTCACTTTCTTCTTATCCTCCCTGCCAGGTAGTAACTCTACTCTCCATCTCTATTATGAACCTCATATTTTGCAAACTATCAAGTCTCGTACTAATGTAAAGGTACATTATCAAACAAACTCAATTATAGTAACTTTAGGAAGATTGAAATACCTGATAAAAGTAAAATCACATAGTACAATAATATTAATTCAAGGCATTAAAAATGTATCCACATTAAACTACAAATGTAGAAAATATGCAATACTTACTTTTATCTACCATAAACATGATATTTTTATAACATGTACAGCCAATCTCTTGGGATTCTGAATGACTGGCATTTACATAATTGATAACATGGGCATTTCAAGAAATCTTAGAAAAGTATGGTTAAGAAAAAATTACATCAGTATATTGTTCAGTATTTCAACTGCCACAGACCTTGCCATTGATTATCTTTGGACTCAATGTCAAAGCTAGTGAATAGATTTTTTTAAATGTCCTTGGTTTTGTATATGAGCCATGCATTATGTTTGCTTCTTTACTAGAGAATGCAATTGGGTCGTAAGACAGATTTTCTCTCTATGATGTTCAAAGTCTGATGAGGATGCCTGCATATCTAGAAAATACAGAAAAAGGTGACAAATAAATATATGAAGAAAGTTAGGCAATAGCTGGTAAAGCTTCCAAGGAAGTTATATATGTGAAACATATTGAAGAGCAAGCTAACAGAAACCACACAAACTACAACAGAGATGCTCAAGGTGTCTATGATAGTGGCTTATACATAGTAGTTTCTAGAAACTTGTCTGTTGATTAAATAATCATCCAATCATTAGCATCAAATCAGAAACTGATCCTTGAATTCACCTTCAGCTCTGCTGCTTTCACAGAGGGAATGTATTTTGACATTAATACAAGGAAAGGAAAGGCTTTCTTCTGTCTGTCTATCCACACGTTGTTACTGCATAAGCTATCTGCAGGGTACCTTAACAGGCACCCTTGCACATTATGAGGGTAGAAAGGATAAATGTACCAACAACTAGAACATGAAACTAACTATATTGTCTCTTGTAGCATCTATTACATTTTAAGTACAATGGAGGTTCAAAGTGGAGAAAAATCATATCCCTTGAGTACAGGAGCTGGGAGTCAGGGACAACTTCTTCCCAGTTAAGCCTTAAAAGATAGGGGGATTTCAACAAGAAGAAACAGAAAGATAGCTGTTAATTTTTGATTAGCAGAAAAAGGGAATTCTAGTTCTCGAATATTGCTATTTAATGACTAAATGTTTCCTATTTGCAAAGAGGGTATGAAAAGCAATGAATGTATAAAGGAAGAACCAGAATGTCTATACATATTTAACCTTTATTTTCTAAGGAAGAAAATAATGAAATAAAATATACTGACTGGACTTGTAGTTATTAGAACTAAGACAGTGACAGCTGTTTCAATAAACATGTAATTTTAATTTTAATTCTATTTTTTTAAAAAAACAGTCTTGAAGCATTTACATAGAAAACAGGAGTTCTGCTTTAAAAAGTGAGCAGAAATGGGCTCTCTGAAATCTTCCGAAGAGGTTCTATTGTTGAAGCCTAGATATCCTAGATAGTATCAAGAGTGACAGTAGAAAAGCCGATGAAGGCATAGATTGCAATAACCTGGGCCAGGAGTGTTTGGCAGGGTGAGAGCTCAAGCAGCCATTTGGGTTGGTGGAGAATAAACTAGCTGTTAAACGGCATGGTGGCTACAAGGTCAATTCATTACTATCACCTGTCATCTCTGTGCCTTTCTACTCCATGTGTGGCATATATGCCTATGACTAAGAATAGTAGGCATCAGCCATTTCTCTAACTTTGAGCACATGATGGACAATCCTCTGTCATTTTCTGAGGCAGTTGTTTGTGATCTGCCTGAACTTTGTTGCTGATATGCTGACTTAGAATACACTTACCTGTCATCTGCCTTTGTTTCTGAATCACTCTAAGACCATGTATCTACTCTTTTTGTTTTTAACATGTGCAACCCATCTCTTGGGTCTGGGCTACGTATTTCTTGCTGATGATGGAAGTTTTAGGGTAGTCAGTCCAACTCCCCAGCTTAAGTAAGCCCAGGTACCCTTGATATGCAGGCTCGCTAGTTTCAGCAGTGAGGCAGAAATGGCAGTCGTTCATTCACCCTGCATGATGTCTCCATTTCCCAAAGAACCAGATCACAGAAATATACCACTGCCTATGATTTTGATAAAAGATACTTAACCTACAGCTTACAATGCAAGAGTCTATAAACAGGTGCTTCCCATTAGCAATGTTCCCCATGCTAGCCTGTGCTTAATTACTTAACCAGTTGTATGAACAAAGGCAACCTGTATGGTTAATATCACACACACTTTAACAGCTGTCGGTGCCATTGTTTTAAAATACAAATTGTCCCTTAAGGTAGAAGCCAGTCAAAAGTTGTTTTAAATATGAACAATTAGGACACAGTTAAAACACAGCTTCTTGATTCCATATTCATAATTGGCACAAGTTCCTTTATATTTCTAGTGTCTAACACAATCCATGCACAACCTGAGTGCCAGGCTGAGCCTATACATGAATAAAAATGGCTACTAACCTAGCAACTTGCTTCTCATATAAGATGTCTCAAAGAATCATTCCTGACATTTACATCTATTGGGACAAAGCCAGTCCTCACATTATCGGATAAATGTATAAAGCTAGATCATCATACACTGATGTTCTTTGCAGCATTGTTTATACTAATGAATATCATAAATAACCAATATGTCCATCATGGGATTAGACAAAACAGGGAACCTACAAACATTGGGATACTATGCAGTCAATCTAAACTATTACATAGATCTACATGTACTTGATAAAAAGAGGTCCATATGATAAGGTGAAAAAGGCAAGTTATAAGAGTATGTCATAATCTGCTTTTTGAAAAAAATATAATTTATAATATTATAATTTTTAAAGTTTAGAGGGATATACACCAATAAAAAATAGTGGCTATCTATGAATGGTGGGATGACTCTTTTTTTTTTTTTTTTTTTTTTGAGATGGAGTCTCTCTCGGCCGTGCAGGCTGGAGTGCAGTGGTGCGAGCTTGGCTCACTGCAACCACCGTCTCCTGGGTTCAAGCGATTCTTCTGTTTCAGCCTCCCGAGTAGCTGGGATTACAGGCACCCGTCATCATGCCCAGCTAATTTTTGTATTTTAGTAGAGATGGGGTTTCACCATGTTGGCCAGGTTGGTCTTGAACTCTTGACCTCAGGTGAGCCACCCACCTCAGCCTCCCAAAGTGCTAGGATTACAGGCATGAGCCACCGCAACCATCTGATTCTTTTATATATATATATATATATATATATATATATTTCTATAATATCTGAATTTTTGGCATTGAGCATGATTAATTTGTCAAACTAGAGAACAAAATCTAGATAGGATGTTAAATTCTCAGTCTTTAGCTACAAAGTACATATTGTTTTCAATTTTAAGAAAGAGTAGCATAGGATCCAATAATCTCTAAACTAATTCCTTGTTGATTATACCATCACTAAGTATACTATAATGGAAAGAAAAAAAGGATATAAAACAGGTGCCAGTTTTCTGCCCTGTTTCAGTAAGGGCCGTGGAATGTTCCCTGATGGGAAAGTCATGGCTTACAAATTTTAGAACATGAATAAATTTGTGTCCACACAGTTATCATTTATAAAGGTATTTCACGTATCTTAGATTATAAATTCTAAAAGTTAAAGTCTTAAAAAGTCATTCTCTCTAAAAGATTGACTCTCTCCAAACAGATGGGTAAAAATCCAGAAAAAATAGGAGGTATGTCATTACATCACCTGGAGAGAGTTTTACTTCAATGATAAAAATCACATGAGACTTCAAAAAAAAAAAAAGTCTGTCCTTTGATGGTAAAAGGTACTGACCGATGTTTAGTAAAGCATGCATTCCGGGTTAATTTTCCCTTCCTAGTGCAGGCAGTGTGGGGTGGAAAGGGAAGTCTTAGCACTAAGCATTATATTCTTTCTTACCACTTATAACAATGGAGCAAAGTAAAGCTAACTGCTATGTGTAGTCTTTGAACTTATTAATGTAGACTACTAGACTCATTTGTTTCCTAACCAATTAGGCCCACTTTGCGTTTATGCATTCGCAAAATGAACCTTTCTAAACAGCAGTTTCCTTATTCGTAAGATGGGGATAATAATGGTACTTACACTGAAGAGTATTAACAGAACTAAATGAGGTAATCTAGTACCTGGCCCATACTAATCTTCTGATGGATGTGAAGAGCATGCACACAAATCAATAAACAAGCCTCAAGCAAAAAACTGTTTCTACTTACAATGGATAGTCACAATTTAGCGTGACAGGTCAAAGTTCTCAGTGTATGGCCATACATATGGGTTCACATCTTTGTTCTGCCACTTAAGAGCTATGTTTTTCTCATTTTAATTTCCCCTTGTGAACATAAAAATAATATTAAAGACCCACCTAACAGGGCAGTTACAAAGACTTTAGTAATGAAACAATAAAGTAAAATGACCAGAATGGCACCCGATACAGAGAAAAAGCTGAACATTTTAAATATTAGATATTGTGAGAGCCAAATTCCAAAGATTTTAGCATCACGATCATATTACACTTTTCAAAGTCTAGACAGCCTCATTATGGTACTATGACATTTTTTAGTCACTTTTGGGACAATGAGATTAGATGCAAACAGATGTTTATAGAAGTATTTTTCAGATTAGCCTATTAAAACAAAGACTTAAAAAGATCAGCCAGAAGTCAGAATTTATCAAGGTTCTAACTCTATTTCACAAGTCATCATAGGCGAGGGTATTTTTTTTATGCCCTTGAGAAGCAATGAAAATCTTTCATAACTATTTACTTATTTTTCTTATTGTCATCCAGTGGGTATAGAAATGTTGCCAGACTGCTTTCTATTACTTCGCTGCTTTAGGATTCCAGTTGTCTGGACAGATTTGTCCTTTAGGGTAGAAAGAGATTATTTCTAGAGATTCCAGCCTGGCTTGAATGATGCATCTAGCAAAACCGGTCACTCATTTTTTTTTTTTTTTCTAGGACAGCAGATTTACCAGGCAACCTGCTGAAATTCAATTCGGTTTCCTGAGTAGACTTATGCACTCGAAAGAGGAGGAGCCTTGCTGTCATAAGCAGAGTCTGTTCCAATGTCAGGCATATTTCCCTCTGTCCAAAAACTGGCCTGCAATTTATTTCAACCATCTTTTCTTGAACATTGACTATGTGCCTGGCACAGTGCTAGAGGGATACAGAGATAAATGAGCCAGTCTTTCAAGGCAGGTACTATGTAGTGATTGTGGCATTTTGGTTTAAAAATTAGTCTAATGGAAATGTATTAAGGCTTTCTCTTTACTCTGTTATATAGTTCTCAGTGAGTCAGTTTGAGAACTTAGATTATATTGGATCCCCTGATACCAAAATGAAATGTCTCAGCCCTTTGCCTCATGGTGTTCTCTCTCAAATGCGGTTAGCATACAAAGATAATGAGAAGAGAGTTATAGTGTGTGCTATGATGAGGGGTATACTGTTCAGGAGTACAGAAATTAAATACTCAGCCAAGCCTTAGGGGAAGCATCTTTGGGAAGACTTTCTAGAGAAGGCAATATTGTTGTAGATTCTTAAAGGATATGGATGAATTATCCTGGAAGAAAAGTATATTCCAGGAAAAGGAGATGCTGTGAGGAAAGGAAGAGAAAATATGAGGTAAAAAAAGTGTGTGTGAAGATGACAAACAAAATCAGTATTGATTAAAAGCAGGGGATGATGGTTAGAACACAGATTGGGCTTATGTGTCATTTTAAGGCTCTTGAACTTCAGATATGCAATAGGGAGTGAAGTGGTAAGACAGTTCAGTTTGGTGATCATGCAGTAGGTGAACTTAATAAGCACAAGACAATAATTAGGGATTCATTGGACATGTAGGAAAGAAAAGGAGTCCAAGATCACTCTAAAATTAAAGAAAAGGAGTCCAAGATCACTCTAAAATTTCCAGCCTATATGTTTGGGAGAATGGTGGTTCCATCATCTAAGAATATATAGGAGAAAAAGGTGCATTCCAGGTGATGATGAGTTCAGTTAGGGATTTGTCAATTTGTATGCCTTTAAAACATCTGAGTGGACCTGCCCAGCAGGCCGTTACAAATATTACAAGACCAAGGTTCAGGGGAGAGGCCTGAAAAGAGTGAGAGAGATTTGGGTAATAGATGGTAGATGGTTATCAAAGCCATCATTCAGGAATGTACGTAAAGTGAGAAAAGCAGTGGGCTAATGATCAAATCCTGGGAAACAGTGACATTTAAGAGATAAGTATAGGAAGAAGAGTCCATGAAACAAAACAGCAAATATTCAGAGAGGCATAGAAAGAACCATTACAGTACACGTTATGGAATTCAGGGGAGTAGATATTTTGAAAAATGGAATAAGCAATAATATCATATGTTGTAGAAAGATGCAGTAAAATAAAGACAAACTATCAGATTTAGAAATATGGAGGTCATTAGAGACCTTAATGAGAGCAATTTCAGTTCGAAATAAGGGGAGCAGAAGCCAGATTGCAGAAGGTTGAGGAGTAAGTGGAGGCAATGAATATAACTTACACTTGGATTTCCCATGACCCTGAAAGGGGTGATATTTTCTTAGAGTGCAAACAGTTGCCTCAGGTCATTGTGCCCGATGTACCCAACACCACTTCTAGCTGAAACCATCACCCTCAATAGTTTTTTTTTTTTTTTACTTAGGAAAGCAGTACTAAATAGGCTTTTTCCCCCTCAACAGTGGCCAATGAAGGGACCATTATGGACATCAGTTTCCTTCAGGGGCAGCCAATTCATAGGTAACACATGGCATGATTTGTGATGAAAGGCACTACTCAATAGGGCAGTAAGCCAGTTGAAAGATAAATAGAAAAGAACAGACACACAGAAGGAAGTAAAATTCATTTTGTTTCTTAAGGGGTCCAGAGTAAGTTTCTGTTCTAAAAGAGCCCAATGTAACAAAGATATTAATTACATGATGTAATTCCCAATGTTGCAGCCAATTTCATTAAAAAAAAAAAAAAAAAGTCAGTGGAGCTCACTAGGGCATTATTTCTTAAAACAGGGTATATTTACAGTTTTGTGTTTTCACTTTATGGTACAGTAAAAAGTGTTTACATAAGGATACCCTGCATCATCACCTTATGAGTGACTAGTGTACTGATCACTGATATACAAAAAGGCTTATATATATTTGCTTTTATATTACGTAAAAGCCAAGCAACATTATTGTGCACTGTACTAATGAAGGTTTCATGATAATTTGAAGAGAGAAAATTTTTCAGAGACTTGAGTCATCACAGGGTGCAATGCTCTTTCACACAACAGTCTAGGCAAGCTGGACATATGAGAACTGTGACATAACAGTCAGTACCGTCTTCAGGACATGATCAGTTGTATTATACGGATGTAATCCTTGTGGACCAACTTGCAATTGTTCACTATCTAAAAATTGAGTGGTAAATATGTACTGAATACTTTTTTGCTTCCTGATTCCAGCAGTAAATGGATTAAATACCCATGTTATATTCCAATCCTAGCCTTCTCTTCATGTGAGCAACACAACTTTACAAGGTTCTGGAGCAGACATCCTATTAAAACTGGAATTTGAGAGTTGCTCTCTACCAAAATTTTCATTTGGTATGGAGTCTGATGACCCTGAATTCTATCACAAAATGTTGACTGATGGTACTAGTACCACTTTGTTCAGCCTACTTATACAACAGGGATGTTCTGCATTTGTAATGATAAGGTCAAAAAAAGGTATAAGTGGATCTGAAGCTCTACTATTAAATCTAGAATCAGTAGGCACATTAAGTGAACATTAATTTTAGTTTTATCTGTTTTATTAAAATTCTTAAAGCATATAGAGTTTATGCCTATTTTTATATTTAAGCAACAATATATTAAAAGTAAGTCTAAGTCGATTACTGGGGACCCAAAATTATTAGGTTCTCATTAAAATGTATCCACAGATCCCTTTTACTACACCTAAAATTTGAGAAACAATGCATTGGGTAGACTAATCACTATACTCAGGCTTTCTTCCTTTCTAGTCAATCTCTAATCCAGCTTTGAAAACAGTCTTCTCGAAGATGGCCGAATATGAACAGCTCCGGTCTACAGCTCCCAGCCTGAGCGACGCAGAACACAGGTGATTTCTGCATTTCCATCTGAGGTACCGGGTTCATCTCACTAGGGAGTGCCAGACAGTGGGCGCAGGTCAGTGGGTGCACGCACCGTGCGCGAGCCAAAGCAGGGCGAGGCATTGCCTCACTCGGGAAGCCCAAGGGGTCAGGGAGCTCCCTTTCCTAATCAAAGAAAGGGGTGACGGACGGCACCTGGAAAATCGGGTCACTCCCACCCGAATACTGCGCTTTTCCGAAGGGCTTAAAAAATGGCGCACCACGAGATTATATCCCGCACCTGGCTCGGAGGGCCCTACCCCACCGAGTCTCGCTGATTGCTAGCACAGCAGTCTGAGATCAAACTGCAAGGCGGCAGCGAGGCTGGGGGAGGGGCGCCCGCCATTGCCCAGGCTTGCTTAGGTAAACAAAGCAGCCAGGAAGCTCGAACTGGGTGGAGCCCACCACAGCTCAAGGAGGCCTGCCTGCCTCTGTAGGCTCCACCTCTGGGGGCAGGGCACAGACAAACAAAAAGACAGCAGTAACCTCTGCAGACTTAAATATCCCAGTCTGACAGCTTTGAAGAAAGCAGTGGTTCTCCCAACATGCAGCTGGAGATCTGAGAACGGGCAGACTGCCTCCTCAAGTGGGTCCCTGACCCCTGACCCCCGAGCAGCCTAACTGGGAGGCACCCTCCAGCAGGGGCACACTGACACCTCACACTGCAGGGTACTCCAACAGACCTGCAGCTGAGGGTCCTGTCTGTTAGAAGGAAAACTAACAAACAGAAAGGACATCCACACCAAAAACCCATCTGTACATCACCATCATCAAAGACCAAAAGTAGATAAAACCACAAAGATGGGGAAAAAACAGAACAGAAAAACTGGAAACTCTAAAAATCAGAGCGCCTCTCCTCCTCCAAAGGAACGCAGCTCCTCACCAGCAGCAGAACAAAGCTGGACAGAGAATGACTTCGACGAGCTGAGAGAAGAAGACTTCAGACGATCAAATTACTCTGAGCTACGGGAGGATATTCAAACCAAAGGCAAAGAAGTTGAAAACTTTGAAAAAAATTTAGAAGAATGTATAACTAGAATAACCAATACAGAGAAGTGCTTAAAGGAGCTGATGGAGCTGAAGACCAAAGCTCGAGAACTATGTGAAGAATGCAGAAGCCTCAGGAGCCGATGCGATCAACTGGAAGAAAGGGTATCAGCAATGGAAGATGAAATGAATGAAATGAAGCGAGAAGGAAAGTTTAGAGAAAAAAGAATAAAAAGAAACGAGCAAAGCCTCCAAGAAATATGGGACTATGTGAAAAGACCAAATCTACGTCTGATTGGTGTACCTGAAATGATGGGGAGAATGGAACCAAGTTGGAAAACACTCTGCAGGATATTATCCAGGAGAATTTCCCCAATCTAGCAAGGCAGGCCAACGTTCAGATTCAGGAAATACAGAGAACGCCACAAAGATACTCCTCGAGAAGAGCAACTCCAAGACACATAATTGTCAGATTCACCAAAGCTGAAATGAAGGAAAAAATGTTAAGGGCAGCCAGAGAGAAAGGTCGGGTTACCCTCAAAGGGAAGCCCATCAGACTAACAGCGGATCTCTCGGCAGAAACCCTACAAGCCAGAAGAGAGTGGGGGCCAGTATTCAACATTCTTAAAGAAAGAAAAGAATTTTCAACCCAGAATTTCATATCCAGCCAAACTAAGCTTCATAAGTGAAGGAGAAATAAAATACTTTACAGACAAGCAAATGCTGAGAGATTTTGTCACCACCAGGCCTGCCCTAAAAGAGCTCCTGAAGGAAGCGCTAAACATGGAAAGGAACAACCGGTACCAGCCGCTGCAAAATCATGCTAAAATGTAAAGACCATCGAGACTAGGAAGAAACTGCATCAACTAACGAGCAAAATAACCAGCTAACATCATAATGAGAGGATCAAATTCACACATAACACTATTAACTTTAAATGTAAATGGACTAAATGCTCCAATTAAAAGACACAGACTGGCAAATTGGATAAAGAGTCAAGACCCATCAGTGTGCTGTATTCAGGAAACCCATCTCACATGCAGAGACACACATAGGCTCAAAATAAAAGGATGGAGGAAGATCTACCAAGCAAATGGAAAACAACAAAAGGCAGGGGTTGCAATCCTAGTCTCTGATAAAACAGACTTTAAACCAACAAAGATCAAAAGAGACAAAGAAGGCCATTACATAATGGTAAAGGGATCAATTCAATAAGAAGAGCTAACTATCCTAAATATATATGCACCCAATACAGGAGCACCCAGATTCATAAAGCAAGTCCTGAGTGACCTACAAAGAGACTTAGAATCCCACACATTAATAATGGGAGACTTTAACACCCCACTGTCAACATTAGACAGATCAACGAGACAGAAAGTCAACAAGGATACCCAGGAATTGAACTCAGCTCTGCACCAAGCAGACCTAATAGACATCTACAGAACTGTCCACCCCAAATCAACAGAATATACATTTTTTTCAGCACCACACCACACCTATTCCAAAATTGACCACATACTTGGAAGTAAAGCCCTCCTCAGCAAATGTAAAAGAACAGAAATTATAACAAACTATCTCTCAGACCACAGTGCAATCAAACTAGAACTCAGGATTAAGAATCTCACTCAAAACCGCTCAACTACATGGAAACTGAACAACCTGCTCCTGAATGACTACTGGGTACATAACGAAATGAAGGCAGAAATAAAGATGTTCTTTGAAACCAACGAGAACAAAGACACATCATACCAGAATCTCTGGGACGCATTCAAAGCAGTGTGTAGAGGGAAATTTATAGCACCAAATGCCCACAAGAGAAAGCAGGAAAGATCCAAAATTGACACCCTAACATCACAATTAAAAGAACTAGAAAAGCAAGAGCAAACACATTCAAAAGCTAGCAGAAGGCAAGAAATAACTAAAATCAGAGCAGAACTGAAGGAAATAGAGACACAAAAAACCCTTCAAAAAATTAATGAATCCAGGAGCTGGTTTTTTGAAAGGATCAACAAAATTGACAGACCTCTAGCAAGACTAATAAAGAAAAAAAGAGAGAAGAATCAAATAGACGCAATAAAAAATGATAAAGGGGATATCACCACCGATCCCACAGAAATACAAACTACCATCAGAGAATACTACAAACACCTCTACGCAAATAAACTAGAAAATCTAGAAGAAATGGATAAATTCCTTGACACATACACTCTCCCAAGACTAAACCAGGAAGAAGTTGAATCTCTGAATAGACCAATAACAGGATCTGAAATTGTGGCAATAATCAATAGCTTACCAACCAAAAAGAGTCCAGGATCAGATGGATTCACAGCCGAATTCTACCAGAGGTACAAGGAGGAACTGGTACCATTCCTTCTGAAACTATTCCAATCAATAGAAAAAGAGGGAATCCTCCCTAACTCATTTTATGAGGCCAGTATCATTCTGATACCAAAGCCGGGCAGAGACACAACCAAAAAAGAGAATTTTAGACCAATATCCTTGATGAACATTGATGCAAAAATCCTCAATAAAATACTGGCAAACCGAATCCAGCAGCACATCAAAAAGCTTATCCACCATGATCAAGTGGGCTTCATCCCTGGGATGCAAGGCTGGTTCAATATACGCAAATCAATAAATGTAATCCAGCATATAAACAGAGTCAAAGACAAAAACCACATGATTATCTCAATAGATGCAGAAAAGGCCTTTGACAAAATTCAACAACCTTTCATGCTAAAAACTCTCAATAAATTAGGTATTGATGGGACATATTTCAAAATAATAAGAGCTATCTATGACAAACCCACAGCCAATATCATACTGAATGGGCAAAAACTGGAAGCATTCCCTTTGAAAACTGGCACAAGACAGGGATGCCCTCTCTCACCACTCCTATTCAACATAGTGTTGGAAGTTCTGGCCAGGGCAATTAGGCAGGAGAAGGAAATAAAGGGTATTCAAGTAGGAAAAGAGGAAGTCAAATTGTCCCTGTTTGCAGATGACATGATTGTATATCTAGAAAACCCCACTGTCTCAGCTCAAAATCTCCTTAAGCTGACAGGCAACTTCAGCAAAGTCTCAGGATACAAAATCAATGTGCAAAAATCACAAGCATTCCTATACACCAACAACAGACAAACAGAGAGCCAAATCATGAGTGAACTCCCATTCACAATTGCCTCAAAGAGAAGAAAATAGCTAGGAATCCAACTTACAAGGGATGTGAAGGACCTCTTCAAGGAGAACTACAAACCGCTGCTCAAGGAAATAAAAGAGGATACAAACAAATGGAAGAACATTCCATGCTCATGGTTAGGAAGAATCAATATCGTGAAAATGGCCATACTGCCCAAGGTAATTTACAGATTCAATGCCATCCCCATCAAGCTACCAATGCCTTTCTTCACAGAATTGGAAAAAACTACTTTAAAGTTCATATGGAACCAAAAAAGAGCCCGCATCGCCAAGACAATCCTAAGCCAAAAGAACAAAGCTGGAGGCAACACACTACCTGACTTCAAACTATACTACAAGGCTACAGTAACCAAAACAGCATGGTACTGGTACCAAAACAGAGATATAGATCAATGGAACAGAACAGAGCCCTCAGAAATAACGCCGCCTATCTACAACTATCTGATCTTTGACAAACCTGAGAAAAGCAATGGGGAAAGGATTCCCTATTTAATAAATGGTGCTGGGAAAACTGGCTAGCCATATGTAGAAAGCTGAAACTGGATCCCTTCCTTACACCTTATACAAAAATCAATTCAAGATGGATTAAAGACTTAAACGTTAGACCTAAAACCATAAAAACCCTACAAGAAAACCTAGGCATTACCATTCAGGACATAGGCATGGGCAAGGACTTCATGTCTAAAACACCAAAAGCAATGGCAACAAAAGACAAAATTGACAAATGGCATCTAATTAAACTAAAGAGATTCTGCACAGCAAAAGAAACTACCATCAGAGTGAACAGGCAACCTACAAAATGGGAGAAAAATTTCGCAACCTACTCATGTGACAAAGGGCTAATATCCAGAATCTACAATGAACTCAAACAAATTTACAAGAAAAAAACAAACAACCCCATCAAAAAGTGGGCGAAGGACATGAACAGACACTTCTCAAAAGAAGACATTTATGCAGCCAAAAAACACATGAAAAAATGCTCACCATCACTGGCCATCAGAGAAATGCAAATCAAAACCACAATGAGATACCATCTCACACCAGTTAGAATGGCACTCATTAAAAAGTCAGGAAACAACAGGTGCTGGAGAGGATGTGGAGAAATAGGAACACTTTTACACTGTTGGTGGGACTGTAAACTAGTTCAACCATTGTGGAAGTCAGTGTGGCGATTCCTCAGGGATCTAGAACTGGAAATACCATTTGACCCAGCCATCCCATTACTGGGTATATACCCAAAGGACTATAAATCATGCTGCTATAAAGACACATGCACACGTATGTTTATTGCAGCATTATTCACAATAGCAAAGACTTGGAACCAACCCAAATGTCTAACAATGATAGACTGGATTAAGAAAATGTGGCACATATACACCATGGAATACTATGCAGCCATAAAAAATGATGAGTTCATGTCCTTTGTAGGGACATGGATGAAATTGGAAACCATCATTCTCAGTAAACTATCGCAAGAGCAAAAAACCAAACACCGCATATTCTCACTCATAGGTGGGAATTGAACAATGAGATGACATGGACACAGGAAGGGGAACATCACACTCTGGGGACTGTTGTGGGGTGGGGGGAGCGGGGAGGGATAGCATTGGGAGATATACCTAATGCTAGATGACGAGTTAGTGGGTGCAGCACACCAGCACGGCACATGTATACGTATGTAACTAACCTGCACAATGTGCACATGTACCCTAAAACTTAAAGTATAATAATAAAAATAAATAAAAATAAATAAAAATAAAAATATGCAGTGCCAATAAACTGCAACAAATGCTTAGTTCTAAAAAAAAAAAAAAAAAGAAAGAAAACAGTTTTCTCAAAGAGACCGTACTCCCCAGCTCAAAAGGCTGCAGTGGATTTAAAACAAGACTAATCTGGTTCAATCCTAATTTGAAGTGGTGAAGAAAAGACAAAAACAACAATAAAAATGGTAACAAGTTAACTTTCAGGGACTCAGATTAAAATTCACTGCAAGAGAAGACATATGAAGATAAAAGTGAACAGATTCACACTAAAGGATGTAGCTTCGGCAGATTAGAATACATGTGTAATAAATTTGGCCCCAAAATTTGTGGCAGCTAAAAAAGTACAGGAGAGATTCATGGAGTACATATTTTCTGGGTTTTTAAAAATTGTTTGTTTTTACACAGATCCCACTCTATCCAATCAGATTTTCTCCCATTCTCTACTATTCCCCCTTGAATCTAGTTAGGTTGGCTTCACAACTGTTCCACAAACACATCTATATATCTTCCAGATTTGTGCTTATGTACCCACTTTGCCTTCTCCTTCCCCTCCATTCAAGACTACTTATCCTTCAAAGCCCAACTCAAATCCCACCTTCCCGATCCCTCTAGCCTTCGCTGATCTTTCTCTCCTCTCGACTCCAATAGCACAAACTTAGCTTGTTTCACACAATTCAGCTTTCAATTATAGCCAATTTCGTACTGCTCACTATCATTTCAGATATTGCCTTTCTAAGAGGAGAGTTCTGGGATGGCAGAGAATGAGCCTCTTCTACCTCTTTATTAGCTTTCTCGATATTAAATAGCCATGTAGTAAATACATGCTGATTCTTTCTCTGAATAAAACTTTTACAAGGATTTATAGACATAGAAATATGTCATTTGTTCCCATATATACATATTCGTGCAGGACAATAAATAGTTTACAAACTATCTTTTCAATCTGTTCTTTTACTCTGGGTCTAACTGTGAATCTTTAAAGCTGGTTCTAGAGACAGCTTTCTGTTCTTAGGGGTGTTGAAGGAAAAGGTTAATATGTATGGTTAGATTGTGAAGTAGTACATAAAATGACATTTAGCAGCCCTGAGAGCTCCAGCATTAACTACATAAAAAACAGACAATGACTTGAAGTGAAAGATACTTCCTTAGAAGACTTTCTTCTGACCAACCACATTATAATCTTATTCTGAGATGCCCTATTTTATCCTATTCTGAACATTAGTCGCAAAATACCATAACCATAAATATCAAAATTTCAAGACCAAGGCAGAATTTGTATGTATTGTTTCTAAACGATTCCCTTTGTCAGGATTATTTAACTACCTTTTGAAAGACAGTAAAATAGGAGATATGACTTTCTTATGGATTAGAAAAACTACATGATCTAGAAAAAATATAATTTTTATAAGTATAAAAATTTTATACTATATAAATAAATTCATTCTTTTCTCTAGTAACAAGTAGAGTGAAATTCTATTGAAAATACAGGGTATGTTCCATGATTACTTTGTTTATGAATTGGCCTATCCTGAATCAATATCACATTCTGCAGTCAGTATTAACATTTTTTTCTTTCAGTCTTCATTTTCCTTGACCTCTCTGTAGCACATGACACTGTTGACAATTATTCTTTCCATGAAACTCTCTTTTCTTTTAGCTTGTATATTATTATTCTTTCTTCATTCTCAAATTATTTCTTTAATCTTTCTCTGTTTCTATGCTACTATCCTTTTCCTTGAGAATTTGGTAAGTAGCAAAATTTCTTGAGCTTGTCTTGCAGGAGAACAGAGAACAAAACACTTTGTTACAATTCCCTTAGTTTGCAACAAAACTGGCTTACAGTCTGGGACAAGTTGGAACCCATTAATGTGTCTGACTGCAGTCTGCACAGAATAGACTTGCTTGCCTGGTGAGTGACCTTTTGATGTCAGAGGGCCAAAATCTCCACCCTCAGATCATTTTCTGAACATAAGACCCATGAAGAAGCGTGCATGGTCAATAGCTCATGCCCAAGGGAATTTCCAACCCCCTTTTCCTTACAGTCAATCACTGTCCAGCCCCCAGATCCCAGCCTCAAAATCTCTCCCTTAAATCCATCCATGGCTGCAAGGCTAGTATGGGAGACAGCTTTGAACCTGACTCCTATCGCCTTGCTTGGCTGCCTGGCAATAAACTTTCTCACTGCAAAAACACAGTGCTTTGGTGTTTGGCTTTCCATTGCTTGTGTGCAGACAGACACAGTTTGGTTTGGTCACAACGTGTTAGTAATTTTCAGCACTTTATTCTTTGCCCTTTCCCATATTTTAACTCTATACTTTCCATGAGCTACTTCCCAGGGGTATGCTCATCCAATTGCCAAACTTAACTGCTCTAACTATTCTATCTCCTGCATGCTAATGGATCTCAACTCTGCATTTCTCAGGCTCTAAGCTACAGCTTCAATCACCTTCTCAATATTTCTCCTGATTGTTCCAAAGCTACCTCACACTGCAGATCCAAATTAAACTGATTTCATTTCCTTTCATCCTATTCCCTCCTTTTTATATATCCTAACTTTGATGATTAGAGCCATCTTATAAGTTAAATTGTGTCCCCCTTAATTCATATATTGGATCTCTGAAGCTCCAGTACAGCAGAATGAGGTAACCTTATTTGGAGATAGGGTCTTTATGGAGGTAACCAAGTTAAAATGAAGTCATTGGGGTGGGCTCTAATCCCTTATGACTAGTGTCCCTAGAAAAAGGAAACATTTGGAGACAAACACACACCAAGAGAGGATGCCATGTGAAAATGAAAGCAGAGATCAACGTGATGCTTCTACCAGCCAAAGAATGCCAAAGATTGCCAGAAAACCACCAGGAGCTAGGAGAGAGGCCTGGGCCATATCCTTCCCTAACACCTTCACAGGGAGCGTGGCACAGCCAACCCATTCATTGATCTTGGATTTGTAGCCTCTAGAACTATGAGACAATACATTTCTGTGGCTTAAGCCACTCAGTTTGTGGTGCTTTGTCACAGCAGCCCTAATAAAATTACTACAGCTATCATATAGCAATCATAAAATAAATCAATAAATCATCCGAGAATCCTTCCCTTTTTTATCCTCATATCCAGTTGCTCAATAAGTTCAGTCAATTCTAACCCCTGAATCATTTTTGCATCTATTTATTCTGCATTATCTCCACTGTCACTGCTCTAGTGCAGGCCTTATGCTTCTGTTGCTTAGGCTCTTATAATAGATCCCTATTGAATTTCTCCTGTCTCTAGCCTCACCCTTACCCTATCAGCCTTCTATATCGTTAGAAGATAATCATTCTACAATGTATATCTAGCCATGCTACCATAAGTCTAAGCCTGAAATGGCTCCTTATCACCCATGTAGTAAAATAATCGAACTAATTATACATGGCCTATCATGACTATTCATCTTTCCAGCCTCTCATACCTATGTTCCAGCAATGTTAACAGTTGGCTCTTCCTTGAATATACTGTGTTCTCCTATTGCCTCCATAAATGCTGTTCCCTTTCTTGGATCATGCTTCTCTTCCTTTTTCTTTTCCTACCCAAGAAACTCCTACTCATCTGTTAAGATTCAGCTTGAGCTTTATACTGTGATTGTCCCTGTGCGATCTATCTTCCCCCATTTTATCGTGAGCTCTGGAAAGGCAGCAACTGCAATTTAAATCTTTTTTTTTTTGGTACCTGTAATATAAGAGACATTTGGTAAATGATTTTTGAATTCCCCAAAGGAAATAAAAATATTAGAGCACAAGAGTCATTTGAATGAATACCTTCATGTGTATTAGAACTATTCTTTAGGTAAGTGAATTCAGCTTTGATTGCCTTTTTTGATAAAGAAAGCTGGTCAGATCTGTATTTCATAGTTGTTAAAGGTAAATTGCAAATCGTTTAATTTTCCTGTGTGCTTTGAATCCTCCAATGAGGGAGTTCTATTGGAGATAGGTCAGTTCAATGGTCAGTTTACGGCAGAATTAAATTCATAGTTCCACTCTTTAGACCTTTAATTTTTTTAGGTTTGTCAACTCTCTTTAGATATCTTACAGGAGAATCAAAGGCAGTCAGTTTGTTGTTACAGTCATATAGTGACACAGGAGAAATGAAACAGTGCATTACTACACAATGCTTAATTGCTACTTTCTACTTCAATAACCAAAATCATGCTTGATGGCCGGGCACGGTGGCTCATGCCTGTAATTCCAGCACTTTGGGAGGCCGAGGTGGGTGGATCACCTGAGGTCAGGAGTTCGAGACCAGCCTGGCCAACATGGTGAAACCCTGTCTGTACTGAAAATACAGAAAGTAGCAGGGTGTGGTGGCGGTCACCTATAATCCCATCTACTTGGGAGGCTGAGGCTGGAGAATCGCTTGAACCCAGGAGGCAGAGGTTGCAGTGAGCCAAGATCGCACCATTGCACTCCAGCCTGGGCAATAAGAGTGAAACTCCACCTCAAAAAAAAACAAAAAAAAAAACAAAAAAACCCCAAAAAAACATGCTTGATACCTTGATACCATTTTATTTTATGAAGAAAAAGGGTTAAGTGAACTTCATTTCTAGTTGGTTGCATAGATTAACCAAACTCCCCCTCTCCCCAAACTATCCAGTGAGTTTAATCATCTCATATTATTGCTTCCAGGTGGCAAATGCTTGAGAGTATCTTTATTAACCCTAAATGGTAAGAAAAACATTCCTGAAAATACATCTCTCCCTTTTCTTCCTCTCTAGGTAGGGATAGGGCACCAACATACATGCACAGAGCTTAGTTAACACATCACAAAAAATATATATATATATTGCCAAAAAATATTCAGTGCTTTCTTGTGAAAACAGTAGCAAGTCCCTTTGGACCACAGCATTGAAACTGTTCCACTAAACCTTTAATGTGAATTTGCTCAATGGGACTGGGCATACAGGTGTAGAACAATTATTAGATTTGGTATCTGAATGAGCTCAGGTTCCCATTAGAGCTTGACTGCTTCAATGACCCCATTATTTTGCTTCAACTGCTCCCCGAACTATCAACTTAATTATTCTGACTAACGAAACATTAAGGACATGAATTTCTGATTTGGTTTAAACCATATGGGACATCTAAAAGTGCTCACTTAAAAAAAAATCACAATACAGAAGAAATGACTACGAAGATATGTTAGAAGCTTAAAAGTAGGGCAGGGCCAAGATCCATGCTGGGCACACAGATACTGTACTTTCCTGGAATGGCACTTCTGTTTGGATGACTCGTTGGTACCTGTTATACCTTAACAATTTTACTCTTTCCCTGGAACACTCAAAACAGAAATAATTAATTTAGTAGAGAGGAGGGCATAGAAGGGGTTGAAGTAAAATCTTGTGTTCCCTGCCATAATACACTCGGATCTTTAAAATAGTTAATGTTCAGAAGGGCAAATAAAATGCTTTGCAGAGCAAGCCAATTACAGAGATTCTTTGGCAAATAAAGAAAAAGAAAAGTCAGAAAATGGGACAAACTTTTGAGTTGATGTGTATGGAATATGGCCTTTTATAAGGGGAAAGTTAAGGCCAAATTATATTTCTTATTAAAAAGCATTATCACCTTTAAAATTTTAGATTTTGGCATTAACTGTGGCCGAAGTGGCATAACAGCAAGCTATGTACTGAGTCTATGAAACAGACTATTTTGGAACAGAAATATACTGATCTTGATGTTACAGTTGCTTCATAACTGGTTTCCTTAAAAGCAGCTCCAACATTATGGGTATTTAACACAATTACTCATTATTTCAGTTTATATTAATGATTATTGAAAAGTTATACGTTTATCTACAGGAAAAGAAGGCATTAAAATATTACTTGTCTGTAAAATTTTACAGATGCTGGTTTACTTCTCATCAGTGAATGCATTTGTCTTTAAAAAGAATGAAACTGACATCAAAATGGTCCCCCTTGCCCCTTGCCTCCCTTCACTAATGATATGTAACGGCTGCTGAGCCTGCAATGAACGTGTTTATGTCCAGTCATATTCCCATCATTTTACAATCCAATCTGATTCCTTAAAAAAAAAAAAAAAGGAAGTCACAGGAGACTAGCACAAGTTCCTGCTTCAAGGCATTCTCTGACATCAGCCTTCACTTCGTACTTCTGCTCAAAGTACCTGATTTGACAAAGTGCACAGAAAGTCAGAAGACAAGCCTCTTCACCTCCTCTCCAAAACTGTCTGACAGGAGTCAACAATGATTCTTTCACAAAGCTACAATCTAACAGTTTTAGATGAAAGTCCAAGGGGAAACTTTCTAGCTATACCTTACAATATTTTATTAAAGAAGGGTGTAAAAATGCATTTGCCTCAGTGGGGCTATTTTCCTCCTCTGGTTCAACTCAATCCATTTTAACAGTTGGCAGTTTAAATAACAGAAGTTACAGGCTGCCATGCACAGACGCTTTGCATGCCATATGAAAGCAAAGGATTCAGAGATGGAAGCAAAAACGGAAAGATGAAAAAAAAAACCAGCCTCTATTCTATAAAAGAATTTCTTTAATAACAGCAGCTAGGTAAAATTTCTTTGAGCTTGTGTCCTTCTCCTACTGTTTTATATAAAGCAGCTACCATACTTGTCTTCCTAGGCTACATCTGACAGACTGTCAAAAGCAAACAACTTTTCCCCTTATATTGCAATAATCATCTACTGTATTTTTAATGTACTCAAAACAAATTTTCTTATTATACAATAACGGTGACAATCCTCCCTATATTCCCAATGTAAAATGATATATTTTAAAGACGATAATCATAAAAGCAGCCTATCCATAACTACTATTTTTAGGTTAAATAAAATATCAACATTTTTTATTCATGTTTAGGTTAATGTGTGCAATTCAGCTGTTTGCAATATTTACATGGAATTGAATATATTATGAGAAAACTTGAAAAAAGCAAAAGAGCCAAGTTTAAGACTGGTTCTTTCTTGGGTGGCTTTTTATCCTTACTGGCCACCTATTATTACCTTCATCATATAACATTAAAGAAAAAACAGAGACTTGGTGCTAGCTGGAGGATCCCATTATTACCAATGTCTCTGTGCCCACCAACTGTGACTTACTCGGTTTTGAACGTGCACTATATTATCATTTAGAATCAAAGTATGTATATTTTTATAAAATGTGCTGTGGTTACAAGGATTAATAGATACAACATAATTCATAATCTGAATTCTGACACATTCAGATTATAAATTGATTAGTACAGAGGAAGAGGAGGGATTAGGTTCTGTCCTTGCATTTTGATCTACATAAGCTAATTAAATATAACCTTGTACATATAAACTAACTTTGGTAGCAATGGCAATGTCTGTATCATTAAAGGCCAATGATAAGTACATCTTCTGTAGGCCAAATCTAAGGGTTTTCTCTTAGGAGAAATAGCTCAGAAATAATTAATATATAAGAAAATACATAAAGTGCCTTCCTGTTGAACAGTGAGAAACAACTCTACTCCTCCTTGGCTTCCCCCATTTTAGATTCCCTGGCTTTAAAGCACACTAGAGAGGAGATTAACTGATATTTTGCATCAAATGACTACCTTCCCTAAGTATCTCCAGCTTCTACAGCATTTTTTAATGCACTATCACATTATGCATTCTGAGATTTGGTACAGTTTGTTCTCTCTTTGTCTATCATTTACAAGAGAGTGAAAGCTAGTCACAATTCATCATAAACCTGAAGACTGATTATCCCCACACTTTTTCTTTTCTTGGACTAAATATTTCCAAATTCATTCATCTCTCATCATAGAGTCAAGCAGAAAGGAGTTTAGATACCACAGCAGTTCTCAATTCATGCACATTAATATAGTGTTTTAAAATATATATATAAAACATATTTATACAAAGACCAGAGAAGAACTGAACACTATACATACATATATATATGTGTGTGTGTGTATATATACATATACACATATGGCCTTCTAATCATAAGGCCTTCTAGTATATCTATCTATCTATCTATCTATCTATCTATCTATCTTCTAATATATATATATATATATATATATATATATATATATATATATATATATTAGAAGGCCTTATGAACTTGTATAATAGTTTGAGGATAATCAATGGAACATAGAATTTTAGAGCTGACAGGAAATTTATGAATTATTTAATTGAAATCCAACCCTTCATTTTAATAGACGATGACACTAAGTTCCAGAGAACAGATTTAACTTGTCATAAATAGTCTACACAACAAAGATATGAAACTGAGAGGCTTCAGTCAGAGAATGGGACATAACGTAATGAACCACATAACCATAATTATTCTATCATTCATTTATTGGATAATAATATAATTAAGCTTTGATAAATTATATATTTATGAAGAAAGATAGCAATAGCATGACAGACCATGATCATCTGGTGATCCCATATAATAATCACTCTATAGAAGTAATTAGAGAATAGCAGTAAGTTTGAAACTTTTGTAATTTTATAATAATACAACATTCAGGAATTCAGTTATTTGGTAAGGAAAAGTTCACCGGATCCTATAATCTGCATTTTGATGGGCCTGAACCATATTTATATCACGCACTATCCACAAAGTCCTTAAGTACACATTTATACAAAGACCAGAGAAGAACTGAACGCAATTATGTGGACTAGCACCTTGGAGAGATGAACTTTGGGATGGATGGATGGATAGCTATGGCTATGCATATACACACATGCATATATATTTACATGTAGGTACAGACATATATGTTCGATGTTTGATACCACATCTTTATTAAAAGGTATAAGACATAGTTAAGATTGAAAAGTGAAAATCTCTTCTGATAAATGCAAGTTAGAAAATCCATCTATACTGCCCTCTCTGGTAACTTCATCATGGTCCACATTGTTGATAGAAGCTCAAAGCTGCTGATATCATGTTAATGTTCACTGTCATTGCTTTTGTCAATCTTTGTCCTTACCTTAATTTTATTTATATATGGTATGTGTTTTAGCATTCCAGACACTGTCTGCAGGGTTTTACAGTGAGCTGGGTATTTTAATTTAGGTTGATTGGTAATAAAATATCATTCAAAGCCAACTGTCAGGTGAACAAGTTAAATGAAAGCTCTGTCGCATAAAGTCTCTGTTTCCAATTATTCTCTGGAATTTAAATGAGCAAAACGTCATCAACAGAGGTCTTTAGAACTCGAAGAGAAAGCAATACTTTTTTGCATCTATTCTTTATGCCACCTACTTTTAGGGATCTCTTTGCTATAAAATACCATTCACTTCACTGATTTCAACTCTATAATTCTTTTGCTGAACAATTATCTCCTCATCTAGCTTTCTTACTCATGCAAGCCACAAACATAGTGTGACTAGAGTAAAAGGAGATAAATGTTTTTGCATACATGGGTTATAGAAAGAAATCACATTATGGCCACATTTCCCATTTCTAGGAAATTTCCTTTCTCCTCCCAGATGTTCTCCTTTCCTTTTGTTACACAAGACAGTTTTCAAGTTAATCTTTCTAGAGATTCATACCAGCAGCTATTTTGCCCCCACCTTAAAATATTGGTTATCATGTGGTGCACATTTCCAATATCAATATTTAAGGAGTCATACAGAAGCTAGTATTGTGGTCATCCCAATTCAGTATTCATAATGTTAAGTGATGAGTTAGAAAACTTTCTCAGAGTTAATATCTTATTGTACCAACCACCCCTTGATGCTTCTTCCATTTTACACTCCTTCTATTTTGTTATTTATGATTTTCCAAAAACTGTCCTTGTTTGTGTTATCTGACATGTCATGATACATTACATTCCCAGTGTTATTGGTCAGCATGCCAATAACATGCTCCCCTTTAAATAAACCCTCAAACGGTTTTATCAGCTCCTAACTTTTATTTAATTGAAATTATTAAAGTAGTAGAAAATCTTGCTTCATGTTTGGATTCTACTCAAATTGTTTGTATAATTTTGAATTGCTTTGTATCAAAATTTCCAACCACTCTTTTTTTTTTTTTTTTTTTTTTTTGAGATGGAGTCTCGTTCTGTCGCCCAGGCTGGCATGCAATGGCGCAATCTCCACTCATTGCAACCTCCGCCTCCCAGGTTCAAGCGATTCTCCTGCCTCAGCCTCCTGAGTAGCTGGGATTACAGGCACGCACCACCATGCCCGGCTAATTTTTGTACTTTTTAGTAGAGATGGGGTTTCACCATGTTGGTCACGCTTGTCTCGAACTCCCAACCTCAGGTGATCTGCCCACCTCGGCCTCCCTCCAACCACTCTTATAAATAAATTTTATAGCAACAATATACAGTTTTTTAAATGAGGAAAAAAGCAACACACTTGTCTTTTTAAAAAGATCTTCCTTAAAAATATGCTGCTTCCTACAAATTTATTTTATATGTTTAAAACTATACTATTCTCTATAACACACTGAGACTAGCCACTTAAAAGGCACAATGGAACAAGGGAAGGACCACTGTCCTGGGCTCGGAAGAGGACTGCCTGCTGAACTGATGCTTAGTTTTGTCACATCAGAATAGGGATAATAGTTCAGACTTCAGATGGTTACTACCAAGATCAAGTGAAGTCCCCTTTGTAGAGTACCAGGCAAAGATCTGTGGTACATAGTAGATCTTCAGTTCATTCAGCATATTAGCTGCATATAAATCTGAATCTTAGCTGCCTGGACTTAATAAACACATCTCAATGTACCAACTATTAACTGACAGGTAAAGGTCAAGAAAGAGCTATTGAGTAGCTATTGAAAGGTAGGGAGGCAGAATAAATAAGGCAATCACAGGCTTAAACTTTCTGTATTCATTTAGTGGAGACAAAGAATTCAGGTTGTGCAAGGATTTAAAATGCAGATTGTCAGGATTTATAAGGAAAAGATTTATTCTTTTCTCATTACTATAATAAACAGTGATCAAAAAATGCTTCATCAGACTTACAGTAGATAAAGAAGGGAAGTACAACTTCAATTAAGTCCTTGATTTATAGATAATGTTGCAACATCACAAACAATGAACATCATATTCTACCACAATCTATTTACCAAGATGTGTGTAGTTATTATGTGTTTTAGGGGTGTGATGGGGAGTCATTTTTCATTGTATTCTTTTCAAATTAGTATGCATTTAAATCACTGTTACAGAGAGAAAATTCAAATCAACATTAAACTTACATTCTTTCAAATCCTCTTTCAATAGATGTCAACATACACACATTATTATAGATATAATCAGCGTTTATATACTCTTTTGTGATCTAATTCTTTCACTTAACATTGTTTTATGTATACATTTCCATGAATTGTCACCTAACGGCACCACCTTGAAATTGTACCTGTTTCTCTACAGCTTCTCCAACACCTCACTTAGTGCTTAGCCATCACAATACATATATGTCGCTACCTGTTACTTTGTTGTTGTATTTCTTTACTTGCCAGTGAAAAATGTGTTTTTCCATGTGATGATTTACTATGTAAAATTTTTTACATGTAACATTTCTCTCTTCACCTCTTTCTTTTCCCTATGTGAAACGTGTGCAGGCCCTTCAAACACATTCTGCCTGATATAAACATAATTAAATTTGTTGACAAATTTGCTGTCAGTTGTTGAGGACAAGGGCTGCAACTCACAGCTTTCTCTCTGCAAATGCTTTCCACAAAGTATTCCATGCATTGTTCTGGAATTGGATATTCTCTAAGGTCCAAAAATTCCTATAATGGCAGGAACTTCACCTTCTATGTGTTTGGATCATCCTGGCATTTAATACATATATACGATGAATAAAAATAAGAAACTTGCATGATTTTAAAGTCATATAATTGGATAAATATTTCAAGAAAATCTCTATTCCTATCCTCACAAATATAAAGCATACCTTCCCGTTGCTCCCTACAAGTTATCTCGCAGAAAAAAAGAGGAAGATGTCTTACATTCAAGTGCTTAATTCCAAGGGACATTTTCCAAATTATTCTTAATAATGTACTCTCTGGAAAACACGCATTAGTCTGGAACAACTTAATATGGGTTTTAGATGCTTATGATGTAAACGTACAAAATTGGGGAAGGCAGTTAAGATAATGAAATTTAACACAGACCTATTAATTGTTTACAGGGTGTGACGTCATAGTACTAAGTGTTGGAGATCATTGTAAACAAGCCTTTGAAAGATTACTTAAGATTTCCCTGCAGTAAATACCTAACGAAGATCACCAATATACACATGCAAGATGAATGGAAAAGCCAATGGACCTAGTGGTATGCAAATGAGTATTTGTGGCTTGCGGAAAAAGCCTGACATTGATACTCTGATACACAGATTAAAGTGTTGTATCTCTAAAAACTTAGGTGGACATGAATGTAATATGCTCTGGAAAACTGTTAGATGACACAAAAATTAGCTCCAGTGCTTCTAGAAACACCAATGTCAGAGATACGCGTGAAGTTTCAATAGAATTGTTTTACAAAATGAGATAGTGGGGAGGAAAAGCAAAGTATCATACCTGAAGAGATTATTCTGCATCATCTACAATTTGAATATATCTGTATAACTAAACAAATTAAATTTCATAACTACACATTTCACTGTTTCGTCTACATTTCTAAAAGTCCAGCTACACTCAAAATGGTCATAAAACTTTTTTAAAGTTTTATTAGGAAAATGTGGGCTCACCTTATCCACCATATTTATTACAACTTTTTGAATCCAGGGTTGTATAAATAGCTCACTTAGCTCACAACAATAGTAAGAGCTGCTGTTTACTTAGCATTTAGTGGATACCATGCACTGTGTTAAGTGACTTGCATATATTGCGTCAATCATTCTTAAAAGGATCCCGTATGATAGGTATTATAAAACCATTTTACAAATGAGAAGAGTAAGCCTCCAAGAAATTAAAAAGCTTGCATAAGATCATGTAGTTAATAAGTGGTGGACATCTGTGGAGTTTCAAAGTCCGTAAGCTGACCCCCATACCAGATGGCATCCACAAGCACTAAGCCTGGATTTCTAGGTCCATGACTTTGACAGGAAGGTACTTTGTGTAAATGCAGGTGGAGTCCAAAGTAGGACAAGAACAAGAAGCTTTGCAAACCATTACCAGTATTACTATCTTCAATACTAATCCTTTTAATACTTTAAAAATATTTTTAAAACTAAAGCCATGAAGAATACCAAATTCATGATCAATTTAGCCTTGTGATTCTATTTTTGGTGGGAGTCACCAAGGGATGCTTTGTAGAAAGGATGGCTTTTCCTCCTTGGTTTCTCTTACAAAGCAACCATGTATCTATAGTGCATGAGTTGACCTGAATCACTTCACTTTTTAAACATGCTATTTCTTTAGAACTTCCAGGATAAGTTGTTCTGTGAGTCATGTATGGTACTTCCCTTTCCCCATTTGTTTCTGCAATGCTTCAAAGATACCCTTTACTATGGTTTGAGTGTTTGTAGTCCTCTAAAATTTATGTTGAAACTTAATTCTTACTGTAGCTGTATTAAGAGGTGGGACCTTTGGAGAAGTGATTAAGTCATAAGGGTTCTATCCTCATGAATGGGATTAATGCCCTTACAAAAGAGGCCTTAGAGAGCTCCCTGGCCCTTCTACTCCTTCTGCTATGCGAGAACACAGCGTTTGTCCATTTCACAATGTGAGGATACAGCAAGAAGTGTCATCTTGGAAGCAGAGAGCAAACACTCATCAGACATTAAATCTGACAGCACCTTGATCCTGGACTTCCCAGCCTCTAGAAATGTAAGCAATAAATTTCTGTCGTTTACAAATTACCCAGTCTCAGGTAGAGCAGCCTGAACAGATTAAGGTTTCAACATGCTTGGGTTTGGTAAATAGGTTTGCATTTATCCTATCCAAATGTTTATGATTTCTTGATTTCAAAAACACTGAGCATAGCCTCTGCATCCTTACACTGTAGAATGGATGAACATTGTGTCCTCACATGGCAAAAGGAGTGGAAGGGCCAGGCAGCTCTTTGAAGCTTCTCACTCAACTATTATATTTTCCAAGAGAAGAGCACTAATTGTTTTGGTCTTTCATAACAGGGAATTTTCACCCATTTTTACTTCATTACAAAGGGCCTTCTCTAGCCTGATGCAGCAGCCTGTTTTTAAACAGAAGCAGCAATCAGAATTACTTGCAATAATTCATCCTGTCTGGAGGACCCTAATCTTGTACTAAGGAAGTAGAATGTCTTCTGTTAGGATGCCAATCTCTTTCCTGAGACTGATCTGCAGAGTGTGGACCATTGTGATTACAACACCTTCCTGAGCTAATTTTTTTTTTTTCACAGAATGGTTACCAGTCACTCCTAGATCCCTTTTTCAAGTTTGAAACTGAGAAGGCAAAGCCTGCCAGCCTGTGAATGCAGCCTAGCTTCTTTCACTTTCATTTTTCACTAAATGCTTTACCGTATCCACACGAAGCTCATCTGCCACTTCTCGGCCCACTCAGGAGCCTCACGAGAGCTTCATGCAGTAGATCCCTGGCAGCTTGGCATTTCACTTTCAGTGAACTCAGAACAGCTGAGTGTAAACTGCAAACTCTCCTACTTTAGTTTCCTTAATTTTTTTATTGAGGCCTCAGAGTAATTAAACTGATAACGTATGGAGCTGAGAGAGAAATATTAAGTGTAAAATTATCTGCCAATTAAAAAAAGCAAGCTCCATGCTATGATAGTTTTTTTCTTTTTATTAAAAAATTCACCCTTCCTCACAGTGATGATGAAAAGTAAATAACATAAGCCTACATTTAGACATGCTACTGACCTCTCATACCTCTGAAGGGATAAAACTGAAGGATTAATCTGCCAAACATCCTAAAATGCATCTACTTTCATTGTCATCATTCCCTCCAATTGGTCTCTCCAGGTTGATTTGTAATTCTATATGCCTCGTATATATTTAAAGAGCCTAATGTTTATCATTACTTCATTTTTAAAATTTTTATTTCCTACTCTAGGAAACCTTATTAATTTTTATAACACTCCCTTTTCAGATTACAAGATAAATAAAATAGATTTCTAGTTTTCTCAGATATGCTTCAATTGTATGAGGGCTTATTATAAATACAGAAAAAAAATCAATTAGCAGAATTCTAATTTTCCTGTGGACATTTCAACAGAAAATAACAAAGATTGTGAAATTCTATTATAGCTATTTTACTACATAAGGGAAATATTATCCTGAGGGCTTTTTATTTTTGCCAAATACAAAGTTAATTTGTGCAAGCCAACCATACATAGATTTGGGGGGTATCTTTGTTAATTTGTACCACAAAGTGGTGGTGTTGGAGTAGGTAATAACCTTGGCATTCTCCTCATCTATAGCCTAGAAAAACACCCATTGAACTATAGGGTGTTCCCTTAATATCTACCTTAGTTTTAAGTTCTGTCCTGAACACAGTTCACTTTTGTCAATTAAAATTCCCGAATATTTCCCAATCCCATAAGTAGAAGCAGCACGATATAGTGGAGAGAACACCAAATTTGGACTCAGAGAAGCTTTAGGCTCAAATTCTGGCTCAGCCTCATGCAAGCCAGGAAATTAGGAGTAAGTCACATGGCCTTTCTTAATTTTTTTTTTGAGAGGGAGTCTTGCTCTGTCACCCAGGCTGGAGTGCAGTGGCGGGATCTTGACTCAGCTGGAATGCAGTGGCGCGATCTCGGTTCACTGCAACCTCCGCCTCCCAGGTTCAAGTGATTCTTCTGCCTCAGCCTCCCGAGTAGCTGGGACTACAGGCGCACGCCACCATGCCCAGCTAATTTTTTTTTTTTTTTGTATTTTTAGTAGAGATGGGGTTTCACCATATTGGCCAGGCTGGTCTTGAACTCCTGACCTCAGGTGATCCGCCTGCCTCCGCCTACCAAAGTGCTGGGATTACAGGCATGAGCCACCGCGCCCGGCCATCACATGTCCTTTCTAATTCTCAGTCTCCTCACCTGCAAAATGAGGAGAGTAACCCTACCTTACTATGTTCACACATTTCTTGTAAGGTTCAAATAAGATATTGTAAAATTAAAGTAGTTTATAAACAGTAGTTTACCAGGTAACTATACAGTTTTATCATAATTGGCTTTCTTAACTGCAAGGTTTATTTACAGATAGACCCTCTTTCAAATGGGCTAATTTAATATATTCTACCGTTGGCTCTGTATTTCATACTGTGATCCTTTGAAAAATATTCATGGTTTTATGACTATATCCATAGTAAAAACAAAAATGTTTCCAATGCCATCTTAACAATCAGCACAGAGGCAATAGCCTTCTTTTCATTTTACATTTTCTTTCTAGTTCTGGTTCTTCAGCACAAGCCACTCTGATGATGTTTAAAACCAAAATATCAAATGACACTGTCATGATCTGGAAATGTCTGCAAGGTCCAATGGGAAGTCTTAGCAAATGTCAGAGTACCTCTAAGGCAAGGCAGATCCTCAAGATGGATAATGATTCAGGAGTTTTGTACTAAAGATACAGCAGGGTGCTGGGGAAAGGCCTGTTTGATGCTCAAAGGTTAAGCAGCACAAGTTTAATGCCTAGTAAAGTAAAAAGTCACTTAGCATTGTGATTAGTGATGCCAAATAGGTACAGGGCGATTTAAAAGAGAGACAGTCAACAAACACATTTCAAGAGGTGTCAAAATGGATATTTTCATCCTTTTTCCTTTCTCTCTGACAAGTAACTACTTAGAAAAGCCAACAACTGAAAACACATCACAGGCAGCAGTCACCTGTTTGTCAGTAGACTACTGTTGTTGAGTTGCATTTTTAAATGCATCACAGTGGATGATAATTCACAGACATTAAAGGAAGAGAAATTATCTCTACATATCCATTAAGAATGGTCCTACTCATATGTCTATCACTGGCAATTCAATTGTTGATTTTTCTTTCAAAGCAAAACAAATACATGTATCAAGACAGTACAGAAACCTGGAAGAGGAATTGATCCAAGTCAGTGATACTAAATGAAATGACACACATCATTAAATACGGCAGATGCCTAGTGATAAGCACTAAAAGAAGGGGGTCAAAGCGATATCCAATAACAACAAAATAGTCTCAGAAGCAGAAAACTTAAAGGTTCTCTCCCCCTTCCCCCCAGATGCTTCAGATAACTCTAGGGAATGCTGAAATGCATGGTAATGTGTGAAAATTAGCCATCTACATTCATGATATGAAGTACATGTCATGGTTAGCATATGAAAATTCTTGTTAATGTAATGGTCCATTCTAGGATATGCAGTATAATTGGAGCTGGACTTAAGGATTTCTCATGTGGCATCATCATGGTCTCAAGAAGAAAGTGAAATCTAAAATGACACATTTGGGCTGGGCACGGTGGCTCACGCCTATAATCCCAGCACTTTGGGAGGCCGAGGCAGGCGGATCACCTGAGGTCAGGAGTTGAAGACCAGCCTGGCCAACATGGCGAAACCTCGTCTCTACTAAAAATACAAAAACTAGCTGGGCCTGGTAGCGGGTGCCTGTAATCCCAGCTACTCAGGAGGCTGAGGCAGGAGAATAGCTTGTACCCAGGAGGTAGAGGCTGCAGTGAGCCGAGACTGAGCCATTGCACTCCAGCCTGGGTGACAAGAGTGAAACTCCATCTAAAAAAAAAAGAAGACACAGTTGGAAAAGAATATACACATTAATATGTTTTTAAATCTGGCCAGAGCATGAAAGAATTTACAATTTACTCTCACAGCTAACTGGCTGTTGAGGGGTATACGGTAGTAGCCATCTGAGGTTTATACATGGTATACTGCAAGCTACTGGAGGACTTGTATTCTATATCTTTGTATTTCTTAATACCTAACATGGCGCCTGCCACAAAGCTTGTGGCCAAAAAAAGTAGGTTGAATTAAACTTACAGAAACTTTGCTCTCATGGGCCTTAAAGTCTTGTATACAGATGGGAAATGATCAAATGGCAAATGAGTAAAAACAGATGCTAGAAATGTAGATGAGAGGTGGCAGGGATCTTTTTAATACTTGTATCTCTGGATCTAGTGCTGTTCCTGGCATATGGGTCACCTTCAGGAAGTGTTGAGATATCAGTGTGTCACACAGAGACCGTGAAATTTGATCTAGGCCTTGAGACGTGGGTAGGATTGGAAGAGGTTTGCTCCCAACCCTTCTTAACAGCAATTTCTAATGGAACTAGAGAGGGACATAGCTCCTCTAACCCCATACAAGTTTATATGTGTCTCTTCTTTCTTAAAGCATGATGTCTTTTTCCATGAAGTGATACCTATCCCAATTTCTGGTAGGTCAGGATTATATAAATTGGGGCTGGAAGTCAGACCAGAGGACAAATGCCAGTGAACATCTGCCTTGCTAGAGACTATAGCTACTTTTGACTTTGAATCTTCATGGTTTTATATTGTCTGTATTTTTTTGGTTAAATCTTTACTTTGTTTTTGATCATTTTAATTCAACAGATATTTACCATGTCTACCGTGTACGTAGAAACGAAAAGTGAACACATAAAATAGACATGTAAGACTACACTATGAATGCTTTTAGCATTTTAAGAAAGTTTTGAATGCCTATATTTACAGTAAAGACTGTGAGTTGTGGTGACTCTTGTTAGGGATTTTTTCCCACTATCAGACTTTTTTTTTTTTTTTTTGAGACGGAGTCTCACTCAGTCGCCAGGCTGGAGCGCAGTGGCATGATCTCAGCTCACTGTAACCTCCGCCTCCTGGATTCAAGCGATTTTTCTGCCTCAGCCTCCCGAGTAGCTGGGTCTACAGGCGCGCACCACCACGCCCAGCTAATTTTTGTGTTTTTAGTAGAGACAGGGTTTCACCGTGTTGGCCAGGATGGTCTTGATCTCTTGGCCTTATGATCCACCTGCCTTGGCCTCCCAAAGTGCTGGGATTACAGGAATGAGCTACCATGCCCGACCCGGACTGTTTTATATTTCTAGACCAATGCAACTGAAGGGTTTCATGACATGACAGGGAGAGTCATTTGAACCGTTATTGTTTACAACTTATTACAGAAAATCAGAATTGTCTCAATATAGTACGGTAATAAATACAGATGCTCCTTGACTTACAATGGGGTTACGCCCTGATAAACCCAACAGAAGCTGAAAATGTGTAGCTGATTGGGAGCTAAGCCTCAATGTTGCTACCCAGCATGATGAGAGATGTACAATTTCTACTTGAATGCATAGTGCTTTCACACCATTGTAAAGTTGAAAAATAGTTGAACCATCATAATTCCTAACTAACTGTGTACAGATATAATTTTGATACTGAGTCTAATATAACACAGGTGCTGTAGTCTATAACCCCCAATTTGACACTTTTGAGTTTGAAGTAGCCTGTTTTCATTTGCATAATATTTATTTGAAAGAAATATCACTCTTATTTTATCTATCTTGGTTAGATGTAAGATTTTCTTTAGAAAAGTTTTCTCTGTGTTAAAAAAAAAGAGAAATGTTTGAAAACCACTGCTCTAATTTCTTCTTCCAAATTGTTCCCAGAGGTCTCTTTCTAAAACCCAATTTCATCATGGCCCTCTTCTGCTTAAATCAGTGGATCGTACATCATATAAAAGTTCTAACTCCTTTGTATGAGACCCCTTACTGGCTGCTGGCCAACCCCCCAGCCTCATCTCCTACCTTGCCTCCTCTCATCCTAACCAAAACCACACGGACTTAATTTTTTGCAGTTCTGGGACTTTGGCTTAGCCTTCATTTCTCCTAACTTTTTAAAGCATTGTGCCTGATCCCTTGGATCCTCACTACACTGTCCAGTTTCTTTGTCCTCTAGGAAAACCACTTTTTATCCTTCAAAGTTCGCAAGCTAAATATAAAGCCTTCTTCAACAAAGAGTTGGGTCTTCCACTGCATTCACCCAAGCACCCTGTATGCACCACCATTATCTAACTCAACAAACTTTAATGTGTTTCTTTGTTTCCATCTTGGTCTCCCCAACTAGACTGTGAGTTATAAGAGGACATGAATGTGCCCTTGTCATGTCTTTGAATTCCTGCTACTTAGGACATAATCTCGTTCGTAGATGTTAAGTAATATATATTTGTTGAATAAATAAAAAGTGACTAATTCAGAATTCATGATAGTTGTCTAGGAACTAGCATTGACATTTACCTTGGTTTAGCAAACTCCTTCCCCATAGATAATAAATAGTATAACTAACATGAGTAATATTTAAAATGCTTAAGAGAACAAACTTGTCAAATCCCCTCAAGTACTTTATAAGCTTCAATTTACATACAGTTGATATGCCAATTATAATTTAGCTGTATTTGTTTATTAAGACTGGGTCCTTAAGGACACCTACTAGGCAATGGTTTGGATGACTGAATCTTGTTAACTTAGTTTGAGCTCCTATGCATCCTAAAAATAAATTAAAAAGCATTTCCTTAAAATTATTCTATAATTCAAATAATTTTCTCAAAATCAAAATGGCCTTTCCAAATTTGCAAGATGCTTTATTAACTACTGTTTCACTTCGTTTTATACTACTACTTAAATACATTTATTGTTACTTTAAGGATTAAAACACATCCCCAAGAGTCTTGGCAGAGACATTCTATGTTATAAAGCCCCAATTCTTTCGCTCTTGTTGCCCAGACTGGAGTGCAGTGGCACGATCTCTGCTCACTGCAACCTCCGCCTCCCAGGTTCAAGTGATTCTCCTGCCTCAGCCTCCCGAGTAGCTGGGATTACAGGCACCTGCCACCACACCCAGCTAATTTTTGTATTTTTGGTAGAGATGGGGTTTCACCATGTTGGCCAGGCTGGTCTTGAACTCCTGACCTCAGGTGATCTGCCCACTTCGGCCTCCCAAAGTGCTGGGATTACAGGTGTGAGCCACCGTGCCTGGCCTAAAGCCCCAATTCTTTGAGATGAAATTGTACAGGTCCTCTGCCGTCTACCATCTCCTGTTTATTCTCTTCTATGTATTCTGCCGCTCCCTACAACTAACCCTAGACTCCAGTTACACCAACTCCTTCCCTATCTTGAAAGATACAAAGTCTTTTCATGATACCATGTTTTTATACATATTTTTCCATTCCTCTGCAATGCCCTTTGCATACTCACAACTATGAATTAATCGATGAACTCCAATATCCTTTACCCTATAACTCAAAAGGCAGCTTCACAGTGAAACATTTTGGGCTTCCTGAGACAATGTTAGTTGCCCTGTTTTTCTGTGTTCCCATAGCATTTTGTTGAGACATATAATTTAATATTTGTGACACTATAATTGTATATTTATGTCTACCCCTATTTAAATGACGTTTTTGAGTTCAGAGACCGCGTATTATTCATCTTTCTATCCCCAGCATTTAGGATTGTATTTGGTACAAAAAAGGTACCTGTTGTGGGTTGAACTGTGTCCCCCGAAAATACATGTTGAAGTCCTGACCCCTGTTACCTATGAATGTAGCCATATTTGGAAATAAGTTTAATCCAGTGACTGGTGTCATTAGGGGAGAGAGATTTGGAGACACAGAGGGCACACAGAGGTAAGAAGGCCATGTGACAATGGGGGTAGAAATTGGAATGCAAGGAATGCCAAGGTTTGTTGGGAACCAACAGAAGATAGGAGAGAGGAGAGAGACATGGAACAGATTCTCCTTCAGCGCCCTCAGAAGAAATCAAGCCTGCTGACAACTTGATTTTAAACTTCTAGCCTCCAGAAATGTGAGAGAATAAATTTCTGTTGTTTTAAGTCACACAGTTCGTGGTAATATATTACAGCAGCTCTAGGAAACTCATACAGCACCCAATACATTTTTATTGAATGAATAAATAAATGGATGATGAACAACTTAACAGAGGAGATCCTTTTACTCAGTAGAGACTCTATGTTCAGTCCAGTGAATTCTTCAAAGGGTCTAACCTAAGTTTCTCAGTCCGCATAAGAGAGAGTCCCTTGATAACCTCCCTGCATGTTTAATTCCATGATGATTCCGGCTGCAGGGAAGGGGACAGTCATAAAATCCACAGGCAATTAACTGTGTCTCTCTACCATAATTCCCACTGGGAACAGAGGGGAGATCTTGAGGCCACAGCCAAAAGATTTAGGATCATGAATGACTCACTGAAACTGCTTCTCTACCAAAGTTTTGGCTGAAGTGTTGTGCCCTAAAATGGGCCATCTAATGCTGGAGTCCTCATGAGAATGTTCCCCGGTCTGTGGTAGAATGGTAGAGTAACTGCGATTGGCGCTATTACTGTTGTTGCCTAAAAGACCTATTTTAGGGTAAGTTTGTAACAAAAATTAGAGCAATAGACACAGTGTACTCATATTTAAAACCTGGTAAGATTTTGCTTCTTAGCCATTTCATTAATGTAGTCTTTGCTAAACAAACATAACCACCATGACAATCATCTATAACCTTATTATTTACAAAAGGCTTTGACACAGAGTTTTATTTAAAATCAGTATAAAATCATCTTTTACTCATTCTTTTCATTTAAAAGTTCCTTTTCTACCTTACTATCTTTTTTCCCATACTGACATTGATTTCCCTGATTTTTATCTGAAATCCTTTTCTTCATCTGTTTCTAACTTTCTTCAAGTTTTCTCCCACTCACCCTATTTACAACTACAGTCCATCATGTTCATTATAATGATGTCTCTGTAAAAATATTTCAACTCTCACCTTTGCAGCTAGCTCTTTCTTCTTATCTCCTTCACTTAAAAACTGTAGAGTGAAATAAGACACAAAGTTGAAGGTAAAAGAAGACTGCATTTCTTAAAGGCTGCCATATAACATCTTTCCTGAAGAATGCAGACCTAGTTTGCAGCCAGTGGGTATGCAACTATTTCCTTGTGGGCACTAAAGTTATCACCATAATGAAGCAATAGAACTCATTGAGACCCATATTCTTTCTTTCTTCCAGTGATGGGTTTAAGTCAAAACAGACACAGATGAGTAATGACAGGGTCTAAATCCAGAAAGAGAAATATATTAATGATGCAGACACTAGAAACACAGACTGTAAACCACTAAAGAAACACACATACCAAATGTTCCACCAGCCTGTTTTTTTTTTTTTTTAATCTCTTCAGGAAACCCTTGGCTAAAGCCAATTCATAACACTTGGTCTGCTGGCAAAACCCAACATGAACAGTAAAGACCTACAGCTGCCTTGTTGAGAGATGTCTATTAGGTTTATAGTCACTCTTGGTCTGGAAGACCTGTGTAGAGTAGACTAGTTTGTGGGCCAGCGTTGAGACACCAGGCATTATTTTATTTTATTTATGTAGTACACACTTATAGTAAGTGCTATCACTTACTTTGTACCAGGAACTAATCTAAGCACATAACAAATATGAATAAGCTTATTCTTCATAACCTTGGGAAACATATAATCTGATTATCATTTTACAGATGAGGAAAATGAGGCACAGAGAGGTCAAATAATTTGCCCAAGTTATATAAGTTGCAAAGCCAGGATTCAAATGTAGGTATTCCTGAATCTGTAGTCCATATACTAACCATTATTCTATCTTGCCTTTCAGTGAGTTCCTGAAGCTTCTAGACTAATGTGAGTCCAGAGCAGGTTAGGTCTTTAGCCTTTCTCATTTTATTGGATTATGGGTTCATTTCAGGATTCCATCAGCCTTCATGATTTATTCAGTGTATAAGGTATGGGAAAGCTTATAGCAGATGCTGCTGAAGTTATATATGGAATGTATGTAGCCTTTGTCCTGTGAGAATTTAACAATGAGTTAAGCATAAAGGCCATATGTAGACCAGAGAAAAACTTAAGGATAGTTACAAAGCTTTATATGTATCAAGAGATTGCTCAAGCACTGAGAGGAGAGGTAGGAGGGGATTTGGATTTCTATGCAAAAATTCCCCCATAGGTTAGAAGTAGTATCTGTGAGGCAATCACTGGACGTGCTGCTATAGATCATATATATCTGCTTACAGAAAGATGTACCATTTGAGGCTGGTTTCTCTGGCTGACTTTGCTGTTCTAGCCATCATGACAGCAGAACCAGCTGTTAGTTCAACTACACACACTGTTGTAGTGTACCAAACGGAGGCTGGAGAATATGAAAATGAATGTGAATATGTATACATATTATGTATATGAATACATACATACATATATTAATATATGCACATACATATACAAGGTACATATACATATATACACATGTACTAGTGTATGTCTATCTATGTATATAACTAGAAATTGTTGAGTTTAGTATAAACCAGGTATGTGCTGAGTGCTTTACATGAATTATTTTATTATCACATCAAGCCTGATAGTGAGTTATTAAGTAGGAAGAGTCAAGATACAAACCCCGGCTGTCTGGCACCATTGCCATAAAATCTACTGCTTATCATTTGAGTTAGGCCTTAAGCTTTCTCATACTTTTTTAAAACTGTTTTGCCTTTATGCTTTCCCAGCCATTTTCTTCTTCTTCTTCTTTTTTTTTTTTTTTTTTAACCTACTCACTGCATTAAGTTTTTTAAAGCCAGCCAGAGAACACAATCAATAATTTGGTAAAATGTCAAAAGCTGCAATTTTATCTTTCAGCATTGGGCTACACTGGACTTGAATACTTTTCCCTCTTAGCATTTCTATTTCAGGTTTAAACAACTGCTGCATATACAATATCCCCAGTAAAACATCCATTATGTTTGTAATTAAGGGGGTATTAGAAGTTAAAGGCAATAAAATACATCATTTCCATGCCAAAAAAATTCTTATCAATACAGAGTATGACAAAATGTCTGGTTTATTGGCTTATCTGTGGTATGTGAACAACATCCAATTCTCTGTTATGTTTAACAAGGAAAAAAATCAAATGCTATAAAAATGTTGTGAATATTTAATTAATTAGGGTGTATTTTGAAGCAATTCATTTCACATCCTTGGCACAATGTGATAAGCTGATGCAGGTGTAAGGGAAATTGTACAACCAAAGTTAAAAATACATTCAGCACACAAAACAGTAGAATAATATAAATCCTTCTTCCTTATTATAAAGATAAATGCAGTATTATGGGCTGAACTGTGTCTTCCCCAAATACATATGTTGAAGTCCTAACCTGCAGTACCTCAGAATATAACAGTATTTACAGATAGGGCCTTTAAAGTAGTAATTAAGTTAAATCTGACTGGTGTCCTTAGTACACAGAGCATAGAGACAGAGGGATAGTCACATTAGGGCACAGTGAGAAGGGCCAAGGACAGAGGGCTCAGAAGAAACCAAACCTGCTGACTCTTTGATTTTGGACTTCTAGCCTCCAGAATTTTGAGGAAATTAATTTATCCAGCTTAAGCCACCAAGTCTATGGCATTTATTGTAACTGCCCTAGCAAACTAATACACGTAGTAATAACTAAGTCAACAACTATTTGCAGACCTTCAAAGTTCTATGACTTAAAAGTTATTTTTCTTTTGGGTTGTTCATATAGGAACACATATATTGCTTTTCTATATGCAGTTATACTATCATTAAAACAAACAAGCAAACTCCAGCCATCTACCTAGCCATTTATTTTTGGTTTATCTTATAGTAAAAAAAGGAAAAAAAAAAAAAAGAAAAATGTGTATATTCAAAAACAAAAGAGTAATGAGTGAAGAGTGAAATGAATTAAATGTTGAATTTTGAGGTGTTGATTCCAGAGCATAAAAACCTATTCCTCAGAGTAGGTATTCTCAAATACAATTTAGCCCTGAAAGGTATGATTCCATCCATTTGGAAGTCCAGTACTTAATTGAAGCTGTATTACTTACTTATTCAGTTTATTAGTTTATCTGTTTTTTCCTATGTTGACTTCTTGACTTTTCATCTGAACTTTTCATGTTCTTTTCACTAAACAACTTAGTAGGGTTAAGATATCTAGTTTTTCCTTTCTATGGAATATGGTACATAGCTCAATAAGTATTTCATCAAGAAATGAAGGGAACTTTTTTCCCCTTAAGTGGCTTTGTTAATTCCTATACTCAAAATCATTGAGTTTACAACTTAGGAGATAATGCGAAGATCATCTAGTTCACCAACTTCATTTCATGCAAGGGGAGACTCCTAAGGCTCGCAGAGTCTTAGTGATCAGATCACGATCACACAGTTACCAGCTAGAATGAGTCTTCTGATCTAAGTCTATGCTCTTTCCATGATCCTTAGCTGAGTCAGTGCTACTTTCACAAATCACAAAGTCAGAAATGTTTCATGCACAACTGTGGAACAGTTGACTAATTTTCCAGACTTTGAGGTATAATTTGTTGGCTCTCATCTTCACAATGCCAGTCTGGAGAATAAGGAGAAGGCAAAAAGAGATTTCTTAAAAGTCTTATGAATTAAGTTATATGTAAATAGCCAGTATGGGAGACTTCATACTTCGGGAATAATCAGAGTGAGATATCTACCTAGATCCTCCTAAAAATAGTATTACAGAGGAAAAAAGGAGAAAACAACCAATTATAACATTCCTGCTTTACTGAATCATAATAGTGCAAATTTTATTTAATTTTAATTTTTAAATTTAATTTTAATTTTTTTTTTTTTTTAAAAAACGGAGTCTCGTTCTTGTTGCCCTGGCTGGAGTGTAATGGCGGCACGATCTCGGCTCACTACAACCTCCACCTCCCGGGTTCAAGCAATTCTCCCAACTCAATCTCCCGAGTAGCTGGGTTTACAGGTGTGCGCCACCACGCCCAGCTAAGTTTTGTATTTTTAGTAGAGATGGGTTTTCACCATGTTGGCCAGGCTGGTCTCGAACTCCTCATCTCAGGTGATCCACCTGTCTCAGCCTCCCAAAGTGCTGGGATTACAGGCATGAGCCACCACTCCCGAACACTGCAAATTTTAGTTTTCAAATTCATGCAGACTACAACCAGGAAGTGATGGTAATATTGTTTATCATAACCGATAGCTGTGACAAACCTGAAGCCAGGCTTTGGCTGCCTAGTTTGGTGTTACCAGGCAAAATTGTAAAGTAGGTGGCCTTCAATCTATTTTTTCATACCTCTCCCCTGCCTCCTTAATGGCTTTTTAAAATCACCTTCTATGTTTACATAAAAATTTAGGCTAACAACGTTTCTCTTTGACTTTCAAAAAAAAAAAAGTCTTTTTAAAAACATACTTAAGCATTATTTTTAATTGTTCCTCTTTCTTAGAGGAAATTAAAAATGAATGTCCTCTGTGGATATACAGGGCCCTCATGCTACTCCTAATTCCCTTGAGTAGGGGCTCAAACAGGCCCTCTCACCAAAGACCTCTTGCTCTGCATGTCTTCTTTCATTCACCTGGCTCCTCAGTAAAATGTTCCATTCCCTCACAACCCACAAAGTAGCCAGAGAAGAGTAGTTAAAATAAAGGTATGAAATATTGATATTATTAGCTATTCTCATTTCTATTTTACAGACAGATCTGGTTTAACTTAATGCAGCCTGAGTTGGCAGAGGTTATTTGGGAGGTCTTTTGGGCAGAGGAATCTTCCTAATATCCCTTGTTAACTCCTCAGAAGAAAGGTTTTTAAGAACTTCACGTGACATTTAGATCTCTCCTCTAGATTTGGGGCTCAGAGTTAAGTGTCTTTGTCATATGCATGGCAGTGGGAGATGGTCATGAGGCAGAATGTAAGAAACATACCCGACATGTAGCTAAATGTTCTTAGCTTAAGAGCCCATGAGAGAAATAGTGCTCAACTCCAGAATGAACAACCAATTGTCTGAAGTCTATATATGAAAGACCAGATTGTCCCTAACTTATATAATACATATTTTATTTTTATTTATTTATTTGAGACAGAGTTTCGCTCTTGTTGCCCAGGCTGGAGTGCAGTGGCAGGATCCCGGCCCACTGTAACCTCCGCCTCCTGGGTTCAAGTGATTCTCCTGCCTCCGCCTCCGGAGTAGCTGGGATTACAGGCGCCCGCCACCACACCCAGGTAATTTTTGTATTTTTGGTAGAGACAAGGTTTCATCGTGTTGGCCAGGCTGGTCTCAAACTCCTGACCTCAGGTGATCCACCTGACTTGGCCTCCCAAAGTGTTGGGATTACAGGCGTGAGCCACTGCACCCAGCCCATATTTTATGTAATACTGTTTTTTGAAATAGCCATTCTATGTTTAAATGAAACCTTAGGCTAAGAGCATTTGTCTTTGACTTTCAAAAAGAAGCCTTTATTTTAAAACATACTTGGGGATTATTTTGAATTGTTGCTCTTTCTTAGAGAAAATTAAAAATGTAGATATGCCTATGTGCTTACTTGGAGATGTACTATAGCTCTAAAAACTATAATATTTTTAAAGAGTACAGGTAAATTATCTTGTAGAATGCGGATTTGCTTGATGTTTCCTCATGATTAGATTCAGGATATGCATTTTTGGCAGGGGAACTGTTCCAGATTAAAGGAGGTTGAAGAGCCATGATAACTAAATGCAACATGTGGGCTGGGATTTTTTTTCTCTTACTATAGAGAATATTAGTGGGAGAACTGATAAAATTTAAATAAAGTCTATAGATTAAGTGGTAATTTATCAATGTTGATTTACCAATGTTGATAAATGTACTATTATACAAAAGAATGTTCTTATTTTGAAGAAATACACACTTAAGTATTCAGGGGTGAAGGGGCATCATGTTGCAATTTATTCTGAAACATTCAGAAAAAAATAATGTGTGTATGTGTTTCTAGAAAAAAGATTAATAAAGGAAATGCAGTAAAACATTAATATTTGGGGAATCTGGGTGAAGGGGGTATCAAAATCTGGACTAACCTTGTAACTTTTCTGTAGGTCTAAAATTATTTCAATATAATTTTTTTAAAGCTATAAAATAGTTTGAATGTGTTTATGCACATGTTAGATTACTCCCAAATTTACATGTATATTTAGGCAAGGAGATCTGAAAGGCAAATTTCAACCTGAAACTTTAATTTCTAAGATCTACTTCACAGTAAATCAAACCCAAATGCTGAAGCTATTTAGCAAGCCTGCCTGTCTACAAATTGGATCACAGTGAGGGGAATGAAAGGAAATAAATTAAATAAAAAGTAAGTTAGTCACAAAATGTTATAAATTAGAAATGTTTTAAAATTAGTTTCTTTTTCTTTTCAAATTTAGATGATAAAATATTTTATCAGCACTTGGGAAAATTACCCGTCATTTTATAAATGGGCAGGCCCTTAATGTGGGCCTTAATATACAAATAACTGCAAAATTCCAAAATACACTCTCTTTTAAAAGTAACAAATATATTAATTCACTTTATATCAGTTGCAAATAAGTTAGTACTTTGTTAGGACACGTCTCTAGTTCCTACTGTGACAAGAAAAAACTTTCACTGCAATATAATGGTTTAAAGTAATATTGGTCAATTAATTAAATCAGGCCATATTCCAGAAGACCAAGTTATATTAGACTTTTTACAGATAATTTTTAAGGTATCACTTTGCACAGAGAATACAAGTAAAAGTATACATGACACATACACAGAACCATTCATAAGAAATGAAAAAAATATTACATTGCTTTAAAGGCAATGTGAACTTTGCAGAGAAGTGGGGTTGTATTTAATCTCCAGTGCCCACATCATTGTACATTCAATTAAATTAGATTAGAAAACTGGGCCATGTCACTGAGTGCTGATGCCTTTTCATGATTCAGAAAAGCAACATGGCTTGTGGAACCCTCCTGACATGCCATTCTTTCTAGCCAAAGGCCATCCCTGCTCTTTAGAGCATATTCAGAAATGAGGCACAAAATGAAAACTCACAACAAAGAGCCGCAGAAGAGTCATGGAGAGTGAGTCATACTGTTTGGGGCAGGCTGTATGGCCATGTAATCAGGAAAGAAGAGGGGAACAAATTCTTTAGATTAAAAATGACCTTAAAATTGTGCATCGACCAAAAATTGTGTGTGCATAGGTGCACAAGAGAGAGAAAGAGAGAGACACACACAAAATAAGAATGAATGAATGAATAGGGAATTTGACTTTGGATTGCACAAGGTATCCTCAGGTCTGCTCTTTTCTCTAGAAGGGAGTAGTTTCTGTTGTCAGATATTAGAGCATGAACTTGGACCTTTCCCAGTGGTCACATGAGCATTACTATCAGCACTGTTTAGCCCAGACCAGTAAACAGGAATTGATGCTGAACTCATTACAACTTAGTCCCGACAGGCTTGATATTTATGGAGTGCAAATATAAATGAGTTTCTTAAATAGGGAAATGATATGGAACAACACAAAGATCAAACAAAGGGTTCAGAATCAGGCAGATCTGGGATCAACTCCTAACTCTATCATTTGCCAGATGTATGGCCTTAGGCAACTAATTGAACTTCTCTGGGCCTTGATTTCTTCATCTATAAAATGGGGATAATCATACTTATTCTGCAAAAATTCTTTGAGGATTAGATGAATTGACAGAGCTTGCCTCACATTGATACAAAAAAGTGTTCGTCACGAGGGAGAAAAGGTTGGAATGCCATAAACTGAAATGAGGCATGTAAAAAAGGAAAGGTTATCAACATTCAATCTGAAGGCTGATTTTAAGCACAGGCTTGCATAGAAATCCAAACAGCACCTATGCAAAGTAAGAGGTATGCTGGTCAGACTTCAACATCTTTTGTTAGGTTTTTATTATGTCTGTTTGATGTTAGAAGAGAGTTGCTGACACCTCTCAATTATCCACAGGTCAGTATCTAGATTTTGGCCTTGACTTCTTACCATTTCTTGTTATACTCTTCTTATTCTGCTTGTTGACATTTGTACTTCTCTTGCTTTAGCACAGCAAAAGCTAGAAGACAAACTCTATTCAACTTAACCAGATTAAAACTTCCTGTACCCAAAGCAGGGGTTGAGTTGGACAAGTGATGTGTCTGAGCTAGACAGAAGACAATTTCTTGTTTTACCATCAGTCTGAGTGGTGGTGCCAATGATCCCTAGCAAGAGTGGGGGAAGCAGGGAGAAAAGGTGAGGCATCAATGGGCCTTCAGCTCTTTCTGACTGGGGTCCTCGCAGTTGGATCTCATTCCTTCATGTCAAGTAGAATGATGCTCATCACATGAGCTGCATCCATATTCAAATGCTTACTATAGAACAGAGTTATGAATAAGAATAATTTGGAGTTGCATGTGTTACAACTTCTTCTTAAGTTGCATGATAAAACAGATAGTTAACTTCAAGCAAACTGCTGCCTGGTATTTGAAAATAAGTGCAAGTGAGTGACACACATGAGGTCATATAGTCATACTACACAGAAAGAAATACACTCTTCCACCTTACTGCCTCACTGAGAACATGATTGTAACTTTTTTTTTTTTGAGACAGAGCCTCACTCTGTCGCCGAGGCTGGAGGGCAATGGCGCGATCTTGGCTCACTGCAACCTCCGCCTCCTGGGTTCGAGTGATTTTCCTACCTCAGCCTCCCGAGTAGCTGGGATTACAGGCATGCACCACCACGCCCAGCTAATTTTTGTATTTTTAGTAGAGACGAGGTCTTGCCATGTTGGCCAGGCTGGTCTTGAACCCCTGACCTCAGGAGATCCACCTGCCTTAGCCTCCCAAAGTGCCAGGATTACAGGCGTGAGCTGCCACTCCCAGCGAAGATCGTGATTGTAATTTTATACTGCCTAGTGGATGGACAACTTCTATTGGCAGCGTCATGACAGCTAAATGTACTGATGGATGGTACGTGATGGTACTGTGTAGCTTAGTTAGAAAAAAAGAGTGGAGGGGAAAAAAATCTACAAGGTTTTATGCCTGTTTATCAGTCTCTCAACCTTTTATAATTTTAAGGGACTTTAAATCTAAGACATGAGTAGCTAAAAAATGATGAAAGATGAAAACTGAAAATTAAGAGCTATATATTATTAGGTTAATGTGAGTTAGCACCTCTCTGGTAATAATAGGACAGTTTGCTTTTAGAGACTGAGTTGTGATATCAATAATTGTTAGTACCAGTATTTGACAACAAAATTCATTTGGGGAGAGGGAGGAGCAGGATTCCTTGCTTTTAGAAAAACACGATTTAAACCTCATGCAAATCAATTTTTGTGTTATTGTACTGAATTTTCCTATGATTTCCAAAGGATCACCTTATAGACTTAGTCATATAGATTGTCCATATATTAAGTCTCATTCGAATTTGACAAACTTTTCTAAGTGAATGAAAGTTGATTTTCCCCACCACTGAGAAAGAACTATACCCTTCCATTTTAACTCAGTTAAAAGTGGGGAGGAAATATTAAAAAGTAAAGAACAGCTTCTGAATTCAATTTATTCTTTTTTTCCCATTAAGACTAAGTTGAAAATTGGATATCCAATTTACCACCGAGAGGGTATTCAAATATTCCTGCTCAATCCCTCATTGCTTCTAAATTCACTCAAAGGCAAGATTATTAATTCCTCCTGACAGAAAATCAAGATTTAATGAGCAGCTGACAGCCCTTAGGAATTACGGGAGAAATTTAATATGATAGTTTTGACTAAATAATGTGCTTTTACATATATGAGAAACATATTATGCAGAATAATGAACATACAGTAAATGTTAGTTTAGCTGTTAAATCTTGGACAAGTGATTAATTTTTTAAGAATATATATATATATATATATATATATATTTTTTTTTTTTCATCAAACTTAAAAAAGAGCCACTTCTTTTCCAACATTGTTACCTATGCATTTTAGCAGATGGCCACAATATTTCCTCACATTCATTTTTAATTCAACTAAACAGTTATTTTGCCTCTTATTAACTGCAAAGTATGTTAGGAGATAGAACAAAATGATGTCTCTACTTTCAGGTCTTAAAATTTGGTGGATGGTGGAGACAAGATACAGAGACAACTCTAGCCCAAAGAGGAATTAAGGTGCAATGGGAGATAAACAAGGAGAAATAGCTTTGGATTTGAGGTAGCAGTGTGTGTATTCAGGAGAAAAGTCTTCATGAAGAAATCTGTGTTTGAAACGAGCCTTGAAGAGTGGCTAGGGTGAAAGTGATCAACAAAGACATAGAGGTAGGAAAGGTAAGATATAGTCAGAGAAAAGGGCATCATTCACTTAGGATGGAGTAAAGGGTAGATGAGAGGAGTAGGGGAAAATATACACAGAAAAGATCTACTGGGGCCCAGTGCGGTGGCTCACACCTGTAATCCCAGCACTTTGGGAGGCTGAGGCTGTGTCTTTGCTATTCTCACAGCTGCCGGGTACACCATGCTTGTGTACATAGTAGGTCTGTAATAAAAACTCTGGGAATTGAATAAATTGTAAAATTATTTTTTCAATGCATTAAAAAAAGTTTACTTTTTCTTAAGCCTTCTTAAACCTCTTTAAAAATACGTTAACTTGCCTTTCTAAGATGAAAACATGAAGAGAATGTTAACCCAATGATTCAGACAACTTATAGAGTGCCACCTGAAAGAATGCCACTGCTGAAGCTCTGGTAGTCTGTACAGTCTGGTGACCCTTGAACCAAAACTGTTAAAGTAACATCTTGTGGTACATGTTATAGGAAAACTGACTTTTAGTAAGTAAAAATGACCTGGCCTAAGTTACTTCTGTATAGGCTTTTAGCTTTCAGACAGCCTCCACAGGGAAGTAATATCAAGACTAAAATCGGTGTGGAAAAATGGAGATGCAGCAACACTGTGTCTGTGTACTGAGATGATTTCTGGCCTCTCCTCTCTTTAGAGGAACACTCTACAACAAACTAAAAAGAGGCTGCTAACAATCCACTTATAAGTTTCATTTTGTTGATGGTAATGACAATTGAATCACTTTGGTTTGAGATACTCTATGTCATGGTTAACATATCACATAAAATAATATGCCTTTAAGTATGTATATTACTGATTTAATATTGTACTAGCTTTCATTTTTTGGAAAGAAGATATGTTTTCTATGCTTGGAATGCAATTTAAATAAGCCTTACCAGTCTTCCCCTTCCCTTCCAGCTACAATTTCATGTGCTATTATTTGTATCTCTAGTGAAGTGCTGGGGTGACAATTGAAGGAGTTTGACAGGGAAGGGCACTTCTTGTGCTTTTGATGAATAAGTATAACATGAAGCAATTTCTTTTCTATCAATGGTCAATAATGCACTTAGGAAGAATGTTTAACAATTATTATAATAAAGCATCAAACGATCTATTTACATTTAAGGTTTCTGATAGATCTGAGCGCGATAGAGAAATCATAGTACTTGTTTATTGAATGAATACAATGTAAATATTTCTCATTATTATTAACTTTTAAGAGAGTCAAAATATGTAGAGACATTTTAAAAATTGTTAAATAGAGGCTGTACCGGGAGCACTATACAATGGTGGACATTAAAAATAGTTCCTCCTGGGCAGGCATGGTGGCTCACGCCTGTAATTCCAGCACTTTGGGAGGTTGAGGTGGGCGGATCACTTGAGGTCAGGAGTTTGAGACCAGCGTGGCCAACATAGTGAAACCCCATCTCTACCAAAAATATAAAAAATTAGCCGGGTGTGGTGGTGCACACCTGTAATCCCAGCTATTCGAGAGGCTGAGGCAGAAGAATCACTTGAACCTGGGAGGTGGAGGTTGCAGTGAGTCAAGATCGCATCACTGCACTCCAGCCCAGGGTCGACAGAGTGAGACTCTGTCTCAAAAAAAGAAAAAAGAAAAAAAAATTCTTCCTAAGAATGCACCACATTTGCCATGATTATTTTCATATTCCTGTAAATTCTGTGACATTTTAAATATGGACACATACTATGTGCACCTTCTTCCATGTAGAGGTGGAATCCATTTCATTACCCCTTTAACCTGGGCTGGCCTTGTGAACTCCTTTGACCAACAGAATGCAGTACAAGTAATGATGTGTGACTTCTGACCTAGGACTCAAGAGACTGTGTAGTCTCCATTCTTGACTTCTTGGAACATTACATGCGCCATGTAAGAAGCCTGAGCTCCCTTCTGGAGAAGCCATGAAATTTGAAATGCTGGGCTGACATTGCCAACTAACCACCAAACATATGAATGGGACTACCCTGGACCAATGGGCTGCAGTTTTGTGAGTGACTTCAGATGAGACTAGTGGCAGGAACTGCCAGGCTGAAGCCAGCCCAGATTGCAGAATCGTGAACAATGATTTTAAGCCATTAAGTTTTGGGTAGTTTGTTCTACAACAACAGATAATGGAATATACTTTCTGAGAATAATACCATTTATTGAGCCCCGCATTCTTTCTACTCTTGTCTTGTTGGTTCTTTGCACTTTTCATCTTGGTCTTAGCCTATTTATTGAGTATTTCTTGGGTTTAGAAAACACTCCCTTGTCGTTTTCCCCACCATATATCGGTTATGTTTTTGCTACTGAGTTTAGCTTATATGTTTAAGATCAATACAAGCAGAGTCTTGCATTCCAGGATACGTAATGATATAACCATCACCCACAATTCTGTCAGGGAAGTGAATTGGATTGTCTCCCTTGGCCATGGTGTCACTGATAGGTAGAATGTGTGAAAGGGCAAAAAGCTAATCCATCAGCTTTGAACCTAAAATACCATCAAGAAAGATATGCTGAGAAGTCCTGTTTCATCACACTTAACAGGTAATAGTGAATTACCTTTTCTGAGCTGGCACTCAAATAACTGCCTTCGCTTAGAGCAAAATCAGGATATGGGATTAAATGATCAAACCTATGTTGATATTTACTTACACATAATACAAATAAGATACCCATAATATACTTGAGTTCTCCAAACAAATACTTTAGTGTGGAATTCTGGGCCTGTAGCATCCAGAATGTAGCATCCAGAATTTAAGCATTCAGAAATGCTTAAACTCTCCTATAAGCCTCCACTAGGGTGTTGTCCCAGGGTCTTACCCATCCCTCAACTTGGAGCCTGAAAAACTTACTGAAGACTTTCTGACTGGGAGGTTGACATAACTTACCACACAACTGTTACAAATTAATAAGGCCATGGAAACAGCTCTAAGATGCCTATCAAACTGCTTAATCTCATGCCTATCGGATAATGCATTTCAAATCAGCTCTCTGCTGATTCACTAACGTCAGTTAGGCCTACACAGTGCTTCCAAGTAGGCTTATATGCAAAAACTACCAGAAAAACTGATCATTAACTTTCTTCTCAACATGTTGTATTAGGAGATTTCAGTATCTTTCTCTGCATGACTTTTTTGCAACCCTCATACAATTTACCCCCCAAAAATTTTAAAGCCCAACATGATCCTAATTGGTAATTTAAATTATACATTTTTATTTCTCCTAGGAGGAAACAGAAAAATGCTTCTTTAGAATTATAGAAGGATGTTTATCTTTGTTTTTGTTACCATGTTTCCTGTCCACTCTCTTGTCCAGGGCACATAAAGGAAAAAAGATTCTAGAAAGTAATCAGTGAAGTCAGACTGCCATGGGGTATGAACAGGTGTAGGCTCACCCTCACATGTGTGTGCACATATACACTATGAACACAGGAAAAGAGAACAATCACTCTGGGTTTGTCCCCCATTCCCAGCCCAAGTATATCATGGCATAGAAATGAAGATACATCTGCATTTCCTTGGAATATGGCAGAAATGGATAGAGAGTCACAAAGGACATATTTTGGATTGTTATACCTTCCTGTTGAGTACTTCATTAATCTGTCCCCTTTTGCACACCATATGTGATATGCGGCAATGTTGACTGGAAAGATAACTTGAGAGGATGGAAGTTTGCTTTCCTCTGTGATATGAATTTGCTTTCCCTTCTCCTAGCTTCAGTTATGGTATCACAGTACTTCTTTGTGATCTCATAATGATTCCTCTAGTATCTATAAAACTCATTTCATCCCAATTTTAAAAGTGCTAAATGCAAATGCTGCAGTGAACAAGTGCTGAGTACCCTAGTAAGTATCTAAGTGGATTGGGACCCTTGCTAAATGTAATTAAGTCTCTTCTCTTCTACTTAACCCTTGACTCTATTTTTCTTTAATTTCCTTGGCTTCCGAAACAGAATTCTAGTTTGTCGCTTAATATTTTGGAGGAAACGTCATGTTTAATTGGGAAGTTAGGTTATCCATGAGGCATGGGTGATTTTTATTGTACTTATAAGATAGTTTATTTTTCTTATCTCCCTGCTTATGCTTGCTAGCACTTCCTCAGATTTTTTCTCTCTCCTGAGAGCTCAAGAGAGACACATGTACATATGAACATACTGCCACTAGTAAGCTCAATGTAGTTGTATAAACAATTACTTTAAAAGTCACAGAATTATTGTAAATATAACATTTTAACTATCTATAACTGATGATTAACAAAGGTACGGAAGGTCATGCATCTTCATTTCTAGAAAATATTTCCAACAAAGCTGCCACATTACTGTTTTGCTTCTAGTCTATCTTTATAGCTCATTATTATTTGTCAAGCACTTGCCTGTACAGTGTTAACATTCTGCAGCACCTACCATTTTATACGTGATTGATTTGTATATTTATTTATATCTTCTAATTGGTTGCATAATGATCAATTCTCTATTAATAAGTTGGTGATTTTTTCTTTGCGTTTTTAATTTACAACATGACTTTTAAAACATGCAAAACAATGAAATATGATTTAAACCACTGTGAAGCTAACTATGACTTCACTTAATCTCAGCAAGTTGCTAATTACCAGAAAATTCTACTGCAAAGTTTGCAAATCAATTAAAAACTATTCAAATCTGGTTTGCATGTTTCCACAAGGATAAATGATATAGCATATTTTCTCAGCTCCTGCGAAGGTGTCTGTTCCCATTTGACATTCCCAACTTCCTGGAACTCTTCTTTGTTTAATTAAACACACATGAGCACGTGCATGGGGGTGGGAAGGGAAACCAGACAAAGGTAAACAAAACAATAGAAAACTGTGTCCATTCATCTAAGCCTTAAAAAAATGTAAAAAATTTTCACTCAGATCCTATCAGTGACTCACTACTGTACATATATTTCTATTCTGTATCCCAAATTGAGCAATTTTGGGCAAATACTTGCTAATGTGAACAGTGTACTGAGTATGACAAGGATAGAAGACAAGCATTGTCTTTAGGGATCTTTCACTGATAGAGCAGATGGATAATCATGGGCCAGTCACTTAAATTAATGCTTCTGGAAAGCAAAACACTGTTTATCCAGTGGCATTTCTTTGCTCATTTCCTTCACTTGTAAATTCAGCATAATCCTAAATAATCTATAATGGGGTAAACATGCAACTCATGTCTTAATGGATGAGTATTATATCCTTATAACATGGTGGGGACAGTATGTGAAGTAAGTATAAATTTGTGTATTTTTTTGTGGTTTGTTTTCTTATCTTCCATGGTACCTTCCAGTAGAATAGGGTCTTAAGATAGAATTAATTCAGTTACAAGAAAATAAAGAAAATTACATTTCTTATGCATCTTAGTTTACTGATTTCAGATTCATACCAATTATATCTATCAAAAGACTATGATTTCTAAGCTCTTTTAAAATTAAGTGCCAAAATTAAATGAATGAATAAACAAAATAACCTGTCAAAAGAAGTTATACATATCTGTCTACACCAAGGGAGTCTTAATGTGATTGCCAGGTACCTGTTTGTTCGTCTTGTACTATTGCTTTAAAACTAAATTATTCTGCTTTTAGAAAATGACATAGGCTGGTATCTGGCTTAAACCTAATGAAACTCAAGCGAATTCCAATTTTGAACCTTCAATTTCTTCTAGAATTTGGCTTTTAAAAACCCCAAAATATTTGAAGGTCGGTATCAAGAAAAGAGAGGAAAGACTACATTGTTTTATGTCAGAATTTTGTCACTCCTTTTACCCTTTAGAGAACCTTGGGCCTTCTGTGGAGACCTCTCTGGGAGATCTACTCTAATCATAATTGAAAATCTGACTGTATTTTTTTCAAGCTGCAATGCCTCACTGCCATTTTTATAGTTAAGGCACCACAGAGAGTGGGATGGACTGGAATCATTCTGACCACTGACAAATATTTTGTGCATTGAAAGATTTTGTGGGAGGGTAAGCTATATAGAAAGCTATTTAATTCTTTTGATCGGGTTACAAAACCAGTTGTCTTAATGCAGTGAGCAAGGTGATGTTGTTTTTTTCTTCTTCTTTCTAAGTATATTTAACATTTAAAAATGAAAGTGGTCTGTGGGTTGTAAATGAAAACAAAACGAAAAACAAAAACTAAAGACAGACTGATTAAATATAGTTCAAGTTATTCTCAGTAGTATTAAGATACAGAATCCTAGTGGAGTCTTGAATCTATGTATGGGGCAACTTTCTTTATTCAGTGTTTTAGAGATGGATCTACTTAGATAGAAATCAACCACAAACGAAAAGTCAATTTAGTTTATCTTCACTTTTGACTTTATTTGAGAGGGAGTTTCTGGCTAGCACAGCATCCTTTTCAATTTGTTTCAGTATAATGTGCAGCAGATACACTTGATTAATGAACTGATTAGCAACTTCTTTAATTCTTTTCCAGTAGTTTTTTCATTATCAAAGCTGCAGTGAATCCATAAAGTTAGTGTTCTTTAACTTTAGTAAAAACTTTATAAACAAATTTTTTTTTCCTAAAAAGGATTAACAGAAAATATTAAAAATGTTTAATTTCAAAATAGGTTTCTAAGACCTCTCTTACATATAAATCCTGTATCTTTCATTTCTCTAAAAGCTGTAAATGCAAGGGATCACAAAGCTTTCACAATATAATAGTTAAGATTATACTAAGCAATATGGAGAAAATTCTAGATTTTATTTATAATTCAGTAATCTTTAAGCCATATTATGTATAGAAATGATAGAAATAAAATATTCAATAATTTAGTACAAAGATAAACCAGGCTAGATATTGGATTTGACTTCTGTTAATGACATATTGCTGCCTAATAAATTATGGCAAAATTTAATGGCTTAAAACAATAAATATGTATTACCTCACAGTTTCTATATGTCAAGAATTTAGTCTTGGCTGGGCGCGGTGGCTCACACCTGTAATCCCAGCACTTTGGGAGGCCGAGGCGGGCAGATCACGAGGTCAGGAGATCGAGACCATCCTGGCTAACATGGTGAAACCCCGTCTCTACTAAAAATACAAAAAATTAGCTGGGTGCGGTGGCGGGCGCCTGTAGTCCCAGCTACTGGGGAGGCTGAGGCAGGAGAATGGCGTGAACCCGGGAGGCGGAGCTTGCAGTGAGCCGAGATCGCACCACTGCACTCCAGCCTGGGCAACAGAACGAGACTGTCTCAAAAAAAAAAAAAAAAAAGAATTTAGTCTTAGCTTAAGTAGTGTATCTGGCACAAGGTCTATTATGAGGTTATAGTCAAGCCACTGATCAAGGCTTCGATTTCAAATAAGGTTCAACCAGGGCAAGACCTTCTTCTAAGTCCATTCACATGGCTGCTGGCAACCAGGTTTTCCTGGACATGTGGCCCACTCTATAAACTGCTTAAGTGTCCTCACAACATGGAAGCTCATGATCTGTGAGACAGAGAGTGAGCACAGAAGATGGAAGGGAACCACATTCTTTTTATAACCTAATCTCAGAGGGGACATCCCATCAATTTCTCCTTCTATTGTTAGAAGCCAGTCACTAGGCCAACCCCAAACTCAAAGAACATGAATACCAGGAGGCAGGAATCATTCGGAACTATCTTAGAGGCTGTTTACCACACCTAACTAACCTGTTAAAATTAAGTGAACGTATCTACTTAAATAAACTCAAGCCTTATTATAGCATCACTTAAGTGGTTTCTGTCTCTTCCCGTCTATCATGATTGCCCAATAGACATTCAAATATAAGATAGGATTTTGAAATTCTACCACTCAAAAACCTCTAATACAGAATGATGTTCAAACTCCCCAGTCATATATTTGGCCTTCCAGGATCTGACTTCTCACTCTAGTTGCACTGGGCTACTTGTAAACATTGCATGCTTTTCCATCTTTATGCCCCCTCTATCTGAAATACCTCCCTATCCTCCTAGCCCATTTTTACCTACTGACGTTTCCTGCATTCATTTAGGGCCCAATTCAAATACTTTTTCTGCCCTTAATGCTTCTGAGATGTCCCTAGTAAAATTCAATCCTTCTCTCCTCCATATGTCCATATAATTCAGTTTTACCTCTATTGTGAAATATGAATATATAGTGTAATAAAAATATGTGAATATATATGTTTGCTTCCTCCAATGAACTATATGGTCCTTGAAAACAGAGATTATGGTTTATTCAGCTTATTTTCAACCCTTACAGTACCTAGCACAATACCGTGCTTATAATTCAGCAGTAAAGAAATGTATTTTAGACTTAATTGCTTGTGTACAATTTCGTATAATTTTTATATAATCCAGGTCTGTATTGTATCCCACTCAATCTGATGACATGCTCTTTGGTGACAGAGTTTTATGAGGTTTCAGGGTACATGATTTTCAATCCAATATTTAAACATACTTGAAAAAAGTGTAACTGAACTGTTGGATTTATGGGAGAAAGGTGTGAAGCCAAAATGCTATAGAAAGAAGAGGTAAGTGATCCAGTACAGAAATTCTACAAACAGGTATTTCTAGCATGGAATATTTGAAGACATTGGTAATTTGATATACTCTGATACAAATATGAAATTGTTATGTGTATTTTAATATACTTGTCATACCTGTACAATAGTCTACTTAAAAAGAGCTAGTCAAAATGTTGAGGATAAATTTCATGTAGTAATAATGTGTTAAGATCAGAATAATAGAATTTTTAAAAAATTTAAAAGCTGACTCATATGATATTTTCATTCCAATGAGCCAGAAGTACTAGTGTGGCTTCATATGGTCAATACTATATCTGAGTGCTTTGATGACAAGGGCTCTTCATGGAAAATTCCACATTGAGTTTTCAAGGTGAAAAATGGTCTTAAGTTTTCAGTGAGATTTATTTTGTCCTTGTCCATAAGATGCTACATATTATAATAGCTGAGCCTGAGTTAGCACTGATAAGCTTTTAAAATTATATTTCCTTATGATATACTTACCTGCATCTTCCTCTAATTCCTCATTTAGTAAACTTCTTGAAATTCTTAGAATCCTTTGATATTAAAAGTGTTCCCTTTGTGTGGTATCCCTATGAAGTATAAAGCAATTGTATCATTTACATAGCACTTTCCCTAAGGATGTGTAAAAGGTTGGAATGAAGACTCTATTCTCTGTTGTTTGTATAAATTGTGTTCACCAATGTTACCATGTACTGGGACCATAGTCTTTTAATCACTTCCTATTCTTATTCTCTATAACATATAGTACTTGAAACAATAATCAGTATATATTTGTATACTTTGTTATTTAAAAAATATAAAGCTAGATGATAGTGACCTTGGGCATGATCTATTCTTTACCAAGTATTTAAAAACCCCATTTGGCCGAGTGCAGTGGCTCACGCCTGTAATCCCAGCACTTTGGGAGGCGGAGGCAGGTGGATCACTTGAGGTCAGGAGTTCGACCAGCCTGGCCAACATGGTGAAACCCCGTCTCTACTAAAAATATAAAAATCAGCTGGGTGTGGTGGCGCGTGCCTGCAATCCCATCTATTTGAGAGGCTGAGGCAGGAGAATCGCTTGAACCCAGGAGGCTGAGGTTGCAGTGAGCCGAGATCATGCCACTGCACTCCAACCTGGGCGATAGAGTGAGACTCTGTCTCAAAAAAATAAATAAATACAATTAGAAAAAAAACATTTTATGGTATACTTTCAGGGACTTTCTGATTTTAAGAATCCAACATCACTGTTCATATAACATTTAACTTTCCCAATACACATATCTTTTAAAATAAAATTTTATTTTAGAATAATTTTAGGTTTAAAGAAACATTGCAGAGATAGTATAAGAGTGCTCATAAACTCTGTACCCACTTTCCCCTGTTGTAAATATCTTATACTAGTGTGCTACATTTGTCAAACAAATAAACCAACATTGATAAGTCATCATTAACTGAAGTCCATACTTTATGCAAATTTCCTTAGTTTTTACATACTATCCTTTTTCTGTTTCGGGATCTCAGCCAGTATACAGCATCACATGTAGCTATCACATCTCTTTGGGCTCCTCTAGATTGTGACAGCTTCTTAAACTTTCCTTGTTTCTGATGACCTTGATACTTTTGAGCAGTAATGGTCAAGTATTTTGTAGAATGTCCCTCAATTTGGGTTTGTCTGACAATTTCCGCATAATTAGACTGGGGTTATATGTTCTCGGGGAAGACAGAGGCAAAATGCCATTCTCATTGCATGAAGAGAACATATTATCTACCTGTCTTATCACTATCTCTAATGATGTTGATCTTGATCACCTGGCTGAGGTAGCCAATTGACCTACTTTTCATCATTTTTGTTTATCCAAAAGGCATTAGAGACTTAATGAAGTAACTAGAAAATAGTCACATAAGCTATTTAACCTATTTCACCTTACATATGTATATACTAAGTAGTCAGGATTCATGAGGATGTTAAAATTTTTCTTTCATTGTAACACTACAATAAGCTATTTATGGAGAATGTTAAGTAGAAAAGATTAAAATTTTAAAATTAAGAAATAAAATTAGGGTTATTACACTGAATAGAAGTTGCCTTTTGTGCAGTTCACTAAATATATAAAATACTGATTTGCAGAACTTACATAAGGATTTTTATAGTATAATATTTATATGTATATAATAAATTTTAATCTTTTTCAATGTGATAACTGAAAACTCTCATCTTCAATTCTTGAACATGACCAAGATATTTAGTAAATAAATGATACACATAATTTATAAGAATGGGGGTGAATGAAAACCATGTAGAAAAATTTAAGTAATCCTAGCCACAAGGATTTAGGCAATGTGGAAAGGCAAAAGAATAAAAATATATAAATTAAATAGAACATGACTAAATGAATGAGGTGATAATTTGTTAAAGAGATGGAAAAGCAAAGGCTGAAAAGTTTTAAAGTAAACAAATTCCAGAAAACTAAAGTAGTTAAAAAACTATAGAATTCTTCCATTTAAGTCAATAAAAATGCTTTTTTTTTAAGCAACACTGAAATTTTGTATATGTATACCCAGAGTACAACTTGTTGCAGAGCATATATACTGACTGTGAACATAAGTATTGATTCTAGAGCAAAAATCATTTGCTTTTAATTTCTGCTCATTTTGGTTGAGTTAGAATGAGTAAACTACTCAGAGGATACAGATCACTACGATTCCATAGAGAGCAATTTCCTTTATTAGAACATTGTCAAAGGAAATCAACGGTATTCTTCAGAAAATTACCAGAGTAAATTATTGTTTTTCTTCTCATTCCAAAAGAAATTAATACAAGATGACATGCAACTGTTGTGGTAAAGATTGGTTCAGGAATGAATCATCAATAGTAGTTAAGGCTAGAGGGGGAGTTTGATGTAGAGCAATATATTTACATGGTCGTAAAGTGTCTTTCCACAGATTGCTTATTAGTTGAAACAGAGAAAATAATACCTATAAAATGAAGGTATCAGGCAACACATTGACCAGATGATCGAAGTTAACATTACCAGTGAGGGACAGAGAGACATTTTGTGCCTCCAGATGTGAACCATAAGGACATACTTTGCTTATCTAGTAGTTAGGACAGAAGTACATAACCTGAATCTAATCATGAGGTAAATACAAATTGAGGAATCTTCTATAAAATAACTGACCAGTTTTCTTCATATTTAACAGTGTATGCAATGGTATGAGGAACTGTTCCACATTAAAGGAGACTAAGAAGACATAACAACTCGATGCAATGTGTGATTCTGGACTGGATCTTGCATTGGAGGAGAAAATGCTATAAAAGGTATCACTGAGACAGTTAACATCATTGGAACATGGATGGTTGATTAGATGGAAGTATTACATTAATGATACATTTCCTGAATTTGGTAACTTTGCTATTGTTACCTACAAGAATAATCTTGCTCTTAGGAAACAGTAATTGAAGTATTAAAAATTTAAGAGGCATAACAAAATGAATGTGGCTAAATGTTTAAAATGGTGAATCTGCACAAAGGGTATACAGGGATTTCCAAGTACTATTCTTGCAACTTTTATGTTCAAAATTCAAAAATATTCAAAATATTCATAATTATTGCAAAATGTAAAAAAAAAAATAGAAATAAAGATGAGTTTTGGGAACCCAATTCAGATACCTTATCCACTAAGATTAAATTTGACTAATTACAGATTAAACAGAGCGGGCAAAACCAAATTTTTTGACATCAATTTCCAGTCTCTGGGATTGCCCACTCTAGTGTCAGTCAACTGCCATGTCCTCAGACAGTCTATACAGAGACTTCCCCTGCTGACGAGGAGGAACTAATATCTTAATATGGGTTTTATTTTATGTTAAGTAAGGAGAAGGAATATTTACCAGTTTAAGATTGTTTCCATATTATGCTAGTGACTTTTACTTCAGTTATAATGAATTGAGACATTTCTTCAAACAGGATCACAAGATAAAAATAGTGCAGAGTTAAAGCTGCCTCTACTTTTGGACTTTGGATTTACTTTTTTGCATTTCGTTAGCCTATTTCAAACTCTTTCCCATTCTTAATAGTTGCTTGCTGGCAAAGCCGCTTCCTTTGTTTCACATAGGCTGCTTACCTAGCCAGTGCTGGGGAGAAGCCTCCTTCTGGGGATGACACTGGGCCACAATTCAAGATAGAATCAGATTTAGTGACACTTAAGATTTGGCCTAGACTAGAATACAAAATGAAAAGTAGAAGTTTTACAGCTCACCAAACTGCCTCTGCATTCACTCAGAAAAAAATGTTCCAAAGCGTTCAAGCTAGCTTTTCAGAAATATTATAGTTGTAAAATCTGTGACACCAGTAATAGTTGTGCCAAGCACGAGTTTTATTTTAGTAAGTTGTTTACCTATGCCAATATTTAAGTGTACTTCTGTGCAAAAAGATGTGGATAATAGTTCTCTTTATAGAAAAATCAATGTACCCAAATAGTCGTAAAATATCACAGTGTGTACATGCACATGCATTATGCAAGTACAAATAGATCTACATTGTGCCAGATGTGATCTAATCATCGTGGAAGCTCTGTTTAGGTATATGATATTAAAAAATGCTGAACAGGCTTTTTTCTCAGAGTGAAGCCACACATTCCACGTTACTAATAGCAAATTATATTTGACATGTAATTTTAAAATGAAGTTACTCTAATCTAAAGTAATAGTGCAACAACAGGGATAAGCAATGAAGCCTTTCATAAGACAAAATGGATTTTAAGATTCTAGAGAGTTTCAGTTACAAGTAATTAGAAATGAAATTTAGGACACGTAAAATGTATTTCTTTCAATGGTTAATTACATTTGGCCATCTATTGTTCCAAATGGTGATGGACTAATAAATTGTAATCATCATCTCTCTACATATCGAATTGTAATGTTCTCATAAGCAGTCTATACAACTAGAGAAACCTATTTCTTTCAATCCTAAAAATTTACTTCAGTAAAACACTGAGTTGTTACATACATGGATGCACACAGATATGTGCACATAACAGATAAACATTAGTATGTATATAAGCATATATACATTTAATTTTGGTCTTGTAAAACAGAATGGGCCTCTAAAAGGCATTTTAACTGTGATGTATGCTATGTCTGTAAAAATTAAGTTAGTTAGCCGATTTTACTGGAATACATATTCTAAATATCTCAGATTTATGATGGCATGCTTTGAGTCTAACGAGGTCTCTCAATATACAAGCTCTCTCTCCTCAATCTACAAATGTTATTTCTATTTCTTCTATTAGAAAACAAAGAAAGGAAGAAAAGGAAAGAAGAATAAAGAAAAATAATGTAAAATAGTAGTGGAAAAGGAAGTAAAAATGGAAAACGACTGGAAGAAGGAAGGGGAAGGGAGAGGAAGGAATGGGAAAGGGGGAAGACGGAAGGAGAACAATACAACCTATCTCTATTATTTCTAATCAAGTCGATGAGTGTTTCTAGAGAAAATTAAAGAGTCGTATATAATAGATTTATGACACTACAAATTAATGGACCAAAATTTTAAGCCCATCATACCTTTCATGTTTCCATAGTCACCTTCCCTACTCACCTCAAATCTGACCTTATCACCATCATGGCCTCTTTACCCACCACTCCACTGAACCTGCACTCACCAACGATCTACCTATGAAACCCAAAGGACTTCTTAGTACCTGTGCTCCTTGTTACTATATCCAAAGGACCTCACTGTAGTATAAGTCAGTATCAGCTACTCTTTCCTTATTGAAACAGTTTTCACTAATTGTCACTGTCCTCCTACCTCTTTATTATTTTTTAATGGATTCCAGTTCCTTGGAGAGATTCTCAATACTGTCATCTATTTTCTCAAACTTATTAATCATAGTAATTTAAAAAATCATGCTAATTTAAAAGTCTATGAGAATGTCAACAGCTGACTCATTGGTAGGTCTATTTCTATTGTCTGATTTTTCCCTTGGTTCAGTTTCTTCATAAGCCAATTAATGCATGATTAAATATAGACATTTTGTTTGCAGAAATCTTGGAGCCACTAGATGATATTTTCCTCCAGAGAGGGTTCTCTCTATCATTTATAGGCAGCTGGAGTAGAGGTAGATCACCTTAATCTAATCAAGGAATCAACGAACAAATAGGTGAAGTTGCAGTCTTTCAAAAGTTCAGTCTATATTTAGTTCATACCAATTCCTAAAGGGTAGGTTCTTTAAGAGTCCCAAATGAAATGCTGGGGTGTTTCTTGGGGCTGCTCCTCTGTGGAGGGCCCTGAACATTATTTTCTATTTCTTTTATACTATGAGTGGGAAAGCTCCACTCTGCTTTTCAGTCACTTACTGCTTGACGGGTTAGGCTTTTTCATCCCATGAACAGCTTAAGGATTTGGCAAATGCCTGGAGGTTAAAACTACTGAGTGCAAGTTCATTTCTCTACTCATCCACTCTCTTCAGGATTTTGGCCCCCTTCAGTACTGACTGCCTTGACAGCCCTCAATGTTTTCCTCTCTCTCTAAGCCTATAAGATAGCTGGAACTTCTGGTGACTTCTCTGTATCATGCTGTAAGAATTGGCAAATGCCCCAAAAGGAAATATGCCTCATTTCTCTGTAGTTTTCCTTGCTTGAGATTTTAACTTCTCAAGCCCTGGCTGTCTTGGCTACTTTCCAATGCCTTCAAACAGACTTTTTGTCTGTTATCTGGCTTATGTAGATATTCTTGGCAGAGCATTGTTCTGCCACAAGTTACTATACAATTTTCAGAAGTAGAAATCTCTCTTTGGCTATTTTTTTTTCCCAGTACTCTCTCTAGGCTTCTTGTTGTATGATTGAATCTTAAACATTATTTCTTCTTTCAGGAATATTTGCCTCTTGCCTAACTTCTGTTTTCCTGTTTCACTCTGACACATCTTTCTATATCAGTTTAGAATGCTCTAGGATGTGTGCTAATTCTGAAAGTCAGATTTAGGTGATTTTTCTATATATGCCCTTAATACCCAACAGTACCTCCACATTAGCACTTAACATAATTCATTATAATTCCTTATCTACTTATCTGTACCGTCCCCTTATCTGTAAAACATATGAGGGCAGATGTAATATCATGTGTACTACTGTATTCCAAGTACTTTGCCACTGCATCTCTAAGCACTTAGCACATTGCCTAGAACACAGCACAGTAAAAAATTGTTGAATAATTGTTGGTTCATCAGCTGGTAAACAGCAAAGAGAATTAACTATGTGGCTCTATATCTGTCTTCTTCTACCTCCTCTATTCTTCCTCTTTAGAGTAATCATACTCTTTTGTCCCCCACTGACAGCTCAATTAATGTGATCTTGGGAAATCTATCACACCTATATAACTTGAATAAAGCCAAGTTGCCTCATAGTTCCCTACCAGTACAGAGTCATATCCAAGTAAAAATGAATGTGAATACAAAACATGACTGAAAAACAATATAAGTAGTTACCAAATCCTTTCCAAGGATATCAAAGGAGGATTCCATTTATAATGTGCAACAGAACTAAAATCTTTTTTTTTTTTTGATACAGTGTCTTGCTCTTTCACCCAGGCTGGAGTGCAGTGGCGCCATCTCAGCTCACTGCAACCTCCGCCTCCCGGATTCAAGCGATTATCCTGCCTCAGTCTCCTGAGTAGCTGAGATTACAGACACGTGCCACCATGTCCAGCATATATATATATATTTTTGTAGAGATGGGGTTTCACCATGTTGGCCAAGCTGGTCTCCTGACCTTGTGATCTGCCCACCTTGGCCTTTTTTTCTCTATGTTTCTCTGACTCAACCTTTGACACTTAGAAGGTAGCACACTTCCAACATATCCTTCCGTCTTCCAAGATATAGTCCATACAACTTTCCATAGTTCGAATGTTTATCCCCCAAACCTCATGTTGAAATTTGATCCCCAATGTTGGAAGTGGGGCCCGATGGGAGGAATTTGGGTCATGGAGGTGGATCCCTCATGAATGACTTGATGTCCTCCTTGTGGTAATGAGTGAGTTCTTGCTCCATTAGTTCCTGAGAAAGCTGGTTGTTTAAAAACAAAAACAAAAACCTGTAAGCTCCCTTCCCTCTCTCTTTCTTGTCATTTGGTCTCTGCACATGCCAGCTCCCCTTCTCCTTCTGCCATAAATGGAATTAACCTAAAGCCCTCACCAGAAGCAGACGCTGGCACTGTGCTTCCTGTGCAGTCTGCAGAACCGTAAACCAAATAAATCTCCTTTCGTTATAAATTACCCAGCCTCAGGTATTCCTTTATAGCAACACTAAACAGATTAAGACACAACTGAAGACAAAAAAACAAATAACAACAACAAAAGCAAATAAATAACTCTCTTCCTACCTCAGCTCATGCAAGCTTTGCGGTTTACATATCATCTCCTTATAGTGTGGCTCAACTTAGCCTCTTTAACTTATTGCAACTTTTATCTCTATTTAGGACATTTATATAGGATGGCCTAAGAACTAAGCAAGAAAGAACTCCTTTTCCTTTGGTTGCTGGTGCTTGTGGAATGCTTGTGGTGCTAAAGTATAAAGTTGTTTTTTTAATCCTCATATTTGCATATAAGCCCCCTCTTCTCAAAATTTTCCTCTGGCACCATATCCTCTTCCTTTATCCTCTTCCCTTGTTTTATTTTCATCACTAGTCAAAAACTGACCAGAATCATAGCACAACAGTTGTACTACAAAACACTTAGAACCACAAAAAGGGAAGTAAAAGTTCACAAGTTTTAAAATCAGTTAGACTTGATAAAGAACACGTGTCATTTGAAGTCTTCAAAAATGCTCATGAGCCCTATTTTGAGATTTCACACAGTCTCCATCTACTTTTTCATCCTCTTATAATTAAACCTGTTTTTCCTCAAGCACCACCATTGAAGCCCAAAATATAAAATGATCTTATTCAACGTTATTGCTTTTGTTTAATTAGTAGTATATGATAAATGTGTTCACTACTGTTTCACTGCAAATGTATAGTATTTCAGTAACATTATTGGCTATCCTAGGGGAGCCCAACCACCATTTATAACACTGCCTTGGTAGGAAAATGCTTTCTGGATTCCAAACAACTGACATCTAAAGCAAAGTTTTCCCACTTGGGTAATCAGGATTCAAACAATAATATGCCCTACATCTGTCTACAGCCATTTGTAAGATAGGGACTGCCTGTATTTGAAAAACACACGCTGATATGTTGCTTTTAATCAGGGAAAAAAATGTTTGGATGATGAAGTTCCATGCCTAGATTTCTCTTCCTAGTTTTCAATTACATTCCTCCATTCTATCAGATTAGACTCATGTAAATCCTAAAGAAAATTCTGTCAGTACAATATATGCTCTACTTTTAATCTTAAAAATAATTTTCATGTACGACCCAGTTAAGTATTTGGGTTACAGAAACCTCTCAATAACTACAGTAATCACAGTTTTTCAGAACCAAGTAGATGTATTAGGACAGATGTTTTGTTTTCAAAATTCTAACTAATGAATTTAGAATTTTTCTTTCGCTTGCAGTGGGCCTGATCAACATGCTACTATTATATGTCGTTGCCTACCAGCATTAATTAGTCCGGGAACAGTAGAGGAGAAAATGGACAATGGTTATTTGCAGGGTTGGGGCTAGGAGCAGCTGAGAATTGGGTAGAGAATGAATGAGGAGTGCTTTTGAGTACGTACTGACATGTTGGACAGCAGAGTCATAGTTGGGTAGGGACAGAAATGAGATAGATGGAAAAGTTGAATGGGAAAAAGGCTTGTAGAATACCAAACGGAAAAGCAGAAGCAGAGTGGGTGTGGACTAGGAAAGGTGGAAGGAAGTGGACATGTTCAAATAAGAGAATTTTAGAGTACTTGGAGGTACAACAGTTTCAAGAGATAATGAAATCTAAATTGGTAACCAATGGTTCTAGGGAATCAATGAGAAGCTTGAGTCAAAGTTGACTCAGAGTTTGAACTTAGGTGACTGGGCTTATTACTGTTAGAGATGGAGAAGGTAGAAGGAGTAACACACTTTGGAGGCAAGACATACTTAGCACTATGCTGGAATGGATACTAAAAATAGTACAGTATTCAATGTCTATTCTTACCTTTTGTTACCAAGTGCTAAATGGATTTGGTGACTTTTTTTTTTTTTTTTGGCATTCCTTCTCATATGGCCTGACCACAATTTCTTTTTTCTATTCCCATGGATTCAACAAGAAGAGATACTATTTTAAGACTTCAAGAGCAGTGGCATTTTTGCCCTTCAGTTTGGCAGGTCACTTTAGGATAACCATTCGAAGCAACCTCATGTTCGGTGTCACAATCTTCTGTATAGAGCAATCTTTGCATGCCTGTTTCAAAGACATTTGTGGAGGCTATGATCTGCTCAGGGGAAGAAAAGCTTTCTCAGAGAAAACCACACACTCCTGCTTGAGGTCATTTTTGTTAGGAAACACGTCTGACAAGACTCCACTGATACTAACTAAACCTGCCATTCCAGGGTAAAGTTGTCTAAAGATGATGATGAACTTCTCTGGATAGTCAAAATTGTGAAGTGGTTGCCAGAGGCCTGGTTTGCTGACATTGATCAAGGTCAAATTTATGTACTCAAAGTAGGAAATAAGAAACACTTTTCATTTATTGCAGTCATGCAAATTAAGTTCACACTCAAGCGGCATATGACAAATAAGCCACAGGCAAAAAGAGTTTCTATCAAAATATTCAACATATAGTTCAGAGCATGAGCAGTTTATCTAGCCCCAGATGCTCCCTGTGTCATCAGTATCAAAAAGGCAAAGTCAGATAAAACTGTACTGGAATATGAGACTACATGTGGGCTGGTATATTACTGCCCTTTTGTGTTTTTATTTCTCCTAATAAATTATAAGGTTGATATCTAAAGTAAAAGAATATTGTATTCTTTGATATACTTATACTGTACCTCAAGGCTACCCTTTGTTTGCTGTTTGTTCTTTTGTTCATTCATCTACTCATTTATTCAAAAATGTCTGAAGGGCCTATTAAGTTCCCAATGACATGCTTAATGCCGGATCTACAAAGATAAATAAGACATGCTCCCAATGAGCTCACTATCTAATAGGAAAGACAGGCAGGTAAAGAAACAAAGACAAAGCAGTGTGGGAATTCAGTGGGAACAACATGCTGAAAGCACCATGCAAGAACTGAGAAAGTATATTCATAGCCCCCCGGTGATGGGGCCGAATTGAGTTTTAAAAGGATGAGCAGGAGTTCATCCAATGAAAAGAACAAGGGAGGGCAGTCCAGGCAGGGGGACACAGTGGGCAAAATTATAAAAGAATGCAGGGATTTGAAGGGGGACAAGACTGGAAGCTGGAATGCCATTTAGAAGATTGCTGCAGTTGTCTCAGCAACAGTTGGTAAAACATGGGAATAGGACAATGGTAGTTAGGAAGCCACAGAGGTGACACATTCAAGAAATATTTAGGAAGGAAAACGGGCAGGATACAGAGATTGTGAGATGTGGAGATTTATAGAGAAGGAAGAATCAAGGTTCACACCCAGTTCCCTGCTAGAGTGAGTAGCTGGATGGTGGTGCCGCCTACAAAGAATCAAAAACGGAATAGATTTTAGAAGAAAAAGCAGAGTTAAGATTTTGACATGAACTGAAGGTGCCTATTGAACATCTAGGTAGAATTGTCCAGCAGGCATTTCATTATGCAAGCCTTAAGTTCCAGGAAGAACTGTAGGCTATAGCTACGGAGTTAGAAATGATTTGCATATAGACAGTTAAAAATATGAGAGTGGGTGAAATCACACAGAAAGATTCTTGTGTAGAGTGTGAGGGTTGAACCTTGGTGAACAAAAGCATTTAATGTACAAGGAGAAAAAGAAACATCAATGATGAGGATGAATCAAAAGGTATCAGAAAAATCAGGAAACGTATGTTGTTGTCACAAAAACAACAATAAATTTCAACTTTGTAGAGAAATCCACAACTATGGAGATGACAGATTCTGAATTTTTTCTAGGGTTGTGTTCTAGTAGAGTTACAGTAAAGGTGCAATATCTTATCTATGCCTCTATTTCTGGGCAAGTAAGTGTCTGACTCATTGTAAGTTTTCAACAAATATTTACTGAATGAATGTATGTCAATGTGAAGAATATATGTTGTTAAGTAAAATATAAAGGCACATGGACATGGAAAGCACTTAAGTCATTTTTACTATGGTACCTGGGGTACTATCTTGTTGGTAATAAAATGCCAAATGAAGATAATGGTAACGATCCAGTCTGGAGGATGATTTCTCCGGCATAGAATATTCATCACAGCACTTGAAATGGGCAAGCCAGATAGCTCATGCAGGCTAATCACTAATACAACAAATATTGAGCAACTACTATAAATATTTGCCAAACACTGTTCTAGGCACTGGAGAGTCTTTGGGTAACTAGAGGAGTTAAAGCATCTTCTCTCATGGAGGTTACATTTCAGTGGGGAGCAGAAGACAAATGATGAACAAATAAATACATGACGGGTGGTGATAAATGCTCAGAAAACAAAGTATGGTAAGGAGCAAAGAGGAGGGTACTATTCTACGGTTTACTCTAAAATCTAGTTAATTCTTGCCACCCACATCTGAAATGCTGATTTTTACTGTACTAGCTTTCTTTTTCTTAAAAGAAATCTAATTCTACAGTGAATAAAAATTACTCATGATTTCAAAAATATCTAGTTAATTCTTATTTCTGATATGAAATTTTATAAAACACAGCAGGGAAAATGAAATGAGGAGCCAAATAATTTGGGGAAAATTATATTATCAATAGCTTACAACAGTTTTAAGTAGCTTAGAAAACAGAAATGAAATAGATCATAAAAAAATTACAAAATGGAAACCACAGCTGCTATCTATTTCAAGTACTATTTTTAATGAGCAAATCTGGTTTTGAAACTATCGTAAATTTACTTGAATGATTTCTCCCCCAGCTCTTTTCCCTTTTTCATTTTTCAAATATTGCCCAAAAGAGGTGGTGGGTAAGAGGGATTATGTTATCACACAGCTTCCACAAAGTGAACCCTGGTAGTCGTGGAAGCAGAGGAAATAATTTCCCTTGGCATACGGTATTATTAACAGTACTGGCATCCTTTGGCTGATTGGAATTCCAAAGGACAAAGATAACCACTTAAATAAAATAGGATTATGAATTGGAATTGATAAGAATGAGATGTTCAGTCCATTTAATCGTGGTCATTATCTCCATATCTGAGGTTAGTTAGAATTCTTTCAAATCATTTCTATATATATTAGGAAAAGGAAGTACTCTAGATAGGAGTTAGGGACAAAGGAATCCCCCATGAGTCTATCTGCTTCTATCTGGTCTCAAAAATACTGGGAGGGAGGGAGGTATGGAGATGCAAAAGGACAAAAGAGAGGAAAACATTCCAATTTTCCACCAATTTGATTTAAAAATTCACCAGGCAATAAGAACAAAAGTCTCGTAAGAAAAGGCACCCTCTTTGCCTCTAGGCTGAAATGAATTGTCATTGTTCATGAAAGCCCTGTGAGACAGAGGTTTGACTCAGCTAGCTCCCCTTCTTCTGGGATCTCCAAAGGCATGAAAGGAAATAGCAACACCTTGGATAATAAAGTAGGCAAGCCCCACCTGAATCTGTCATGTAAAGTGTTAAAAGTCTTGCATTATTTGCTTGTGATTACCAGCTCCATTTTCTTGTGCCCTTAGTTCAGGACTGCCGCTGCTTAACAGACAGACCACTAGGGAGGTCTGTGAACAAACAGTATCTTATTTCTCCAAATAGGGAAAGAAGTGTTCATGGGCAGGAGGTAAATAAATATACTGTTTGCAGTAATGCAATGATAGTTCTCCTTCTCCAAGCAAAAATAAGAACAAACAAAATATTAATAATGACCATAAGGACAAAAAAAAATGAGGGTTCCATTTGCCTAAAAGGCATAGTATAACTCAATTTTATCAGTAAAATGCAGTTCCTAGTTTTGCCTCTCTGAAATACAGAATTCAACTAATTAAAGCACTAATGAAAGCAGTCATGATTTTAACCAGATAAACCTCAAATTATGAACCTCATAGTTCAGAAGTATTTCTTGACTGAATGCATCAACAACTCATTAATCTGCCAGACACTTTCACTATGAAACTTGAAAGTCTGGGCCAGATGTGTGGTGGCTCACGCTTATAATCCCAGCACTGTGGGAGGACCAGGCAGGCAGACTGCTTGAGTCCAGAAGTTTGAGACCAGGCTGGGCAACATAGCGAGACCCCATCTCTTAAAAAAATAAACAAACTGATAGTCTACATACTAATCAAGGATGTAAGTTCTGTATAGAGAGTAACAAGATCACACGAGGCTTGGGTTTATCACATACAGGAATAGAAGCACAGTTTGAATGTATATATAATCCAGCAAATCTATATTATGGTATAGTAGAAAAAGTACTAGAGGACGTAAGTTCTGTCATCAACTTTTCTACTAACTAGGTATAAGAACCTATATAAGTCCTTAATGTTTATGTAAAAGGAAGGAGTTAGCGAATGTTCTTTAACCTCATTTTCACCTTTAAAATTCTATGATTCTAGGACCTATGTGCAAATGACTTCTATTGGCAGATAGTTACTAATCACAAACTTCTATAAAGTCTGTTTGGTAAGAGTTCTAGGGATAACATTTTCTGTACATTTGAAATAATTTATAATTTGAAAAGAGAAAGATGCACAAAGTTGGTGTTCAATAAATGTTTACAAGAAGAATTAAGATTTGTATTAGTCCATTCCTATGCTGCTTTGAAGAAATACCCAAGACTGGGTAATTTATAAAGAAAAGAGGTTTAATTGATTCACAGTTCCCCAAGGCTGGGGAGGCCTCAGGAGACTTACAATTGTGGCTAAGGCACCTCTTCAAAGGGCAGCAGGAGAGAGAATGAGAACAGAGCCAAGGGGGAAGCCTCTTATAAAACCATCAGATCTCCTGAGAACATACTATCCTGAGAATAGCATGGAGGAAACCACCGCCATGATTCAATTACCTCCCACTGGGTCCCTCCCACCACACATGGAGATTATGGGAACTACAAATCAAGATGAGATGTGGGCAGCCAAACCATATCAAGATTTTATACCTCCTTAGAAGTAAATGAAAATCTTCCTGTCCCAGAACTATTGTTGGGGGTGAGGAAAGGCAAGGAATGTGTATGTAAGGAAAGGGGAGTAAGGAGTGGGAAGAGGACTCATTCCAGAATATACATCATTTTGTACAATGTGTTGCAAATTGTATTCCATAAATGCAATTGTCTAGTTCATTTGGAATGCTATAACAAAATACCATAGACTGGGTAACTTGTAAACAACGGAAATTTATTTCTCACAGTTCTGGCAGCTGGGACGTCTAATAATATCATGGTGCCAGCAGTGTCTGGTGAGGGACTGCTTCCTCATAGACTGCACCTTCTCACTGTGCCCTCACATGGTGGAAGGGGCAAACAAGCTCCCTCAGGCCTCTTCTGTAAGGGCACTAATTCCATTCATGAGGGCAGAGCCTTCATGACCTAATCAACTCCCAAAGGCCCCACCTTCTAATACAATCACAATGGAGGGTAGACTTCAACATACAAATTCTGGGGAGACACATTTAGACCAAAACAGCAATATTTAATTGTGTTTCATAAATGAACACAAAGGCAGTATGAAAGTGGTTCGTTGATGAAACAAGTGATCATGAAGAACGTTCTTGGATCATCTCTAAAACTATTACCAAAGACAATGTTGTACTTCGTCTTCCATTTTAAACTGTCTGTGTTTCGTCAGATAATAAGAATTATAAAACATAACATGTTTTCTTTTCTGTATTGGCTTCCAGTAAGCTCAGAGCTAAATTTAATGCTCAATAATAGTAACTAGCCTTAATTTACATATTTGGAATAATTGTGTAAAAGTTTCCCTCTAACTTTTAATTTAACTTTAATGGGCCTTTGTTGCAAAAACCACCTGAAATCTTTCTGGGAAGTAGATGAAGGATAGATTAGGATGTAATCAACATGTATCTGTGTTCTATCTAAATAGAGAAGGAAAACATTTATGTAAGTGGAAATTAGAAGATATTTTAAAATCATGATATGAAAAAATCATTAGAAATAAATCATCTTTGAGTAATTATTTCCACAAAAGCACTGTTATTGTGTGGGAGAAGTTATAACTACTAACTAGATGTGGAACACAAAAAGCAATATAGAATGTAAAATTCAGTGCCTTCAGCCATCATTGAGACTACACAGCAACAGGAAATTTAAAGAAAAATATGATAAAACATTTTTGAAAATGCAACATTTGGAAACGCTTTGAAGTTGCACAATTTTAACAGTTCTTTTAAAAAAACATAGCCTGTACATACATCAAAAATCTTTTTTATTTCAATTGGAAAAGATGAAGAAGAAAAGAAGGTCTAAGAATAGCAAAGATTAAAGTAAAATGAAATAACATTCTTGTTATCCAGATTTGGTAGGTGAATTTTTTTATTCACTTTTAGAATGGAACATTGGGAAAAAGCAGGGGGGTAGGGAATGAATGTATGGAAAGAACAAAAACAGTTTAAGGGGCCAGACGCTGTGGCTCACGCCTGTAATCCCAGCACTTTGGGAGGCCGAGGCGGGTGGATCATGAGGTCAGGAGTTCAAGACCAGCCTGGCCAAGATGGTGAAAACCCGTCTCTACTAAAAGTACAAAAATTACAGCGCGCCTGTAATGCCAGCTACTCGGGAGGCTGAGGCAGGAGAATCGCTTGACCCTGGGGGGAGGAGGTGAGCCGAGATCGCGCCACTGCACTCCAGCCTGGGTGACAGAGTGAGACTCCATCTCAAAAAAAATAAAAATAAAAAATAAAAATAAATAAAAAATAACAGTTTAAGAGACTACAGAAAAATAACAAATAAGCTATTTGACAAAGACTGACAGATGGATATCTGGGCCACCACTGAAACAGTAACCTCTGTTGAAAATTACAGGCATTCTTATCAATCAGAGTCACAAGTATACTTCATCTTCTTAGGTATACTGAGGGCTATGCATGGACTACTATTCCTTTAAACACTTAAAAACCATTTTAAAGACATCTAAGCATTTTTAAAGAAAAGAGAGAACTGGTGAATATGACACGTGGTAATAACTGTCTTTTAGCCTATTTTTGTAGATCCAGGTGACTTACAATATGAGGAAAATAATAATTTGAGGAAAATAACCCATAAATGTGAATTTTTTTTGAAACAGATGTTTTCAATGCAACGGAGGACATGACTAACAATACAATGAATCTCTTTTAAAAGTAAGAGATCTCTGAGGGGAAAAAAATCACCTTCATTTATCAATCTTGTAAAATATTATTTTCATTTATTGGGTTGTTTAAATAGGGGCATATCTGAATACCACTGTGAGCAAAAACGAAGCAACCTGGTCAAGCTTGGGCACCTGAAATTGCAGTCATCAAAATACACTATTCAGAATGTTCAATTACTTTTTACAGGTATCAAACAATGTATAGCCAACTCTCAATTATACAGGCTGTTAGAGAGAAAGGGTGGTTTGGCTAATTTAAAACAGCAAACAATCCAGAAATTCTTTATGTAGATTTGGAAAACCATTTTAAATCCAAAATTGCCTTTGAGATATGAGTCACCATCCAGGAACATTAGAAACTGAGCTGGAATCGGGAATCCTGAGGGCAGATTAAAGTCTTCTCATGGATTGTCAAGGCTTTATTATTCTTGTTTCTAGAATTGGGGGAGCTAGAAGGTATGCAGCTATTATCCTCAGCTACAGAGAAAAGATTAAGAATAGGAAGGGCCCTGGAGGAATTTCTTGGAAAATCCCATATTTTCTCATTGAGGAGTTTCCCTGCTCATTCAAGGACTAAAGCTATACTCACTTGCGCTCTAATACACAGAATCTAATCCATAGAGAAGTTCATGGCTTGAGAAGCTTTCTAGATTAAATAGACACTACTGAGAGAAAACTAGATGGAAAAAACTATATATATATATACACACATATATATATACACACACAAACATATATATACACACACATATATATATATACACACATACACACACATACATACATATATATATGCTATTAGAAGGACATTTTTAAAAATTTTGGAACATGTTTTTCAGTAGGGATTAATAAAATGTCAAGCTCTTCTGGGGATTCTTCCCCATCCTGATTTTTCAACATAATCCTACGCTATTACTTTATCTCCTCTAGTTTTACAGCTACGTGTAAATGAAGCTGCTGATTTTGGATCTATATGAGAAATATAAAAATCAAGAACTCACTGTTTATGTAAGTTTATCTCATACTGCCAGCTCTGCTTACCAAAAATAAGAAAGAACAGAACAAAATAAAATGGCCTACTAGGCACTTAAAATCCATGCCATGTTCCATGGCAGTGAGCAGGACTTCTCATCCATTTAAAGTTTGAGAAGAGCTTGATAGTATTCTGGCCCCAAGCCTTCTGCTCATTTGATTTGCCATACAAGATTGCATTCCCAGTGCCAAGGGCAGCAGGAATTGGCCCAACGCTACAGTGCTATTCATTTTCAGAGCCACCTGATTTTGCAGGTGAGTAGTTATATCTCCACAGAGTTCTACTTCTATGACTAACATCTTGCTCATCCTGTAACAGACACCTATTCTGGGGTCTGATGAACATCAGCATTGGGAGGTTTAACTCAGCGTTTGGCTTTGTATAACATGATTTTGCTGGTTCTGACATCAGCCATATGTCCAACTTTGGAAAAATTGCATTTTTGCCTGTAGGGTTTCCTTTAAAAAAAGCAGGGCTAGAGGAATGTGAAGATGATGTTTGTAAATAGATTTTTTAAAATCATAAAAGCTATTGGTTTCTCAGAAACTCTAAGAATATGTGTGACTAAAGCCTTAGCTGGTCAATGTTTTAAGCTTCTCAGGTGAGATCAATAGGCTTAAATTTTTATTAGTAATACAAGTTAATAACAATTTATTAAAATGCTATTGTATTTCACCACAAATTCCTTGCATATATTTTTTTAAAAGCTGGGAAAAACTATCATCACTTTATCTAGAAAGATGACTTTTTTCCCTCCCTTTAGGTTCTGTCAATGATTCTCAGCCTTACAGGTGAGAGTGACATAAATTATAGATTATTGCCATGCTTTGTGAAAGTTGTGAGAGGCATAGTTTGAAGCGCTCATCTTTATTATTTCATTGATAAGAAAAATACAGAAATCGAGATAGGCTGTTGAGGTCTGTAAATAATTTTTTTTCTTAAACCATCACCTGTATAAAAATGACAACAGAATTAGACTTGCTGTCTGACCACAATGAATAAATAAAATTATCCAGTTCAAATGCTCTGTAATGATTTCTTCCATGTTACTGTGAACTACCATAGTGATATGTGTTTGAATGGGGACTCTGGTAGAAGCAGTGTTGAAGCAATGCAAAAATTAACTCGAAAAAAACCTGTGAGGTCCATCACTATGGACTCCATCACTATGTGAGGTGACAGGTTAATTAGCTTGATTGTAGAAATCATTCCACAATGTATATGCATATAAAAATATCATGCTGTACACCTTGAATATACATAATTTGCCAATTATACCTCGATAAAGATAAAACAAAGACATGGGATTGCTTCTAATTCTGCATTATTATGAATGAGTAAAAAAGAAGATAAAAGAAAAAAACAGGCCAGATACAGTGGCGCATGCCTGTAGTCCCAGCTACTCAGGAGGCTGAGGCAGGAGGATCACTTGAGCCAAGGTTGCAGTGAACCATGACTGCACCACTGCCCTCCAGCCTGGACAACAGAGCAAGACCTTATCCTGAAAAACAGAAACAAAACCAAAAACCAACTAGTAAGAAATTCAGGGGGAAATAGCCACAGGTATAATCAGACAATTATCTGAAAAGAGATGACACAATATCTGTAGGATAAACAAGCTGCGTTGCCTCCTCTGTGAAGACTTTTTGGAGTATCACAAACTATAGTGATCTTGTCCTTCTCTGAGGTCCTATTGCCACAGAGCCTATTTTTTGCACTAAAAATGTAAACATGTGATGTGATAATGAATTTTGATTATTTTGAAAATTCTAGGATATATGAAACCTATAGAACATCATTTTGGTACATATTTGTTTTTGCATATAATTCTTTTATTTTTTATAAGTCTTGATTACCCAAGTAAACAGAGCAAGCTTTCTACATTTATATTTCCCACAGTACTAAGCACATAGTATTTCTTCAGTAAATACCTATTGATGGAGTACATTCATGGCCTTATGGCTTTTTTTTTATTTATTATTTTTTTTGAGATGGTGTCTCGCTCTGTCGCTGAGGCTGGAATGCAGTGGCGCGATCTCGGCTCACTGCAACCTCCACCTTCCGGGTTCCAGCGATTCTCCTGCCTCAGCCTCTTGAGTAGCTGGGACTACAGTAGGCGTGTGCCACCACACCCAGCTAATTTTTGTATTTTTAGTAGAGATGGGGTTTCACCATACTGGCCAGGCTGATCTCGAACTCCTGACCTCATGATCCGCCCGCCTCCGCCTCCCGGTGTGCTAGGATTACAGGCATGAGCCACGGTGCCCGGCCTTATGGCTTATTTTATATGTTTATTATTATGAGTATAATCCTTCAGATGTAGAATTCACTAATCTACCAGCTTTTCAGAGTGAGAAGTCCCTTGTTTTGCTACTGATGGGGTTCAAGACCCGCTACCAACAGTATGTCACCTTGGCATTTGATAAAATAGCAGAAGCAAGGTCACTCTCACCTTCCCCTTGCCCTTCTCTCTTGAAGCAGGCCATAAAACCTTCATTCCAGAGGTACCCCCAAACCCCACATTCAGAGGAAAGGAACATCCTTATCTCTGAAGATACAAGGACACAGAAAAGAATCAGAAAACACAGGCCTTGTTAAGTCCCCCACACTTTATTATTATTAGATCATATCCCCTTTGTCCAGTCATATTTCTCCACTACCCTCCACTTCTTCATCAAACCTAAGCATAAGAATACACAGGTTTGGGTTCCTGAGCCAAGATGGCTGAATAGGAACAGCTCTGGTCTACAGCTCCCAGCGTGAGCGACGCAGAAGACAGGTGATTTCTGCATTTCCATCTGAGGTACCGGGTTCATCTCACTAGGGAGTGCCAGACAGTGGGCGCAGGACAGTGGGTGCGCGCACCGTGCGCAAGCCGAAGCAGGGCGAGGCATTGCCTCACTCAGGAAGCGCAAGGGGTCAGGGAGTTCCCTTTCCTGGTCAAAGAAAGGGGTGACGGACGGCACCTGGAAAATCGGATCACTCCCACCCGAATACTGCGCTTTTCCGACGGGCTTAAAAAACGGTGCACCACGAGATTATATCCCGCACCTGGCTCGGAGGGTCCTACGCCCACGGAATCTCGCTGATTGCTAGCACAGCAGTCTGAGATCAAACTGCAAGGCAGCAGCGAGGCTGGGGGAGGGGCGCCCACCATTGCCCAGGCTTGCTTAGGTAAACAAAGCAGCCAGGAAGCTCGAACTGGGTGGAGCCCACCACAGCTCAAGGAGGCCTGCCTGCCTCTGTAGGCTCCACCTCTGGGGGCAGGGCACAGACAAACAAAAAGACAGCAGTAACCTCTGCAGACTTAAATGTCCCTGTCTGACAGCTTTGAAGAGAGCAGTGGTTCTCCCAACATGCAGCTGGAGATCTGAGAACGGGCAGGCTGCCTCCTCAAGTGGGTCCCTGACCTCTGACCCCCGAGCAGCCTAACTGGGAGGCACCCTCCAGCAGGGGCACACTGACACCACACACTGCAGGGTACTCCAACAGACCTGCAGCTGAGGGTCCTGTCTGTTAGAAGGAAAACTAACAAACAGAAAGGACATCCACACCAAAAACCCATCTGTACATCACCATCATCAAAGACCAAAAGTAGATAAAACCACAAAGATGGGGAAAAAACAGAGCAGAAAAACTGGAAACTCTAAAAATCAGAGCGCCTCTCCTCCTCCAAAGGAACGCAGCTCCTCACCAGCAACGGAACAAAGCTGGACGGAGAATGACTTTGACAAGCTGAGAGAAGAAGGCTTCAGACGATCAAATTACTCTGAGCTACGGGAGGATATTCAAACCAAAGGCAAAGAAGTTGAAAACTTTGAAAAAAATTTAGAAGAATGTATAACTAGAAAAACCAATACAGAGAAGTGCTTAAAGGAGCTGATGGAGCTGAAAACCAAGGCTCGAGAACTACGTGAAGAATGCAGAAGCCTCAGGAGCCGATGCGATCAACTGGAAGAAAGGGTATCAGCAATGGAAGATGAAATGAATGAAATGAAGCGAGAAGGAAAGTTTAGAGAAAAAAGAATAAAAAGAAACGAGCAAAGCCTCCAAGAAATATGGGACTATGTGAAAAGACCAAATCTACGTCTGATTGGTGTACCTGAAAGTGATGGGGAGAATGGAACCAAGTTGGAAAACACTCTGCAGGATATTATCCAGGAGAATTTCCCCAATCTAGCAAGGCAGGCCAACGTTCAGATTCAGGAAATACAGAGAACGCCACAAAGATTCTCCTAGAGAAGAGCAACTCCAAGACACATAATTGTCAGATTCACCAAAGTTGAAATGAAGGAAAAAATGTTAAGGGCAGCCAGAGAGAAAGGTCGGGTTACCCTCAAAGGGAAGCCCATCAGACTAACAGCGGATCTCTCGGCAGAAACCATACAAGCCAGAAGAGAGTGGGGGCCAATATTCAACATTCTTAAAGAAAAGAATTTTCAACCCAGAATTTCATATCCAGCCAAACTAAGCTTCATAAGTGAAGGAGAAATAAAATACTTTACAGACAAGCAAATGCTGAGAGATTTTGTCACCACCAGGCCTGCCCTAAAAGAGCTCCTGAAGGAAGCGCTAAACATGGAAAGGAACAACCGGTACCAGCCGCTGCAAAATCATGCTAAAATGTAAAGACCATCGAGACTAGGAAGAAACTGCATCAACTAACGAGCAAAATAACCAGCTAACATCATAATGAGAGGATCAAATTCACACATAACACTATTAACTTTAAATGTAAATGGACTAAATGCTCCAATTAAAAGACACAGACTGGCAAATTGGATAAAGAGTCAAGACCCATCAGTGTGCTGTATTCAGGAAACCCATCTCACATGCAGAGACACACATAGGCTCAAAATAAAAGGATGGAGGAAGATCTACCAAGCAAATGGAAAACAACAAAAGGCAGGGGTTGCAATCCTAGTCTCTGATAAAACAGACTTTAAACCAACAAAGATCAAAAGAGACAAAGAAGGCCATTACATAATGGTAAAGGGATCAATTCAATAAGAAGAGCTAACTATCCTAAATATATATGCACCCAATACAGGAGCACCCAGATTCATAAAGCAAGTCCTGAGTGACCTACAAAGAGACTTAGAATCCCACACATTAATAATGGGAGACTTTAACACCCCACTGTCAACATTAGACAGATCAACGAGACAGAAAGTCAACAAGGATACCCAGGAATTGAACTCAGCTCTGCACCAAGCAGACCTAATAGACATCTACAGAACTGTCCACCCCAAATCAACAGAATATACATTTTTTTCAGCACCACACCACACCTATTCCAAAATTGACCACATACTTGGAAGTAAAGCCCTCCTCAGCAAATGTAAAAGAACAGAAATTATAACAAACTATCTCTCAGACCACAGTGCAATCAAACTAGAACTCAGGATTAAGAATCTCACTCAAAACCGCTCAACTACATGGAAACTGAACAACCTGCTCCTGAATGACTACTGGGTACATAACGAAATGAAGGCAGAAATAAAGATGTTCTTTGAAACCAACGAGAACAAAGACACATCATACCAGAATCTCTGGGACACATTCAAAGCAGTGTGTAGAGGGAAATTTATAGCACTAAATGCCCACAAGAGAAAGCAGGAAAGATCCAAAATTGACACCCTAACATCACAATTAAAAGAACTAGAAAAGCAAGAGCAAACACATTCAAAAGCTAGCAGAAGGCAAGAAATAACTAAAATCAGAGCAGAACTGAAGGAAATAGAGACACAAAAACCCTTCAAAAAATTAATGAATCCAGGAGCTGGTTTTTTAAAAGGATCAACAAAATTGATAGACCACTAGCAAGACTAATAAAGAAGAAAAGAGAGAAGAATCAAATAGACGCAATAAAAAATGATAAAGGGGATATCACCACCGATCCCACAGAAATACAAACTACCATCAGAGAATACTACAAACACCTCTACGCAAATAAACTAGAAAATCTTGAAGAAATGGATAAATTCCTTGACATATACACCCTCCCAAGACTAAACCAGGAAGAAGTTGAATCTCTGAGTAGACCAATAAGAGTCTCTGAAATTGTGGCAATAATCAATAGCTTACCAACCAAAAAGAGTCCAGGACCAGATGGATTCACAGCCGAATTCTACCAGAGGTACAAGGAGGAACTGGTACCATTCCTTCTGAAACTATTCCAATCAATAGAAAAAGAGGGAATCCTCCCTAACTGATTTTATGAGGCCAGCATCGTCCTGATACCAAAGCCTGGCAGAGACACAACCAAAAAAGAGAATTTTAGACCAAAATCCTTGATGAACATTGATGCAAAAATCCTCAATAAAATACTGGCAAACCGAATCCAGCAGCACATCAAAAAGCTTATCCACCATGATCAAGTGGGCTTCATCCCTGGGATGCAAGGCTGGTTCAATATATGCAAATCAATAAATGTAATCCAGCATATAAACAGAGTCAAAGACAAAAACCACATGATTATCTCAATAGATGCAGAAAAGGCCTTTGACAAAATTCAACAACCTTTCATGCTAAAAACTCTCAATAAATTAGGTATTGATGGGACATATTTCAAAATAATAAGAGCTATCTATGACAAACCCACAGCCAATATCATACTAAATGGGCAAAAACTGGAAGCATTCCCTTTGAAAACTGGCACAAGACAGGGATGCCCTCTCTCACCACTCCTATTCAACATAGTCTTGGAAGTTCTGGCCAGGGCAATTAGGCAGGAGAAGGAAATAAAGGGTATTCAATTAGGAAAAGAGGAAGTCAAGTTGTCCCTGTTTGCAGATGACATGATTGTATATCTAGAAAACCCCATTGTCTCAGCACAAAATCTCCTCAAGCTGATAAACAACTTCAGCAGTCTCAGGATACAAAATCAATGTACAAAAATCACAAGCATTCTTATACACCAATAACAGACAAACAGAGAGCCAAATCATGAGTGAACTCCCATTCACAATTGCTTCAAAGAGAATAAAATACCTAGGAATCCAACTTACAAGGGATGTGAAGGACCTCTTCAAGGAGAACTACAAACCACTGCTCAATGAAATAAAAGAGGATACAAACAAATGGAAGAACATTCCATGCTCATGGGTAGGAAGAATCAATACCGTGAAAATGGCCATACTTCCCAAGGTAATTTATAGATTCAATGCCATCCCCATCAAGCTACCAATGACTTTCTTCACAGAATTGGAAAAAACTACTTTAAAGTTCATATGGAACCAAAAAAGAGCCCACATTGCCAAGACAATCCTAAGCCAAAAGAACAAAGCTGGAGGCATCACGCTACCTGACTTCAAACTATACTACAAGGCTACAGTAACCAAAACAGCATGGTACTGGTACCAAAACAGAGATATAGACCAATGGAACAGAACAGAGCCCTCAGAAATAACGCCGCATATCTACAACTATCTGATCTTTGACAAACCTGAGAAAAACAAGCAATGGGGAAAGGATTCCCTATTTAATAAATGGTGCTGGGAAAACTGGCTAGCCATATGTAGAAAGCTGAAACTGCATCCCTTCCTTACACCTTAAACAAAAATTAATTCAAGATGGATTAAAGACTTAAACGTTAGACCTAAAACCATAAAAACCCTAGAAGAAAACCTAGGCATTACCATTCAGGACATAGGCATGGGCAAGGACTTCATGTCTAAAACACCAAAAGCAATGGCAACAAAAGCCAAAATTGACAAATGGGATCTAATTAAACTAAAGAGCTTCTGCACAGCAAAAGAAACCACCTTCAGAGTGAACAGGCAACCTACAGAATGGGAGAAAATTTTCGCAATCTACTCATCTGACAAAGGGCTAATATCCAGAATCTACAATGAACTCAAACAAATTTACAAGAAAAAAACAAACAACACCATCAAAAAGTGGGCAAAGGATATGAACAGACACTTCTCAAAAGAAGACATTTATGCAGCCAAAAGACACATGAAAAAATGCTCATCATCACTGGCCATCAGAGAAATGCAAATCAAAACCATAATGAGATACCATCTCACACCAGTTAGAATGGTGATCATTAAAAAGTCAGGAAACAACAGGTGCTGGAGAGGATGTGGAGAAATAGGAACACTTTTACACTGTTGGTGGGACTGTAAACTAGTTCAACCATTGTGGAAGTCAGTGTGGCGATTCCTCAGGGATCTAGAACTAGAAATACCATTTGATCCAGCCAACCCATTACTGGGTATATACCCAAAGGACTATAAATCATGCTGCTATAAAGACACATGCACACGTATGTTTATTGCGGCACTATTCACAATAGCAAAGACTTGGAACCAACCCAAATGTCTAACAATGATAGACTGGATTAAGAAAATGTGGCACATATACACCATGGAATACTATGCAGCCATAAAAAATGATGAGTTCATGTCCTTTTTAGGGACATGGATGAAATTGGAAATAATCATTCTCAGTAAACTATCGTAAGGACAAAAAACCAAACACCACATGTTCTCACTCATAGATGGGAATTGAACAACGAGAACACATGGACACAGGAAGGGGAACATCACACTCTGGGGACTGTTGTGGGGTGGGGGGAGTGGGGAGGGATAGCATTAGGAGATACACCTAATGCTAAATGACGAGTTAATGGGTGCAGCACACCAGCATGGCACATGTATACATATGTAACTAACCTGCACAATGTGCACATGTACCCTAAAACTTAAAGTATAATAATAATAAAAGTTCCTAATAGTAAAAAAAAAAAAAAAAAAAAAAAAAAAGCAACATGAATGCCAATTTAAAAAAAAAAAAAAAAGAACACACAGGTTTTCCTGTTTCTTTGGGTCTTTATTTCCTAATTAAATTTCCTGTGTCACATAAAATTTACGTATATTAAATAAATTTGGGCTGGGCACAGTGGCTTACGCCTGTAATCCCAGCACTTTGGGAGGCCAAGGTGGGTGGATCACCTGAGGTCAGGAGTTCAACACCAGCCTCGTCAACACGGTGAAACTCCATCTCTACTAAAAATACAAAAATTAGCCAGGCATGGTGGTGCACATCTGTAATCCCAGCTACTCAGGAGGCTGAGGCAGGAGAATTGCTTGAACCTGGGAGGCGGAGGTTGCAGTGAGCCAAGATCGCACCACTGCACTCCAGCCTCGGCGACAGAGCGAGACTCCATCTCAAAAAATAATAAATAAATAAATAAATAAATAAATAAATAAATAAATAAATAACTTTGTATGCTTTTCTCTTGGTAGTCGGGTAATCTGTTTTTTTTTTGTTGTTGTTGTTATTGTTGTTGTTAAGGGGTCCTAGCTATGAATCTAAGATGGGAAGAAAAGATATTTCTTTCCCCCTATACTACGTAAGAGAAATAGTTAGATTCAAGCTGGTATTATGAAAGACTGCTTTGTAGAAAAAGAAGTCCTGCGCCAAATCAGATTTAACAAATGTTGCTTTTTCATCATTACTCAGCATTCTAGCCTCCTTCAAAGGAAAGCTCTGTAAATTAGAAACTTTGATGGATATGAGTTATCTGCATTCAGAGAACAAAGCCATGCTTTCCTATGTTTGTCACTTCATAATGTAAGTAATGACTCCATAGGTACTAACCACAGATATTAGGGAATGAGGGTGGGCTGGTGGTGGGGAGAAATGCAATTAAAAAGACAGCACATGTAGGTTTGCTGGCATAACTCTCAGTTTTACAGAATTCCTAACAATGTAAATTAGGCAGGTCTATTAAAATTTCTATCCATTCTCTATACTAGATGTGTAATCTCATTAGTCTTGACAAAGGTCAAGAATCTGAAAGTAAATCAGCACATACAGTAGTATGTTTCAATTTCCTTCATTTATAATTAAGATTCTCCATTACTGCATTTTAAACTCTCAGTTTATCAACCCTAAATCTATGCAAGGAATAAGAAATGAGCAGTTCCATAATAAAGCAAAGTATTTAGACTAATAGCAGTGTAGTATCTAAGAGGCAGTGTATAGTCTATGAGGAGTAAGGGCAGCCTAGATTAAAAGACCAGTGGAAATAAATAAAAGGTCATGTCATTTTTTTTTTAGATCTCACATCTCATTTACTTCTAATTTTTAATATTTAAAAGATAAAGGACAGTACAAGAAATTGCTTGCTGGTAATGATGGTTTGGTGTGGGGACAGATGGGTGTTAGAACAGATAACTTATTTAGGTGGGGGTAATGGGATGGAGACATGGCACTGAGTGGAGAACTTTGACACTCATGGGTTACAGAAATGAGTCACGTAATCTTCTTTATCACCAACACCATCTGCTGGCTCTACGAATCCAACTCTTCCCACTCTGGATTCCTTTCCCTTTGTCCCTTCTTCCCTTCCACTCTCCTCTCAGCACTCTCTGATCCATCCCCAGTATTCTATCATCACTTTCAAAGGGCTGTGGGCTCTGTGGGGGAATTAGGGACATCTATAGCCTGACTTTATGAAAAGCTGCCATAGTTTTAGTCAACTCTGAGTCTAATGCAAAAGATTTGTCGTTTCAAATGTGGAGCAAAATGGTTTTATCTGAATTCAAGCTATAAACATCACAAACTTGTAGAATTCAAGGATAGAAACTCTGAAAAACTAACTCATTGTTTTAACTGTCACGTATACAAAATGATCTCTTATGAAAGAATCACCATTTCAGAAAGCTTTCAGAATCAAATATAATTATGATTACCTCTCATAAGGAGGCTAGATAATCAGGACCTCATCATGAATAAAAGTTACATTAAGATGGGAAATCATTACTAAGTACCAGAATAAAATGTCTTGACAAGTAAGTAGTGTTTGAGTTTTTGGTCTAAAAATTATCTAGGGAAAAATTCTTCATATAAAGATTTAAAAAATGCAACATTTTATTACATCATATGGAAATATTTGCCAATATTATATAATATTGGATGATGGACTCTATGACTTATTCATTCATTTCACAAATATTGAGTATGTACTATATGTAAATATTGTGCATATTTACAAAAATAAGATGCGTATTCTGCATAAAATTGTTGTAAAAAAATAGAATTTATGCTCTCTGAAGGTAGGGATTTTTTTTTTTTTTTTTTTTTTTTTGTCGGTTTTGTTCACTGGTGTATCCTCAGCATCTGGAAGAAAGGCCAGCAACATTTTCCTTGTGAAGGGCCAGATGGCAAATATTTTAGCCTTTGTGGGCCACATATGGTGTCTGCTGTATATTCTTCTTTGTTTTTACAACTCTTTAAAGATATAAACAACATTTTAGCTCTAGTCCATGGGCTGGATTTGGCCCACTGACCATAGTTGGCAAACCCCTGATCTAGGTCATTGCCAAGCTTTAGTAAGAGCACATTGAACGTTTGTTAAAAATCAAAAATGTATTCAATCTCCACAATGTATAAGCAATGTGAAAACAACAAAGATAGCATAGTTGATGCCCTCCAAGAACTACTGGATAAGAAAAGGAGACAAGTGGACAGAACTATATACAGCACTAATGATAGTCAGGGTTACAAGACTCAGGAGGAAAGCTGGAATGACCAAATAACGTGACACTCGAACTGACTCTTGGACATGACTTTTAATGAAAAACAGTTCAAATGAGTTGTAGGTGGAAGAAGGTTCTAATGACTTGAATTAGAGGGGCAATTTTGGAACTCATGGATAAATATGTAATCGTTTCAACACCTTTCAGAAACTATAAGCCAAGAAAGAATTATGGCACCAGCTGAGGTTACAATTTTATTTCCTTTTAGTTTACCATCTGAAAAAAAAAAAAAAAAAAAAGGGCTGGGCATGGTGGCTGACGCCTCTAATCCCAGCACTTTCGGGGGCCAAGGTGGGCGGATCACCTGAGGTCAGGAGTTCCAGACCAGCCTGACCAATATGGTGAAACCCCATCTCTACTAAAAAATGCAAAAATTAGCCGGGCTTCATGGCGTGCGCCTGTAGTCTCAGCTACCCTGGAGGCTGAGACAGGAGAATTGCTTGAACCTGGGAGGCAGAGGTTGCAGTGAGCCAAGATGGCGCCATTGCACTCCAGCCTGGGCGACAGAATGAGACTCCATCTCAAAAAAAAAAAAAAAAAAAAAAAAAAAAAGGCACTAGATAGCCAGAAACATTATGCTGAAAATCAAGGAAGCTACTCTTCTTTGGATGAAAATGATGAACTCAGTGGTTTGGTTTGGGTAACATACAAATGCCACTGTTAAAGCTATGAGGTGGAAAAAGTATTGTAGCTATGACAAATCTTGAATTCTTGCAAGGTTGGTTGTTAACTATAATCAAAGCAGTACAATCCAAAAATAGGAGGGAATTGGAAATATACAGAGCCACATCAACCCAACAATCCTCTTAGAATCTGATAAATAGGGAGGACACTGACAAAACAGACTGTTAGTGAAACTGCATCTCAGCATTTTTATACAAATTATTTGACATTTTTAGTATGTCAGTACAGGTGTGGAGTTGGCTTTGAACTGCTGTTCATTTAGGTTATAACAGATGCAGGAGATTTAAAAAAATCCCTCAACTTACTGAAAAGATAAATTTAAATGTTCTAGGATTGATGAGTTAAAAAAAAAAAAAAGCCCTACCTCATTTGCTGCATTATGCTTCAGTGATCACCATGGCAGAATTGACCTTTCTTTATTAAGTACTGCATATGTTCATTCTTTACATGACATCCAAATGGATTCAAAATGTGATGAGGCTATTGGCTCCATTACTGCAAACTCCAGGTTGCTCATTTGTGCAAAAGAGGTTGTTCAATTCATGTTTTCCCTAAATCTAGTACTAATCTGCACAATCTAAGATGTTTGTAATCCTACTCAAATGCCTCCTTGCTTCCAGCTGTGTTTGTTAACATGGCTTCTGAGTCTTTGGGTTTTTTCCCCTACATTACATAATGATGGATGTCCTTTCCCTGGTTACTCCCCCTTGTTGAAAGTAACCATTGTCAGCAGCATGGCCTAACATGACTGGTATCATGCCCCGTAATGATGATGATTCCAAAGCAGAGATGACATAGAAAAGAGAGGGCAGCATCAGTCACAGAAGAAGAGGCCTGCTCTGCAATGTAGGAATCAAAAACTCTTTAATTGCAAAGTATTGAGAATTTTAGAGACATAATTGTCCATTGATGTTTGAACAGATTAGGATGACTATTTTGTACCCCATCCTCTAGATTTCCAATTAGGAAAGACTACATATGAAAATGGTATCCTGGCATTTGGCTGAAAACTGAACCACAATTCTAACCTATGTTTATTACAGCCGTGTGATGTATTTTATACCATGTCAATGTGTCTACTAAGAATTCACTCAGAGATTCATAGAAGAATCCAGTTTAGGTTGTGAGAAAGAATGCAGTAGTGTCAAGTTCATCCTTTGGGAACACACTCATCTCTGAAAAACCTGAAATTGGTGCTGTTTTTTCTATTACTAAATCTTTCTGGGTTTAAACAGAAATGCATTAAGTTTGGATTTCTCCTACTTACCTGGCATCACTTCTGACACAGAAACTGACCAAGTAATAGTCAATTAGGTTGACTGCTGTCATTTTGCATGTGAAAGAAACAGTAAGTACAGGATCTGCTTCACAAAGGCAGCTCCAGTGAGCAATGACTTATTTATCACAGACATTTATATGGATGCTAGAAAACAGATGTAGGATCCTTGCCTGGCAGCTGACTTACATGAAAAGGGCATTTTGACAGCCAATGACATTATAATCTTCCCTTGCTGCTGTACAAAAAAAGATTTATAAGGCAGCAGAAGGTAAAATAATCTATTTACATAATATATACTTTTAAAAGCATAATTGGATCGACATTGGTCAATAATTGGGCAGGGCAGCCAAGCATTATCACAGGCTATATATTTCACATTTTATAAGAAAAAGAGCAAGAAAAATCAGAAATCCCAAAAAGCCTAACAAAGAAAACATCTGGGAAGACAAGTAGGGTAACAATTCAGGATCTTTCTCGTTACAGTAAAGTCTCTACTATACAGCCTATCTAAGATATGAAGTGCTGCGATCAACTTAGATGTATTTATAGATAATTGCCAGAGATATTATAAACATAGCTCCCATTTCCAAGATTTTGAATATTAAATATAGTTAAAAATAAAACTAGGCTGAACATAATAGAAATATTTTTCAATAGCTCAAAAGGTACATTGGGGCATTACACTGTCTTGGGGCCATCATTAGACACATCACTCATCACTACGTTGCAACTATACAAATGTGCTAAATAATAGAGAGTTCTTCCATTTAATGTGAGGCTACTTAACATAGCTGACTATTTAGTTTGAAAAAAAATTCTGAAGCAGGTTGAATGCATAAAATTAGACCTATGGCATTTTAGCCTGTTTACCCATAAAAAGAATTGTTTTTGGATAATTATTTCAGCCCTTTCTTTGCAATTCTCTTATTTTTGCCACTGGGATTTTCTTAATTTTCTTTCTGGTCTATATGTGCTCCCTACATACTTTTAAACATTTTTTCACCCTGTCCTTTAATTTCTTTATTGATCTCATGAGCGTTCTATCAAGGTCCTCTTTTCCCCATTTAGGGAATTTCATTTTCCCATGGACTTCTTGTGCCATTGCTTAAAGTAGAGAATGGGGAAACAAAAAGGTTTGAGGTTATCTCCACTTGAAAGATTGGACTGAGGATCAAGAAATCTGCATTATAGTCCCAACTGTCGTTAGTTTGCTACATGACCTGGAGAAAATCCCTTCACCCTCTCTGGGCCTGGTTCTCCTCTTCTGGAAAATGAAGGATTTGGACTATATGACTTCTCAGAGTCCTTTGAGCTCTACCATACCACACCTATACTTTTGTCAGCAGAATAGCAATTATGCAGGGCAGTTCAAGTGCATGTAAACCTTGCCTGGAGACCTCAGGATGTGAGCAGATCTATTTAGTACATAATATGTCAATTCATTGTGATTCCTTCACTGTTGGCCCTTTGGAGTATTTCTACCACTGGTATAATTTCCCGAGGAAAGGGATTATTTCTTATTTATCTCAGTATCCTCAGCACTTAGTAAAATGTCTGGAACTTAGTAACAGTTCATAAATGCTACTTCTACTTTGTGCTTCCATATCTCACAGCATTTTCTGTCCACAAATATTTGTATTATAGAAGTTTATCACATTTACAACTTAAACTATTCAATATCTATGGGTTCTGCCTACTTAATTACTGATAACACCCAGTTCCTTGGAATACAATATTTTCCTGCAAAATGGTACACATAATGGGAACAACACTATTTTCAGAAAGAGGCTGGACTGACTCATAAGGGAATCAACGTTCACTTCCTAAATAATTCACTAAAACTTACTGGTAAGACTCAATGTACTGTTGCACTGCTCACGTTACTAGAATTTCAGCGCCTACTTGAAATTGTGACTTGCAGAGGCAAAGGCTTAAAAAGCCATACGTTTTGGAAATATTTGAAAAGATAGCTACAGAAATAATAAAAAGTTCTAATAATATGTTTCTGTTGCTCAAATTCCAGAAGTAAGTCTAAAGTGGTATACTAAAAATTACTGTCACAACTTACATTTGCAATTAACAATAAGATTTTGCAAGAAAAATCTATTAAAAGAACTCAGATTCATACACTGATCTTGCAAAATGAGAAAATAAAATCTGTAGACCTGTTACAGACCTCAAATTAAAATACTGGTATTTGTTTGGGCCACTTTGTTAAAGAAGTATGCTTTCTTTGCCTCTTAAATTTTACATTTCTAACATTTAATGGTGATTAATTGTAAAGGACACATGTAAGACTATAATACAGCTAAATGATGCATTTGTAATTCATGTGAAACAACATAATTGGTTCTCCAAGGGTTCATCAATATATTATTCTACTAAACAGAATCCTTGAAAGTCCCGCCTGAGTTTTAAATGCAATATGAAGCCTTTATTTTAAGCATGGCTTCCTCTGTGTAATATTCTCATAATTATTTTCCAGCAACAAGAAATATTAGGTTGATTATTTTTATTCTAGCTGTTAGTCCCTCATGCTGCGAAGAAAGCAAGTTCATGAATTCATTCATTTCAATACAAAACAGACATTATTTGGAGAGCTCTATTTAAAATAAAAAAAAATAAGGCTGGACACGATGGCTCACGCTTGTAATCCCAGCACTTTGGGAGGCCAAGGTGGGTGGATCACCTGAGGTCAGGAGTTTGGGACCAGCCTGGCCAACATGGCGAAACCCTGTCTCTACTAAAGAGACAAAAATTAGTTGGGCTTGGTGGTGGATGCCAGTAATCCCAGCTACTCGGGAGGCTGAGGCAGGAGAATTGCTTGAACCCAGGAGGCGGAAGTTGCAGTGAGCCGAGATCACGATGCTGCACTCCAGCCTGGGCAACAGAGTGAGACTCTGTCTCAAAAATAAAAAATAATAAAATAAAATAAATTAGAAAATATCTTTTCAAAAATTTCATAAGAGGTGAAAAGTTGAATTAAATTATTTTAAAAGCCCGCTTTATTAAAAGGCATGTAATATTTCTATTGCCTCCCCCAAGAGAATTTCTATCACACAACAGTATATAAATAAACAGAAGTCAGTTTTAAGTACAGAATTTGATTCATGGAAATAAATTACGATCTTTTAATATAAAGCAACATTTTAGTATATAGTAAGAAAAAAACAAAAGGCCATATTCTTCACTTTGATACCTGTCACTATGTAGAAGACAAATTCCTTAACATACTTGTCTTTTAAAAATAATGTCAGTATATGTTTGTTAAACTTTTAGATATAAGTTAATGAAGATCATACAGCTTATACATCTCACAGGGGTTCTGCCTATTCTTGCAACTACTGCCTGCTAATTGTCTCTAGAAACTCTAAAATTTGAAATATATATAGTGCTTTTGAAAAGAGACTAGATGAGGTCATTCTATGCCTTTTTCCTTCCAGACTTTCAGGTAATCTGATTTTCAGCCACTGTTCTCAGTTTATTTACAAAATCTATGACTCAAAGACTAGTATATATCTTCGTACAGTGTGGTCTGTCAATCTGACTAGCTCTGTACGTAAAAAGAGTACTCAAATTAGCAAGCATAAAGCCACTGGGGGCCATTCACTTAAATGCTGCCAAAAGGACTGATGAGACTTTTATTCCTGATGCTGAACTTGGGGAGGGGGAATGGTGGGGGAGTGTCTGCTAAATTCATTTTAGACAACAACGGACTACAACATCTCCCATATATTAGCCATCTTTTTAATTAAAGGATAGAAAATGGAAGGTTGGAATAAAAAGCAAAAGGAAGGAATAGAAGTGTAGATTCAACAAGACAAGACAAGAATGCCATTTCAAAACAATTTGGCATATTTGGAGAACTGGCAAAGGAGGATTTAAGAACACATGTCCCAGCAGCCCTAGAATGCACTTGCAAGGATATATATATATATATATATATATATATATATATATATATCTCCTTGAATGGCTGTTGTGAAATCAGAGTGTACTTCTAGACATTGTTACCCATGTCTAGAATATGTATAGCAAGCGGTACTTCAATATTGATAACAAGGATAAATTAACTGAAATAATAGATAGAAATGTTCTACGCAAAAGCAGAGAAAGCTTTTTATTTTGAAATCTAAGCTCATTCTTAGGCTATGTAAAATTTAGGATAATCAGTCTGGCCCTACAGGTGTACAATAAGGACAATGTTGGAGACTTGAATTCCTTCCCCCAGAGCATGAGTGAAAGTCTAGTTGAGTCTCAGAAACAAAACTGGCCCCCTTTTAAAAATTATTCCTTAGGAAGTTTCTAGTGCAGTGACAAATAAAACTAGGCACTTTGCTATCCTCTTGAGCTAGGCTTGCTCTTGTTCAATTTCAAACGAGTTCTCTTGAGTCTAAGCTGAGACCACAGTCATCTTGAAGGACAAAGGAAAAATTGCTTATCTTAGGCTTTCAGAGCTCAGAAGGTGAAAGGGCCCCAAGAGACCAACCTGCAAATCATACCAGCTGTGTTGGGCTGTAATAGCAGTGGAACCCATGAGCAGTAAACACCCAAAGATTCAGCCAGAAATCTACATACATTATATAGAGTTATCAGAGCCCTTTAACTTACCCAGCACTTTTACCCAATGCTTTTTACACAAGACATGTAGCAACATCAGAAAAAATAAGTGTTCAGTGGAAACACATTGGGAAATGTGGTTCTAACAAACAGCTAGCCCATATCGCATATCTAACAAACCCAGAGTAAACTGATCTCTGAATGCTGTGAAGATTCATGGGAGTATTCTTAGATAACCACCTATGCCATGTCCAGCCAGTTGGTAAGAGAGCAAGGGGAATTCAGTGAGGACTTTCTTCTATGCTAATCACATTAATGTGGGATTTCTGCTCTATTTACATAGTAGAAATGGAAAGAAAGACATGTTGATTCATAATTATAATTAAAGTTATCTTTTTTATGGCTGCATAGTATTCCATGGTGTACATATACCATATTTTCTTTATCCAATCAACTGTTGATGGATATTTAGGTTGATTCCATGACTTTGCTATTGTGAGTAGTACTGCAATAAACATATGAGTACAGGTGTCTTTTTCATAGAATGATTTCTTTCCCTTTGGGTAGATGCCCAATAGTGGGACTGCAGGGCTGAATGGTAGGTCTATTTTTAGTTCTCTGAGAAATCTCCAAATCTATTAAGTACAATGGTCACTATTTGAGTGACAAGTACACTAGAAGCCCAAATCTCACCATTCAATATACCTATGCAACAAACCTGCACATGTACCCGCTGAATCTAAAAATTTGAAAAAAGCTACATTAACTCTCCCAATAACAAAAAGGGAGTCAACAACCAGAGGTTATTCATTAATGTATCACAACTGTAAGCTTAGCTATCCCTGGCTGTGCTATTTTAGGTGCCTCATGGACAAAATACAGCATTTGGTTTATAAAATGACCCTACATCCAGAGATATAGTTAATGTACAAGTAATAAACAAGGAGATATTCTAGAAGATAAGAGACACAACTGAATTGATCCCAGAACACAAATGAGGAATTAAGAGAAACAGAAATTCCCAATATATTCATGTCATTTAAATCAATACAGGAATAATTCACCTTCTCCTTGGATCTACCTTCTGATATCTGCCAAGTCCCTGAGGCAAACCACACTCTGGACCAGTGACTGGCCTCCTCTCCACTTGCAGACAGATAGCTGGCTATCTAGTCTCTAGACACTACCCTCTGGTCTGTCAGATTAGTAATCCAACCTGTAACCTTTAGCATTTACCCCACTCTAGGAGTCAGTCCTCAGGGAACTTCTCTGGGGGTTCACTATACCTGCTTTGATCCTCAGACAATCTCAGATATGCTACTGACACCACATTACATCTTTTAAAAATGTACTTTTTTCACATTTTAACATCTCTGAGACTGAGATGCATCTAACAATCATTGGTGTGCTGTGATTTCATTGGCAGCATCTTTTCCTTTCTCAATGGTAAATAAATTAATGTAATATCTTATGATTGATACTATCTTTGATTCAATGATATATAGTAAAAGTAAACATCTAGTACCTCAAGTCTCCTGATGTAAGGGCTCAATATACAGAATATTCTGTAAATAATATCTCTGTTGTACTACTCTCTTCTGAGATACCTTAGAGTCTCCTGCTAAAGAGGTACTTTACATATAGGTCACAATGTTTGGTTTCGTATGACCCCAATCATAAGAGATTAGATAATGAGTACGTACCAAAGAAAACTATCTATAGATTGCCATGAGAGATTTTTCCAGCAGAAAATCTCTGCTCTGAACCAAACAAACCAAATTTTTCTTGGGGTAACTTAATGAGACACATGCAGAAACGGATATGTATGTTAGGCAGAAGCAGAAGCTAAGAGAGAGAGGATGTTAAAAGCCACATGGCAGTAGAAACCATAAATAAGCAGATACCCTGATATAGAAAGGAGAACAGAGAGTTCATTCATTGTTAAGGAAATAAAAGAAGAATTAGATAGACAGAAAAATAAAAATGCAGTAGCTGAGACACCATAATGGCAAATCATAAGAATAGAAGGATTAGTAAGTTACAACTGGAATCAAGCACAAACCTGCTCCTAAAGGAAGACTACCAGCAGGGTGGTCAATATGTCAGAGGTGCTGTCAGACTTCCAGAGCCACTGTTGTAGTCAGAACATTCTAGTTTTGATGAGCCATGGCTGGGAGACCACTGTGATATTTCTTCCTCATATTTTCTTAACCCTATATTACCTTTAAAAACTTTAGCATGCCTCTATTCCTTGGAATTAGAAAAAGACTGTTATATGATATATATATACATATAGAGAGAGAGACTCACTCACTCATTTTAACCCTTCCCTTACACACTTTGGCCCGCAATTTCTTTCTTAGGGGAAAAGACAGAGTAGAGAATGCTTCCAATATACCAGTGGCATGATATTGGCTCACTGCAACCTCCAACTCCCGGGTTCAAGCAATTCTCCTGCTGCAGCCTCCCAAGTAGCTGGGATTAAAGCCATGTGCCAATATACCTCGCTAATTTTTGTATTCTTAGTAGAGATGGGGTTTCATCATGTTGGCCAGGCTGGTCTGTAACTCCTAACCTCAAGTAATCCGCCAAACTCGGCCTCCTAAAGTGCTGGGATTACAGACATGAGCCACTGTGCCTGGCCTCCGTTACACAATATTAAGCAACTATAAGAAAGCAAAAGATAGGGTACAAAGAGAATGTGGTAAAAAAAAAAAAAAATGTGATCAGAGCTTACAAATTGGCTGAGCCAGGGAAGAGAAGAGGAGGTTAACAGGGGTGATCTCAAAACTTGAGAGACAGAAGGGAGGCGTGGGGGTGGGGGCAGCACACACAGGCCAGAGATGGAGTGCCAACTCCATTTTATCTTTACTTTTTATTTTCTGAAGGGTCATTGACATATAGCACAGATTTTCTGCAATGATATCTTATTTGGTCCTGGCCAAATCTTAAAATTTGGTTCAAATTCTCCTTCCTTTCAGTAATACTCAGGGGAGGTCATGTTCAGCTTACCACCTTTCCTCAAATCACCTTTGGACTAATCAAACTCAGACTTCCTTCCAGTCAACAAATCTAACAATATTTCCACTTATCTGAATGAATTCAGTTAAGTCAACATTGATTAGGATAGTGTTTTCTTGTCCAACATACCTTATACGGGCCCAAGCTCATCAGATTGACCACTAAAAAAAACTACAACTCAAAGTTGTATTTTTCTATTTATTTTGAAGTTTTTAAATATAAAAATGTATCAGTTTTAAAATTTCATTTATGGAACATAAGATTATTGGAATTATTATCTCCCTTTTCATCAATCAAAATCTAATTCATGGCTGGGTGCAGTGGCTCATGCCTATAATCCCAGCACTTTGGGAGGCCGATGTGGGCGGATCACCTGAGGTCAGGAGTTCGAGACTAGCCTGGCCAACATGGTGAGACATGGTGAGTGCTATGGCACTCCCCCCTTGGTGACAAGAGCAAAACTCCGTCTCGGAAAAAAAAAAAAAAAAAAAATCTAATTCAGGGCTACAGAGAACTATTTACCCATGGAAGAACCAATCTGTGTGAGAGTATTAGAAAATAACTATATTCATTCATTCATTGTGTTACCTAATGTGAAGATGGAAAACTAAAGCATGCTTATGTTTTCTTTTTTTTTAACATATGAACAAATTTAAGAATGAAAATGGTACTTGCTGGGCGTGGTGGCTCACGCCTGTAATCCCAGCACTTTGGGAGGCCGAGGTGGGTGGATCACCTGAGGTCAGGAGTTTGAGACCAGCCTGACTAACATGGAGAAACCCTGTCTCTACTAAAAATACAAAATTAGCTGGGCGTGGTGGCACATGCCTGTAATCCCAGCTACTCAGAAGGCTGAGGGAGGAGAATCTCTTGAGCCCGGGAGATGGAGGTTGTGGTGAGCCAAGATCGCGCCATTGCACTCCAGCCTGGGCAACGAGAGCGAAACTCCTTCTCAAAAAAAAAAAAAAAAAAAAAAAAGGTACCAATTCAAATTTGTTACCCTTGATCTTTATAAAGGTATAATTCTATTACTTTCTTTAGTATTTGAATTCTAGCAGTAACTTTCTGGGATAGTTTCTGCCCCTTAAATTCAATGCTTTTCTTACACTTCTCTTCTTTGGTTTTGAAAAACAATCACAGCTTCTTTCATTTAGGTATCTTTGTTGCTGTTTCTATGTTTTGACAATATGGAATGAGGTATAATTTATTTACATTTTGGGGCTACCTAACAGGTAATGATGTGCTAACATATCAAAGTAAAACTCTCCAGAAATGGTCATTCACTATAGATATTACCATGTAGGGGAATGGTTAAAATGAAACAAAACAGTAATCTTGGCTCAGGTATGTATTTGTCAGCAGGATGAGAAAAGTTTAAACTGTATATTTAATATGTAATAGTATTGCTTTGAAAACAAGTTTTCAAAAACTTTTATCACCTCTCTTTCTTACCCACTCATCACCTTAAAAACATTTAATTCACATTCCAAGATCTTATTTTCCATCATATTCATTAATAAAACTTAATAGTCTTGGGAATTTTTTACTGTCATCATTTAGACCAGTGGCCTATAAGGGGTTTTTGATTTTATATTAGATCTCAAACTGTCTGCAGGGAATCCTGATACCTTGGTACCACTTAAATATAGTTTTTTGCTTTAACAGTGATGTGTAGAAAGGGAATTCCAGATGGCCTTTTGTAATGTAGTCACTCAAGGAGAAATCCATAGACAAACTTGCATTAAATTATATTGCTCATCTAAGTAAAGGAAACTTCTCATTTAAATAATAGCTTGCTGATATCATCAAAATGGTGAAATAGAAAGTTCCATCTCTTGTTCTCCCATAGAAACACCAACTTAACAATGTAGACCACAATACCTTTATGAGAAGACCAGAATCCTTTTAAGAGGTTGCAGTACACCAGAGAAACACAAAACTGAAAAAACTCTACTGAAATGAGTAAGGAGCAATTTCACTTTACTAGTATTAGCCCCTTCCCCCAAGCCATCACAGCTCAGCACTGAAAAATATCACTTTGGCCCACAGTTTCTTTCTCAGGGGAAAATACAGAGTAGAGAATGCTTCCAATGTACCAGCCTTTTGGTGCACTGCCTGAAGGGCTAGTTTCTATCTCACCTCACATGGGACACTGATAGAAAAGAAATAGCTTGGATGTTTCAGGGCAATTAAGAACAAAGGAAAAAGGGCAGGCAGCTTACTGTGGTGAGCATAGCTCTACAAGATTGAGAGAAGGCACAGAGCCTGATGCTTCTTCCACTGTGATAGGAGAGAAATGGAACATGTTCCCAACAATCTGGCCTCAGTGAACCACCAGGGTCGGGCTGGATTCTGTCCTGCCTCAGAAGACATTAGCATGGCTCTATGAATTGTGCTAGGGGTAAATCCATCTAATTAGGAATCCTCCCACACAAATCCAGAGAAGACACATTCATAGAAAAGGTTTGAGAGGCTCCTAGAATCTCTAGCCTAGTGAATTGGTTAAGCTCTTTCCATGTCTAAACAAGTCCAGAAAGAATGGGAAGGGTGGCTGCTTCCTCAAATGTGCAGACACCAGTGCAAAAGTATAAGAAACAAGAAAAATCAGTGAAACATTACACTAAAGGAACAAATTAAATCGTAATACACAACTCTAAAGAAATGGAGATCTATGAATAGGCTAACAAAGATTTCAAAATAATCATCTTAAGGAAGCTCAGTGAGTTACAAGAGAATATAGACAACTGAACAACATTAAGAAAATAATTCAGCAACAAAATGAGAATGTCAACAGAGGTAGAAATTATGTATGTATTTATTTATTTATTGAGACAGAGTCTCGCTCTGTTGCCCAGGCTGAAGTGCAGCAGCACAATCTCAGCTCACTGCAACCTCCGCCTCCCTGGTTAAAGAGATTCTCCTGCCTCAGCATCCCGAGTAGCTGGGACTACAGACATGGGACACCATGCCCGGCTAATTTTTCTGTGTGTGTGTGTGTATACATATATACACACACACAAATATATACATATATATAAATATATATATATACACACAAATATATACATACATATATATAAATATGTTTTTCAAGTAGAGATGGGGTTTCCCTATGTTGGCCAGGCTGGTCTCAAACTCCTGACCTCAAGTGATTCACGCATCTCAGACTCCCAAAGTGCTGGGATTACAGGTGTGAGCCACCATGCCCAGCTCAGGCTGGTTTTTTTGTTGTTGTTTGAGTTGCCTTTTTCTTTTTTTTTGAGATGGAGTCCCACTCTGTCACCCAGACTAGAGTGCAGTGGCACAATCTCGGGCTCATTGCAACCTTTGCCTCCCAGGCTCAAGAGATTCTCCTGCCTCAGCCTCCCCAGTAGCTGGGATTACAGGTATGTGCAACCACAACTGGCTAATTTTTGTAATTTTTTTTTTTAGTAGAGATGGTGTCTCATCACGTTGGCCAGGCTGGTCTCGATCTCCTGACCTCAAGTGATCCACCTGCCTTGGCCTCCCAAAGTGCTGGATTACAGACATGAGCCACCACATCTGGCCCTAACAGAGGTAGAAATTATTTAAAAAAAAATAACCAGGCCGGGTGCGGTGGCTCACGCCTGTAATCCCAGCAGTTTGGGAGGCTGAGGCAGGCAGATCACCTGAGGTTGGGAGTTTGAGACCAGCCTGACTAACATGGAGAAACCCCGTCTCTACTAAAAATAAAAAATTAGCCAGGCATGGTGGCGCATGCCTGTAATCCCAGCTACTCAGGAGGCTGAGGCAGGAGAATAGCTTGAACCCGGGAGGCAGAGGTTGCAGTGAGCCGAGATTGTGCCATTGCACTCCAGCCTGGGCAACAAGAGTGAAACTCCGTCTCAATAAATAAATGAATAAATAAATGAATAAATAAATAAATAAATAAATAAAAATAACCAAACAGAAATTCTGGTTCAGTGACTGAACTGAAAAATCACTACAGTGATTAAACAGCAGACTTGATTAAGCAGAAGGAATCAGTGAAACTGAAGACAAGTCATCCAAATTATGTAGCCAGAGGAGCAAAAAGCAAAGAATGATAAAGAATGAAGAAAGCCTAAGCTACTTACTGAACATCATCAAGCAGACCAATACATTCATTATGGGAATCTCAAAGGAGAAGAGAGATAGTCAGGGGAAAAAGCTTATATAAAGAACTCATGGAGGAAAACATTTCAAATCTGGGCAAGGAAATGGATATCCAGATTCATGAAGCCCAAAGAATGCCAAATTAGACAAACCCAAAGAAGTCTACACTGAGATACAATATAATCAAATTGCACAAAGTCAAAGAAAAATTTTAAAGGAGCAAGAGAAAAGTGACTCGTGATGTAAAGTGAGTCCTCAATAAGACTATCAGTGGATTTCTTAGCAGAAACCTTGCAGACCAGAAGGCAGTGAGCTTATAATATTCAAAGTGTTGAAAGAAAAAAAAATGCCAATCAAGAATACTATATCTGGCAAAATTGTCCTTCAAAAGTGAAGGTGAGATAAAGACTTTTCCAAACAAAAGGCACGGGAGTTCATCACCACTAGACATGATGCTAACGGGAGTTCTTCCAGTAGAAATGAACAGATGCTAAAACAGTAACACAAAAGCATATGAAAGAATACAACACACTGGTATGGGCAAGCATACAGACAAACACAGAATACTATATATATATAATATAGATATAGACATAGATAATTTTTTTTGAGACAGGGTCTCATTCCTATTGCCTAGGCTAGACTGCAGTGGCATGATCACAGCTCACTGCAGCCTCGGCTGATTCTCCCACCTCAGCTTCCTGAGAAGCTGGGAATATAATTGTGCACCACCATGCCTGGCTAATTTTTTGCATTTTTAATAGAGACAGGGTTTTGCCATGTTGCCCAGGCTGGTCTTGAATTCCTAGACTCAATGAATTTGCCCACTTTGGCCTCCTGAAGTGCTGGGATTAGAAGCCACTGTGCCCAGCCCGGATACTACAATAATGGTGGACTGTAAATAACTTTAAACTCTACTATTAAAGTTAAAAGACAAAAATATTAAGATTATAACTACACAAATTTGTTAATGGATACACAATATAAAAAGATTTAAACTATGACATCAATAACAGAGTATGGTGAGGGAGAAGTAAAAGTGGAAGGTTTTTGTATGTGAGTGCAGTTAAGTTGTCAGCAGCTTAATATAGAACTGCTGTAACTGTAAGACAATCTATGCAAGCTTCATGGTAATCATAAAGAAATTAACTATAGAAGATACACAAAAGAAATAGAAGAAGGAACCAAAGCATATCACTACAAAAAATCAACAAATCACAAAAGAAGATAGCAAGAGAGGAAAACAGGGACAAAAAGACTATGAAACAGAAAACAATCAACAAAAGGGCAATAGTAAGTCCTTCCCTATCAATAATTACTTGAAATGTAAATGGAGGCCTGGTGCGGTGGCTCACGCCTGTAATCCCAGCACTTTGGGTGGATCATGAGGTCAGGAGATCGAGACCATCCTGGGCAACATGGTGAAACCCTGTCTGTACTAAAAATACAAAAATTAGCCGGGTGTGGTGGTGCACGCCTGTAGTCCCAGCTACTTGGGAGGCTGAGACAGGAGAATCACTTGAACCCAGGAGGCGGAGGCTGCCATGAGCCGAGATCGCACCACTGCACTCCAGCCTGGGCAACAGAACAAGACTCTGTCTCAAAAAAAATAAAATAAATAAATAAATGCAAATGGATTAAACTCCCCAAACAAAAGACACAGAGTGGCAGAATAGATAAATAAACAATATCTAATTATATGCTACCTATAAGAGACAACACTTAGCTTTGAGGACACACATAGCCTGAAAGTAAAGAGACAGAAAAAGATATTCCACACAAATGGTAACCAAAAGAGAGCAGGAGTGGCTATACTTTATGTGACACAAAATAGACTATAAGTCAAAAACCGACATAGAGGCGAAAAAGGTCATTACATAATAATGAAAGCAATTCATCAGGAAGATATAACAATTATAAATCCATATATACACCAAATATTAGAGCATCTAAATATACAAAGTAAACACTGACAGATCTGAAGTAGGAAACAGACAGCACTATGGTATTGGTAAGATAATTCATATCCCACTTTTGATAATGAATAGAACATCCAGGCAAAAAAAAAAATCAATAAGGAAACAATAGACTTGAACAACACTAAGAGCAAGAGGAACTAAAAGACATACAGAAGACATTTCAACCAACAGTTGTGAAATACACATTCTTCTCATGCACACATGGAACATTCTCCAGAATATATCACGTGTTAAGTCACAAAAAAAGTCTCAACGAATTTAAGACTGAAATCCTACACAGTATCTTTTCTGACTATAGTGGAATGAAACTAGAAATTAATAGCAGAAGGAAAATTGGATAATTTACAAATATGTGGAAATGAAACAACACACTCTTTAAAAACCAATGGGCCAATGAAGAAATTAAAAAAAAAATTAGAAAATATCTTAAGACATGCAAAAATGAAAATACAACATAACAAAACTTACGAGATAGAGCAAAAGCAATTCTAAGAGGGATATTTATGGTGATAAAATGCCTACATTAAAAAAGTAGAAAGATCTCAAATAAACAATCTAATGTTATACCTCAAGGAGCCAGAAAAAGAACAAATTTAGGAGAAGCCCAACATTAGCAGAAGCAAGGAAATAACAAAGACTAGAGTCAAAATAAATGAAATAGAGAACAGAAAAGCAGTAGAAAAAAAATCAGTGAAACAGAAAATTGTTTTTTTCTGAAAATATAAACAAAATGGAAAAATCCTTATACTAAAAAAAAAAAAAAGATTCAAAATCAGAAATGAAAGATGAGACATTAGAACTGATGCCACAGAAATAAACAGGATCAGAAGAGACTACTATGAAGAATTATACACCAACAAATTGGATAATCTCGAAGCAATGGTTATATTCACAGAAATATACAACCTACCAAGGGTAAATCATGATGAAATGGAAAATCTAAACAGACCAATAACAAACAAGGAGACTGAATCAGTAATCAAAACCCTCTGCAAAAAGAAAAATCCAGCATTAGATGGTGTCAGTGGTGAATTTTATCAAATATTTAATGAAGAATTAACCCCAACACTTTTTAAAGACTTTAAGAGAGTAGACTTCGAAACTCATTCAATCAAGCCAGTATTACCCTAATACAAAGTCACAGACACTACAAGAAAACTACAGACCAGTATCTTCGATGAAAACAGATGTGAAAATTCCCAAGAAAATATTAGCAAACCGAATTCAACACTAAGTTCTAAAAAATCATACATCATGATCAAATGGGACTTATCCCTAATATGTGAGGATGGCTTGAACATATGCAAATCAATTAATGTGCTACACCACATTAATAGAATGAAGGATAAAAATCACACAATCATCCCAATAGATGCAGAAAAAGCATTTGAAAAAATTCAACACCTTTCCATGATAAACACTATCAATAAATTAGACATACAAGGAATTTACCTCAACACAATTAAGGCCATATATGAAAAGCCCACTGCTAATATCAAACTAATGATAAAACACAAAGTTTTTCTTCTCATATCAGGAAATGGAAAGAATGCCCACCCTCACCATTTATATTCAAGATAGTACTGGAAGCTCTAGCTGGAGCAACTAGACAAGAAAAAGAAAAATAAAAGACATTAAAATTGGGAGGAAAAAAAAAAGAAGTAAAACTATCTCTGTTTGCCGACACGTGATCTTACATAGAGAAAACCCTAAATATTCCACAAAAAACTGTTAAAACTAATTAAAAAATTCAGCAAAGTTGCACGATACAAAATCAACATACAAAAATCAATTGCATTTCTGTACATTAACAATAAAGTACTGAAAACAAAACTGAGAAAGCAATCCCATTTGCATAGTATCACAAAGAATGAAATACTTAGGAATACATTTAACCAAGGAGGTGAAAGACTTGTACGGCGAAAACTACATAACGTTGATGAAACAAATTAAAGACAACATATATAAATGAAAAGATATTCAGTGAAAGACTTAATATTGTTAAAATGTCCATACTACTTAAGATAATCTATAGATTCAATGCAATCCCTTTAAATGTCCCAATGGCATTTTTCAGAGAAATAGAAAAACCCATCGTAAAATTCATAACTACAAAAGAGCATGAATAGCCAAAGAAATCTTGAGAAAGAAGAACATAGCTGGATTCGCCACACTTCCTTATTTTAAAATATATTACAAACCTTCAGCAATTTAAAAAATATGGGACTGACATAAAAACAGACATGTAGACCAAGGAAACAGAATAGAGAGCCTAGAAATATATCCATGCATATATGGTCAACTGATCTTTGTATGGGGTGCCAAGAACACAGAATGAGAAAAGGAAAGTCTCTTCAACAAATGGTAGTGGGAAAATTGGATATGGACATGCAAAAGAATGAAATTGGACCTTCATCCCACATTATATATAAAAATCAACTAAAAATGGGTTAAAGATTTAAACGTAAGACCTAAACCTACAAAACTCCTTGAAGAAAACAAAGGGGAAAAGCATCATGGTATTGGTCTGGGCAATGATTTCTTGGATATGACACCAAAAGCATAAGCAGCAAAAGCAAAAACACAGTGAGATTACATAAAACTAAAAAGCTTCTGTACAGCAAGCAATCAAAATGAAAAGGCAATTTACAAAAATGAGAGAAAATATTTGCTAGCTGCATATCTGATAAAGGGCTAACTATGCAAAATGTGTCAAATACGTAAGGAACTCAAATAACTCAAGATCAAAAAAACAAAACAGCTGGGTATGGTGGCTCATGCCTGTAATTTCAGCACTTTGGGAGGCCGAGGCAGGCAGATCACCTGAGGTTGGGAGTTCAAGACCAGCCTGACCAACATGGAGAAACCCCATCTCTAATAAAAATACAAAATTAACTAGGCATGGTGGTGCAGGCCTGTAATCCCAGCTACTCGGGAGGCTGAGGCAGAAGAATCGCTTGAACCCGGGAGGTGGAGGTTGTGGTGAGCCAAGATTGTGCCATTGCACTCCAGCTTGGGTAACAAGGGCGAAACGCCATCTCAAAAACAAAATGAAACAAAACAAAATAAAAAACAAAAAAGCTCCCAAATAGCCAGTTTAAAAAATAAGGAAAGGTTTTGAATAGACATTTCTCCAAAGTAGACATACAAATGGCCAACAGGTATGTGAAAAGATGCTCAACATCACTAATCAAGGAAATGCAAATCAAAAACTACAATGAGATGTCACCTCACCCCAGTTAGGATGTCTACTATTTAACAACAAAAAAAAAATGTAAAAGGCATTGTTAAGGATGTGAAAAGGTAACAAGCACTGTTAAGGATGTGAAGAAATTGGAACCCTTATACAACTGTTAGTGGGAATGTAAAATGATGCAGCCATTATGGAAAAGAGTATGAAGCTTCCTCAAAAAATTAAAAACAGACTTACCAGAAGATCCAGTAATCCCTCTTCTGGGGATATGTCCGAAAGAATTGAGGCCGGGCGCGGTGGCTCATGCCTGTAATCCCAAAACTTTGGGAGGTCAAGGCAGGCGGATCACGAGGTCAGGAGATCAAGACCATCCTGGCTAACATGGTGAAACCCCGTCTCTACTAAAGATACAAAAAATGAGCCGGGCGTGGTGGCACGTGCCTGTAATCCCAGCTACTCAGGAGGCTGAGGCAGGAGAATTGCTTGAACTCAGGAGGTGGAGGTTACAGTGAACCGAGATCACGCCACTGCACTCCAGCATGGGTGACAGAGCGAGACTCTGTCTCAAAACAAAAAAAACAAAAAAAAGAATTGACAGCAGGATCTCAAATTGATATCTGCACTCCCATGTTCACTGCAGCATTATTCACAACAGCCAAGATAGGGAAATAATCCAAATGTCCATCAGTGAATGAATAGAGTAAATGGAGAAAATGTGGTATGTACGTACAATGGAATATGATTCAGCCTTAAACACAGAAAGAAATCCTGCCATATGTGACAACATGGTTGAACCTGGAGACATATGCTAAGTGAAGTAAGACAGGCACACAAAGACTCATACTGCGGGATTCCACGTTTATGAGCTATTTAAAATAGTTAAACTCACAGAAACAGAGTAGAATGGTGGTTGCCAGGGTCTGGGGAGAAGGAGGAGTGGGGAGTTGCTGTTCAACAGGTATAAAGTTTCATTTGTGCAAGATGAATAAATTCTAGAGATCTATTGTATGGCATAGTGCCTATAGTTAACAATATTGTATTGTGCACTTAAAGATTTGATAAGAGGGTAGATCTCTTGTTAAGTTTTCTTCCTACAACCAAAAAACAAATATAGCCAAATTTTTAAAAAGGAAAAATAACAGCTTGCTGTTTCTGAGAGGTAAACAAGTGACTACCTACTTGCACTGGGCTAGTAGGCATATATGTAGTATATGAATAATCTGGGCTAAATAGTATGTGTAAATATATCACTAGCAATAAAATCAAGGTCTGTGAATAATTTTTAGTCAATGCTTAGAATGGCCACAGGTAGCACACCAGGAAATGGCTAGGAAGTGCTCCCACTGCCTGGGTAATTTTATAAGTCATTTGTAACATATATACTGTTCTGGTAACAGATAAAACCCTAGGTTAGGTTTATCTTTCATTTCTTATAGCTCTTTTTCTCTAGCACGAGAATCCAAAAAGTACTTAGAGAACACTGGCACAAAGAAGGGTGTATCAAAAACAAATGTTACTCTTTTGGTCTAGAGTAACTTTAGAGGATAAGTTTAGGACACTAAAACTATAGGTGTGCTGGAAGTTCCATAATTGACTTTCAAATGCTATTTTCCAGTAGTCAAAACTACTCATTTGCTTAAGTTATGGAGTATATAACATTGCAATTGAATAATAATTATGAAAGACATTGCCATTTCCATCAATATTTTTATTTTAAATTACACCGGGTATCTTATTTTTTTAAGAGAAGCCCAAATTAAATGCAGTTTATTTTTCTTGAAAAGAAATGCTGATCTCTATTCATAGCCTGCTAATAGCATTATTTCTTTTTTTTTTTTTATTTTCGGTACACACAGAGGAACAGAAGGGAGGGGTGTAAAGGAAGGGAGTGTTATAAAGACTTTTTTGTAGAAGTGGGATTTTTTGCACCTTCAATTACCTCATGGCAGGTGCAATGACCACTTTGTGCTCTCTTGAGGACAAAAGTGGCAATCTGTACTTACAAATACATGATCATATCAGTAAAAATGAGGCCATGCTGAAAATTTGCCCCGAGATGTTTAAAGGACACTGAATTTTGACTCAGATTTACACATAAGTCAATGCCAAATGACAAATTTCAAGCTTCACAAGTTCAGACATTGATCAGGGAATTGGAGCTTCAAAGCCATAAAGCTGAAAGCTTTTGGACCAAGGAATATTCAACAAAAGCTGTGTAAAAATGCATCAATGCAGTGTGATCACCTCAAGCAAAAATCAGCAAGGCACAACAATGAAGAATTCAAATTTAATCTATCTTTTGGACTTCCTTGGAAAATGAGAATACAATCACGGTCAAAAGTTGATAACATTTTCAAATGACTTTCAGTCCATTTGAATAGGTATGAAATAACACCATTTGTTTGTATAGCATTTAGTTTATAAATGCTTCCTGGATACATTACCACATTTCTTTTCACTTCAAGGCTGTGAGGTGGGGCAAATATAATTATCCTTATTTTATAGATGGGGGCACTGAGGGTTAAGAGGTTTGTCTGAAGTAACAGAGCTGGTAAGTTTTGGGATTAGATTTTTAAAAAAAAAATCTAGTGATCTTTTCTCTATTTTAGGCTATGAAGACAAAGAATCTGCCAGTTTAGACGTGGTATTATTTGATGAATTATCTTTGGGTGTGAGACAGGTGGTGCTACTAGTCACACTGTGAATTGCCTTCGGTATTTACAGTATCACATTGACATCCCAGACATTTTTCCCTCTCATTCATCAAGTTCAGTACCTAAATGGTCTTTAATTACACATTCAGATGTGAATAATGTATATATCTAGTTATTTACATAGAGTTGGTATTAATAAGAATGTTCTGCTCTATGCCAGTAAGCATGTGCTACTACTTTAGTTTAAAATAGTTTGTTTCCCCACTGGGTAAGATGAAGTGATGGGGATGATATTTAATCTTTTCTTTTCTTTTTTTTTTCTCGCTCTGTCACCAGGCTGGAGTGCAGTGGCGTGATATCGCTCACCGCAACCTCCGCCTCCCAGGTTCAAGTGATTCTCCTGCCTCAGCCTCCTGAGTAGCTGGGACTACAGGCACGTGCCACCACGCCTGGCTAATTTTTGTATTTTTAGTAGAGATGGGGTTTCACCGTGTTAGCCAGGATGGTCTCGATCTCCTGACATCGTGATCTGCCCGCCTCGGCCTCCCAAAGTGCTGGGATTACAGGCATGAGCCACCACACCTGGCCTGATGTTTAATCTTATACATCCTTGAGACATGGAAAAGTACCGTCTATGTTAATATAAAATGGAAATAGAAACTATTATTTACAAGGGCGCAATATGAACAACCCATAGAAAAGAACCTATTTCTAAATCATAAAAGATAAACAATATCAATAATATTGACTATGTATTGATATTAGAATCACCAGCTACTGTGCTGTGTTTTATATTCGTTATGTTATTTAATTCTCAGAATAACCCTATTAGGTAGGCATTGTTACATACATTTCATGGATGAAGAAACTAAGTTTTAGAAAGGCTAGATAATTTGCCTAAGTTTACACAACTAGTAATGGTAAAAACGGAATTAGATTCCAGTTGATGTAATTAAATATTGCTCTTTAACTATTATGTCTCTGGTATTCAAACTTCAGTAGTATGTAGAAAAATGATCTGGGCACTTGTTAAAATGTAGATTCCTGAGCACTATATACTGTGATTCAAGACCTGGGGTATGGTCTGATACTCTAAATTTTTAAACAATTTATGATTGATATATAATAACTATATATATTTATGGGGTACAACGTGATGTTTTGATATAGGTATACATTGTATAATGAATTTTAGTAAGTTTCCCAGGTAATTCTCATGATTTTTTTAAAAGATTTTCAGAAATACTGTCATACATTATACTGACAGCTAACACTGTTTCCTCCATATTAATTTTGGATGAATCTTTTAAAAATAAGTCATACATTTGAGGGTTTTGGTTGTTGCTGTTGTTGTTTTAACTCAGAAAATTTAATGTCTCACTGTAGTTGAGAACCTTACCAGGAAAACAGAAATTGTGATGGGACGGTATTGATATTTGCATAACAGCTGCATATGTATGACACATTCAATGAGGCCAAACAACAGGCTTTCTCTGTAGGTATAAGTAGAGGCAGCTAGCTAGGTACGTAAATGAAGAAAGGAGAACTGAAGATAGAAGGGAGAGGGAAGAAAAGAGAGAAAGGTAACAAAGTTAAAGGACTGATCTACTTTTGAACACAAGTATATTTCTCTCAAAAGACAAACAGGTTCTGATTAAAATTTGTGTTTTGACAGCTATGTCTTTTATCTGGTTTGTTTAGGTTCTTAAATGGAATGACAGGGCATACAATCCAATTGGCAGTTGTGATTAAGAGGTCAGGCAGTGAATTCAGTACTTTAAAAAACTCTTTCTCTCTCTCTCTCTTTTGCCCCCTTCAACTGGCACTTTAGTTTCCTAACTTATTCATATCAGCAGGAAGCAATGGCTGAACACCAACCTCTACTCACAAATCTAAGGACAAGCTTCATTATTACCTATTGCTTCAAGGAAATTCAGTGATGTTTACATAATCCGGGCACATATATAGCTTTTCAGTCTCAATTATTGTTTTCTTTTTCTCCTTCTGAACTATCAATCTAGTATGAAAAGCTTAAAAATTAAAAGGCTTTTTAGAAAAGAAATCACTTTTGTCTCTATATAAAAGAAGAGCAAAAAAGGTACTCCCAAAGGACAGAGTCTGTTAAAAATCAGATTATTTCCACCACACTCCCCTATTATTCACTTGTCAGTAAAATATGTCCTCTCATTGTCTTGGTTTGAATGCCTATTTTTATCTGACTGGAGCTATATGGTCATTTTTGTATTTATTACTAAGTTCTTTAGGTTTCTACTCCCCCCACCCCAGAGCATGTTTTTCTGCTCTTAAAAACTGGGCCACATGCCTCTGAGGAGAAAGTAGTGCATTATTTCATTCCCACCTTTTCTTCTTTTTTGGCATCTCTGAGGCTGCTATGCCCAGAAGTGCTTCCACTCAAGCTGGACCATCAAATCAATTATCACAGCAGTCTGCTTTCTAAATATGAATGGCAATGAATGACAACAGGAAAGGCAAACTTTCAACTTTGATTTGTCATTGGTAATGCAAATCTTTTTTTTTTTTTTTCTTTTTGGTCCCCTCCTCTTTTCCTTTTATATCTCTCTCAATTTCTCCCTGTCTCTCCCTCTCAATCTCTGTCCCTCACAGATGTTTGAGAGAGTCCAGCCATTTGGCCAAATTCTCCCCCCTGCTGTTGGCAGCTGCATTGTATCAAATCTTCAAATGAAAGCTTCACCTTTGTGAGTCAAAGTCACAAGAGAAAAATGGTATGGGGAGCCATTATTGCTATAAAATCTCTTTCTGCTAACCTCTGAGCCTGATTATTCCTGCATCTGAAGAAGCACAACAATGTTGCATCCTTATTCATTCGGGCTGTTTAAAATTCTTGCCTGCTCCAGTATTTGAAGCTTCAATTGTTTTGTGCTTAATGTTGCTCATTTCATATCAAGTTCTTGGTTATGTGAAATACTTTAATTTTTAAAATGTTATTATATCCTAGCTGTTTAAAAAGATTGAGAATGCCATAAAGAGAGAGACTGGTTTAAGCAAACCATAACTAGCTTTCATAATGCTGTATGTGGTCATTAATCCATCACTTTTGTGAGGATGTCTGCAATTTCTAGTATACTTAGTGCTTTACGTTTCTTTTCTCAAGCTGACAGCAATTCTTTTCATTGGCCAAAGATGCCACACTTTTACCAGTTATATTTATAAATATTACTTTAAAAAATGAGTTCAAAGCAGTAACATCACTTGAAAATGGCAGGCAAGAGAATAAATTATGCCAACCACTGTTAACCAGAAATTCTGTACCAGAGTCTTAGAATATATTGTCTTCATTTAGTCAAATAATGATGAGTTGTGCAAGGCTGTGCCTAGAGCCAATTTAACTGGTGAATTAAGGTGTCGGCTCTGTCAAAATTAGTCAACCATCAATGAAAAATACTCAATTACAAACTACTTTATGACATGCATACACTGTTTTTCATGGGGGTGGGGGCAGTAGGGAGTAGAGATACAAAAGAGTATGAATTATAATTCCTATTCTCTAGAATCTCATTGAGGAGATAATGACAGACTCTCTCCTTTGACCAAACTTGAGTCAGATTCTTCTGAGCTCCCTTTTTAACTAGACCCAAACTTAGGCTCTGTCCCTGGCTCATTTAGTCCTGTTTTAGCAAAAATACTACTGGGTTAGTTTAGTGCAGATCCCTCACCCTTGATTATCTGATCAAATTCCTTATTCCTCACTCTGGATATCTTATCATCTTGGTCTGACTTCAGCAAGAATCCTGTCAAGTCAGTTTAGCTGGAATGCCCTTAGGCCTGATGTTTCCTCTTAGTAATTTTCCATCAATCGACCCCCACCCTGGTTCATGGCTATAAATGTCCACTTGGTACTTCTTGTGTGTGGAGTTTGGCTTAATCTCACTACCGTACTACAAAATTCCACTGTAGTAGTCCCTCTGAATGAAGTCAGCCTTACCATATTTAACAAGTGTCAGAATAATTTTTTCTTTAACAATAAAACACAGAGATGTAAAAACAAAACTATAATATAGGGTACTTTTTGCTAAGTGTCAACAGAACTACATAGAGAGTATAAGTTATGTAATTACAGCAAGCAGATTACTTTCAAATGGGGAATTCAACGAAGCCTTGATGAGGTAGATGGGATCTGAGCTATGCATGGTGAAAGCCTGGGTGAAGTTTTCATAGGTAGAAAGTAAGAGAGATTATTCCCAATGGGGAAGTAAACAGCTTAAATTGATTTACACATTGTTTATTTGGAAATACTATTTCTGAGCTCAATATTCTTTAGCATCTAACTTTATAAATGGTTAACGAAAAAAGGACAAAAGAAACATGCATAAGGTAGAAGAGGGTAGTCAATAATGGACAACCATTCTAAGAAACAGTCTTTCTGCAGCTTACTCTTAGGCTTGTGGGTATGATATGCTGGGTCAAAGGTGGCTCTCAAGGGATCGGTAATAATTATAACAAATGTGATCCTAATTCAGCTGATCAGGGTTTGTATAAGATCGGTCCTGATCTCGTAAGGAATGGTGAGTTGCTCCAAAGATCTTAATGTTCTATTACTATCTAGATTTATATTTTATAAAATATGAAGACATCCTAGGCTGAAAGTAGATGTCCTACGGTAGTTGCAAGCTATGACTGTTCCAGTCCAGAGCTTTATGTATTCTTTGGGGACTTTTCCTAGGCCAGTGTCCACATCTTCTGTATTAGTTTCCTAGGTCTGCCATAATAAATTATGACAGACTGGGTGACTTACAATAACAGAAATGTATTCTCTCACAGCTCTGGACACAAGAATTCTGAAGTTAAGGTACAGGGCAGGGTTGGTTCTTTTGAAGGTTCTGATGGAGAATTTGTTGCACTTCTCTCTCCTAGCTTTTTATGGTAGCCATCAATCCTTGGGATTCCTTGGCAGTCGCATCACTCCAGTCTATGCTTCCACAGTTACGTGGCATTCTCCCTGTGTGTCTTTGTGTCCCACATGGCCTACTTATAAGGACACCAGTCATTGGATTTAGGGTGCACCCTCATCCAGTATGACCATATCTTAACTTGATTACATTTTCAAAGCCTCCAATCACAAACAAGGTCCTATTCACAGATACTGGGGATTAGGACTTAAACATACCTTTTTGGGTGACAATTCAACCCATAACTCTTTCATAGCCTATTATTAAAGTACTATTTTCCTAAATGGGATTACTTAATTCCATCCCAATGATTCATTTCCCAGAATTTTTTTTCCTTTTGAAATAAGCAAGTTCATATAACATCTACCTAATAAGCTGACTTTCAACTAAAATGGGATGTCTAATTTCTAATCGAGTTTAGTACATATTAGAGCTGTCTTCAAAATCTACTTCACATAGTGAAAGCAAGGTAGTACAGTCAAAGTTACATTAGGCCCTGTGGGGAGATAAAAAAAATGATAAAAAAAAAAATTGGCTCCTACTCTCATATAGTTTACAGCCTTGAGGTTTCACAGCATAGAATGCTTGCAATGGAAGGGATCAAAGATCATCTATTCTAAACCATTCATTTTATAGATGAGGCCTTTGAGGCCCAGTGAGGTTAACTAATTTGCCCAGGGCTCACAAAGTTAATTGGGGAAATAGAACATGCAAGGGAAACAAATGAAGGGCACAATTTTAAAGAAATCCAGCTACTCTTCTGCTTTTGTGTATGAGGTACACAGTGAATGCTGATGATGTGCCATAGAGATTAGATCGAAGTCTGGCAGTCAAAAGCAATTCTGGAGTAGATGCCAAGGCTCTTCATCTCCTTTGCTCTCATCTCTGTAGCCTTCCAGAAAGCAAAATAACTTCCTGACCTTTCTTTTCCTGGGGCATGGGCTTAACTCAAGTTTCAGTTGTCTGGGGAAGCAATACCTTTAGAGTAGAAAGCACAAGGCTGTGCTGCTCTACTTGTTGTAATTCTCTGATGACCATAAACTAATGGTAGAGAAGTAGCCCCCAGGGTGGGTGGGGTCGGGAAGAAAGGATTCAGGAGTTACAGATTTGCTATAGATAACAGAACTGTGATGCACAGTTCATTCTTTCCTGCTTCAAAAAGGAAATATGTAGTATAACTGATTTTGAAGGGAAAAAAAGGGTAAATTGCCTACTTCAAAGACAACCAATTGCTGGAATAGCTTTCAAGTCAGTTTGTAAGTCAAAGCTCTTCTTTCCTTTCTCCTTTAACAGAAAATGTTTGATATACCAAAAAATTAACAAACAAAAAAAACAAAAAACTACCATTAATGTAATTAAAAACAACCAATCACTAGAGTTAAAGAACAATGAGGTACCACGGCATTCTACCATAACCTAACTAAAGATTTAACAGAACAACAAAGAAACTGAAAAAAATGGTAAGAAATTACAGGAAGAAACCAAGATTTTGCATATCTGTTTATTTTTCAACTGGCATTGAATCATCATTAACTGAGCTTATTTTCTCTGAATTAATGGAACTAACATTTAATCTGACTTGCCTAATATGGGGATAGGCTTACTCCTTTCTTATAAAATGTACAAGATTTAAAATTAAAGTAGAAAAGCATCACTTTCCAAGCCTACTGTTTTGGGATGCAGCGAACAATTAACTATGTTTCTACCAATTTATTCAAAATTTCATTCAAAATATTCTTTACATAATTATATTTCTTAGAGCTGTTTAAGAACTGCAATTTCAAATTAGGTGATTTCAAGTACACCTAGATGTGAATTAACATAAATTTTAGCATCATCAACTAGAAAACAGAGCTTCAAAGAAACCAAGTAACATGTTATAGATTAACATAAACAAATGTATATAATCAGAGATTCAAAGACATAGTAGAATGTCACATTTTCTTTGGAGTTTTGAAAAAGAATAAAATTTGACAAATAATGCATTATAATGATCACCTCCATGGATGTCTAAGCATGGGATAGAATTTTTGGCTTTACTAGCAAGAAGAATTACAAATTGAATGTGTTAAGTGTATGCATATCATGCTTCTATGGGGACGATTACACAATTGTGACAATAGCAAAAAACCAACTCTCATGAAATGATCCTCCTTATAAGAAACTTACAATGCAAGCTAACTTTGGAAAACTCCACAAATGAATTAGTAACTAGAAGAGTCACTCTTCCACTTATTACTGACTTAGGCCTGGGGAGCTGAGATTTTTGTCATTTATGATACAGCTGAGAAGAAGAGCTCTTTAGTGTTTTTTTCATTAGAAACTTCATGAAGACCTGTAATTGGACAAGTACCCATTACCTAGGCATTAAATCTAAATTCTATAGTAGTCCCACACTTCACTTCATTAGTCAAACACACATGCACAAATCAATGCAAGATTTCATAAGAAATTTATAGGGAAATATAATTTCACATGATAGTTCATCTTACTGTACTTCAATTTAGTAATTATTTGATTCACCTTCTGAAAACTGTAGAGCTGATTCACTAGTGTAACTTTTTCTTTCTAATACAATGGATTATTTAAACTAAAAAGGATGTGTGTATATATATACATGTATACACACACACACACATATATATATATAGATAGATAGATAGATTTTTTTTTAGACGGAGTCTTGCTCTGTCACCCAGGTTGGAGTGCAATGGCACAATCTTGGCTCACTGCAACCTCTGCCTCCCAGGCTCAAGCCATTCTCCTGCCTCAGCCTCCAGAGTAGCTGGGACTCCTGGCTAATTTTTGTATTTTTAGTACAGACGGGTTTCACCATGTTGGTCAGGCTGGTCTCGAACTCCTGACCTCAGGTGATCCACCCACCTTGGCCTCCCATAGTGCCGGGATTACAGGTGTGAGCCACAGCACACGGCCTATATATATTTTTTGAGAGAGTCTCACTCTGTTGCCCAGGCTGGAGTGCAGTTGCACGATCTCTGCTCACTGCAACCTCCACCTCCCAGGTTTAAGCAATTCTCCCTGCCTCAGCCTCCCAAGTAGATGGGATTACAGAGGCCAGTTACCATGCCTGGCCGATTTTTGTATTATTAGTAGAGATGGGGTTTCACCATGTTGGCCAGGCTAGTCTTGAACTCCTGACCTCAGGTGATCCGCCCACCATGGCCTCCCAAAGTGCTGGGATTACAGGGGTGAGCCACTGCACGAGGCCATAAAAAGGATGTGTGTGTGTATGTGTGTGTGTGTGTGTGTGTGTGTGTGTGTGTGTGTGTGTATATATATATATATATTTTTTTTTTTTTTTTTTTTTTTTTGAGACAGAGTTTTGCTCTTGTTGCCCAGGCTGGAGTGCAATGGCGCAATCTCGGCTCACCACAACCTCCACCTCCCGGCTTCAAGCGATTCTCCTGCCTCAGCCTCCTGAGTAGCTGGGATTACAGGCATGTGCCACCACACCTGGCTAATTTTGTATTTTTTTAAGTAGAGACAGGGTTTCTGCATGTTGGTCAGGTTGGTCTCGAACTCCCTACCTCGGCCTCCCAAAGTGCTGGGATTACAGGCATGAGCCACGGCGCCCGGCCATGTATATTTTTTAAAGCAGTATTACTCATTCAATTGAAAAAATTAATTCTACAGCTCAGGCTTTTTTGAAGTCATATTTCATACTACAAGTTCTATACAGAAGCACTGTTTAAGCTCTTAAATATTGGTTACATTTCAGAATTTCAGTCCTCAGACCCAGAAGACATTTTATTAATTTAATAAAGATTTAATAAAGACATTTAATTAAGATTAGGCAAGATGCAGACATGTATTGTATACAAGGGTGGCAGAAAGGACCTTTAGCGTGCCTCTACATTTGCCATTTTGCTAACATAAACCCAAGCTGAACTTCACTCATTTTTTATGCAAATCCTTGGCTGGGGAGTGGCTTAAGTGTAAACTTACACTTTCTACCACTAATGTGTTAAGCCAGGACTTCTCTTAACTCCGTGTGGAAGGTACAGCTATACTTTATAACCAAATCAAAACACCATAGTCAATTATAGGTATATATTTCATGACTTTAACTAAAATGTGAACATTACTTTTCCAATCTTTATGTTACTGTGATGTGACTGATCTTTAAATAGACCCAAATTAATGAGAAAATATGGACATTTCACTTAGAATGAAAGACTCAGATGATAGGAAATTTGTCTCAAATGTTAATATTAATGTGTTGGGTTCTAACAACACAAAGCTCCAATTAAACTAAATTTTACATATAATATGATGCACATAGGTAGATTTCTAATGTTTTCCTGATGACTCAAGTAGAGTGCCTTATTTTTAAAAAACTGGTTATGTTGTTCACTTCAGGTTTACAATATTAATGCTATTTTGTGATCAATTTGGTAAGCCCTACAATATTTCCCAAAATGACTTATAGATGCAACTTGACAACTCTTTTACTTAGCTAGCATGATAATTAGAACCTAAACTTGCATTTCAGGTTGCCATATCACCTATACAGAACTGACAACAAGCTATTTTCTTGGCAAATACCTGATTGATGGTTCATTCTTAGCATGCTTGGAGAAACACATTAATAAGATAACCCATGTCTTTTTTCACTCTGTAATATCTACAGATGATCTCTATTTCAGATGACTCTAAGCAGCTAAACACGAATAAAAAAGAACACCTTTCTGGCTCATTAAGGCAATTGCTCAAGCTGTCATTAGAATTATCTCTCTGAAAATGCAGTACAGGATGCAGCAGGCCTTGTCTGCTGCAGAAACTAATGGTACAGAGCTACCTTTTGACAGCAGGACTAAATTTACATACTTTACATATTCAGTGAGTAAAGGAATAATTTACAATAATCAAATATGCTATGTTTGGGGCATTTTCTCCTCATTTGAAATACATCTGTCTACTTTGTAAGCCTAGTCATCGACAACCGCATAGGAAATGAATTAATTGAGCCAAAGCAAAAGGAGACCTTTTCTACTTATTTAACCCTACCCATTTTCTATAGGGCAATTGTAAATTATGCCTCAGAAGATAAATAGCAAGTCATGCCTGAAAAGATGAGATGCTCTGGTTTTCATCCTCAGACCTGCTAGGCTGACTACCTGTCAGATAAGGCAGCAGCCAGGATTATGCCTTGAAAAGCTGACAAACCAAGATTTTTATCATTAAATCAAACCTGCTGGGTTTAAACTCTGTGAACTTTAATTATCTCATATTTAATTAGAAGAACTAGATTAAACCAAAAGTGGAGGGTGGGGGGAGGTCCTGGCAAAGGAGAATCAAGGAGTTATGGGGGATGCGGAGACTTCATATCCACAAATCAGATTTCTCATTTCTAATAAAGCAAGGTTTACATTTAGAGGAGATTCAAGGAATCACTGGGCTGCACAATACTAGAAGTTATCTAGTCCATCCCAGAACGATAATCATCTACCCTGTTCTTTATTATTACTATTATTAATTTTTTTTTTTTTTGAGATGGAGTCATGCTCTGTCACTCAGGCTGGAGTGCAGTGGCACGATCTCTGCTCACTGCAACCTCTGTCTCTTGGGTTCGAGGGATTCTCCTGTCTCAGCCTCTCGAGTAGCTGGGATTACAGGCACCCGCCACCACACCCGGCTAATGTTTTGTATTTTTAGTAGAGACAGGGTTTCACCATGTCAGCCAGGCTGGTCTCGAACTCCTCACCTCAGGTGATCTACCCGCCTCGGCCTCCCAAAGTGCTGGGATTACAGGCATAAGCCACCATGCCTGGCCTTACCCTGTTCTTTAAAATCTCTGCAGGAAGAGGTTCTGCATATTTGAAAAGGTTTAAAACTAATAAGGGCACTATAAGTCACTTTACCAGAGAATGAGAAAATGAAAATTTTTATACTTCACCAACTAAAAGATAAAAATAATCTGTTCTCCAGAGGTTGCTTTTATTACTATTTTTCTTTATGTAAGGCAAGACAGCATAATTAACAGTACTTTCAGACTATCTTGTTTCATAATAGAATAGAGTCATAAGACAATGAATTATTTAACCAGTAAGTACTCATTGATGATCTACTCCAGCAGTCGGCAAACTTTCCCTGTAAAGGGTCAGATAGTAAATATTTTAGGCTTTGTGGGCCACAGAGTCTCTGTCACAATTGCTCAACTCTACTGCTGTAGCCCAAAAGCAGGCATAAATAATGTGTAAATGAATAAACGTGGCAATGTTGCAAAAAACTTTATTTATGGAGAGTTGAATTTCATATAATTTTCATGTCACAAAATATTGTTTTTCTTGTGGTTTTTGAGACAGTCTCCCTTTGCCGCCTAGGCTAGAGTGCAGTGGCATGATCTCTGCTCACTGCAACCTCTGTCTCCTGGGTTCAAGTGATTTTCCTGCCTCAGCCTCCTGAGTAGCTGGGACTACAGGAACCTGGTACCACGCCTGGCTAATTTTTGTATTTTTAGTACAGACAGGTTTCACCATGTTGGCCAGGCTGGTCTCGAACTCCTGACCTCAAGTGATCCACCTACCTCGGCCTCCCAAAATGTTGGGATTACAGGCGTGAGCCACTACACCCAGCCCTTGTGATTGTTTTCTTACCATTTAAAATCATAAGAAATATTCTTGCTGGGCGTGGTGGCTCACACCTATAATGCCAGCACTTTGGGAGGCCAAGGCGGGCAGATCACGAGGTCAGGAGTTCAAGACCAAGCCTGACCAACACGGTGAAACCCCGTCTCTACTAAAAATGCAAAAAGTTAGCAGGGCATGGTGGCGGGCGTCTGTAATCCCAGCTACTCAGGAGGCTGAGGCAGGAGAATCACTTGAGTCCAGGGGGCGGAGGTTGCAGTGAGCAGAGATTACGCCATTGCACTCCAGCCTGGGCGACACAGCAAGACTCTGTCTCAAAAATAAATTAATTAATTAATTAATTTTTTAAAAAAGAAATATTCTTAGGTTTTGGACTGGATTTGGCTTATAGGCCATAGTTTGTTATCCAACGGTCTCTTCCACACTTAAGTCACTATGAAGGGGAGAGAAAATGATACAACACATGGCTACTTTTCATAATGGTTGGGAAAACAAGACAAAAATATTTTTTAAATTGGCAAATAATATAAAGCTGCACATAATAAAGGGCTAAAGTGTGTGGGGCATCCCATAGGCTAAAAGAGTCAAGGCATGAGGAGGACATGACTCTATGAGATCTGGAATAGTTAGAACAGGACTCATGTAGCAACTAGTTGTACCAGGAAGAACTAGGTGGACTTATATAAGTGGAGAAAAGAAGGAAAGAGCACTCCAGTTGAGAGAAATAACATAAACCAGGATAGAGAAATGTGAATTAGCAGGTTGCATTTGGGGGAATGTAGGAGAAAGGCCTGTCTAAGCAGAATCAATTGGAGAAATTAATTCAGTCACTCAATAGATAACTATTGATCACTCCTGTGTGTCAAGCATTATGCTAAACACTAGAGATACTGTGATGAGTAAGGCACAATCCTTGTCCTCCAATTGCTCATGGTCTTGTTAGAAGGACAAACAAGCAAGCAATTATAATACAGGATAAGATACTTATACTGAGGTATAAAGCTCCCTGGAAATAACTATGGCAATTTAAAAAATTATGTCAATTCTCAACACTCCATTCATTTGCATTTAAGGTAGAGATCTGTGATTTAAACCATAAAGGGAATCCAAATGCAAAATAAAAATCCCTGTGTGACCCACACAAGGCCTGATCATTTAAATATTCAAACGTAACTGCCTTTCCTAGAGAAACAGCAAAATCACATAAACTTCCTATAAGTGATTTTCGGAAACCCTTTGAAGATTATAATTTTAAAAAGGATTATTATTTTATTAGCTTGATTCACTGCAACTGGGCATTATGTCATTGGTCCTAACAATGTGCATACACCTATCTGTAAACATTTTCAGCAATGAGGTAAATTACTATGGAAAAGCCTGAAAGTGTTTTTTCACCAGAGATCTTTAAGAAGAGGATTTATATCTACCTGCATGAGATGGCTCAGGATCAATAATGCCTAGAGCACAGCATGAATTTTCAACTCTATGATTTGAAATCTCTTAAAAGCATTCCAGTGACTATTTCTACAAATTATATCACTCATTTTTTAAAAATGTAGTAGTGTTATCAGACTTATTTGAGGTAAGAACTAAAAATTCAGCTACAAGTGTTTAGAGCACTATGACCAAAGAAAATCTGAAGGAAATCATAAATCTTTTGCATGAGCCCCTAAGTGAAAGGGAACATTGTAAGGAAATAGCATGCAGGATAGAATTAGACAAACTGGTGTTCAGATTCTGATTCAGCCATTCACCAGCTGCGACCTTGCCCAAGCTACTTAACTTCTCTAATCTTCCATTTCTTCCCCTGTAAACCTGGGAAAAGAAAACCTAATGCTCAGGAATGTTGTGAAGATGCAATGAGATGCTGTACATATGACACCTAGAACATGCCAGGAAAACAATAGGTACTCAAGAAATGTTAAAGTCCTCCACTCTTTCTGTGTTTTTCTTTCCTTTTTTTTTTTTTTTTTTTTTTGAGACGGATTTTCACTCTCGTTGCCCAGTCTGGAGTGCAATGGCGCGATCTTGGCTCACTGCAACCTCCACCTCCCAGGTTCAAGCAATTCTCCTGCCTCAGCCTCCCGAGTAGTTGGGATTACAGGCACACCACCACGCCCGGCTGATTTTTTGTATTTTTAGTAGAGACGGGGTTTCACCATGTTGGCCAGGCTGGTCTTGAACTCCTGACCTCAGGTGATCCGCCCGCCTTGGCCTCTCAAAGTGTTGGGATTACAGGCGTGAGCCACCATGCCCGGCCCATTCTTTCTTCATTGCCAGTTTCAACTCAACTTTTTTAGGCAATGACCCCGAACAACAGGCACAAAGATGTCATTTGTGTGGTAAGTGAGCATAAAAGGGAGAACAGACCTATGTATGTGTAACCTTTCTTCTGTGGTTATTGTGGGTAGCATGTTGTGGGTAGTGTGACTTAACAACCAACTCTGCTATAGAAGGCACCTGTTGAACCTCCCCTTCCTCCTGAATCCAAATATGCATCTGCATTCTCCACTTTCACTCTTTCCTTTTAATGTTCTCTCAGCCATGGACCTCTCCTCAAAAGCCAGGGTCCTTGGTGAGCGGAATAAATAAATGGTGAGAAAGACCAGAGGAAAATATAATTTTCCTAGCGACACCTCCATTTTCTACAATAGTTAAGAAATATTATTTGCTTTTTCTCAGTTCATTTCCAAACTAAGTCTCACACCCTTGGAATGCTGTAATACCAATACTGCCACTTGTGAAGAGTATGTCATTCGGGCTTCTCTATACAGCATTAAAATGAGGCTTCCTCAATAAATAATATATGTGGAAGCTTCTCTGAGCTAGAACAACCATACCTCTTTTGTGCATAGCAACTCCCATGACCTAGAAGTGCTTCCTGCAGTTATGTTCTTATTAAGTTGAATATTTCACATGCTTTGGAGCTGAGAGCCAAGAGCCGAGTCTCTTGCGTGGTTGTTTTTTTTTTTTTTCTTAACACAGTATTGAAATCTTCATTATCTCCAAATATTCTATCTATGTTTGCTACTAAATGTACATGTAGTAGTGCTATTGCCCAATATGATTTCTGAATGGATTAATAATAATATCAATTTTATATTTCCAGGTACACAACTCACAGGATTCTTAAAGTATCTCAATAGTAGAATACGAATATGTAAAGAAATCACTGTGCTATGATTCATATCTGAAGGACTGTGATCCCACATAGGAACATGTAAATAATCAAGGGCTTAGGCAAATGATATAAACACATTTGCACAAGCCTGAATGTATAAACTTCATACATGCAAAGATATAAAAATATACGCATTACATGAGTTATTTGCAATTATGTCTTAAAACACTCAGGGTATTTCTGAGTGTTCAAGTTAATGAAGTTCTTGAAAATATGGATTAATTTAAATATACTAAAATTATATATTACATATATGTATGTGTGTGTGTATGTGTGCATGCACGCACTATATATGGCTAATAACTGGCAAAAAACCATGGCTACCCTAGTGGCTTTTGTCTTTATATAATAGTCACTCCAATAATGACTAGTATACATTTTAAAAACACATTCATAGGACAGAGATCATATGTTAGACTGCTTTTGTATCCCACTTAATGCCTGGCAGAATGTTCTGCACAACACAGTCATCTTGAATGCAAGCTAGAAATATTCATTGTAGACTATATATCTGTTTTCTTCCCAAGTCTATATTTTCTTTCCAGGCATAGATATGGTTAACCATCATGAAATCGGTATTAAGGGGCATATAGCATAAATTTTATCAGAAAGCCTTAGGCAGAAAGAAAAGAGCACCAGACAAAATGAATATCATGTTTCCACTAGAAACTTTTACTACTTGATTATCTTAAAAAGTCATGTTGTACCATCACCCAATCCTGTTTAAAACAGCACTCAGGCCGTTTATGTAGCTGATCTTGGATTAGCCCTTGTTGCACAGGGATGATTTACCACTGCAGAAAAGAAGAAATAAAGAGAAAAATTATTTGAAATGTATAAATAAAAAAACATAATGCACCTAGAACACTGAATAAGACAAAACCATAAACAGCTCATTTATAATACTGATTTAGGATTGTGCTACTGTAACTTAAAATGAGAAGTTCAACAAATTAGGCCACAGATAATACACAAATCTCATATTTATTTCATTAGTTATCATGCAGGTCATGATAAACGTGTCACATAATAAAGGAATGAACTGCGTATTGCCAGCACTCCATCTCAAGCTGCATTCTTGCTTGTTTCTTTGGAAAGTTGTAAGTTAATGAATAGATGCGACTTTCTATGATACGGATGTCCTTCACTACTCGAATCTATTGAATTCAGCAATGAATACATATTCATGAATGTGAACTCTTCTCAAAACAGGGATTTAGACAGTCTATTCCATTAAACATAAGTTTATTTTTCTTCCAGGTGTCAGCTAGGAAATCAACATTTTGGTCAGTGGCCTTTTCATAATGTTTGTCCTAATGGATGCCACCTGGAAAGAAAATCAACTGATATTTAATAGAGTATATTTTCTAAATTTCCATTCTAGGAAGAGTATTATCTTAGGAAGAAGTAATTCATTCTAATTATTAGAAATTAACATAGATTCATAAATACAACTGTAGCTGAATCTGGTGCTAATTAAAACAAGAGTTAAACAAAAACTATATAATTCACTTTATTATACATTCACATTCTATCGATGATAATAATTAGAGTCTATGCTATCATCAACTTGATGTTTTCATAGCTATACTGTTTATCTTGGTCATCCTACTATGGTTTCTATGTATCTGATGAGGCCAACTGTGTTTTCTGTCAGTCTGTTCCAGTTACCTGTGTTTTGATTTAGTGACTTGCCACATGGATATAATGTTTTACAATCATCTAAATGGTTAATATATATTAACTAATGTTTTAGTGTTAAATGTTCACACAAAACCTAATAAACGGTGCACCTCCAAACCTTCTTGGCTTCCTTTACAAGTAATACGATGTTTTTTTTTTTTTTTTTCACAAAGACCTTTCGAATATTCTTCTAGTCATGCTCAATCAGTAAATACACCAAAATCAAACCTAAATAATAGGTTTTCTAGCTATAAAACAATACACGCTTGACAATATGGAAGAAATACAGGAAATAATTTTGTCAAATTTTGTTAAAGCCAAGAATGGGAAATGGGGCGGTAAAGGCCATATGTATGCTAGATTCATATAGTAGTTTCTGTTCTTGATGTTGAGATCAATAAACATCTGAGCACCTTCTATGTTTCCATCACAGTGGTAAAATACTGGGGCTAATGAATATGATGCAAGTCCTTAACTCCTTAAAGACTTATGTACTTTGGACAACCATTCTATCCCATTCATCCTAAGTGACCACAATGATTACTAAGAGCAGCAGCCGTGCTCATAGGTGATGGTGGCCAAAGGCTGACATTCGGAACATTACAATGGGCTAATATTCTACTCTCTCACAAGGGCTGTCTCTTGTATGGACGATATGATGGCAGAAGGGATGCAATGTGGAAAAATCCTAAGTAGAAAAATTTTACTTCTGTTTGTTTTTTAAAAAAGTATTCCCCTGACAGCTTGGTCTGATTGACAGCTCTTACATACTGACCTAATGAACCTTCAGCCTGGGAGCCTTCACACATTCCCTGATAAGCAGTGAACTCAAGTTTTACTGTAGGCATCATCTCCTAAGCCCCAGTGATCTGAATAAACTGGCATGGCCTCCAAATACCACTGCAAACATTTATTGCAGGCCAATCCCAGCAGGAACGTTGTCAAACTGATTTTTCAGCTTTTACAGTCTCTCTGCAAATCAGCCCAAATCACATTGTTCCAGGTTTAGATTAAGCATCTAATTGTGTATCCCCATGGTCTCTGCTAGGATTTTGCAAAGGTGTTAAATTCTGGTATATGAAAACATCACAGAGCCACAAGTGTATATGCAAATTATCTGCTTATTCCCCTGTAGAGTGTGAAAAATATTTTAAAGTTTTTTAAAAAACTGCTGTTCATCTTATAGCTATTTTAGTTGTCTGTTTCTTTCTTACCCATTAGGGCCAATTTGTAAATGTACAATAGGGAAGATGAGACAAAAGGCTGGGGCAGGAATGATTCAGGATCATGATTAACACCAAAGAATATGTCCTGTACAAAGGGAATCCACAAGTCACATTTAGAGGATTCTTCTACATTGTTTATCTTAGGTCTTAAAGTATAATTCCTCAGGAAAAATGCAGAAACCAGGATACTAGTCTACTACAAAGAAGGAAGACTTTGTGCATTTATTTCAAATCTTTGAACAACAACAAAAAGGAATTAGTCTAACTATGACTAGTTTTCTAGAAACAACAGTGACTTACTTTAGAATTAAATGAGCATCACGGGACTGTAACGCATGGAAGCTATAGTTAACATTTTGAGCTTCTGAAACCACTTTTATGATGGACTTTTCCTATCTCATATTCTCAAATTAAATAAAACATTTGTTGCTCTAAATTTGGGATAAAAGGGTGTGTTCATCAGATTATACTACTTACATAGAATTTGAATTTAGCTTTAAATTGTCTTTCATTCCTCTTAGAAACTAGAGTGATGAATCTGGACTAATCTTTTGCAAAAAGTAACCACAGAAATGAAGATATTGTAATCCACAGAAAAAGAAAAAATATACACAATACTTTTCACTTCTTACATAAAGCATATTTAATCAAATGTCTTTGAATTTGTCAGCAATACATATAAACATACCTATACACATATATTCTCTCTCACTCTCAGGCTACAAAGCTACCAAAATAAAGATAGACTCTAAATGCCAACATAAAACCAGGCAAACACAAATGGATTTGGTAAATCTATTTTGCTGAACTTCAACTACCTCCTCTGGGGCTTTGGTCTGTACTTGCAGCATTACTTTTGCATAACTATGGTAAAACAACAGCAAGAGCAACAACAAAAACCAAGATTAATTAACTTGGCTGGTTCAGGGGAGATCTGTGGCAAGGTGTTTTTCCTCTAAAAGCTCTAAATTCATCTAGTTTCCAGTGTGTCCTAAGCATTTCAATCCAATTTTTTCCTATGTGAGCATAAGAAGAGAAGTATACTGACATATTTAGATACTGGGTCACAGTAGGTGAAATAGATGTGAGATAGAATTCTGTTTTTTAATACTTCAGTAAAGAGTCCCACCAAATTGTTTTTTAAGTCTCAAATGCCTAACTATAGATTTAACTGGGTATTTGTATCTTGTATACTTTTTTAAATCTTTGATTCTGTACATAATATGAATGATTTTTTAAACAACCTACATATGTTGGTAAGATCCGTGCTCTTCAAGGTAGTTACTTTAGGAGCTACAGAATTAAGGAATGATTCTATCATTGGCAAAAAACATTTGTGAAGTCCTTCTTTGGGATATCTTTACAGTAGGCCTCACAGCCTTTTAAATAGTTTTGATGACAGCAAGTCTTTGACTTTTAATAGATTTGTTTTACAAAACAAATATTTCAGAGCCAAATCAATAAGTAACCTGGGTAATACTAAAGTTTGGTTAAACACTAGATGTAACTGAAGAAATTATACTGAATTTCTTCTCTAGCTCAAATTCAGGGTACTGCACAACATTCATTTGGATAAATAAATTCTGGCTGGGACCAAGCGTGGTGGCTCATGCTTGTAATCCCAGCACTTTGGGAGGCTGAGGTGGGTGGATCACCTGAGGTCAGGAGTTCGAGACCAGCCTGACCAACATGGTGAAACCCCATATCTACTAAAAATACAAAATTAGCCAGGTGTGATGGTGAATGCCTGTAATCCCAGCTACTTGGGAGGCTGAGGCAGGAAAATCGTTTGAACCCAGGAGTTGGAGGTTGCAGTGAGCCGAGATTGCACCATTGCACCCCAGCCTGGGCAACAAGAGCAAAACTTCACCTCAAAACAAACAAACAAACAAAATTCCGGTTGGTTTGGTAACAAAGGCAATATACCATCATCCCTAGGTATCCATGAGGAATTGGTTACAGAACTTCCTTCAGAAACCAGAAAATTAGCAGATGCTCAAGTTCCTTATATAAGATGGCATAGTATTTGCATATCACCTATGTACATCCTCCCGTATACTTAAAATCATCTCTTGACAACTTAAAATACCTAATAAAATGTTAATGCTATGTAAAAGTTGTTATACTGTATTGTTTAGGGGACATGAAAAAAGTCTGTGCATGTTTAGTACAGATGTCATTTTTAAAAATATTTTCGATATGCCTTTCATTGAATCCATGAATGTAGAATCTACGGATATGAAAGGACAATTGTATTCAGTATAATATAGATAAACGCATAAACGTGTGTGTGTGTGTGTGTGTGGGTGAATTCTAAAGCAAGACAGGATAGTTCATTTTACAAATTAGGAAATGGAGGGCCTGAAGCTAGTGTAGTCCTAGTAAAGTCCCTGGTATACAGTGAAGTGCTTAAAAAATATTTATGTAGCCATGGCCGGGCGCGGTGGCTCATGCCTGTAATCCCAGCACTTTGGGAGGCCGAGGAGGGTAGATCACCTGAGGTCAGGAGTTCGAGACCAGCCTGACCAAAATGGAGAAACCCTGTCTCTACTAAAAATACAAAATTAGCCAGGCGTGGTGGTGCATGCCTGTAATTCCAGCACTTGGGAGGCTGAGGCAGGAGAATTGCTTGAACCCAGAAGGCAGATGTTGCAGTGAGCCAAGATTGTGCCATTGCACTCCAGCCTGGGCAACAACAGCAAAACTCCGTCTCAAAAACAAAACAAAACAACAACAACAAAAACATACATATATATATATTTATGTAGCCAAAATGATGATCTATGGAGAAATACACAATATGCTTTAAAATTGTGTTAGAGTGCTAGGATTATGGGTGTAGCAAACATCAGTCTATTTGCCAGCCCTTCCCATACCCTTCTCAGAGAATCTGCTCTTTCATCAAGTGCCTGGAAAAGGTGACAGTCCTATCACCATGTGATCTTATCTCTGCTCTGGCTGATTGGCCACAGAATGAACACCTGACTTAAGGGAAACAAATTCACAGGCTAGCTGGATCAGTCAGATTCTGTCACAAGAATCTGAACTTGGAGAGACCCATGTCACATAAAGATAGGCACTTGAAGTAAGCAACATACTGTATCATAGTTGTGGCAGTCATGTTCAAACAAAGGAAACCAATGGCGCGATCTGGGCTCACTGCAAGCTCCGCCTCCTGGGTTCATGCCATTCTCCTGCCTCAGCCTCCTGATTAGCTGGGACTACAGGTGTGTGCCACCATGCCCGGCTAATTTTTTTTTTTTTTTTTTTTTTTTTTTTTTAGTAGAGATGGGGTTTCACCGTGTTAGCCAGGATGGTCTCGATCTGACCTTGTGATCTGCCCGCCTCGGCCTCCCAAAGTGCTGGGATTACAGGCATGAGCCACCACCCCCGGCCTGAGAGCAACTTATATTTCTAACTTTTCCATTTTGGTTCCAGCCTAAGACACTCTGTGGTCTCACTGTTGTTTCCTATCCTTGGATGTCCACAAGGTTGCTTATCACATCCTTAAATAAATACCCCTTCACTCAAGCTACCTTATGTAGATTTCTGTTCCATACAACCAAGCAGTGCCTATGACAATGTGGCAGTGGACCTGATTCCTCCCTTTAGTTTGTCAATAAAAAAAATTAGAAAAACAATTTTTAAACTGTTCATGGAATGGCTGAATGCCCAGGGAGATTAAGTGATTCACTTCAAGTCATTCGCACAGTGATGGGTCAAGCATTAGAAACCAGATCTCCTAACTCATCACAGACCCTGGAGTTACATAACCTTGGAAATGTTACTTAACCTCTCCTTGCCTCAGTTTCCCCCACTATAAAAGGGAATATAGTAATAGTACTTAACCTAATAGGATTTTTGTGAGGATTAAATTTGTTATTATATAATACAAATAGTAGAGGCCGGGAGCATAATCCCAGCATTTGGGAGGCTGAGGTGGGCAGATCACCTGAGGTCAGGAGTTCAAGATCAGCCTGGCCAACATGGTGAAACCCTGTCTCTACTAAAAATACAAAAATTAGCCAGGTGTGGTAGTGTGTGCCTATAGTCCCAGCTACTTGGGGGGCTGAGGCAGGAGAATCGCTTGAACCCGGGAGGCAGAGGTTGCAGTGAGCCGAGATCACCTCATTGCACTCCAGCTTGGTGACAGAGTGAGACTCAGTCTCAAAAAAATAATAATAAAAATAAACAAATAAATAAAATGGTAATAGCTGATTGAATCAGGGAAGGACCCCGACCTACAGGGGAACCATCCTAGGCTTGTCAAAGACTTGGGGCCTGGTGCAAAAAAAAAAAAAAAAGGATTCAGATAACATTCCTGTCACAGGAACATAGAATTGGGACCCAAGAATCTTTGTCAGGAGGTAGAAGGAGCAGTTAGATGAGGATAAGTGAAGTCTCGTTTCAAGCACTAGATTAAAGGCCCATGAACTCATGATGTGAAGGACCACAGAGCCACCTTGAAAGGAGAGCAAAGATCCCATTTCCAGGGCTCTAGGTCTAGGTGTATAATACATCCTGCCCTGAATTCCCTTGAGCCTCTCTGTATCTGTTCAATGAACACCCAGTTTAAATAGCTTTTTGTTCCTTGTAATCAGAAGACACTCAATGAAGTAAAATGCTTATTAATAGTACCTTAACTTTTTGTACAAAATTAAAAGCAATTACATACACAACAGCATAGAAGGGAGGTCCCAGATGCTTCTCATTTCAAACTTTTTTTTTTTTTAAGTGTTCTCACACTCTGTTGCAGCATGGTCATCACAATACTCTCATTTCTCTCTTTCTGGGTAAAAAGTGCTTTATCACCATCTTATCACCAGGAACTAAATGGCACAGGTCTTAAGAATGAGTAATTAATCATTCTATATCCATTGAGCATCATCGGATTCCTTTTGTTTAACATGACAGATAATAGCTTAAGCCTACATTCTTCCAATTAAAATGTGAAAACGTTCTTTACAAAGGTCTTCTACTCTTACAAAGCTAACCAAACTCTAGAGCATATTCTATAATTAGCACCCTGAAAATAT